>NC_000016.10:81380682-82005682 GCF_000001405.40 Homo sapiens
CTGTTGACCTTCAGTTTATACTACTGTGTCGAACTCATATTGAGTGTAAATATTGAAATATTTGTAGTTTATAGTAAGTTTTACTTGGTGTTCGCGTTTCTCTTCTTCAGCAGGATTAAAAACAGTGTTTACCAACTCGTAGTTGGTATACTGTCAGGATTTGGCCTAAGAAATTTCTGAATGCATTGTTTAGCTTAGTACTTCATTGCTGTAAGGAATTGATAGCTAACTGTAGGCTTTTTTCAAACTGTATAACAACCAAAAAGGAGCATTTGGGGGTATGTTGGATGGTGTTTTGTTTGTAAACACTTTGTTATATTGCACTACCACTTTAATGATGACACTTCCTTCATTGATGGCTTGGAAGTGTCATTTTTATAATTTATGAGTTGGGGGGATTCCCTAGTCAATGCATAGGAAATACATTCTTTGTACAAACGTGGTAAAGAGAGGACTGGCTTTGCTATGGCACCTAAGTTACTCATGGGTAGTTAAGTTTCATTTCTAGAGAAATGTCTTAGCTGCTGTGGTCCATTAGAGTTCCCTTTGGTACATTCCTACCTCAGTGTACCAAACCAGGGATTCCAAAAACCTTCCAAGGAGTGCTAGAAACACCGCAGTATCCCCTTCCAGAATGTTGGCGTTCATGATTCAAGAGGCCTCCCGTGGTCAGATGAAGACCTTTGGTTAAATGGGGGAAGAATGAGGTGGCGCTTTGACTGTATCAATTTAAAGATGCCGGAACCCCGTTAAAAACACCTGGTGGAAGGGAAAGGTGAGGCGGCCCTTTTCCACTGGCTGCTCACTGAGCACTGGAGTCCAGGAAGTCAGTGAGAAGAGAGCAGCTGAGTGTAGCAAAACCCGCCTTGGGTCAGCCAACACATGTCTGATGAGCACCCACTAGGAACTGTGCTTGCCATCCTGGGAGCTGAACAGTGAGGCAGAGGTCACACCACTCTCCTACTCAAGGTCATAAACCCACTATGGAACGGGCAAGGGCCCCGTCTTTGTCATCTGCCAGTCTCAGTGCTTGCACAGAGTAGGTAGGCAATAAACATTTGACAAATAAATATAAGATTCTTGTGATCAAAGTAATGTTCTTCTGTTGAAAAGGGCACTCCAAGAGTGACTGATTTTACTGGGTTTTCAGTGAGAAACTTTGTACCCATATGGGCTGGCCTCCTATACGGAGCTGAAACTAGCATGGGCCGGCCTCCTATATGGAGCTGAAACTAGTATAGCATAAACAATGCCAAGTGCCTGATGTACATGATGTACAGTCTTCTGATTGTACCCTCTATATGGGACTATGAGACCCTCTATAGACTCAGCACAGCTTATAATGTTGATCATGTTTAGTATTGGGCTTTATTGACTGCTTTTTATATGGGTGTCAAAATCTTTCCAGGACATACCCCTTTGATCCTCACACCTCTGGAATAGGCAGGGCACTCTCCCCATTGTACCAGGGTAATCTTGGAGGCCTGATAGATATGGCTTCATTTCTCACTTTAGGGAGGAGCAAGAACCAAAAGCAGAAGCCAGGTCTTTGGATTATCAGCTCACCAGTCAGCCAGTGAGGCTGGAACTTGATTTTTCTAGGCATACAAGTATTTTTAGTAATAGAATAATCATTTTTAGTATTAATACAATTTACGCTCCCAAACATGTCCTTTGCTAGTTGCACAGGCATAAGCTGAAAGATCTTTGATTTTCTTTGTTAGTTAGCTATAGGAAGGTTAAGAATTTATTTACTAAGGTCGTAAGAACAGAAGAAAGTTTCTTTGAAAGAGAAACTGTTTTTTTATTTCAAAGAGCTTCATGTATACTTCCCTCTCTTATTCCATGTAATTAGTAAGGGAAAATAAACTATGTCTTAGAATGTTGAGGAAAGTATTTTGATAGCTTTTAATAATTCTTGAAATACTCTTTACTCTGTCTGTAGTTTTGAGAAATTACAGAAATTCATAGTATAAGGATGAGAAGGGGCCCATTTGCCCATATTTGATAACACAGACTTGGATTGAGTGTCTGTCATGCCTGCTGGCAGTTAAGTCTCAGTGGTATTGACTGCTAGGCATTTTCTATATTTTTTGCAAGTTAGCTGGTAAAACTTGGTAAAGTTTTGTGTTTTTCAGAAGGAACCCTATTATTATTTCCATTTTAAACATATTTCAATATTGTCTCATTGTAATAGTTCCATTTATGTGACATCTGAGGAATTAAATCATACTTCCAGATGGTTTGGTCTAATGTATACAGTTTAGGAAAGTTTATTCTTTTTTATTTTATTTTATTTTTTTAAATTTCTTTTAGAAACTGGGTTTTGCTCTGTTGCCCAGGCTGATCTTAAACTCCTGGCCTCAGATGTGGAGACCCAGCTGGGACTACAGGCATGAGCCACCACGCTCCGTAGAAAGTTTGTTCTTTTTCAGTTCTGTCATTGAAATTCTCTAAGTGATTGGATTTTTAAACCCCTTCCCCTTTTCATGAAATTAAACATCAAATAAATAAAACTACATTATATAATTATTTAGTCAGAAATGACTGTTGCCCTCTCTTTTTTTTTTTTTTTTTTTTTTTTTTTTGAGACGGAGTCTCGCTCTGTCGCCTAGGCTGGAGTGCAGTGGTGCGATCTCGGCTCACTGCAATCTCCGCCTCCTGGGTTCAAGCAATCATCCTGCCTCAGCCTCCCCAGTACCTGGGATTACAGGTGCTTATTACCACACTCGGCGAATTTTTTGTGTTTTTAGTAGAGACGGGGTTTCACCATGTTAGCCAGCATGGTCTCGATCTCCTAAACTTCGTGATCCGCCCGCCTCAGCCTCCCAAAGTGCTGGATTACAGGTGTGAGCCACCTCGCCTGCCCTCTTTTTTTTTTTTTATTTTGAGATTAAAACTAATTCTTTTAAAGTCACTACTCAGCTGAAATTTGGCCTGATTATAAATGTTGATAATAATTTCTTCCTGGCTCAACAAAGTTGTTGAGCTTCCTTCTGTGCACACATTGAAAGAAAACCAGAAATTGTACAGTCGTGATATGAATTAGAGAAGGAACAGGTGGAAAAGGATGGCAACACACAGAGTCCGGGGGACACACGGCCTTAAGATGAAGTGAACGAGTAGACACTGAATAGGATCCACGTAAATGAACGGCCATTTCAAATCATTCACATCCCAAACGGAGGTTCATCTGTCTTCTGGTTGGTGAATTATATTTATTAGGATCTTATTTTTAGCATTTCATTACAAGTAATAGGTTTGGGTACCTTATTTTTATTGTTTTTACTCATCAGTTATGAATAAGGCATACCTTAGAAACTTGGGTTAAATTTTTTCAAGTTATACCAGTCAACTTGGTTTAAATACAACTGTACTAACTTGCTTTATCATGTTTCCTGTTTAATTGGATGAGAATTACATGCACTTATTCAGTTGTTCTTTGTGTTTATAGGAAAAACTCTGTTCTCAGCTACCTCATTATGTAGTATTGTGCTTGATCCCCTGCCAATTGAGAAGAATTCAACACATTCTGTTCTTTAACAAAAGCTTGGAAGCAGGCAGTCAGAGGCCTTGAGGAATACAATTCTCTAAGGCCTGTTTTCCATTTTACTACTTAAAAAAAAAAAAAAAAGAAAAGAAAAAAAAGCACTTACAACCAGGAGGAATAATAATTCTCCTAGAGTTGCTGCAAACTGATTACTTGAAACTCAACTTGAACTTTAAAGAGTCTTTAAAAGGCTGTTTTCATAATGCAGAAAAGTAGTCTATTTAAACGCCACTGCTGTGTAAAACAGGGGGCTCGATTTCCATTCTTGTTAGCATCAGACAAGAAAATGTGTCTATCTGTCATCTGACCCAGTATTTGGGATTTGGGTGCTTGAGGATACTATTTTTTTCATTTCTTATAAGGTGCTATTGTTTCCCAGAAATCTTTAATTTTGATGAAAATCTACTCATTGCTAAGATCCTCCTCACTTAAAGTGTTTCCTCAGTGCAGAGTTGAGGTTGGCAGAACTATATAGAGTTGGATGATACTGAAAATCATGAATGATGTGATTTGTTCCATGTATCTGTGGAACATCCCTCACCTTCCTCCGGTATGCGCCTTCTGCACTCCACACGTGGTCGCCTCCATCCTCCCTAGTGTCTGTCAGCTTGCCTGGTCACCAAGTCAGGAGGAAGAAGATGAGGAGGCTCACCAGTTGTAGGCAAGACTCTTCCTCTCGGGAGATCTTGTAATAATGGCCCAGTTTCAGGGCACAGTTGTACACATTCTACTTAAATGGAGGAGTTCAGTGATGCCGTGGCCAAAAGAGTTATGCCCATTTCTAAAAGCCTGGCATATTTGGTATAACTTAAGCACCAGGTAAAATCTGGTGCTTAAGTTGTACCAAGTATAGCCAAGTTTAACTGTCGTTGTGTATTAATAAGATTTAATTTTTATGCTTGTGCTTTTCAGAGTAAAGGGCTTGCTTTCAATAGTAGAATGACAAAGCTTCTCCTCCAATGACAATCTGTTAGCACCCTGTTGACTTAGCTCAGGACATGAGACTGACTTAGCTCAGGACATGAGACATTTCCTGGAAGTGATTTCCATGAGAACAAAGGCTTATTCCTTTAACTTAAACCCCAAACTTTGTTATTTTAATTATTTTCAGGCAATCATCTTTATATACTTTCCTTACAAACCCAGTGGTTGAGAGCATAGGCCTTGGTGGCAGGTGCATCTGGGCTTGGGGGCTTCTGCCACACTTACTACTCTGTGACTTGGGAAGCTCTTAAGGCTCCCAAGGCTCCGTTTCTTATGTGGAAGAAGAATAGCAGGAGGACTCACCTCTGCGGGTTGTTGTGAGGATTAACTGGGTGATGACTGTAAGCAGCTGGGAGAGTGCCTTGTGTGCAGTGACCACTGTTGCTGCCACCATGATTATGTCACCTCTCAACATGGGGTGGTGGGAGGCCCTGTGGATGAGGCCAAGGCTGCCTGCACTGAGTGTCCCAGGCCTTATAGCTTTCCACATTCTCACGTCTGCTGCCACATGATATACAAGTAAATGTATTAGAAGTTGGTGTTCATAAAATACTTTTTTTTTTTTTTTTTTTTGAGATGGAGTCTCGCTCCGTCACCCAGGCTGGAGTGCAGTGGCGCCATCTCCCAGGCTCAAGGGATCCTCCTGCCTCGGCCTGCCAAGTAGCTGGGACTACAAGTGCACACCAGTATGCCCAGCTAATTTTTTGTATTTTTAGAACAGGTGTGGTTTCACCATATTGCCCAGGCTGGTCTCGAGCTCCTGAGCTCAGGCAATCCGCCTGCCTCAACCTCCCAAAGTGCTGGGATTACAGGTGTGAGCATCCAGCCAGAAAATGATTTGCTTTCTAGACCCATATCACCTCTCTCCATCTACATCTCTAGTATTTAAATTCAACACAATTCTAGATAGCTGAAACAGCCCAAAATATGTGTTTAGAATACTTAGAGTTTGTTATAAATAACCCTCTGTTTAGAATTTGCCCAGTGAAATTCTCTAATAATACTTAAAACTCTTTACTAAAGTTGAATTTTCCTTTTTTTTCATTGAAATAGCAAAGGTAGTAATCTGTATTGGTCAAAGAAACGAGATAATTCCTAGATCTCTGTTTTAGACCAGTAGACCTAACTGTGCTTTCTTAACTTGGATGTTACATGAAACTTAAAAACAAACAAATATGTGTTACAAGTACTTGTGTGTACGTGCATGTGTGTTTGTGCATGTGTCTGTGTGTGTGGAACTTTTGTACCTTTGCATAAAGAAGGTTATTTAACAAAGTGGTACAAACAGTGAACTACTTAATCCTTCTATGGTATCATACACTTCTTTTCCTGGTTAGGTTATGAGACTGGCAGAGGTAGGAGTATATAATGTGCTCAGCTTGTCTTGATTTCAATAAGACATTTGATAAAGTCATTCTTGATCTCTGAATGTGAAAAGGAAGTAGAACAGCCGGGCGCGGTGGCTCACGCCTGTAATCCCAGGACTTTGGGAGGCCAAGGCGGGCAGATCACCTGAGGTCGGCAGTTTGAGACCAGCCTGACCAACGTGGAGAAACCCCGTCTCTATTAAAAATACAAAATTAGCCGGGCATGGTGGCACATGTCTGTAATCCCAGCTACTCGGGAGGCTGAGGCAGGAGAATCTCTTGAACCCAGGAGGCGGAGGTTGCGGTGAGCCGAGATGGTGCCGTTGCACTCCAGCCGGGCAACAAGGGCTAAACTCCATCTCAAAAGAAAAGAAAGAAAGGGAAGTAGAAGTAGGATTTAACAAAGGACCGAGAAGTCGGCTGAATAGCCAGGTTCAGACAGTGTTGGCAAGAACGGATCTTTGGCAAGATCACTTAAGGTGAGCTACTCTAGCAGCATCCTGTTTGACATTTGTATCCATAACTTGAATAAAAATATAGAAGGCAAAGAAGAGTGCTGGGCAAGATGTGTTGGGTGTTAGATCTGCAATACTCTTCATAGTGTAATGGCTAAATGTAAAGTCTTACGTCTCGGTTCAAGAAAGCACGTTGCTATATGAAATTTCAGAAAAAAGTTTTGTTGCGGGGGGTGGGATATTGATCATTTGAACATATGCCAGTTGTTTCTCCTGCCCTAGGGGAGGTTGGCACGGCAACCTTCCCACTCCGTAGGTGGGTAGCCTTGCTGATGGGGCACGTCGTCACCAAGGGACCTGATTGTTGTCATGGTTTTGTCTTGTCCTCCTCCCTGGTGAAAGTCTACTGCAGTTTTATTCTCAGCTCTGGAAGGAGAGGGAACGAGCCTCTGCCTGTGTGTCCTGACCCCTCTTGCCTTGTTTTTGATCTGCTCAGGCCGGGTGCAGTGGCTCACGCCTGTAATCCCAGCACTTTGGGAGGCAAAGGCAGGTGGATCACTTGAGGTCAGGAGTTCAAGACTAGCCTGGCCAACATGGTGAAACCCCGTCTCTACTAAAAATACAAAAATTAGCCGAGTGTGTTGGTGGGCCCCTGTAATCCCAGCTACTCGGGAGGTTGAGGGAGGAGAATCACTTGACCCCAGGAGGCAGAGGTTGAAGTGAGCCAGGATTGTGCCACTGTACTCCAGCCTGGGCGACAGAGGGGGACTCTGTCTCACAAAAAAATAAAAAATTAAAAAAAAAGGTCTGCTCAGAAATAGGGGAAACACGGGATCAAGATCATTAGAGATTTATAGGCTGGGATGCACACCATGTCTTCAGAGCTAGCCGGCTGTGTCTTCTCCCCGTTTCTTTCACTGGTGAATAACCTTTCGTTTGAACCAGCCTTGATTGTTCTCTCCATGTTCCACTGTGGCTCCCCATGGACACTGCTAGGTGGAATCTCTGAGAAAACAGGCACTTCGCAGTCGGCGCATCTTTCTCTGCCAGCTTAGGGATTGCCGTCAAGGTGGAGGAAGGGTATTTTGGCCATGTTCGGAGTCGTTGTTTTTACTCACTCTTCTTGGGATAGCTTTCCCACCCTGCCCTCTGCTCCTCTGTCCCAACCCTCTTCCAGCCTGGTTTTTTTACTGCTTGAATTATGTATCCAAAATAAAAAGGAAAAGAAAGGTGCAGTTGGGGCGGGTTGTTGGGGGCGAGGAGAATAGCCCTTCTGGTTCTTCAGACCACATAATGGCCAGAGCATGAGCCTCACAGATCCCTGAGCAGACCTGCATACTAGCACTTTCCACAACCAGCTGGCCCTGGCTGTGAGAGTCAGATCTGTCCCCAAGGCTCCAGGTCAGAACTTGGACCCAGGTGCCTTCTGAGGCACCGCCAAGGACACATCCCAGCGCCTTAGGCACCTGTAGGCTAGAATGACACCTTCCAGGCCAGCCCCAGAGGCCCTCAGGGCTCCCCCTCCAAGCCGGGAGGGCAGGCAGGCACAGGCCCCGCTCACTACCTCAGCACCCAGTGCAGCCCCAGGCTCCCGGACGTGCTCGGCCCGGTGGCCTCTTGTGTGACAGGCCCTCTGCCATGTCTGTCCGCAGAGCCGGGTGGGGACCCTCCGTGTGGGTCCTCCTCTGTCCCTTTGCAGCTCGCATTCGCCAGAGCGGAGCGCAGCCCTTGTTTCCTTCTTTCCTCTTCAGCTCTGACTTAAAAACACACTATGTTCCAAATCGTTGTGGGATCGGAAACTAGAACTGCTTGTTTCCAGGAGAGACCACCTTTTCATATTTTTTTTAAAAGGAATTTGTGCTTCAAAAGAAACTCCAAAAAATAAATTTATTGTTAGTCTAGCATATGCTCATTGAAATTGACTTATGTTTTATTTTAAAAAATCATGTAGGATCTGGTACATGGGGCGGGCAAAAGGGTATCATCAGCTTAAGAAGTAAAGAAGTGAGCCTTCCATTTGTGTGGGTGATAACATCTTTTTCCTAGATCGTACCTCAAAATTCAGGCTCTCCATGAAAACAAAGATAATCTGAATAAAAATTGTGTGTTGGGAAATGTATCAAGTGACCTTCAGTTAAGAAAAGCACAGGCTGTTTATTAGCACAACTTGCTTCATTAAATAATTCGTGGCTTTTTCTGCCACTGGGGTTCTTTTCGTTTTGAATTCAGCTTGTGTTTGGTTCCTCGGTCTTGTACCCCTTCAGTTCGCCGGCGACGTAATGGTGATACCCTTTGTTTTTTGTATCATACCTTTTGTGAATTGTGACAACCATCCCGTAATCATTGTGGCCTCAGCAGAAGTTTTGAACAATCTTTGCAGCCACTGTTGGGGTGTGTACCAGCAGCCTGGAAGTGACCAGCAGAGCTGACAAAAGCACCCCCTGCTCTGCCCACCTCCGCAGAGTCCTGTCCTCATCAGAAACGGTATCGCGGATGCTCCTCAGGTAGGCGTAGGCAGACTTCATTGTGTGTTAGCAGTGACAGTGATGTCTGTACCTATCTGTGAGTGAGACCCATTCATGACACACTAGAAATGTGTACATTCTTTTGTTTTCCATCACGGGTATAGGTCTTCTGCCATGAAAGAGAACTATCAAGGAAATTCCTGAAAACAAGATTTGTAAATTCGATTTGACCCTCCCAAATTCAGGGCTGCTCTTTGCAGTGGTCCCTGGCCCAGCAGGTGGCCGGCGTGGCTCCTGTTGGCTCATGCCAGTGTTGTGCTGGACCCTCGAGTATGTGACTGTCACCCTTGTCCAAGACTGGTTTTTAACAGTCTTGATTTGTCATTTTGATGCTTTGAATACTATAAGGAAAATGCCACGAATACCATATAAATACCACACCAATCTGTTGAACATATCTGTGTTTTCTGACATGGGACCTGCAGAATAGTATTTCTTTTAAATCCTGCAACTTTATTATCTAGTAGAATTCCAAGTAGGTCTGCTTAGACACATATTCAGTGAAGATTGTATTGTGTGTGATATTATCCTATCTTTAATAAAGTCCTACTACTGAAAAACAGGGATTTGCAATGAAAATCATAGCTAAATAGGCAGGTTTAGAAAGTTCAAAATATTGGAAGTGCTAGAAGGCTGCAACTTGTAAAATTGTACTCCCCAAGTTCAGTAGGATAGTAGAGAAGTCGTGCTAAGTTGATTTCATTGAAATGTCACGTCTCACATCCTGTGGTCCAAAGGTACTAGTTTGTTTTGTGGAATAATTTTCTGTTCACTTGCTGATAAGAAATTTAGCAGTCAGAAGTAATTTTTAATTAATAACCTTTCTTTTTAAAAGTTGCTTTATGGTTTACAAGTAATACTGATGCAAAAAGGATTTGTTAACCTAAATTAAGTAGCACGCACTTTGTTTACATGCTTCAGTATATTGTGGGGTTGGTCCCTTCTCACGAACCCAGGACCTGTGCTTGGGGAACATTTTGCCATCATGCTGTTCTCTTGTACCAAGGATCAGTGAAAGTGTTTTATCTTTTTTATGTAGTTTGTATTGACTGGATTTTATAACTGTAAGAAAACAGAAACAGAGTGTTGTATTTTGATCTGAAATTTGTGTATGCTAAAGTAATTTTGTTTTATGTATTGGAAGTTCACTTAAAAACTTGAAATATTTTCTAGAAGGGTACCACACAAAAGGAATCATCTTTAAGCTGTTTAATTAACCTAATAAAATAATTTGATGGGGAAGGCATTCTAATTGTTTCTGATTTTTAGAGTGGTTCCTGCTAAATCATCATTATCAATACAGCTTGATTTGATTTAAGAATGAAACGTTGTCGTTTCTGTCATTTACACGGTGTGGGTGTCAGCTCCTAGACCGTGGCTTGTGATGTTAGATCCGTCCCTTAGCAGCCACACCCCAGTCACTGCCTGAGCCTCTTCCATCGCTGACTGCCTGAGTCTCTCCATCGCTGACTGCCTGAGTCTCTCCATGGCTGACTGCCTGAGTCTTTCCATGGCTGACTGCCTGAGCCTCTCCATCGCCGTCAGCATAAGTCTCCTTGCTGTCTTCCCTGAAAAATGGTTTCAAATTGGCTTTCCTCAGAAGACAGAGAGAAAATAGATTTCGGAGGACTAGAGGACCTTGATATTAAGGGCTTGGTAATATGAGGCAGAATTCCATCTGCAGAAAGCAGATTTCTCTAGTTCCCTCTTACTGCGCTGTCCAGAGACAATAAACCTACAAAGATTGGTAGTACTTGAAAAAGATAATTCAAATACAGATCTCCACTGAAGGCAAGGGGTAAAGAGCTTAGCAACTCTACCATAAGGTCCAGGTTAGGTAAGGACAGGAAAGTGCACGGGCCGTCTGCAGACTCCCTCCTGAAATCACATGAAAAGAGGCAGTATATTCATCTTTGGTGGCACGGCATGGCATAACATAGGTGTGGCAAGTGGGTTTAAATTTTTTTCTACCTTTCATAACGAGGTCATATGGTCCAGTGGCCTGTAGCCCTTTAAATTTTAATTTAATTTTGAGACAGGGTCTGGCTGTCTTGCCCAGGCTGGAGTGCAGTGGTGCAATCTCGGCTCACTGCAACCTTCACATCCTGAGTTCAAGTGATTCTCCTGCTTCAGCCTCCCAAGTAGCTGGGATGACCGGCACATGCCACCACTCCTGGTTAATTTTTATATTTTTAGTAGAGATGTGGTTTCACCATGTTGGCTAGGCTGGTCTTGAACTCCTGGCCTCATATGATCTGCTCGCCTCAGCCTCGCAAAGTGCTGGGATTACAGGCATGAGCCACCATGCCCGGCCTGTAGCCCTTTTATCTTTGGGGTGAGGGAGAGTTGCTAACTGAATCTCAGCCAGAAACCAGTGCCTGAGACAGAGGGACGCCCTGTCTATGGGGGGTGGCACTTCGCAGGTGCGGAGGTGAGGGGTTGACTGTCACCATCTTTAACCCTGTTGACTGCTCTCAATGGTGATAACGGATCTCCTATTGAAAACCTACGTGACGGAGCCCATCTTCAGCCCTTCATGTGTTAACTCAATTCATCCTTGCAACAGCCGTAGGAAGAAGGTAGTATCATTCTGTCCATTTTACAGCACAGAAAACTGAGGCACTGAGAAGTCACTTTGCCAAACTCATGGCTCAATGCAGAGGGCAGAGCTGGGATTCAAGGCCATTTCCAACATCCACACACATAATGATGTCACAGTCCGGCCTGTGTCTCTGGAGAGGGGACAGACCTTTTCTGAAACTGGCTCAGTTGTTGAACAGCCAAGGGTTCAGAGTCAGACAGTATGTGGCAAAGGGGTCGGGGAATCCTGCTGGGGGCTGAGTCAGGACCACCGTCCTTCAGCTGGAATAGGAGCTGATGGAAGCCAAGATTTTTTTTTTTTTTAATACCAAGCTTGAGTGACTTTTTAGAGAAACCTCTACCTCTCTGGAGAACTTGAGGGAGTCCATTCACGTGAACTCTGCCCACTCTGGAGTTGGGGTGTGAGTTGTCTCCTGGGGTTGTCTCCGTGGTTACTGGGCCAAGGGGAAGATTGGGTTTCCTCTGAAGGGTGGGTCAGCTGCTTCCACCGGCCCCCAGCCATTGACACCAAGGATCCTTCTCTACCAAGGGCACTGGACTTGAAAAACCCATTTCCTCAACTGGATCTGTAGAGGTGGGGCCAAGTGGTATCTCAGCTCTGCTTTTAAAAGTGAGGGATAATCCCAGACACAGTGGCTCGCGCCTGTAAATCCAAGCATTTGAGAGGCTGGGGCAGAAAGATCACTTGAATCCAGGAGTTCCAGACCAGCCTGGGCAACAGAACGCGACCACCCACCTCCCCCCGACCCCCAGCAGTCTCTACAACAAATTTAAAAATTAGCCAAGTGTGGTGGCACATGCATGTAGTCCCAGCTACTTGGGAGGCTGAGGTGGGAGGATTGCTTGATGCCAGGAGGTCAAGGCTACAGAGAGCCGTGATCACACCACTGCATTTCAGCCTGGGCAATAGAGCAAGACCCTGTCTCAAAATAAATAAATAAATAAAAATAAACACTCTCTACTCTAGGATGGCTATAATTCTTTTGAATTTTAATAACGCAGAAAATAAAGTTGGCGAGGATGTGGAGAAACAGGAACGCTCGTGCACTGCTGGTGGAAACGTAAATGGTGCAGCCACTGTGGAAAACAGCTTGGTGGTTCCTCATGATAAACATGGAGTTAACATATGACCCAGGAGTTCCACCCCTGGACGTGTAGACCCAAGAGAAGTGAAGACTCAAATACTTGTATTCAAATGCTCATAGCAGTGCTATTCACAACCCAAATGTGCCCACACAACCAAAATATGCATCAGTGGATGAATGGATAAGCGAAATACAGTCTGCCCATCAATGGAATATTATTCAGCCATATGAAGGAGTGGGGTGCTGACCCGTGTGACAATAGGGATAAACCTGCAAAATGCCATGGGAAGGGAAAGAAGACTGTCACAAAAGGCTGCTTACTGCGTGGCTTCATTTATTTAAGTGTCCAGAACTGGCACATTCCTAGAGAGAAACAGGTTACTGGTTGCCAAGGGCTGGGAGAGGGGGAATGAGAGTGACTATTCGTGGGTACGGGGTTTCCTTTGAGGGTGACAAAATGGTTTTGAAACTGGATAGATGAATGCCCAACACTGTGAGAGAGCTAAATGCCACAGGATTGTTCTCTCAGAAATGGCTGACATTTGGTCAATTTTACCTCAATTTTTAAAAAGAGGGATAGAAGATAGGGGGCAAATAAGAAAAGTGATTGACATTCCGGTAGCTGTGTTGCCAGTGATATTGAGGAAATAGGGAATCCACTCTTTTTTTCTGTATTTTATTTATTTATTTATTTATTTTTGAGACAGGGTCTTGCTCTGTTGCCCAGGCTAGAGTGCAGCGGCGCGATCTCCACTCACTGCAATCTTCACCTCCTGAGTTCAAGCGATTCTCATGCCTCAGCCTCCCATGTAGCTGGGATCACAGGCATGCACCACCACACCCACCTAATTTTTGTATTTTTAGTAGAGGTGGGGTTTCACCATGTTCAAGACCAGGCTGGTCTCGAACTCCTGACCTCAAGCGATCTACCCTCCTCAGCCTCCCAAAGTGCTGGGATTACACGGATGAGCCGCAACACCAGGCCAGGAGTCCACTTTTATACCTGCATTAGTCCGTTTTCACACTGCTATAAAGAACTACCAGAGAATGAGTAATTTATAAAGAAAAGAAGTTTAATTGACTCACAGTTCACATGGCTGGGGAGGCCTCAGGAAACTTACAGTCATGGGCGGAAGGAGAAGTAAGGCATGTCTTACATGGCAGCAGGAGAGAGAGAACGGGGAAGAGCCGTACACTTACCAGACAACCAGATCTCGTGGGACTCTAGCATGAAAGCAGCATGGGGGAAACCGCTCCCATGATCCAACCGCCTCCCACCAGGTTTGTCCCTTGACATGTGAGGATTACAATTCAGATTATCATTTGAGATGAGATTTGGGTGGGGACACAGAGCCCAACCATATCAATACCCAAAGTGCTGTTTCCTGTGGATGGTCCAGGGGTGGCCAAGACTCCAGCTGGAGAGGGGTGGGTTAACAGCACCAGGAGGAGCCCACCCACGTGTGCAGCAACCAGTGTTCCCCAGTGATCCCCCACCTGGCCCCAGCATCAGAGAATTGGAAGGAACCTGGGAAGGCAAGTCTCCTACAGCCTTTAAACTCGTGTTTCTGAATTAAATTCATGTAGGAGCCAACCTTCCAGTTAAAAGCTCAGGTCCTGGAGCTAAACTTGTGTTCAAATCCAGTCTCCAGCACTAACTTGTTCATTAGCTGGGTTCTTACTCTCTCTGCCTCAAGTTTCCTGGGGACAGTGAGTGGCAAGGACCCACAGCCTCAGAGTTGTGCCAGAACTCAGTGAGTTAATGCATGGTAGTGCAGAGAACGGTGGCTGGTGCAGTCGAGACCTCCTCTTGCTGGCCGTTAAGCCTTCAGCTCTGAGCCCCATCAGTGCTGATAGCTACAAACTACCCCCTTCTGCACAGTCGCCACTTCCGCACAGTCGCCACTGCCAGCCCAGCCTGCATCTTCCCCAGCTGCATCCCAGAGCATGGATCCAGGAGGTGGGAAGACCCCTCAACCATCTACAGTTGTGTACTCCTAAACTATTTATGGGGAAAGGCAGTGCACGCTCCCTTGGGCTAGAGGTGGGGTGCTCAGGGATTTCCCAGCCTGGGACTCTTGCCATAAGGGTGGATGTTTTGTATCGAGCAGGATATACTTATCAGCTGTGACCAGGAAAGGAGAAACTCACAATTCCAGCACGGCCAGAGAGCAGTTGCCACAGCCGCCCCGTGTGTGCCCAGCAAAGCTGTGGGGCAGGGTGGAAGAGGAAGAGGGAGGTGCAGCTTGCCTTGGCCTCCCTCCTCTCCCGTCCTCTGCACTCCCCAGCGATTGTCCAGGGCCAGCATTCATCAAACACCTCCCCTACCAGGCCCTGTGGAGAGGTTGCTAAACTTAGTCATTACATTCAGAATATTCCTAGGATGAGAAGAGATAAGAAAGTCAGAAGCTATTAAGAAACTTATTCTATGGCTGGGCACGGTGGCTCATGCCTGTAATCCCAGCACTATGGGAGGCCGAAGTGGGCGGATCACTTGAGGTCAGGAGTTCAAGACCAGCCTGGCCAACGTGATGAAAACCCATCTCTACTAAAATACAAAAATTAGCCAGGCATGGTGGCACATGCCTGTAATCCCAGCTTGGGAGGCTGAGGCAGGAGAATCACTTGAATCGGGGAGACAGAGGTCATGTTGAGCCGAGATCATGCCACTGCACTCCAGCCTGGACAACAGAGTGAGACTCCATCTCAAAAAAAAAAGAAAAACAAACTTGCTGCAAGTCTCATGGCTTGTCTGAGGCAGAGCCAGGATTCGGACCCACATCTGTGTGATACCCAGGCCTGTATTCTCTCTCTGGCTGTCCTTTCCTCTTTATGCCATCTCTGTGTCATTAGACACAATACAATGAGACCGGCACCAACAAAGCTTCCTCTGCTCCAGTGGACCCCAGAGACACAGACAGAAGAGCCCAGCTGCGCTCAGGGGCCTCCCTGTCAGAGTTCTCACCTCTGCAGGAAAAAGACCTTGAGATTCCTGATCTTTGCCACCTGCCCCCACAAATACATCTACTCCTCCCCAAATACCCTACTCCTAGAACCAGTGAATATGTCACCTGACGTGGCAAAAAGGGCTTTGCAGATGTGATTACGGACTCTGAGATGAGACAATTATTCTTGATTTTCAAAGTGGGCCTGCGTTAGTCCGTTTTGCATTGCTATAAATAGGAATACCTGCGACTGAGTAATGTACATGGAAAAGAGGTTTTATGGCTCACGGTTCTGCAGGCCATACAAGCATGGCACCAGCATCGGCTCGAGAGCCTCAGGGAGCTGGTAGCCATGGCGAGAGGTGAAGGGGGAGCAGGTGCGTCACACGGCGTCACATGGCAAGAGAGGGAGCAAGGAGAGGGGAGGTGGGAGGTGCCAGGCTTTTTGGTTTTTTGTTTGTTTGTTTGTTTGTTTGTTTTTTGAGCTGGAATCTTCCTCTGTTGCCCAGGCTGGAGTGCATTGGCATGATCTCGGCTCACTGCAACCTCTGCCTCTCAGGTTCAAGCAATTCTTCTGCCTCAGCCTCCCGAGTAGCTGGGACCACAGGTGCGCACCACCCTGGCTAATTTTTATATTTTTTGTAGAGACGGGGGTCTCACCATGTTGGCCAGGATGGTCTCGATCTCTTGACCTCCTGATGCAATCTCAGCTCACTGCAACCTCCACCTCCCAGGTTCAAGCGATTCTCCTGCCTCAGCCTCTTGAGTAGCTGGGGTTACAGGCACCCACCACCATGCCCAGCTAATTGTTGTATTTTTAGTAGACATCGGGTTTCACTATGTTGGCCAGGCTGATCTCGAACTCCTGGCCTCAAGTGATCCACCCCGCTTGTCTTCCCAAAGTGCTGGGATTACAGGTGTGAGCCACCATGCCCGGCCATGTGCCAGGCTCTTTGAATAATCAACTCTTGAGTGAACTCACTACCATGGGGAGGGCACCAAGCCATTCATGAGGGATCTGCATCCATGACCCAAACACCTCCCACCGGCCCCATCGCCAACACTGGGGACCACATTTCAACATGAGATTTGGAGGGAATAGACATCCAAACGCTATCAGGGCCCACGGCAGTCACAAAAGTCCTTATCAAGGAGGCGGGAGGGTCAGAGAGAGATGTGACAACCAACACAGAGGCTGGAGCAGGGCACAGGGCCGAAGGCCAAGGATGCAGCAGCTCCAGAAGCTGCAAGGAGCAAGGAAAAGATTCTCCCGAGAGCCTCCAGGAGGAAGCAGCCCTGCTGACGCCTTGATTCCAGCCCAGCATTGGACACCGGGCCTCCTGGACGATGAGATAACACATCCGTGTTGCTTTAGGCCACTGCGTGTGTGGGGCTTTTTTACAGCAGCCACAGGAAAACGATGCAGCCCACCCTCTAAGTCAGAATCTGATGAGTCCAGAGGGGAGGGACTCGGGAATAGGACCCTTCTCAGGACATCTTGGAAATGACCCATCTGCTTCCAGAGTTGGCCGGACGTTGCCATGGCTTTCCTTGGTCAGAGCCTGCTGTCCTGTTCTCCCTAGATCTGAGCCACTCAAATGTCCTGCTCCACAGACGCTACAGCCGGAGTCCCTGGGCCCACTTGAGCTGCTGGAGGCCTCTCCTTACCCGGGCTTTCTTGTTAGACAGCAGTGAGGGCGAGGAGTCCCGACAGACGCACCCTCCTGCCTTCACCAGCAATTCCTGCTGATCCTGCTCACCTTCTGTAAACCGCCTACCCAATCCCGGCCCCTGCCTTTGCAGTCTGATTCTCAGTCATCAGTGTCTTTGGGAGGCCCACCTTGTCACCCCCCAGCTCCAGGCCCTGGACTTTTAACTGGGAAGCTGCCTCCCATTGAATCCAATTCGGAAACGTGGGTTTAAGTGCTGTAGGAGACTTGCCTGACCAGATCGCCCCCAATTCCTGATGCTGGGGCAAGATCACGGGGGGTGGGGGGGCCACCAGGAAAGCTGGCAGGTGCACACGTGGGAGGACCCCTCCTGGTGCCGCTAACCCACCCCTCTCCAGCCAGAGTCTTGCACACCCCTAGGTTGTCTACAGGAAACACCACTTTGGGTATGAGAATGGCTTCCTCATTTCCTCAATATCACCAGCAACGTAGCTACCGCAGTGTTGATTGTTTCTCTTTTATGTTCCCTATCTTCTATTCCTTTTTGTTTGTTTTTTGTTTGGTTTTGTTTTGTTTTTTTGAGATGGAGTCTTGCTCTGTTGCCCAGGCTGGAGTGCAGTGGCGTGACACCACCTCACTGCAACCTCTGCCTCAAGTGATTCTCCCGCCTCAGCCTCCGGTGTAGCTGGGATTACAGGCGTGCGCCACCACACTTGGCTAATTTTTTGTGTGTGTTTTTAGTAGAGACAGGGTTTCACCATGTTGGACAGGGTGGTCTCGAACTCCCAACTTTCAGTGATCTGCCTGCCTCGGCCTCCCAAAGTGCTGGGATTACAGGCGTGAGCCACTGCACCTGGCCTCATTTTTTCCTTTTTTTAATTGAGGTAAAATTGACCAAATGTCAGCCACTCTAGAGAGAACAATTCAGTGGCATTTTGCACATTCATGATGTTGGGCGTTCATTGATCGAATTCCAAAAGGTATTTTTTTGTTACCCTCAAAGGAAATCCCGTACCCATGAATAGTCACTCTCATTCCCCCTCTCCCCAGCCTTTGGCAACCAGTAACCTGCTGTTCGTCTCTAGGAATGTGCCAGTTCTGGACACATATAAATGAAGCCACGCAGTAAGTAGCCTTTTGTGATGGTCTTCTCTGCCTTCGTGTGGTATTTTGCAGGTTTATCCCTATTGTCACATGGGTCAGCGCCCCATTCCTTCATAATGGCTGAATAATATTCCGTTGTATGGATAGACTGCATTTTGTTTATCCATTCCTTCATTGATGGACCTTTGGGTTGTTTCCCCTTTTGGCTAATGTGAATAGCATTGCTATGAGTATTTGAGTACAAGCATTTGAGTCCCTGTTTTTACTTCTCTTGGGCCTATATACCCAGGGGTGGAATTGCTGGATCATACGGTAACTCCATGTTTAGCAGGAGGAACCACCAAGCTGTTTTCCACGGCAGCTGCACCATTTAACCTCCTGCTCCTGTCTCACTGCATTGAGAATGAAACCCAAACTTTGCACATGCCCTCTGAGACCCTGCAAGAAGTCCCTTACCTTGGGCTGCAGCCATGGGGCTCTCTCAGGACATTGGTACTGCATCTCCCCCTAACACTATGCCCAGCTACCAACTTCTCATCCTCCAGGACACAACATCAAAGTCACCTGTTTACAGAAGACTTCTCTGCCCCTCTCCTCCCACTCTGTATCAGAAGGGTTAAAATGCTGCAAAGGCCAAAGTGGTTACAAAAGTGAAGCAAAGGTGGTGAGAAATAACGAATACAAATAACCAAAAGCAGGCTCTTCTCAGCCCATTTTCACTTTCCACTGTGATTAGAGCCATGGGTTGGAGAGAGGTGTCACTTTCCTCTCAGCTCTATAGTCAGAACAACAATCATTGAGGGGTCTTAATGGCAGTGGATACATAGGCTCAGTGTTAGAAATCTCCAGAGAGAAGCCAGCGCTGTGGGAACCTGGGGAGCAATGCCCCATCTCCTGGGGGCAGCCACTGCCCAGCACATGCTCTGCTGCCATGCAGAAATGTGGGCTCAGGATGGCCGTACCTTCTGATTTTTCAGCTGGAGGTTTCTGTGAAATGCTTTGGTTTCTGCATTTAAAGTAAATTCAACTTAAAAAAAAAAAAAAGTAAGTCTAATTGTTCAGACTAGTCCCTCTCAAGCCACCTGATGACAGACAACTGAGGCTGTGAGTGACCTCAGACAAGACCAGCAAAAGAACCACCCAGCTGAGCCCAGCCCACATTGCAGAATTGTGAGGAAATAAATGGAGGTTGTGTTAAGCCATACATTGTTGAGTGTTTGTTATACAACAATAGATAACTGATACACAGCCCTTATTATGATCTTTCATCATCTTTGTTTATTTGTTTACTTTTTTGTCTCTCTCCCCTGCCCACCCCTTTCCCCACACACTCACTGGAATATCAGCTCCATCAGCCCATGGACCTTGTCAGTCTTGTTTCTTTTCCATTTCCCAGTGCTCATACAATGCCCAGTAGGCGCTCAATAAATATCTTTTGAAGAGTGAATAAATAAATGTTTAGGTCAACAAACATTTGCGGTGCCATCCTCTTGTCACAAGACACCAAGCTGGAGATGAGGGTGATCCAATCTCTCCATGAGGAAACACGTAGCTTCCCAGACTTGTTCTTCATCTTCCATCATGTTATTTTATTTTACTTTATTTTTATTATTTGTAGAAACAGGATGTTGCTTTATTGCCCAGGCTAGTGTTGGTCTCCTGGCCTCAAGTGATGCTCCAATCTTGGTCTCTCAAAGTGCTAGGATTACTGGCATGAGCTACGTCGTCTAGCCAATCATTTATTATTATTATTATTTTTATTATTATTATTTTGAGACACGGTCTTACTTTGTTACCCAGGCTGGAGTGCAGTGGCATGAATATGGCTGACTGCAGCCTTGACCTCTCGAGCTCAAGAGATTCTCCCCACTCAGCACCCCAAGTAGCTGGGACTACAGGCACATGCCTAGCTAGTAATAATTTTTGTACGTTTTGTAGAGACGGGTTTTTGCCTTGTTGCCCAGGATGGAAATCATGTTATTTTAAAGAGACAATTTAAGAAAGTCTCTTGGGCCCCTGCCTGATGTTTCAGCCGCATCTTATTCTGCCATATAGACAGACTAGAAGAGGTATGGATAGCTTCACACTCCAACAAATTGTGCATGGATTCTGGAGCACTTAACCCCTCCAAGCCACAGCTGTCTTTAAGTGGGGACCAGCTGATCCTGGAAGAGCTGCCGGGAGGCTCACACACCAGCCTGCATGACTGTTGTGCAGTAGCCCCACCCCACGCAGGCCAGCCCCGCGTCATCATTCCTATCCTGAACCTGCAGGGCATTTTCGGTTGAGGAAATGAAGACTCATGTTTATCATCCTTTCCGGGAGAGGGATTCAAGAAACTTGGCAGGGGTGAGCCCGGATCCATGCCCGTGGCGGGAGCTCAGTGACCTCTGCTCAACCCCCTATCCTTGCTAGACCCAAATTTCTCCTTTGGACGTATCCCGGGAATCCAGAGCCCCGCAGCCTGTGACTTTAGAAAGAAAGAGGCAGGCTCCTTCTTGGCTCAGTCCTGAGTGGAACTTCCAAAGGCAGGGCTGGGATGACTTCATGTTTGGATTAGGGAATTTCAGAATGGGACAAAGCCCATCTTTATTTCAGAGCCGATGACCTAGGTCTGAGTGGGTGACCTCCCTCCTAACTGATGGGAGATGACATCTAAACTCCCGATGCTGAGTAACAAGCAATGTAGACACCAAGGGCGATGAAGCAGCCATTCAGCATTTCCTGGCACCTGCCAGCTGCCGCCCACTGTCCTGGGCACCCAGGACACCAGCCCTGCGGTGGAGGCTCTGGCCTGGCACTTTACACCTTTGCTTGAACATGAGAACCACCTGGGGAGATTCCACAAACGCCCGTGTTTGGGCTCCACCTGAGACCAATTAGAGGCAGTCCTGCTCTAATTGGTTAATTACAATCAATCTCCCAGGTGGATTTGCAACCAGGGCTGAGAGTACTAGGCTGGTGGATACTAAAACCCCACATTTTTGTTTGGTTGATTTTTTTTTTTTTTTTTTTGAGACAGCCTTGCTCTGTCGCCCAGGCTGGAGTGCAGTAGCACAATCTCCGCTCACTGCAACCTCCACTTCCCAGGTTTAAGCAACTCTCCTGCCTCAGCCTCCCGAGTAGCTGGGATTACAGGCGCCCGCCACCACGCCTGGCTAAGTTTTTGTATTTTTAGTAGAGACAGGGTTTCACCATGTTGTCCAGGCTGGTCTCTAACTCCTGACCTCAGATGACCCGCCCACCTCGGTCTCCCAAAGTGCCAGGATTACAGGTGTGAGCCACCGCGTCTCGCCCCCACATTTGTTGAGAAGTCATCTTGTGCCAGGCTTTAAGGATTTTATTTTATATATATATGTATGTATTTTAATGCTTATTCTTTTCTTTTGAGATAGGGTCTTGCTCTGTCACCCAGGCTGGAGTGCAGTGGCACGATCATGGCTCATTACAGCCTTGACCTCCTGGGCAGCGATCTTCCCCCCTCAGCCCCCTGAGTAGCTGGGACTACAGGTGCATGCAACTGCACCTGGCTAACTTGTAAATTGTTTGTAGAGATGGTCTCACTACGTTGCCCACGCTTGTCTGAAACTCCTGGGCTCAAGGGATCCTCCTACTTTGGCCTCCTAAAGTGCTGAGATTACAGGCGTGAGCCACCACGCCTGGCCAAGAATGTTATATATGTAAGTATTAGTTCCTTTCCTCTTCACATGATCCCTCTGAGGTAAGTGCTGTTATCGTTATCTCTATTTTGCAGAGGAGGAAACTGAGGCATAGCAGGCACAAGTCGGGGATCCCTGTGTGTTAGCCAGGGCCTGCTATAGCTCTGCCAGGAGGGCTGGCAAGGCAAAAGAGAGCACTGGCCTGGGAATCTGGCCCAGCGTTGATCGAGGGCCTTGGACACGGGACTTAATCTTTGCCAGGACTTCAGTTTTCTCATCTGAATAATGGGCTTGATAATAGATTTGGCTGGGTGCAGTGGCTCACACCTGTTATCCCAGCACTTTGGGAGGCTGAGGCGGGCAGATCACTTGAAGTCAGGAGTTTGAGACCAGCCTGGCCAACATGGAGAAACCCCATTTCTACTAAAAATATAAAAATTAGTCGGGTGTGGTTGTGGCTGTCTGTAATCCCAGCTACTCAGGCGGCTGAGGCAGGAGAATCGCTTGAACCGGGGAGGCAGAGTTTGCAGTGAGCCGAGATCATACCATTCCACTCCGGCCCGGGCGACAGGGCAAGACTCTGTCTCAAAAAAAAAAAAAAAAAAAAAAATAGAAGTGAAGATGAAGCTGGGTGATGGAGAATGGGGCATACCATGGCCACTCCAGGGAGAGCTGTTAGCGGGAGTGGTTCTGTGCACCCAAATACTAGCCAATAAATCAATACATAAGCAGGAAGAGTACTTCCAACCATTAAAATAATTTGAATAATATTTGAATAATTTGAATAAATAATATTATTTTAATTGATTATTGTGGGATCAATGAATTCTAAATAAAAAATGCACTAAAAGTCTGTAGTGGGTGATGGGGTGGGGGATTTAGGGGTGCCGACGGGGTAGACCCCTATTGAAAGAGGCACGAAAACTGGGAGATGAAAAGCATAGGCTCGTTTGCCCTGTGTCTTCCTTCTCACGGCAGGGGATCGGCCGGCCACCTTCTCCCTGTGACTTCCTCCCAGTCCCGTCACCAAACCCCTGAGGCCGTCCTGGCATCAGACCGCAGGCCATAAAAGCGTCCAGCAGAGGGCGCCCCAAACCCACGAGGGCCGCGGCGAAGAAGAAGGTAGCGGCCGCTGTCCTCTCCCCTCCCAGGCAGGTCCGGTGCGGAAGGGATCGCTGGACACTGGCGATGGTGGAGAGGCATGGTGGGCCGGGTCCCCCGCACCCTTCATGGCCCTGACTCGGGGCTGCCCATGACCTTCAGCGTCAGAGCTCGGTCTGGTCCATGCCTGCCTTGGGGAAGCTGCGCCGCCTCTGCACCCACCCAGGTCAGGGCCACCTTCCCTCCATTTGCAGCATGAGCAGGTCTGAGGTGGCGGCTCCGGGCTGAACAGCAGGAACTGAGTTCTTTGTCCACATGTGAGGGTGGGCAGCCCATGAACAGTCCACCCAGACACAAGTTACCCTGCCCCCGAGCCGGAATCCAGCCCTGAGACCCCACAGTGCTGCCTCTGAAACAGTGCTGGGACGTCTCTCTGAGCCTGAGCTCAGACTTTGGTGTCCCGCTGCTGAGGCCGGGGTCCCGCCGCTGTGACCGTGGCAAGGGTAAGCCCTTTGTGCACCTGTGCCGTTGCCTGTAAAATGCTGGCAGTAATCACAGTGGAGCTACCCTAGAGGTTTGCTAGGAGGGTTACATGAGCCGTGCCTGGCACGGGCCACAGAGGGTAGGTTGCACATGGCTCTTTTCCCCACTGCCCAGTTATTAATCCAGGTCACAGTTACTTCTTCCCCCAGCCTCACAGAAGATGGGGGCCACTGTAAACCCCACCCCATCCCAGATGAATCAAGCCATCACCATACCCCCCCCCTCCAAATGATCCATGCCACCATAATATGCCCTCTGGATGACTCAGACCACCACTGCCCCCTCCCCAACACACACGTACACCCTGATGGCCCCAGCAGTCTCCTAACTGTCCTCCCTGGCTCCAGCCTTGCCCTGCTCCCTTCCACCATCCACTCTGCAGCCAGACTGATTTTTCTAAAATGCAAATCTGATCACATTACTTCCTACTTAACATCCACCAACAATTTCCCAATAAACTCGGGATGAAATTCAAGCTCCTTAATGTGAGTTCTGAGGCCTTTCCTGATCTGGCTGGGGCCTGGCACTCCAGCCTCATCCCTCTGAGTGACAGCCAGAGCCCAACCATGGGGGGCCCAGGCAGGAACTGTGACACCCCCAAATTCCACTTTTTAAAATTTTATTTTATTTTAAGTTCCGGGATACATGCGCAGAATGTTCAGGTTTATTACATAGGTAAACGTGTGCCATGGTGGTTTCCTGCACTTATCAACCCATCACCTAGGTATTGAGCCCCCCACATGCATTAGCCATTTATCCTGATGCTTTCCCTCACCTCACACCCCGCTGCTGACAGGCCCCAGTGTGTGTTGTTCCCCTCCCTGTGTCCATGTGTTCTCAATGTTCAGCTCCCACTTATAAGCAAGAACACGTAGTATTTGGTTTTCTGTTCCTGTGTTACTTTGCTGAGGATAATGGCTTCCAGCTCCATCCATGTTCCTGCAAAGGACATGATCTCTTTCCTTTTTATGGCTGCATAGTATTCCATGGTGTAAATGTACCACATTTACTTTATCCAGTCTGTCATTGATGGACATTTGGATTGATTCCATGTCTGTGCTATTGTGAATAGTGCTGCAATGAACAAACTCATGTATGAATCTTTATAACAGAATGATTTATATTCCTTTGGGTATATACCCAGCAATCGGATTGCTGGGTCAAATGGTATTTCTGGTTCTAGGTCTTTGAGGAATCGCCACACTGTCTTCCACAACGGTTGAAATAATTTACACTCCCACCAACAGTATAAAAGTGTCCCTATTTCTCCACAGCCTTAAATATTTGCACATTTATCAAACAGGGAAACTACTTTTTATTATTAACATAAAAGGTATTCCTCTCTCTTTGTGAAAACAAGGGCTTTAGAATGTGCATACTGTGAAAGTAACCTGTTAACTTATCAGAAAATGTCTTTTATCTGACATTTTCCTGCCCTCATCAATGGATGACGTTAGTCACATTCCTTGAAGGATGACTGGAGCTTACATGGACCCAGGTTCAAAGTCGTAGTCTCTTTGAAGAGCCTCAACTTTTCCAGCCTGACTCCGGGTTGGAACCTGCGTGCCTGAGGTTCCTCTCAGGATCAGCGTCTCCACCGTCAGACATTCTTATGAGAATACGGGTGGGTCAGCGCCGGGTAAAGGTGCTGGCTAAGTTTCCACCTTGTGGAGGTGGGATGACTTGCAATTCCCGTCTCCTGATTCATCCCCGGGTTACTGATTCATTTCCCTGGAATCTGGACTGCTTATGGCCATGCCCCCAGCTGCTGCTGGGCAAGCTGAGTGCTCCATTCAGCCCTGGTTCACACAACATATTCCTGGGCTCCTGATACAGGGCCTTGCGAGCGTTCAGACCCAATGCTTCTTGCATAAACACACACACATACAGATATATATATATATCTGTGTGTGTGTATATATATGTGTATGTGTGTGTGTGTATATATGTGCATATATATGTGTGTGTATACATATGTGTGTGTATAGATATGTGTATATATATGTGTGTGTGTGTATGTGTGTGTATATATATATATATCTCTTTTTTTTTTTTTTTGAGATGGAGTCTCACTCTGTCGCCCAGGCTGGAGTGCAGTGGTGTGATCTTGGCTCACTGCAAGCTCTGCCTCCCGGGTTCATGCCATTCTCCTGCCTCAGCCTCCTGAGTAGCTGGGACTACAGGCGCCCACCACCGTGCCTGTCTTTTTTTGTATTTTTAGTAGAGACAGGGTTTCACAGTGTTAGCCAGGATGGTCTCAATCTCCTGACCTCGTGATCCCCCCACCTCGGCTTTCCAAAGTGCTGGGATGACAGGTGTGAGCCACCGCGCCCAGCCAAAATATATATATATATAGATATATATATTATGTATATGGGTCATGTCCGGCCCCCATCCTGCCAAAATATAATATTTTTCCAAAATATATATAGAAAATATTGCTCTGTTACTGTCACCCAGGCTGCAGTGCAGTGGCACGATCACAGCTCTCGTTGTAACCTCAGACTGCGAGGCTCAAGTAATTGTCCTGCCTCAGCCTCCCAAGTAGCTGGGATTACAGGCACGTGACACCATACGCAGCTAATATTTGTATTTTTCACAGAGATGGGTCCTTGCTATGTTGCCCAGGCTGGTCTCAAACTCCTGGCCTCAAGCCATCCTCCCACCTTGGCCTCCCAAAGTGCTGGGATTATAGGCGTGAGCCACCGTACCTGGTCAAAACTAATATTTTGAATGTTTCTTTCTGTCTTGAAGTTGAATTCCCTGGTATATAATTTAGCTATACATGTGATTTCAGATACATCAATATCATGCCTATTTACAATATAAAGGAGGATTAAAAAGAAATTAATTTGACATAAAATTGTATGTGGGGACATTAGAACCCCCTCTACCCCAGAGACATAAAGAAGTAGTAAGCCACTTGCTCCTGCTCAGGAATCCCCAGGAAGGCTGCAGCCACAGCACAGATGGCCACAGGTGTGCCTGTGGGTGACTCAAACATCACAGGCTGGCAGGCTCTCAGTGACGTGATTTTCCAAAATGGTGAGCAACTCTTGGTTAACGTCCAAATGAAACAAAGAACAACCTTACCTCCATTTACGCTGTGGTTGTGCTCCTGGGAAATGCAGGGACAATGAAAACTGAGCAGGAAAAAACGGCCTTTTTATGTAAAGTGAAGTTAGATTCCAGACACAGATAATTTCAAGCAGGGTTTTCGCCTACGTGAATGTCCTGAGAGACGGCAGCCCATCCTGGGGGCCGAGGGCCCATTCTTGTCATCAGGGACTGTCTGTCTAGCTTTCCTGCCCACTGCCACCACCAAATGCCAGTGCTTCCCACACTCACACGTTATGGAGACAAATTTCCAACCCCAGTAGGGACAACCCTGTTTCCAGGAGAGCAACCTGGCTAGTGGGTCAGGTCCTGCCCCCACCCTGCCAGGTCTTCCTTCACATGTTCTTTTCTTTCTTTCTTTCTTTCTTTCTTTCTTTCTTTCTTTCTTTCTTTCTTTCATTCTTTTTTCTTTCTTTCTTCCTTCCTTCCTTCCTTTCTTTCTTTCCTACCTTCCTTCCTTCCTTTCTTCCTTCCCTCCCTCCCTCCCTCCCTCCTTCCTTCCTTCCTTCTCTCTCTCCCCTTCTCTCTTTCTCTCTCTCTCTTTTTCTTTCTTTCTTGAGTTTCACTCTGGTTGCTCAGGCTGGAGTGCATGGCACGATCTCAGCTCACTGTAACCTCTGCCTCCTGGGTTCAAGCAATTCTCATGCCTCAGCTTCCCCAGTAGCTGGGATTACAGGTGTGTGCCGCCACCCCTGGCTAATGTTTGTATTTTTAGTAGAGACGGGGTTTCACCACATTGGCCAGGCTGGTTTTGAACTCCTGACCTCAGCTGATCCATCCATCTCGGCCTCCCAAAGTGCTGGGATTACAGGCATGAGCCACCACACCCAGCCAATTTTTTGTATTTTTAGTAGAGACGGGGTTTCACCATGTTGCCCAGGCTGGTCTTGAACTCCTGAGCTCAGGTGATCCATCCGCCTCGGCCTCCCAGAGTGCTGGGATTACAGGCGTGAGCCATGGTGCCTGGACCCTTCCTCTCCTTTTCATCTAGGAGGCTTCTCTTTCTTCAAGTCTCCATGCATTATTCATTTTTCCAGAAAACCCACCCTGACTCCTGCAGGCTGGGGAAACATCCCTTCCTGCCACCACGGCCCTATTCACCCTACTTCCAGAACCCGAGAACCTGGTTACCCTGTGCATCTTTGTACTCACACCTACCCTGGGAAGCCAGGAGCCTTGACCCTTCACCATCAACCCCCACTTCAGCCTCAGTGCCTGGTATTCAGTAGGTGCTCAATAAATGTCGAATACATGAATCCTAGCAGTGGCTCCACTTCCCGTGCTGGGCTCACTCACAGGCATCCCAGAAAGTAGGACTATTCTTAGTCCCATTTTTCAGGTGGGGAAACTGAGGCTCAGAGAGGTCAGGTGACATGCCCAAGGTCACAGAGGGGACACAGATACCAATGTAGCACTTCAAATTCTCTAGAGAGTCTGCGACTGCCCCGCTCAACACCCCCAGCAACTTTCCTTAAAAGACTCAAACCCCACACCTTCCCCCAACACCACCACCGGCGTCTTCAATCATCCAGCCCTTTTGGATGTACAGCCCCCGGGCTTCTGCAGACCTGCTCCCTGATTCCTGAGCACAGCCGCCTCCCTGACTTTACCTCTCCTTCCCCCATTGTCTCTACCTTACCTGTCCTGCAAGGCCTATCTCAGTGCAACTCTTCCCCCACCATCGAAAACCGCTCTCCCCATCCCAGTCTCCTCTGTGAGCTGTGATGTTTGAACCTGTTTCCCAGCCTTTGACATCAGCATCTCCCAGGCGGGGCTCAGGCTTTCCTCACTCCTGACTGCCTCCCTAGGGCACCCAGCTTAGGGCCTGGCCTGTAGCCCACGATCACATGCCCAATCCCCCGACATTTGCTGAGCTCCGTGTGAGCCGAGCAACTACAGATGCATAGAAGGGAACAGAGCAGGTGCGTGCACAGATGCGTGTGGGCCACCCTCCTCTTCTGCACCTCGCCATTGCTGCCAAGGCTATGGGCACCTGGCACGGCTGGAGGCCAGAAGAGACTCCATGTCCAGTGGCCACCACCGAGCTGGCCCTGGTCCAGCTCACCCAGGACAGGATCTGGCTCTATTGACTTCAGCTCCTTTCTAGTCCCAAGCAGATCTGGAGTCACCCTGCATTGGTTGCCACAGACGAGGAACAAGAGGGGGTATTGGGAGAAGCAGGGGGCCCAGGCATCTCCTTCCTGGGTCACTCAATGTCTACAAGCCACACTTTAGCCTCTCTGAGCCTCAGTTTCCCACCTGTAAACTGAATGTTTGGAAGGAGATGATCTTCAAGGTCTTCTGGGATTTTGATACTTTAAGATTCATCCAACAACTGTGTTTTTGAGCACTTTTGTGCCTCAAAGGCGAGATGCCTTTGGGGATGATAGAAACCAGTCCAATCTCAGATTACAACCTCTCACTTCCTGTCCTCCATTTCCATTTAAGTTTTCTCCTTAGTATTTAGCAACACTTAATATACTTGTGATTTCATCTCTTCGATTTGATGTGTGTCTCTGTGAGCTCTAACCCAACACATAGAGCAGGGCTTGGCACATAGTAGGCTCTCAGTAAATATTTGTTGAGTGAATGAATAAAAAAAGAACTGTTTTTTGGATCAAATGAGCTCCATGACATCCGGTGTCTTTATCAAACCTCAACAAGATTCCGAGAACAATCACAATAAAAACAATCTCTTGGGCCAGGCACAGTGGCTCACACCTGTAATTCCAGCACTTTGGGAGGCCAAGACAGGAAGATTGTGTGAGCCCAGCAGTTCAAGAACAGCCTGAGCAACACAGTGAGACCCTGTCTTTACAAAAACAAACAAACAACAGCAACAAAATTAGCCAGTCGTGGTGGCACGCACCTGTAGTCCCAGCTACTCAGGAGACTAAGCCGGGAGGATCACTTGAACCACCGCACTCCAGCCTGGGCAACAGAGTGAGATCTCAACTCTTAAAGAACCAAACAAACAAGAATAATCCTTTGAGGCCGGGCATGGTGGCTCACGCCTGTAATTCCAGCACTTTGGGAGGCCAAGGCAGGTGGATCACTTGAGGTCAGGAGTTCGAAACCAGCATGGCCAACATGGTGAAACCCCGTCTCTACTAAAAATACAAAAATTAGCCGGGCGTGGTGGCGTGCACCTGTAATCCCAGCTACTCGGGAGGCTGAGGCAGAAGAATCACTTGAACCCAGGAGTCAGAAGTTGCCATTAGCCAAGATCACACCATTGCACTCCAGCCTGGGCAACAGAGCGAGACTGTCTCAAAAAAAATAAAAATAAAAATATTTTGGGAGTGGGTTGCAATTAATAAGACATTCCCATCACCTCTTTTGAGCTTCCGAGCACCTGCTCGAGGTTGTAGGCAGACCACAGTAGTGCTGCCTTTTAGAGGGGAGAGCATGCAGATGGTGAGTGGCTGGCTAGGGCTCTGCAGGTGGCCAGGAGGATGTTCACATTCTTCAGCTGCCACTATGCTGCCCTCCCAGCCACAGCCAGTAACTCCTTGGATATTCTATACCTCCTTTCCCCCATATTTCTTTGCCTATGCATGTGCGGTTCGCTTTGCCTAGAAAAGCCTTTCCTCTGCCCCTTCCTCTCTGCCGGGTCCATCCCTGTTCTTCCTTCCAGACCCAGCAGATTGTGGCACAGGCTGAAAGCAAACCAAGTTCAGGGTCAGTGCTGGTGCCTGTGGCAGGCGTGGAGGATGCAGGCTCCATCCCCACCCCCACCCCGGCAGGCAGGCGTGCGTGATCCCTGCCAAAATCCCAACTGCTGCTGGAAAGTTCCTGGGAATTCCTGTGTACCAGCTTTTTTTTGTGTGCTAAACACAAAAGCCTCTTTTTGGTCATTGCACATCAAAGCATTTTTTAACATGAGATTCCCCTAGCTCTTGGTAGGCGAATCTGCTGTCCCACCATTATTTTTTATGTTTGATTTTTAATTTGTAAAAATTTGTGGGTTTTTCTTTTCTTTTTTTTTTTTTTTGAGATGGAGTCTCCCTCTGTCGCCCAGGCTGGGGTGCAGTGGCAGGATCTCAGCTCATTGCAACCTCCCTCTCCCAGGTTCAAGCGATTCTCCTGCATCAGCCTGCTGAGTAACTGGGGCTACAGGCGCGTGCCACCACACTCGGCTAATTTTTGTATTTTTGGTAGAGACAGGGTTTCTCCATGTTGGCCAGGCTGGTCTTGAGCTCTTGACCTCAGGTGATCCACACACCTCAGCCTTCCAAAGTGCTGGGATTACAGGCATGAGCGACTGTGCCTGGCGTCATTGTTTTTAGTAGCACTCACTGTATGGAAGAATAAGTTTTTTATTTAAACATTCTTCTCTTGATGGAATTCAGGTTGCTTCCAATCATTTACTATTTCCACCAGTGCAGCCAAGACCATTTTGCAAATGATATCTTTGTCCACATGCAGAAGCCTAGGATTCCTAGCTTTCCTTCCATGCTTTTTAAAAGAAAGTATAATGGGATGTAAAACTAGTTTTATTTTATTTATTATTATTATTATTATTGTTATTATTATTATTGAGGCAAAGTGGTCTCTCCTGTTGCCCAGGCTGGAGTGCAGTGGCACGATCACGGCTCACTGCGATCCTCCTGCCTCAGCCTCCAGGGTGCACCTGCTACCACAGGTGTGTGCAACCACACTGGCTAATTTTAAAGTTTTTTTGTAGAGATGAGGTCTCACTACATTGCTCAGGCTGGTCTCAAACTTCTGAGTTCAAACAATCCTCCTGCCTTAGCCTCCCAAGGTGCTGGAAGGTGAGGGCCACTGGGCCCAGCCACTACTTATAACTTCTAAAAACCTTCCTTTATTCCCACAACACCTCCCATTCAGCGTAATCTGTTCCAGCCTTGCCCTCAATCAGAAGCATTTTACAAAGTTGCAGGCACCCAAGGCATGCATCATTCTTTTTCTGTTCCATAAGATACTGCTTCTATCCTAAGAGTGTTCCATGTGGCTACACAGTCATCAAAGTGACATTTTCATAGCTGTGTAATCATGGAGGCAGAGGGCTCATGCTGTATGGAGCCATTGACCTACCTGGGCTCTTAACATTTCTTTTCTCTTCCAGATAGTGCTGCAGAGAACATTTTCTTTCCAAATAGCTTTTTTTTTTTTTTTTTTTTTTGAGACAGAGTCTTGCCGTGTTGCCCAGGCTGGAGTGCAGTGGCACCATCTTGGCTCAGTGCAGCCTCTACCTCCTGGGCTCAGGTGATCCTCCTGCCTCAGCCTCCCGAGTAGCTGGGATGATAGGCACACACTACCATGACTGGCTAATTTTTATATATATATATATAATTTTTTTTTTGAGACTGAGTCTCGCTCTGTCACCCAGGCTGCAGTGCAGTAGAACAATCTCAGTTCACTGCAACCTCCGCTTCCTGGAGGTTCTTCTGCCTCAGCCTCCCAAGTAGCTGGGACTACCGGCACCCACCACCACACCCGGCTAATTTTTGTATTTTTAGTAGAGACGGGGTTTCACCATATTGGCCAGGCTGGTCTCAAACTCCTGACCTTGTGATCCGCCCGCCTTGGCCTCCCAAAGTGCTGAGATTACAGGTGTGAGCCACCGCGCCCAGCCAATTTTTTTTATATTTTTAGTGGAGATGGGGTTTCACCATGTTGGCCAGGCTGGTCTCGAACTCCTAACCTCAAGTCATCCGCCTGCCTCAGCCTCCCAAAGTGCTGGGATTGCAGGTGTGAGCCATCACGCCTGGCCTCTGATAGCTTTTTGACAAGAAAGAAAAGGATAATTTCATTAGAATAGGTGTCCAAGCATACTCTTATTCAGTCAAAGAGTATGAACAATTTCACAGCATTAATACGAGTTGCCAAATTGCTTTTCCAAGGAGACAGTCAGCTCGATACTGACACAGGGTCCGCCTGGTCCTGCCTCACTCACCAGTCCTGACCAGCACTGAGCATCAGCTACTTTCATCAAAAATAACACACTGGGGGCTTCCTTGAGGTGGCGCATGGTCTTTGATTTGTCTGTCTTCCCCTCCTAGGCCACTACAAAACCCAATGGCCTGGCTTTCAACCCTTACTCAGCAAATTAGCCTCGGTCCAATCCCTTTACCTCCCTAACCTTGTTTCCTCATCTGGAAAATGCAGAGTGACCAATTGTCCCTGTTTTCTCAGCTTAAGGGGGTCCCCAGGATGTGGGACTTTCTGTGCTAAAACCAGGCAAGACCCAGGCAAATCAGAACAAGCTGGTCTTCCTAGTAAAAGGCAAATAATGCTGCCTCTGCCCAGAGACTTGCTGTGCGTGGTAAATGAGCCGACTGGATTAAAGGGCAGCTGCACAGACTCTGGGCCCCCTACTTTGTACCCACGGCTGCTAAACACAAGTGGCAAATCAGAGGCTGCCAAATGCCAGGGACCCGGATGCCCCACACATGGACACCATGTGAGCCCTTCATCACACAGCTTCCTCGTGCCTGGCATCAGGCTGGCACATGGTAGGTGCTCACTAAACAGACGCTGAGTGAATTAAAGGATGGTTCAGCTCCTGCTTGCATGTAAATTTCATCGTCCAGTTCCACTGCATCTTCTTGGCCTTGGGTGTTATTCAAAACATTGCAAATAGATGTGGGAGGCAGAGGCAGGCAGACGGCTTGAGCTTAGGAGTTCGAGACCAGTCTAGGCAATATGGTGAAACCCCATCTCTACTGAAAATACAAAAAATTAGCCAGGTCTGGTGGTGCATGCCTGTAGTCCCAGCTACTTGGGAGGCTGAGGCAGGAGAGTCGCTTGGACCTGGGAGGTGGAGGTTGCAGTGAGCTGAGATTGCGCTGCTGCACTCCAGTCTGGGCAGCAGAGTGAGACTGTCTCAAAAAAAAATAAACAGGAAAAAAAAAGAAAGAAATTACAAATAGAATAAAATGGTGCTTAAATCTCAGTTTCATTGCTAGTCTACTGCCTCATTGCTGGGCACTCACAAATGGTCTGTCTCTGAGACCATCACGGGGGATCCCCTGGCCAACCTCCTTCTGCCTGGTCTCATACCCACACCCCAGCCTCCTGGCCTCTGACGGTGACTTGCTCCATAGAGCAAGTGCAGTTTTTCCAGGGCTTGCCTCTTTCTTGGCTTTCTGAGCTGACAGCTCAGGCAGGGACCCTCAGAGCCCACTTCAGCTCCCGAGAAGCAACCCTGCCCTGGTTCTCCTGGTATACGTGGGGGTGGGGATCCTGGCCACGCTCATTGAATGATTTCCCATGAGTTTGTTTATTCTTTGCATTTCCTCATGGGCCTTCAGGGTCTGCAGGTTCCGGGATTTGCATGTCTTGTTCAGTGGAAATGCCTGGTTGTCTTGCTGTCGGCTTCTTTCTTTGGTGTGTTTTTGTTCTTTTCTATTACCATGATGCGAAAGAGGGATCTGAATTGTCTGCTTCTTTACGGAAAAAAAAAAAGTGCGGCGAGAAAATTGCTTTGTTGTGTTGTTCTTTTTGAAGTGTGTGTGTGTGTGTGTGTGTGTGTGTGTGTGTGCTTGCAAACGTGAGTAGACTGCTGCTTTCTGAAACTCACCTTATGTGTGGAAAAACACATTGTTTGGAGAGGAGAAGGCAGTGGTATGTTCCTAGAGAGGGATCTTGAATTGAGAAGCATTTCCTGGCCCAGCACAGTTGCTTATGCCTGTCATCTCAGCATTTTGGGAGACCCAGGCAGGAGGGTTGTTTGAACCCAGGAGTCTAGGTACTTGGGTCGGGGGGAGGGAGGGCGGGGGGGAGGCAGGGAAGTGGCGGGGTGGGGGTGGGGGGCGGGAAAGTGGTGGGGGAGTGTCAAGGCTGCAGTAAGCTGTGATCACATCACTACACTCCAGCCTGGGCAACAGAGCAAAACCCTGGATTCTTGGATGCAATTGTGCATGGGGCTAAGCCCTGCCCCAACTCAGTAAGCACTGAAATAGTATTTGTTAATCAAATGAATTCTATCTAATTCTTTTCAATCCTTTCCAAGAAACACAACATTATAGAATACAGCGGAAACCCCTGATTTCAAGGGGTTCTTTTACATCCAGGTTTTCTCTCTCAAGGGACGTGTCACCACTCTCCAGATAAAACCTGGTATTTCTCTTCCCGTGCATGTTTTTGTTTGTTTAAATTATTCATTTATTTATTTTTATTATACTTTACGTTCTGAGGTACCTGTGCAGAACGTGCAGGTTTGTTACATAGGTATACACGTGCCATGGTGGTTTGCTGCACGCATCAACCTGTCATCTACGTTAGGTATTTCTCCTATTGCTATCCCTCCCCTAGCCCCCGACCCCCCGATAGGCCCCGGTGTGTGATGTTCCCCTCCCTGTGTGCGTGTTTTTATATTGTTAATACTCGCTCATGTTTGCAGTAACCAGATGGAGCATTATGTAAGTGGTATCATCCTGCCTGGGTCACCCTGCCTGTTGCCTCTGTGGGTCACTTCCACTGTCCTAGGGTATTCCATGGGGTGGGTTGGACCATAATTAACGAGTCATTCATTGGGAGATGGCTGTGTTGGTTTCCCAGGGCAACCGTAACAGACTACCACACACTGGGTGGCCCGAGCAACAACGGCGTGCTGCCTTGCAGTTCCGGAGGCTGAAGACTGCAGTCAGGTGCCGGCAGCACTGCTTCTTTCTGCGGGCAGCGAGAGAGGATCTGTTTCACGCCTCCCCTGGGTTCCAGTAGGTAGCCTCAGCCATTCCCTGGCCTGGAAATGGCATCCCCCCTGAGCCTGTCAGTCGTTTCCTTCTATGCATTTCTGTCTCTGTGTCCAAAATTTCCCTTTTCATAAGGACACCAGGCATATTGAATTGGGGCCTATCCTAATGACTCAACTTGATCACCTCCAAATACCCTATTGCCTATTTTTTTTTTATTATTTTTTTTTGAGACACAGTTTCACTCTGTTGCCCAGGCTGGAGTGCGGTGGTGCCATCTCAGCTCACTGCAACTTCCGCCTCCCGGGTTCAAGCAATTCTCATACTTCAGCCTTCTGAGTAGCTGGAATTACAGGCATCCGCCACCAAGCTGGGCTAATTTTTTTTTTTTTTTTTTTTTTGAGACGGAATCTCCCTCTGTCACCCAAGCTGGAGTGCTGTGGTGGGATCTCAACTCACCGCAGCCTCCACCTCCTGGGTTCCAGCAATTCTCCTGCCTCAGCCTCCTGGGTAGCTGGGATTATAGGCACGCACCACCACACTTGGCTAATTTTTTAATTTTTTTAATAGAGGTGGGGTTTCACCACCTAGCACTGTATGTTTCTCGAACTCCTGACCTCAGGTGATCTGCCTGCCTCGGTCTCCCAAAGTGCTGGGATTACAGGCATGAGCCACTGCGTCCAGCCCCCTGTTTCCAAATAAGATCACATTCACAGATACTCTGCTTAGGATTTCCACATCTTTAGTGGGGAGGACACCATTCAACCCATAACAATGGCCACATGGATGATTTCTCATTTTTTAACGTTCAAAAACGCTTCAGTGAATATTTGAAACAGTCTCTTTGGGCACTGATTCAAGCAGCATCCGAGAGCTTGTTGCCACAGTGTGGTCCTCGGGCCGGCGGCAGCAGCAGCAGCAGCTAGGATTTTGTTAGCAAAGCACATTTCCAGGCTGCAGCTCAGACCTGCTGACACTGTTGGGCGGGGCCTGGCAATCTGTGTTTTCAGGGGTCCTCCAGGGGTTCTGATGCAAGCTCAAGTTTGAGAACCACTGCTCTAGAGTGGCTCTCAAAAGTTGTGGCAGCGGGGAGGGCACATGGGTTCATCTGGGAACTAGAGGAAACTACAATGGCCATGTCGTAGTCTGCCCCAAGATGCCCGAGCCCCTGTGAGCTTTGGGGGCCTCCCAGGTGACTCACAGCTCTAAGACAGCACTTCCCAATCTCAGCAGCACTTTAGAATCTTCTGAGAGCTTTTAAAAAATGCCAAAGCCCAGTCCCCAACCCAGGGAGTCTCATTTAATTAGCCTTTGGGAGGCCCAGGTACAGTCCTCTGTCACAGCGTGCAGTCAGGGCTGGGTGGAGGATGGTGGCTTTGTTCCTTGTGCCTCCAAGTACGTTTCTCAGACCAGCAGCAGCCCCAGGAGCTTGTGAGAAATGCCCAGTCTCAGCCCCGCCCCAGACCTTCCAGACCAGAATCTGCATTTTGTTTTATTTCTTTTTTTCCTTCCAATTTTTTTTTTTTTTTTAGAGATGGAGTCTTACCGTGTTGCCCAGGCTGGAGTGCAGTGGCACAATCTTGGCTCACTGCAACCTCCGCCTCCCAGGTTCAAGCGATTCTCCTACCTCAGCCTCCTGAATAGCTGGAACTATAGTGTGCGCCACTACACCTGGCTAATTTTTGTATTTTTTAGTAGAGACGGGGTTTCGCCGTGTTGGCCAGGCTGGTCTTGAACTCCTGACTGCAGGCAATCTGCCCGCCTCAGCCTCCCAAAGTGCTGGGATTACAGGCGTGAGCCACCACACCCGGACTTCTTTGTAACTTTTATTTTAGGTTCAAGGGGTACATGTGCAAGTTTGTTACATGGGTAAATTTTGTGTCTTGGAGGTTTGGTGTACAGATGATTTTTGTCACTCAGGTAATTAGCATAATAAGTGACAGGTAGTTTTTCAATCCTCACCCTTCTCCCACCCTCCACCCTCAAGTAGGAACTGGTGTCTGTTGTTTCCTTCCTTATGTCCATGTGTACTCAATGTTTAGCTCCCACTCATAAGAACATGCAGTATTTGGTTTTCTACTTCTGCATTACTTCGCTTAGGATAATAGCCTCCAGCTCCACCCATGTTGCTGTAAAGGACATGATTTTGTTCTTTTTTTTTTTTTTTTTTTTTTTTTTTGAGATGGAGTCTCCCTCTGTCGCCCAGGCTGGAGTGCAGTGGTGCAATCTCGGCTCACTGCAAGCTCCGCCTCCCGGGTTCACGCCGTTCTCCTGCCTCAGCCTCCCGAGTAGCTGGGACTACAGATGCCCACCACCACACCCGGCTAATTTTTTGCATTTTTAGTAGAGACAGGGTTTCACCGTGTTAGCCAGGATGGTCTCCATCTCCCGACCTCGTGATCTGCCCACCTTGGTCTCCCAAAGTGCTGGGATTACAGGTGTGAGCCACCGCGCCGGGCCTGATTTTGTTGTTTTTTATGGTGGCATAGTATTCCATGGTGCATGTGTACCACGTTTTCTTTTTTTTTCTTTTTCTTTTTCTTTTGAGACAGAGTTTCGCTCTTATTACCCAGGCTGGAGTGCAATGGCACCGTCTCGGCTCACTGCAACCTCTGCCTCCCGGGTTCAAGCAATTCTCCTGCCTCAGCCTCCCAAATAGCTGAGATTACAGGCATGTGCCACCACGCCCGGCTAATTTTGTATTTTTAGTAGAGACAGGGTTTCTCCATGTTGGTCAGGCTGGTCTCAAACTCCCGACCTCAGGTGATCTGCCCGCCTCGGCCTCCCAAAGTGTTGGGATTACAGGCATGAGTCACCGCGCCAGGCCCACATTTTCTTTATTTAGTCCACTGTTGATGGGCATCTAGGTTGATTGCATGTCTTTGCTATTGTGAATAGTGCTTTGACAGAATCTGCATTTTGACAAGACCCCCAGGTGATGTGTGTGAATATTAAAGTTTGAGAAAAGGCCTGGTGTGGTGGCTTGCACCTGTAATCCTTAGGAGGTGAGGTGGGCTGATCGCCTTGAGCTCAGGAGTTTGAGACTAGCTTGTGCAACATAGTGACACCGCATCTCTATAAAAAATACAACAATGAACTGGGCATGGTGGCTCACACCTGTGGTCCCAGCTACCTGGGGAGACTGAGGCTGGAGGATGGCTTGAGGCAGGAAGTGGAGGTTGCAGTGGGCCGAGATCGATCGCAGCACTGCGCTCCAGCCGGGGTGACAGAGTGAGACTCTGTCTCAAAGAATTAAAAAATAAGTAAATAAATAAATAAAGTTTGAGAAAAAGAATCACTAGCTAAAAGTCGAAGTTAGGTTGAGGTGGGAAGATTATTTGAGCCAAGGAATTCGAGGCTTTACAGCTCAATGACACCTGTGAATAGCCACTGCACTCCAGCCTGGCAGCCCGGGCTACACAGCAAGACCGCATCTCTTTTTAAAAAAAAAAAAAAAAAAAAAAAAAAAAAAGTGCGTGGTGGCTCACGCCTATAATCCCAGCACTTTGGGAGGCCGAGGCGGGTGGATCACCTGAGGTCAGGAGTTCAAGACCAGCCTAACCAACATGGCAAAACCCCACCTCTACTAAAAGTATAAAAATTAGCTTGGTGTGGTGGTAGGCACCTGTAAAATCCAGCTACTTGGGACACTGAGGCAGTATTACTTGAACCTGGGAGGCGGAGGTTGCAGTGAACTGAGATGGTGCCATTGCACTCCAGGCTGGGTGAAAAGAGTGAATCTCAGTCTCAAAAACAAACAAAACTAAACAAAAAGTCAAAGTTAAAATGCGGGCTCCAATTCAGGAGGTCCGCGTGGGGCCAAGATTCTGCATTTCTAAGGAGCTTGCAGTTGACGTGGATGCTACCAGTTCAGGAATCACAGTTTGAGTAACAAAGGCCTAACATTTATATGTAAGAGCTAAATTGCAGGGAAGATTATTTGAACATTGTTAACTTTACAAGGTGTGTTAGTTGACAAGAGCTGCCATAATAAAATACCACAGACTAGGTGTCTTAAACACCGGAAATTTCTTTTCTCACCGTTTTGGTCGAAGGTGTGGGCAGGGGGCTGGGCGTGGTGGCTCACACCTGTAATCTCAGCACTTTGGGAGGACGAGGCAGGTGGATCACATGAGGCTAAGGAGTTGAGACCACCCTGGCCAACATGGTGAAACCCTGTCTCTACTAAAAATACAAAAATTAGCCAGGCGTGGTGGTGCGTGCTTGAGTAGCCTGTAATCCCAGCTACTCGGGAGGCTGAGGAACAAGAACCTCTAGAACTCGGGAGGAAGAGGTTGCAGTGAGCCGAGATCACGCCACTGCACTCCAGCCTGGGCAACAGCGTGGGACTCTGTTTAAAAAAATAATAATAATAATACGATGTGGGCAGGGTTGGCTGCTCCTGAGGCCTCTCTCCCTGGCTTGCAGATGGCCCCTTCACCCTCTGTCTTCACGTGGTCTTCCCTCTGTGTGTCTGTGTCCTAATTCCTCTTCTTATTAGGACACATGTCAGGATCAGAACCCACCCATACGGCTTTATTTTACCTTAATTACTACCTCTTCAAGGCCCTATTTCCAAATATGGTCTCATTCTGAGGTGCCGAGGGATAGATCTCCACCATTTGAATTTGGGGGCCACAGTTCAGTCCATAAGACCAGGTGAAGGAAGTACTTCCACTGCTGATGTCCATCTGCCAGCGAGGCCTCTCCAGTTCTCACCGGTCTTTGGCTGTGTCAAACTTTTTATTTTCTATCAATCTGATGAAGATGCAATGGAGTATCACTGTCGTTTAATTTGTACCCCCTAATACTTTTTAGTGAGGTCGAGAATCATTTTTTGTTTTTGAGACAGGGTCTTGATCTGTCACCCAGGCTGGAGTGCAATAGCACAATCATGGCTCCCTGCAGCCTCGACCTCCCAGGCTCAAGCCATCCTCCTGTCTCCACCTTCCAAGCAGCTGGGACCACAGGCGCGCACCACCATGCCCACTTAATTTAAAAAAAAAAGTTTTTGTAGAGACAGGGTCTTGCTGTGTTGCCCAGGTTGGTCTTAAACTCCTGAGCTCAAGCAGTCCTCCTGTCTGAGCCTCCTACGTGTTGGGATTACAAGCATGATCTCACCACACCCAGACTAGATTGAAAATCTTTTCATATCTTATTGCTTCTGCTTTGGGCAATTCCCTATTCATATCTGCCCATTTTGCAGTTGGAGTTGAGAGTTGATCATGCATATCGATTTGCAGGGCTTCTTTGTAAATCCTGGTTACTAATTTGCATTGCTAGACTTTTGTGCTGGTCTAGAGCTTGTCTTTTTACTTGTTTATGGTACCCTTTGATGTTCAGGGGTTTTTTTTCTGTAATTTTAATATAGTCAAATGCTTCAAGCTTCAAGGCTCATCTTGTTTAAGAAATGCCTCCCTATACCAAGGTTATGGAAATATTGTCTTACATTTTCTACTAAATATTTTCAAGTGTTGTTTCCCACATTTTGGCCTCCATCCGCCCGGAATTCATTTGTGTGTGGCATATGAAAATAGTCTAATTTTAGTTTCCCAAGTACCGTGCCAGAGGCTGCCACCACCCCGTTTCATGCTCTGCTCTCCCCGATGGCCTGAGGCTTGTCCTCTGCCCTGCAGGCTCCAGTGTTTCCCTCCGAAGGGTGGGGCACTCATCACCAGGAAGCATCTTGCCTGCCCCAAGGGTGAGTCCAGCTGGCACCTGTAGCGGTGGCCGCATTCTTCTGGCAGGGGCTGCAGGGATGAGGACTATAGGAGAGTCCCGAGGCTGCCGGAACAAAATTCCACAAACTTTATGCCTTCAGGTAACAAAAATGTATTCTCTCACAAGTCAGGAGGCCACAAATCCGAATCAGGTTGTCAGCAGGTGGAGGGAATGTAAACTAGTATAACCATGGAAAACATAGTTATACTAAACTAATATAACCATGGAAAACAGTGTGGAGATTCCTTAAAGAACAAAAGTAAGGCCGGGCGCAGTGGCTCACGCTTGTAATCCCAGAATTTTGGGAGGCCAAGGCAGGCGGATCACCTGAGGTTGAGAGTTCGAGACCAACATGGAGAAACCGCATCTCTACTAAAACAAAAAACAAAAAAATCAGCCAACTGTGGTGGCGCAGTCCTGTAATCCCAGCTACTGGGAGGCTGAGGCAGGAGAATCACTTGAATCCAGGAGGAGGTTGCAGTGAGCTGAGATCACGCCATTGCACTCCAGCCTGGGCAACAAGAGCAAAACTCCATCTCAAAAAAAAAGAACTGAAAGTAGATCTACCATTTGATCCAGCAATTCCGCTCCTGGATATCTACCCAGAGGAAAAGAAGTCATTATACGGATGGGAGTGGTGGCTCACATCTGTAATCCCCGCACTTTGGGAGGCCAAGGCGGGTGGATCACCTGAGGTCGGGAGTTCAAGACCAACCTGACCAACATGGAGAAACCCCATCTCTACTAAAAATACAAAATTAGCTGGGCATGGTGGCACATGCCTGTAATCCCAGCTAATTGGGAGGCTGAGGCAGGAGAACCACTTGAACTCGGGAGGCAGAGGCTGCAGTGAGCTGTGATCATGCCATTGCACTCCAGCCTGGGCAACAAGAGTAAAACTCTGTCTCGAAAAACAAAAAAAAGTCATTATACAAAAAAGATACTTGCACATGCATGTTTATAACAGCACAATTTGCAGTTGCAAAAATGTGTAACCAAATGGCCATCAATCAACAAGTAGACAAGGGAACTGTGGTATATATATATATATACCACATATATATACACCATATATATATATACCACATATATATACCGTATATATATATACCACATATATATATACAGTATATATATGTGGTATATATATGTGGTATATATATGTGTGTGTGTATATATGTGTGTGTGTGTATATATATATATATATATATATATATATATATATATATGATGGAATACTACTCAGCCATAAAAAGGAATGAATTAATGGCATTCACAGCAACCTGGATGAGACTGGAGGTCATTATTCTAAGTGAAGTAACTCAAGAATTGAAACCCAAATATCATACGTTCTCACTCATAAGTGGGAGCTAAGCTATGAGGATGCAAAGGCATAAGAATGATACAGTGGGCCAGGCACGGTGGCTCACGCCTATAATCCCAGCACTTTGGGAGGCCGAGGCAGGTGCATCACGAGGTCAGGAGATCGAGACCATCCTGGCTAACAGGGTGAAACCCCAACTCTACTAAAAATACAAAAAAATTAGCCGGGCATGGTGGCGGGCACCTGTAGTCCCAGCTACTCGGGAGGCTGAGGCAGGAGAATTGCTTGAACTCAGGAGGCGGAGCTTGCAGTGAGCCGAGATCACACCACTGCACTCCAGCCTGGGCGACAGAGCGAGACTCCGCCTCAAGAAAGAAAAAGAGAACGATACAGTGGACTTTGGGGACCACAAATTGGGTTCATTGTACACTGCTCCAGTGATGGGTGCACCAAATCTCACAAATTACCGCTAAAGAACTTACTAATGAAACCAAGTACCACCTGTTCCCCAAAAATCTATGGAAATAAAAAATTAAAAATAAATAAATAAATATTAGTTAAAAAATGCTTGTATAGAAAAAATACACATAAAGTCACTATAGCACAGCTTTAAATGGAAAAAACCCTGATGTGATTATTACACATTTTATGCTTGTATCAAAATATCTCATATAACCCATAAATATATATGCCTAATATGTATCCAAAAAAATGAAAACTAAACATTTAAAAAAATTTTTAAAAAGAATAAACAAAGTTGTCAGCAGGGTTGGTTTCTTCTGGAGGCACTGAGGGAGAAACCACTCGACGCCTCTCTCCCAGCTTCCGGGGGCCTTGGATTCCTTGGTTGTGGACACATCACTCCTGGCTCTGCCTCTGTCTTCCTTTGCCTTCTTCCCTGGGCCTCGGTCTTGTTTCCCCTGCTCTTCTAATAACTTGTCATCAGATTTAGAGTCCATCCAAAGATGATTTATCTTGAGGTCCTTCACTTAATTCCATTTGCTCAGACCCTTTTTCCAAATAAGGCCACATTCACAGATTCTGAGTGGGCATATCTTTTGAGGGGGAAACCAACATTCAGCCCACTGTAGGATCTGTTTGTGAAATGGGAAGGAAAGCTCCTAGTGACGATGGTGGGAAAGCGCTCCTTCAACAACCATGTTCCCTTGACACCGTGCACTTCCTTCCAGCTCCTTTATTGGATAAATTTTGCCCAATCTGCCATTTTTTAAAATTTCCTCCTGCTCCCACAAGTGCAGTGATGCGTTCTCCCACTCTTAGAAATTTATCTTAAGAAAATGATTCATGAGTATAGGGGAAAAAAATTACCTCTTTTTGTTGTTGCATTGTTACTTATATTAAAAAGTTGGAAACAACCCCCAGGAGAGGAGGTAATTACTTAATTACTTCAATAACATTTATTCATGCAACATTAGTGAGAGAATGTGAAATAAACGGGGAAGGAGAGAGTAGAGAGCAAGAGACAGAAGTTGCCGAGCACGGTGGCTTACATCTATAATCCCAACTCTTTGGGAGGCCAAGGTGGGAAGATTCCTTGAGGCCAGGAGTTCAAGACCAGCCTGGGCAACATAGGGAGACCCTGTCTCTACAAAAAAATTTTACAAATTATCTGGGCATCGTGGCACACACCTATAATCCCAGCTACTTGGGAGGCTGAGGTGGGAGGATTGCTTGAGCCTGGTAAGTTGAGGCTGCAATGAGCCATGATCACACCACCACTGCACTCCAGCCCAGGTGACAAAGTGAAAAAAAAAAAAAAAAGGGACAGAAGCTGTTGTCCTCCCTGGAAAGGGAACATTCAACACGTGATGGCCCAAACCATTGAGTAATGTCAAACAGGAAGTGGGCAGGAAGGGGAATCCCAGGTGTTACCCAGAAGTCTCAGCTAGTCCTTGGAGTCATGAAGGATGAGTTGAGTCCCTGAAGCAGGACTCACCACCAGGGACAGACAGGAAGGAGGTTCCTAGAGGAGGGGCAGCTTCCACAAAGACTACAGGAATCATTCAACCTCCTGAGACCCATGTGTGGTCATCAAAATGACAAAAAACATGGCAACAGAAAAGCTATGGTTAGGCAAAAAATACGGAATAAAAATTAACTCAGGCTGGGTGAGGTGGTTCATGCCTGTAATCCCAGCATTTTGGGAGACTGAAGCAGGAAGATCACTTGAGCCCAGGAGTTTGAGACCAGCTTAGGCAACAACCTCACCTCTACAAAAAATAAAAATAAAACTAGCCGGGTGTGATGGTACACACCTGTACTCCCAGGCACTTGAGGGTCTGAAATGGGAGGATCACTTGAGCCTGGGAGGTCGACGCTGTAGTGAGCCATGGTTGTGCCACTGTACTTCAGCTTGGGTGACAAAATGAGAATCTGTCTCAAAAAAAAAATTAATTAAAAGAAGTGCCTAGAAAAACAGAAGTGCCACATGACCCAGCAATCCCCTTCTGGGTATATAACAACAAGAATTGCAAACAGAGACTCCAAGACATATTTGTACCCCCATGTTCATGGCAGCAGCATTCGCAATAAGCCAAAAGGTGGAAACAACCCAACTGTCCATTGATGGACAAATGGATAAACAAATTCTGGTCTATCCATACAATGGGATATTCTTCAGCCATAAAAAGGAGGGAAATTCAGACTCATGCTACATCATAAGTGAACCATGAGGACATTGTACTAAGGGAAATACTCCAGTCGCAAAAAGCTATGTACTGTATGATTCCACTGACATGAGGTAGGCAGTGTAATCAAATTCATGGAGGCTGGGTGCGGTGGCTCACATCCATAATCCCAGCCCTTTAGGAGGCCAAGGTGGGCAGATCATGAGATCAGGAGATCGAGACCATCCTAACATGATGAAACCCCGTCTCTACTAAAAATAAAAAAATTATAGCCAGGCGCAGTGGCTCACACCTATAATCCCAGCACTTTGGGAGGCCGAGGAAGGCGGATCATGAGGTAAGGAGATCGAGACCATCCTGGCTAACACGGTGAAACCACATCTCTACTAAAAAAAAAAAAAAAAACACAAAAAAAATTAGCCAGGCGTGGTGACACGCGCCTGTAGTCCCAGCTACTCAGGAGGCTGAGGCAAGAGAATCGCTTGAACCCAGGAGGCAGAGGTTGCAGTGAGCTGAGATCGCGCCACTGCACTCCAGCCTGGGCAATAGAGCGAGACTCCATCTCAAAAAATAATTAGCCAGGCGTGGTGTAATCCCAGGGCACCTGTAATCCCAGCTACTCAGGAGGCCGAAGCAGGAGAATTGCTTGAACCCGGGAGGCAGAGGTTGCAGTGAGCCGAGATTGTGTCACTGCACTCCAGCCCAGGTGACAGAGCAAGACTGTCTCTTATTTAAAAAAAAAAAAAAAAAAAAAATTCATGGAGACAGAAAGTAGAATGGTGATTGCCAGGGGCTACAGGATGGGCGAATGGGAACTTACTGTTTCACGGGCATGGAATTTCAGTTTTGCAAGATGAGAAAAGTTCTGGAGATGGAAGGTACTTACGGTTGCATGACAGTGTGAATGTATCTAATGCCACTGAACCGTACACCTAAAATGCTCAAGATGGTAAATTTTCTTATGTGTGTTTTACCACAGTTCTTTAGAAAGGACTCCTAGTATGCTATTAGATTGGAGGAAGGACGTTCAAATCCCAGCTAGAGCTCTTTTTTAGTGCCTTTGTTCATTCAAATAATCTTTTTTTTTTTTTTTTTTGAGATGGAGTCTCGCTCTGTCGCCCAGGCTGGAGTGCAGTGGTGCGATCTCAGCTCACTGCAAACACCGCCTCCCCGGTTCACGCTATTCTCCTGCCTCAGCCTCCCGAGTAGCTGGGACTACAGGCGCCTGCCACCACGCCCGGCTAATTTTTGTATTTTTAGTAGAGACGGGGTTTCACCGTGTTAGCCAGGATGGTCTCCATCTCCTGATCTCGTGATCCGCCCGCCTCAGCCTCCCAAAGTGCTGGGATTACAGGCGTGAGCCACCGCATCCGGCCAGGAATATTTATTAATCCTGTTCAGGCTCCAGGACAACAGGCCCAAGAAAGCAGACAAGATGGCCGCCTTCCTGAAGGTTACAGTCAAGAGGAGAAGCAGGTGTTTAATAAAGTCAAGTCCCATCACCAACCCTTGACTCTACATCAATTATTAGCGCTGTGACCTTGGGCAAGGCAGTTCTCCTTCCTGAGTTTGCTTCCTTCTCTGTAAAAATGGAGACCATGGTGCTCACCTGCCAGAGTTGCCGGAGGATTAATGAGGCTCTTCTAAGTGGTGCAGTGAGAGTGCTTAGCTCAGAACAGGCGCTCCGTATGTGTTACTTCCTTTTCGTAGCTCTACATCAGAAATTTATGCTCAAGGACACACTAGCGTCATTGGTGGTGCACAAGGGTAGACTCATGCAGTATGTACATTTTCTAGCCATTTAAAGTCCTTTTATATGCATAGATCTAGAAGGATCTCCATCAAGATGTTAAGAGGAGGTGATGGGATGACAGGCAGGAATTTTTTTTTTTTTTAATCTACATTCAGGGATGTGGTGACAGAGGGAATCTTGGGTAAATTACTCGACACCTCTAGACCTCATTTCAGTGTCCTCGGCTGCAAAATAATAGCGCCTACCTCATAGTTTTTTTTTGTTTTGTTTTGTTTTGTTTTGTTTTGTTTTTTGAGAGAGGGTCTCATTCTGTCACTGGAGCATAGTGGCATGATCACAGCTTGATTACAACTCGCTGCAGCCTCTATCTTCCAGGCTCAAGTGATCCCCCCACCTCGGCCCCTCAAGCAGCTGGGGTTCCAGGCACACGCCACCATGCCCCGCTAATTTTTGTGTTTTTTGTAGAGAGAGGGTTTCGCCATGTTGCCCAGGTTTTAATTTTTTATTATCAGAATTTTCAGCTGTTGACAAAAGAAGAAGGAATAGTTAATGAACCTCCATTATCCAGCACCCATCTTCAACAATTATCAGTGAATTGCCAATCTTGTTTCATCTCTACCTCCCCAGCCTCATCCCTACTGGTTATTTTCAAGCAAATCCCAAGCCTGGAGACTCTGTTAAAAATTAAAAAATTTCTATGATATCATTAATACACGTACGTATAATTTTTCTAAGCAATTTCCTAATAACATCTAATATCTAATCACTGTTCATTCATCCTCCATTATCCCATAAATGTCTTTTTACATGTGATTTGTTTCAATCAAGATCCACAAAGCCCTCACATTATGTTCGGCTGATAGATCCTCCTCCAAACCCCAGCATTTTATTAGGTCAATTTTCAATCTACAGCAAACGGGAATGAATTCTACAGCGAGCACCTGAATAAGCCCCTAGACGCAGCTATTAACCCATTACTGCAGCTGTTCTGTCCTCCATCCATCTGCCTGTTTCTCTACAGTCCATAATCCTTTTAAGTCTCTTTTCATCCAAAATACTATCCCCCTTTCACATTTTTTTCTTGCCATTTATTTGTTGAAGACACTATGTCATTGCCCTATAGAATTTCTCTTATTTTGAGGACCAAATAAGCTAAGTACATAGTGTTTAGACTATAGTATGTACCTAATTAATATTCTTGAACTGATTATTATTGGCTTTTTAATTTATCTGTATCTTCTTATTTTTCCAAGTAAAAAAGTCTCTCTTTTTTCTCGTTGAGATGGAGTCTTGCTCTGTTGCCCAGGCTGGAGTGCAGTTGCACCATCTCGGCTCACTGCAATCTCTGACTCCTGGGTTCAAGCAATTCCCCTGCCTCAGCCTCCTGAGTAGCTGGGATTACAGGCGCCCACCACCATGCCTGGATAATTTTTGTATTTTCAGTAGAGACAGGGTTTCTCCATGTTGTCCATGCTGGTCTTGAACTCTTGACCTCAAGTGATCCGCCTGCCTCGGCTCCCCAAAGTGCTGGGGTTACAGGCGTGAGAGCCTGGCCAAAAATATATCATTTTTGAAAAAAAAAATTTTTTTAAAGAGTTCCTAGACTTGTTATGGCCACATTGTTTTGTGGCCACCAGGGGGTTTGTCTGCACTCTTTGCTGGGCTTGCCCCAGGCAATTGGCCAATGGGAAGATTTGCCAGCATCGGGCAGCTGAAGGTGGTGGAGCAAGGGGGAAGGGAGTGCGAACCTGAGCCAGAGGGGCTCCAGGGAAATGGCTGCAGTGGAACCAGGGCAAGGGACAAGGCTCAGAGCCTTCTCTAGGGCTGAGGATGGTGACACCAGGAGGGAGGCCCAGAGAAAGCACCAGGAAAGGTGTGGAAAGTTGCAGAACTCCCAAGAGCTGGTGGAAGCAACAGCACACATCATCAGGGAGCAAGGCAGAGTGCGCAGCAGGGTTTCAAGGGGCTGGGGCAGATGGAACAGGAGGAAAATGAACCTCCCCAGGGACTTGTCACCACTAACTTAGATGATAAGCAGGCAGGTGAGAAATACACAGGCCTTTGGCAGGCTCCATCAGAGGCCAGAGGAAAAAAGGAGGAGATCAGTTGGGGGAGGTCTGAGCTGGGGGGCCAGGAATGCCGAACCTGGTTTTGCCATCTGTCACCCGTGTGGTCTTGGGGAAGGCTTCTTCTTCCCTTCTTTGAGCCTTAGTTCTCCCTACCTGCAAAAGAGACAGGGTGGGGCTGGTCGTAATGGCTCACGCCTGTAATCTCAGCACTTTGGGAGGCTGAAGCTGGTGGATCACGAGGTCAATAGATAGAGACCATGGTGGCCAACATGGTGAAACCCTGTCTCTACTAAAAATACAAAAATTAGCTGGGCATGGTGGTAGGTGCCTATCGTCCGAGCTATTCGGGAGGCTGAGGCAGGAGAATCACTTGAACCCGGGAGGCAGAGGTTGCAACGAGCTGAGATTATGCCACTGCAGTCTGGCCTGGTGACAGAGTGAGACTCTGTCTGAAAAAAAAAAAAATAGGGGTACCCCAGAAGACCCCTATAGATTTAAAATTTTTTTTTTTTTAGCCCTGGCAAGAAAAATGTTCTAGCTTGCTGATCTCTTCCTGGGGATAAGTAAGAGTGACATGGCTGCTAGAATTAGTATGTATTGATGGCCCCTTTAGCACTTCTCCTTTCAAAGAGGTAAATACCAAGTACAGACTCAAAGCTGCGAGTTGCCTCCGTGCTCAGGCTGCGCATGGTGGCTCACACCTATAATTCCAGCACTTTGGGAGGCTGAGGCAGGAGGATCTCTCTTTTTTTTTTTTTTTGAGATGGAGTCTAACTCTGTCGCCCAGGCTGGGGTTCCATGGCGTGATCTCTGCTCACTGCAACCTCCACCTCCTGGGTTCAAGCAATTCTCTTGCCTCAGCCTTCCAAGTAGCTGGGATTACAGGCACCCGCCACCATGCCCGGCTAGTTTTTTTTGTATTTTTAGTAGAGACGGGGTTTCACCATGTTGACCAGGCTGGTCTTGAACTCCTGATCTTGAGAAATCCACCTGCCTCGGCCTCCCAAATTGCTGGGATTATAGGCATGAGCCACCGGGCCCAGCAAGGAGCATCTCTTGAGCCCAGGAGTTCAAGACCAGCCTGAGCAACACAGTGAAGCCCCATCTCTACTAAAAAACAAAAAAAAATGTGAGAGAAACAAAAAATATTTTGTTTGTTAAACAAAAAATGTTAGAGAAACAAAAAACGTTTTGTTTATTAAACAAACAAAAAATGTTAGCCCAGTCTGTGCTGCAAGCCTATAGTCTCAGCTACTTGGGAGGCTGAGGCAGGAGGATTGCTTGAGGTTGGAAGGTTGAGGCTGCAGTGAGCTATGATCACACCATTGCACTCCAGCCAGGGCAAAAGAGCGAGACCCTGTCTCAAAAAAAAAAAAACAAAAACAAAAAACAAACAAACAAAAAAAAACAAAGGCCGGGCATCGTGGCTCACGCCTGTAATCCTAGCACTTTGGGAGGCCGAGGCAGGTGGATCACTTGAGCTCAGGAGTTCGAGACCAGCCTGGCCAACATGGTGAAACCCAGTCTCTACTAAAAATACAAAAGTTAGCCGGGTGTGGTGGTGCACCCCTGTAATCCCAGCTACTCGGGAGGCTGAGGCAGGAGAATTGCTTGAACCCGGGAGGCAGAGGCTGCTGTGAGCCAAGATGGTGCCACTGTGCTCCAGCCTGGGCAACAGAGCAAGAATCTGTTTCAAAAAAAAAAAAATCCTGCAAGTCACCAAATAATGGTATGAAATGAACACAGAATCTAATGTACACAGGCCTGGATTCCAGTCCCCTGTGGCCTTCAGGGTTGAGTCCACGATTGATTGGTGGTGTCTGTCATGGTCAAAGAAATGAGTCAGCTTTCCCACTTTCATACAGATCTAGGGTTTCTCAGCTGCAACTAACCTTTGAGAGAGATTTGCCTAGTTAACCCCTGAGTAAAATCTGCTTAAGATTTTTAGCCAAACAAAATAGAAAAAAATGAATAAAGAGAGAAGTAAACTACTTGCCTGAATCCCTGGCCCAGGACCCAGCCACCTGTCAACCACTGCTATTGTGAAACCACTCAGGCAGAGGGGACACTGTCCAGCTCAGATTCACGGGTCATTGTCATCCACGCTGAATGAAACTCATTAGTCCTTTGTGAGCTGTTCAGGTTTAATGCCTCTAAAATTGCCTGATGAAACTGGAGCGTGGTTGGGAAACAGACAATGGGCCGTCCGGCTGAACAAAGCTGTCCTAAGTGCTCAGCGCAAAGTCGAGTCAGGTCCCGCCCATGGCACCCGGAGTGGAGCCTCAGAAATCATGACTGCTCCCTGTGAATATTCTAGTGTGAGCTCGAGGACAGTAGGGCAGACTTGGGTCCATGCCTGTCCCAGATAAAACCGGGTGAGCGACGCCCTGGGGGCTGAATGGAGGCCCGGCGAGCAGGGTGTGCTTACGGAGAACCAGCCGGGCTGGGGGCAGAACACATGCACTGCTGTGGTGGGCTTTGGGCTCTGCTATGGATTGGATTGTGCGCTCCCAAAATACAAGTCCTAGCCCTCAGCATGTGACCTTTTTTGGAAATAAAGTTTTTGCAGATGTAATAAGTGAAGATGAGGTCATACTGGAGCAGGGTGGGCCCCGATCCGATGACTGTGTCCTTATAAAAAGGGGAAGTTTGGACACAGACACACAGGGAGAACGCCTTGAGCATGAAGGCAGAGATTGCGATGATGTGTCTGTCTACAAGCCAAGGAATGCCAAAGATCACCAGCAGAGAGAGGCATGGAACAGACACTTCCCCCACAGCCCGCAGAAGGAACCAGCCTGCCAACATCTTGATCTTGGACTTCTGGCCCCCAGAACTATGAGAAAATAAATTTCTTGTAGTTGTTTAAAGCCCCCTAGTTGGCGGCAGCTCCATGGAACTGATACAGAAACCTGGCTTTGAGGCCGTCTCTCTGGAAGACTTTGGGCAAATGACTTTCCTCTTTGAGCCTGGGGTTGGGAACCTGAGACTGGGGAGGCCTGGCTGTATAGAAATCACAGGCCATGCCGGGCGCGGTGGCTCACGCCTGTAATCCCAGCACTCTGGGAGGCCGAGGCAGGCGGATCACGAGGTCAGGAGATTGAGACCGTTCTGGCTAACACGGCGAAACCCCATCTCTACTAAAAAATACAAAAAAAAAAAAAATTAGCCAAGCATGGTGGCAGACGCCTGTAGTCCCAGCTACTAGGGAGGCTGAGGCAGAAGAATGGCGTGAACCTGGGAGGCCGGAGCTTGCAGTGAGCCAAGATCGCGCCACTGCACTCCAGCCTGGGTGACAGAGCGAGACTCTGTCTCAAAAAAAAAAAAAAAAAAAAAGAGATCACAGGCCCTTCAGACCCCTTATCCCGACATTTAGAGGTGGAAAACCAGCAGATGGTGACCACTTCACCCTGGGCAACTGGGCTGAAGTGGCCTATTGGGGCCCGGGGCCAGACACAGAAGCAGAGGCAGCCTGTCAGGAAGGCCAGGGGCTGGACAGGCTCACAGAGAGGGTAGGAAGAAACACAAGAGAGAGGAGGCTTTCCGATGATTCCGCGGTTCCTGCTCCCGTGAGGCCTGGTTATTCAGCTTTTGCGGGCCTCCCTTGTGTGAATTCCTTCCATCAATTACCTTCTTGAAGGTTTCACAGGGGCAATATTTTAACTGATCTCTTTCCCTGTCTTTGGAAGTGCTTTGAAAGCTGTAGTGCGAGATACACATTTTCTCAGCAACCACAAACGGTATCCAGCACCTGCTGTATGCAGATGCAGGGTAACAGCCTAGCAGCTGCGGATCTCGGCCCCAGGTGGTCACAGGCCAGTGGGAGTGTCCTGGGGCTGCACGAGACCCTGACATGCCCCGAGAACGTGGCAGTGCCTTCTCCCTCAACTCTGGGTCAAAATAAAAACAGGGAGATGGCCAGCAAAGTGCCCCTGTGTTCCGTTGTTGGCTGTTAAATGCTTTGGTGAAATGTCACATCTCAAATACTTCCCCTTCCTCATCTTTTTTTATTTTGAGAGACATGGGCTAACAGATGAATTGTAAAAAATATGACTGAGGCGGGTCGGGCACGGTGGCTCATGCCTGTAATCCCAGCACTTTAGGAGGCAGAGGCGGGCGGATCACGAGGTCAGGAGATCGAGACCATCCTGGCTAACACAGTGAAACCCCGTCTCTACTAAAAATACAAAAAAATTAGCCGGGCGTGTTGGCAGGCGCCTGTAGTCCCAGCTACTCGGGAGGCTGAGGCAGGAGACTGGCGCGAACCCGGGAGGCGGAGCTTGCAGTGAGCCGAGATCGCGCGCCACTGCACTCCAGCCTGGGTGACACAGAGCGAGACTCCATCTCAAAAAAAAAAAAAAAATATGACTGAGGCTAAAATAGGCAATATGGCATGGTGGCTGAGAGAGCAGGCCTGGTATCAGATTGGCCCAGTTCAAGTGTGATTTTGGGTCAGTCGTTTAACCTCTCTGTGCCTCAGTTTCCTCATCTGCACAACGGACAAGATAAACTTCATCAAGTTTTTGTAAGGATTAATTTAAATGATTAATTAAGTTAATCATTTTGTAGGATTAAATACATGTAAGGTGCTTACTAAAGTGGCTGGCCCATGGTGAGCCCTATATGGGTCTTAGCTATTATTATTATTATTATTTATTATTATTATTTTTTGAGACAGTGTTTCGCTCTTGTTGCCCAGGCTGGAGTGCAGTGGCATGATTACGGCTCACTGCAACCTCCACCTCCTGGGTTCAAGCAATTCTCCTGCCTCAGCCTCCTGAGTAGCTGGAATTACAGGCATGTGCCACCACACCCGGCTAATTTTTGTATTTTTAGTAGTGACGGGGGTTTCATCATGTTGGCCAGGCTGGTCTCAAACTCCTGGTCTCAGGTGATCCGCCCACCTCAGCCTCCCTAAGTGCTGGGATTACAGACGTGAGCCACCACGCCCGGCCATTATTATTATTATTATTATTATTATTATTATTTTGAGACGGAGTCTCGCTCTGTCGCCCAAGCTGGAGTGCAGTGGCGTGATCTCCGCTCACTGCAAGCTCTGCCTCCCGGATTCACGTCCTTGTCCTGCCTCAGCCTCCTGAGTAGCTGGGACTACAGGCGCCTGCCACCACGCCTGGCTAATTTTTTGTAATTTTAGTAGAGACGGGGTTTCACCGTGTTAGCCAGGATGGTCTCGATCTCCTGACCTTGTGATCCACCTGCCTCAGCCTCCCAAAGTGCTGGGATTACAGGCGTGAGTCACCGCGTCCGGCCACCCGGCCATTATTATTATTAATAGGAGGAAGAAATGCCCTGCCCAGTTCGCAATGACCCACTTGACTGTCCTTTTCACCTGTAGGGGTTGATCACCAGCAACCACATTTGTCCAGGTTGGCTCAGATACTGACTGGGGTGCGTATCTGGCCCAAGCCAAGTCCTTCCCTCAGAACTGGGCTCAACAGATCCTAGCTCAATCTGGGATGCCCTCTCCAATGGCCACCTCCTGTCATGCAAAAGTAACATAGCAAATTAAGTCAGCCTAACCCAGAGATAAACAGAAACATAAAGTACAGAGAAGGTCCGTGGGTCCTTGGATCTTTGGCCCCTTTTGGGCTGGCTACCTTCACACCACTGGGGCCCTGGGAGGCACCCGTGACTCCTAACAACCCATGTCTATTCTTTGTTTAATCCACTCTGATTAGTTACTATTGCAACAGAGGCATCTGGAGGCTTTGGCCTGCCTTCTTCTCTCTTCTTTGCATCTGTGAGGCTCTGCTCCCTGGAGCTACAAGAAAATATCCACTCCTTTTTCCTCAGCCCAGGCAGGCTGGAGTCAGTTCCAACTTCATGCTGTAGCTCAAGAAAGGAGCCCAAGGGTTGAGAAGCCATTTCTCCCTACCATTATATTGAGAACTGACTTCTTCCGACATCTTGTCCTGAGCACCTTCATGCATTATCTGCTTAGCTCAATTGTATCACAATTCAATCTCCATTTCACAGATAGGAGTCTGAGGTTCAGAGAGATTAAGAGATTTGGTTGGCGGAACCCAGCTGAAGATGATGGAAACCTGGGCTTCAAATCTAAGGTCTGTCTTCTTGATGTCTTTGCTTTTCTACCTGGAGTCCCTGGATGGAGTTTCTTGCACCACCCCCAACCCCCCGCTGTTGCTGTGGGGTTTTAGTTGAACCCTTGACCTTGCCTCAGCTTCCTAATCTGCAAAATGGGGTGATATCATCACCCATCCTTATCTGAGGATTGTCTAGACTGACCCATGCAAATGGGGGTGTGGGTGAGTTTTGGAAGATCAGTACCTGCTCCACAAGTCTAAACCACTTCTCCTCCCCAATTCCTTCCTTTCATTGCTTCTTGGCAACTGACTTAGAGATGATGGAGAGGAAAGAAAGGCAATCACATTTAAATTGGTCAATTTGAGCAGCCTCACTGCTAAAACTGGTGTGGGAGACAGATGTAATTAATCTGAAAAACACAGTGGATTGTTGTTGTTGTGGTTGTTGTTGTTGTTTTGAGACAGGATCTTGCTCTGTCGCCTGGGCTGCAGTGCGGTGATGCGATCTCGGATCACTGCAACCTCTGCCTCCTGGGTTCCAGCGATTCTTATACCTCAGCCTCCTGAGTAGCTGGGATTTCAGGCGTGTGTGACCATGCCTGGCTAATTTTTTTTATTTTTAGTAGAGATGGGGTCTCCCTATGTTGCCCAGGCTGGTCTCAAACTCCTGGACACAAGTGATCATCTCACCTTGGTCTCCCAAAGTACTGGGATTATAGGCATGAGCCACTGTGCCCAGCCCCACAGGTTTTTTATTTTTAAAAATATGATCCATGGCCTTCCACTCTGTGTAGCCATGCCCCACGTTCACGAGTCAATGGCAGCCTGGCATTTGAGCTCTTCATAAAGTCTCTGTGAGTTTCTTTAAAAATAAATGGCATTAAAAAAATTAAAATGAATTGAAAACAAAACTTACTCATAAGAGGAATATCTGTGTCATGGATATATTAGTCAGCAACAAAACAGAACAGACAACGATACAAACACCAACGTGGACAAATCTCAAATCCTTCTATACCGAGCCAAAGAATTCAGAAGAAAAGGAATGCATACTTTTTGGTATTATGTATATGACATTCGATAAAGGGTGAAACTATCTACAGTGACAGAGGGCAGATCAAGGATTGCCTGGGGCTGGCAGTGGGTGACTGGGATCAACTATAAAGGAGCAGGAAGGTATTTTTTGAGTCTGTGGGAAAGTTCCAGGTCCATGTCTTGATTGAGGTGATGGTCACATGTGTGTATATATGTGTCAAAACTTGTCAATCTATTCTTTTAAAATGGGTTCTTTTTTTGGGGGTAGAGATGGGGTCTCACTATATTGCCCAGGCTGGTCATGAACTCGTGGGCTCCAGCAATCTTCCTGCCTCAGCCTCCCAAAGTACTAGGATTACAGGCATGAGCCACTGTGTCTGGCCAAATGGGTGCAGCTTATTACATGCAAAGTATACTCCAGTAACGTTGATTTGGCTGGGTGTGGTAGGCTCACACCTATAATCTCAGCACTTTGGGAGGCTCAGGTGGGAGGACTGCTTGAGTCTAGGAGTTTGGGTACAACCAGGATAACATATCGAGGCCCTGTTTCTATGAAAACACAAATAAAAAATAAAAAATTAGCCAGGTGTGGTGGTGTGCCCCTGTGGTCCCAGCTACTTGGGAGGCTGAGGTGGGAGGATTGCTTGGGCCCAGGAGGTAGAGGCTGAAGTGAGCCATGATCGCACCACTGCAGACAGAGTTTTGCTATATCACTAGCCTGGGCAATAGAGTAAGACTGTTTCAAAAAAGTCCCCCAAAACCAAACCAAACAAAAATAACATTGATTTCGAAAGGAAAAGAGGCTGGGCGCAGTGGCTTACATCTGTAATCCTAGCAGTTTGGGAGACTGAGGCGGGTAGATCATTTGAGGTCAGGAGTTTGAGACCAGTCTGGCCAACACGGTGAAACCTCATCTCTACTAAAAATACAAAAACTAGCTGGATGTGGTGGTGGGTGTCTGTAATCCCAGCTATTGGGGAGGCTGAGGCAGGAGAATCGCTTGAACCTGGGAGGTGGAGGTTGCAGTGAGTTGAGATCACGTCACTGCACTCCAGCCTGGGCAACAGAGTGAGACTCTGTCTCTAAATAAATAAATAGGACAAAGGGTTGCCCATAATCCCATCTCTCTGGAGATAACCACTATTGTTTTGGTGTATGTAGGAAAAGCGATCAATCAATCGATTGTAAGAAATATTAGTTCTAGGAAAGCACTGAGTCCTCTGTAGTACTTTCTCAGCGATTCCAGACTTATTTATTTGGTGACAGTGAGAAGGGAAGGGGGAGAGGCTGGCACTTCACGTTCCCTTGTTGCCCTCCCTCGTCTCCTGTAAGCAGAGAGGGTGGGGAGCTATCATTCGGCTCCCCAGCATCACAGGCGGCTGAACATGAATCAGCTTCCCCTCTCCTCCCTTCCCACTGCTGGAGCTAGAGAATGGGCTGGCTTCACATCAGCCCAGAAGAGGAAGGAGGATGTTCACCAACTTCACAAAACACGACTCCTCTTTTTACACCGGGAGAATGAGCACATTTTATTATTTGATCAGCACATTAAACGCCATCAGTACGGAGTGTCTGTTCCCTTACGCTAGTACCTGATTCCTGTTATAAATGAGGTTCAGGAATGCTCTCCTGGCTGATGTAATTTTGAGACAGAGTTTTCAGATGGAACTTCCAAAGAATCCCCCAAAAGCAACAGCGTCATGGGTAGATACAAAATTGGGATTGCTTAAGAACAATTTTTTGCCTGCTTTTGGTTCCTGACATTTTATTACACACACGGCCTCACGCCATTAAACGGACTCCAAAACCACGACTTAATACAAGTTGCATCTCATTCCATTGTATGGGGCCCTATGTTCCTTGACGGTCTGATAAAGTTGGCTAGAAGCCAGTTTGTTACTAGACCCCATAAGTGGCATCTGAGGAGGAACGTGTCAGGGCACGAGTGTGAACAATATGATCTCCTGAGACTGTGACCCACAGGATGACTGATGAGGAGGTGGCTGACACCACAGCATCCTCTGCCAGCTGAGAGGGAGAAATAAACATCTTCCTTGAAACCAGGGGTGATTTTGCCTCCTAGGTGACAAAGGCGGGCGCGGTGGCTCACGCCTGTAATCCCAGCACTTTGGGAGGCCAAGGTGGGCGGATCATGAGGTCAGGAGATCAAGACCGTTCTGGCTAACACAGTGAAACCCCGTCTCTACTAAAAAATACAAAAAAAAAAAAAAAAAAAAAAAGTAGCCGGGAGTGGCGGTGGACGCCTGTAGTCCCAGCTACAAGGTCCAGAGAAATTTTTGGTTGTTATGACTTGCGGATGCTCCTAGCATCCAACAGGTAGAGGCCAGGGATGCTGCAGAACATCTCAGACTGCACAGGACAGCTGCCTGCCACAAAGTGTCATCCATCCCAAATGTGAATAGAGCCCAAGTTGGAAACCCTGCTTCCAATCCTGCAGAGATGCTGTGTCTAGAGTGTCTATACCCAGTTGCTGGGCGAATGGGAAAGATTCAGAGAGGTGGTCTGGATGGAAGGCCCGTTGCCACGGTCATGCCAATACGGGTTCTAAAATAACGGTGGTAATGTGAAATAGCTAACACTATTGTGAGTGCTTACTCTGGGCTCGGCTTGATCATCTCACTGAATTTCTGCGACCTGGGAGGAAGGTACTATGACGACTCCACTTGACGGTAAATCAATCAAAGACACATACAGCTGGTAAGCAAAAGAGCAGAGAGTTTGTTTTTTTCTTGGTATACTTTTTTGGGGGGCGGTTGTGATGATTTTTTGTGAGGGCGTCTGGCTTTCCCACATGACTGTGAGCTCCCATGAGGACAACATCATATGTGTGATGGAGCTGCAGTATCCGGCAAAGTCCCTGCCACTCAATTCGGTGCTAATAAACAGGTGTTTAATGGAATCAAATAAAAGAAGGAATGAAGCAGGGTAATGTAGCTCAGGAGTTAGGACACTGGCGTCTCAGCTAGATCCAGCCATTCAACAGATAATCATGGTGCATTTACTTTGTGACATGCCCTGGAGAAACAAGCAGCGGTGTCCTGAAGCCGATCTGTAATGGCTCATGACAGCTGATTGTTAATTTTTCAGAAATTTTGCAAGCTGGTTGTCAAACAGCCAGTAAAAAAAATTAAGTTATGTAAAGTTACAAGTAAATAATATTTTTAAAAGGTAATACAACTCATCACTTCCTAATTATTTTACTACATTTTGCCGGTATCTCTCTTCTTGAAGTTATTTATGTCGATTGTAGCGGTCGCCAAACTTTTTCTGTAAAGGGGCCAGAGAGTGAATATTTTAGGCTTTGCAGTCCATGGCTGAATCTGGCCCCTTGCTGGTGTATTGTATCTGTGTGGTGGAAACTCTGCCGTGGGGTGCATGTCTTCCTAACTCCATGTCCAAGGACACATGTTGGTAGCTTGTATAATAATTGGCCATGGTGGTTGTATTTGCACCAGGGAAATTGTCAAACTTTATAGATCAGGCTTTCCTTTTTTCAGCAGGCTGACTATTGAACACGACCCTGGATACAGTGGTGAGCAAAACCAGAATGAACCCTGCCCGCTTGGAGGGTACAGTGCAGTGCATTGGGGTTTGTGCACCATTTCATGGTGGGGTGGGGCAAGGAGAGAGAGCTGTGCAGAGGCTGGAGTGGATCTCCACTGGAGACTGCTGGTTGTTAAACAGCCAGTTAAAAAAAAGATTAAGTTATGTAAAGTTACAATTAAATGAATAATATTTTTTAAAAGGTAATACAACTCATCGTTTCCTAATTATTTTAGTACATTTTGCCGGTATCTCTCTTCTTGAAGTTATTTATGTCTATTGTAAGGGTTGCCAAACTTTTTCTGAAAAGGGGCCAGAGAGTGAATATTTTAGGCTTTGGAGTCCATGGGCTGAATCTGGCCCCTTGACTATAGTTGCTGACCCCCCATGACAATAGTTGCTGAGCTCCCATGAGGGCAGCATTTTGTGTGCTATGGATCTGTAGTACCCAACACCGTCCCCGGCCCTCAAATAGGTGCTAATAAACAGATGTTTAATGGAATCAAATAAAAGAAAATGAATGAAGCAGTGTCACGTAGCTCAGGGGTGAGGACATTGACATCGCAGCGAGATCCAGCCATTCAACCGAAAATCACTATGCATTTACTTTGCCCGCTTCATTCATTCTTTCTTTTATTTAATTCCGTTAAACACCTGTTTATTAGCACCTATTTGAGGGCTGGGGACGGTGCTGGGTGCTACAGATCCATAGCACATAAAATGCTGCCCTCATGGGAGCAGGGGGAACATCCACTTACAGGTGTGGCTGCTGGAAGGCGCCTCAGCTCAACCTCTCCTAGGCTGCCCCTCAGCTCCACTGCTCTCCTCCCCAACAGGTACTTTGCCACCTCATCAAATTCCTTAATGGCAGCCTGGGTAGCGGGTGTGTCTTTCCCTTCTGAGTTAGCTACAGGGGACACCTCAGAGAACTCGAGTTGAGACTGTGCCCATGAAGGCACTTTACTGTTCAGTTTGGCATCCCAGCTCCTAGCATTGAGTTGATCGAGTGGGTCCTCCACCAGTGTGGCCCGGGGTGACCCCACAGTGGGCTGTTGAACGAAAGCGGTAGTTCAGGTGAGGGCACACGTCATCCTTTGGAACCTGGCTCAAACAAGGAGACACCGCCAGCAAAGAATGCAGAAAATGACAGGTTTGTCTGGTGAACTGGCCTCTGGTTAGTGAACGAGCCTGCGAGAGCCCAAGGGGAGTGAAGGGTGCGTGAACCGCCGTGCCCTTCCTGCTACTCCGTAAGCTTCTCAAGTTCAGTGTTGGAAGGGGAGGCTCTTAGGGGCTCGGACCATTCTTTGGAGGGTCTGGAGTTCCAGGGCATTGAGCACAACTCGGGGACATGGTCCATCCACGGGAGCTCGACGGGCTCATGTTTCCTATAATTTGGGGAGCTCCAGGGATGGGGCTCTGATGGAATCTGATGGCTGGATTCAGATTCCTTTCTAGGTTGGGAGCCTGGGATAGTGGAAGGTGGAGGGGCTCTGCAATGAGTTAGCCAAATCCCAGTCTAGGAGGCTGTGGACTCAACTGTCACACTGTCACAGACTGAGTACTAACGCCATCCCAGCTCATCCCCCGCAACTTACTGACCCAGTCCTGTGGCTGGACCTTTGCTAAGCACCAAGGAGTATGTTTTTGACAATCAATCCCTGTGTATTTGCTGCACCCCAGCTTTGTCCAGGCACTGAGCTAGTGCTGTTGCCAGACAGGCGCTTCTGGCTTCTGCCCTCAGGAACTTTCTTTGCCGTGTCTTGGGGGCTCCATTTCACTGATTTGAAACTATATTCAAGAAATACTGCTATTTAAAGAGGACACTGATTGAATTCAATACTTTCTTCCTGAATGCCTGCTCAGGACAACATTACAAAGACAGACATTTGTAATGTCCTCCTAAATTCCCAGAGGAGTGGGAAGCACATGGAATTTGAGGTCGAACAGAATCTGAGGTTCAAACCTCGGCTGGATCCTGATAGTTGTCTGACCCTGTCTGAGCCTCAACTTCCTCACTTAAGATGGGGATGGTAATAGTTCCTACCTCCTAGGCTGGTGGGGAGGAATAAACGAGAACAAATACATAAGGCCTCCAGCATGGTATCTGGTGCTTGGGTACCGGTCATTATTATCACGGTATGTCCTACTTAATGTTTACAAATCAACCACTGTACTGGGCTGCATGGAGGATGTCTGGAATGGTCCTGGAATATATCAGGGATTTGCATCCTGCTAAATCTCCTCCTTCTACTGGAGTTTTGTGCCCTGTATGGGTAGGGGCGTGTCCACAGATGTCCCCGAAGTGGACAGCAGCTGCTTTGCTTGCCACTGGGCCACTCCACCCAGTGACTTTGTGCTAGCCCTTGTTGCTTCCTTCTGTGGGGGGTAGGTGAGCATGAAAGTCTCCTCACTGGCCTCCTTGCCTCTAGGTTTCTCCTCTGCAATGCTCATCTGTGCCACACTGCAGCCTTTTGAAGAAGCCATGTACAAGTCACTCCTTTGCATGGCCCATGTGGTGTCTCCCCACTGCTCTAGTCCCTGGGTTTGCATTTCAGGGTGCTGCTTGCTCACCGCCTACATCTCTGCTCCACCTCCTCCAGGGACCTTGCACCCCATGGCAAGTGAGTTCAGTTTCCTGAACAAGCTGAGCATCCTCCCATCTCTTTGCCTTGGTAGGAGCCAGTTCGTCTTCTTGGAGCACCTATCCCCTTCTTTACTTGATTCCTAAAGAACTCTTAGAGTACCCTGGTCCCCCACACTGGGTTAGACATCCCCCTTTCTGTTCCTGGAGCACCAAGCACAATGTCTGTTACTGTTCTGGACTCTGACCTCCATGCTTTGTGGTTGAGGATGAGGACAGCACCTATGTCATAGGGTGTGAGAAGAGAATGATGTGTGCGTACAAAATTCTTAGCACATAGGAAGCCTCTGGCCACTGTGGTTATTATAGTCATTACCATTAATACCCTAGTGCCTGGCCTGTGACCAGCATACAGCAGGAGCTCAATGAAAATATTTGAACAAAGGATCTAATCCCACCCGCTTAATGGACTGGGGGGTTTCTTGGCCCCAACCACCCCCCAACACCCACATATCTAGGGCTTGCCCCTTCATGCTTGGTGGTTTTCTCAAGGCTGTTCAAGCTCAAAACTGGAAGGAAATGGCAGCAAATTGTGGGGAGCTAAGGAATTTCTAACTTTCTAATCTAATTGTGCCTCCCCAAGGAGGCATCTCCTGGGCAGGCTGGATGTGAGTCTTCTTTCCTTGGTGAGGGATGCAGCCTGGGACCTGCCTTTCATCCCCTGCCTGAAACCCTGGCCAGGCTCGGGGAGAGGGTCCTCTGGGGAGCACCTTCATGCTGCCTGTTCTTGGGAGAGGGGGGGTGAATAATTTCCACCAACGGCACAGATGCTGTGGATATTCCGCAGTGTTCACGACGCAGTTCAACACACGCTGCACACATTCATGTGTTCACTACAGAGGCGCCTTCACTTAAAAAGGCAAAAATCTAGGGTTTTAACGTTATTAGCTGCAGGAGCACGTGGAGATAAGAAAACCTGGCTGAGGAGCTGAGCATTTGCTAGGTGGCCTTAGGTGCCGGCTGCTTGTGATGGCAGAAAGGGAGCTTTTTGCATCCAGGCTGCAGTTCCTGATACCCTGGGTCACAAGAGAATCGAATATGGTTCTCTCGTGGGCTGGTGCTGGGCCTGTGAACTCAGATAAAATGACCAGGTGGGGTCCCAGGGAAGGTGAAGTAGGGGGAGCTGCTGGGGTGCGCACAAGAGGGGTGGCTGTGTAGGTTGGGGGGTGCTTTAAGTGGGTTCCTAGAAGAGGCTCTGTCTCCCTGGGCAGAAGAAAGAAGGGGGATGGGCGGACCGTCCCCTCTCTCCAGAAGGTTTGAGGACCCCCAAGGCCAAAGCCAGCAGACGTCAAAGGCCAGGAGTTCGAGGCCGGCTGGGTCCCGCAGTGGGAGACAGGGCAGGGTGGGCTCATCCTCCGGATCACCGCGGGGACACTTTCAGTCGGGAAGGCGTCCCCGTCCCACGGCCCCATCTGGCCAGCCCGCTGGACAGCCTGGACAGCGGAGGGGGCGTCAGGGGTCGAGGGTTCCAGTCCCCGTCCTTCCACCCAGCCCCCGGCCCTCGGGTATCCTTCTTTACCCGTCCGAGTCCGGCCCGGGGGCGGCGGGGGTGGGTGAGGCGCGGGCCCCCAGGCTCCGGCAGCCTGGCTGGGCTCCCGCCCGGGCACCCGCGGGGGCGCGGCTGGCGTGACGTCACGCGCCCCGCCCCCGCGCCCCGCCCCCTCCCCACATTCCAGGCGGGGCGGGCCGGGACCCCGCGGGGCTCGCCCGCCCCAGCCCCCTCCCCAGGGGCTGCCCCTCCCGTCGGGCCGCGCCTCCCCGTCGTGGGCCGCGACCCCGCCCGGACCGCGGACTCCGCCCGCGAGAGGCCGAAGCCGCCGCGGCCGCCGCCGTTGCCGCCATTGACGTCAGAGGGGCGGGCACATGACCCTGCGGGGACCAATCGCGCGGGCGCCCCGGGCTCCGGGAGCCCGGCGCGCGGCCCGCCCCGCCCGCGGCCACTCTCGCCCGGACGGCCGCGCGGACACACGCTCTGTACACACGCGCGCGGCGGCGCGGGGCCCCGAGACACGCCCGCCCCCACCCCGCCGCCCCCACCCCGGCGCCCGCCCTCCGCGCCTGGCCCCGGCCCGCCCTCGGCCTCCCCCGCCCCTCCCCGTCGCCCGCCGAGCCCGGTCAGCCGCCGCGAGCATGCACCCGACGAGCTAGGAGGAAGCCCGGAGCCCCGCAGGAAGCGCCGAGGCCGGCCCAGCCCGCCGCACGCGCCGCCCCCCGCGGGCAGCGCCCCCTCCCCTGCGGGCGCCCCCAGCCCCACACCCCCCCACCTTCCCGGGGGGTGGGGGGGTGCGGGCCGCCGGATCCGGGGGCCCCGCCGCCCCAGCAGCCCAGGACAGCCCCCTCTCCCCGCCCCCAGCCCCCTCCCCCGGCGCGGCCATGGATGTGACCAGCAGCTCGGGCGGCGGCGGCGACCCCCGGCAGATCGAGGAGACCAAGCCGCTGCTGGGGGGCGACGTGTCGGCCCCCGAAGGCACGAAGATGGGCGCCGTGCCCTGCCGCCGGGCTCTTCTGCTTTGCAACGGGATGAGGTACAAACTGCTGCAGGAGGGCGACATTCAGGTCTGTGTCATCCGGCACCCGCGGACCTTTCTCAGCAAGATCCTCACCTCGAAATTCCTGAGGCGCTGGGAGCCGCACCACCTAACGCTGGCCGACAACAGCCTGGCGTCCGCCACGGTGAGTGGCTCTGCGCGGCTGCACCCCCGCCTCTCCTCGGGGCCCGAGATGCGCCCTCCCTGGCTGCCCCCTGGCGCTGCACCTGGAGCCCAGGGCCTGGGGGGCGGTGGGGGGTGCCGGGGGAACGGGGAGAACCAGGGCGCCTCGCTCCTGGCCTGCTCGCGGGGCTCGATTTTGGAGTCTGAAGCCCAAACCAGCCGACCGGGCTCAGGAGAGACCCTTAAAATGCTGGAGACTCGGCCCACCGCCAGGCTGGGTGCCTGGGGACCTTCTGCCCCCAGCTCTTGTGTTTCTGGTGGCTGGGACTCGAGGATGGACCCGACGCTGGGCCCTGATGGTGGTGGGGGTTCTCTCTGGAAGCCCCTGGCCCATCTGGATCTGAGGGGTGGGGGAGGGGAAAACAAAATACCACCCCTCAGATTTAAAAAAAAAAACAAACAACACAACAAAACCTCCAAACCCCCAAACCCAAAGAATTTCCAGAAGCCAGTTTCTCTGTTTGGTTTACCCGTCCTTTATTCTCTTTCCTGCCAGGGCTGGCAGGCAGAACGGGGTGCTTCCCTTTCTGAAAATCTCATTCGCACATTGAGAGGTTGGAAGTGGAGGGGGAGGGGGCAGTGGTCCTGGAATATCTCAGGACCCAGCGGTGGTCGAGTTCTAGCCTAGAAGCTGCTTGGTGGAGCCCTGGTCCGGCATTGTCTGTAGAGTGTGTGTATACGTGTGTGTTTTGTTGCTGGAGGTTTAATTTTGTTATTGTTTTTAAATACATGGGTAGGACTGGGTCAGCTGGATGAGTCGGAGAGGAAAAACCATTGATCTGTTTCTGAAATCAGATCTGCAAATGGTGGCCTTCTTCGTACGTGGAGAAAGACAGCTGTGGTGGGGTCGAGGGGAGAGTGGGGGTGGCGGGTAGGAGCCTGAACAGGATGCTTTGTGTTTTGAAACAAGGACAGTTTCAAATACCGGCTGTGGCTTGGGCCTGAGGCTTGCCGTGGGGGTCCCATCCTCATTGGGGGTGTAGCTTGTCTTCCCCAGAATGCACACTCCTCCCTGGGGCCACCGTGATCCTGTTTACTAAGCGCAGTGGGAGGGGGCCGAATCCACTGCCTGCCCACACCTGTGCCAAGAAAACCCAGCCAGGAAATAGGGTGTCGCTTACATGGCATGTCACAAACGTGTAGCGTGTGTAGACATTTCCCTGGCATCCATGTTCCCTTGGCGGTGTGTCACAGGCCATGACACATGCCCCAAGGAATGGGGAGGGGGGAAAAGTTAGCTGAAGAATCCTACTCTTTGAACCAGTCCCCCACCCCCCACCCCAGAGCGTTGCAGCCCTCGAGGACTTTTATTCTTAATTTGGGGTCCGACATGCTTAGAGCACCTATTTTCTCTTTCCTGTGGGCACGTTGGTGCAATATCTGCAAAGACTCCTTTTTCAGGGAGGATTGCTGGTCGCGGGGAGGCGGCCCAGTCCCCGGTCAGGCTGGTGCATGTTCTCAAGCCCGTCCCGCGCCACAGGCCGCAGCATTTGGCTTTCCAATGGATGGAGGCGGGAGAGAGCCTCCGAAAATTTGCCAGTACGGAGTGTTTCTGATGTGGGGAGGAACTGGTGACCGCGGTGCCCCCTGCCTGGATTCTGGAGACCCCAGATCTGGCTTCAGAATTTTCACCTGGCTCAGGGGGACTTTATTGGGCTTTTTTTTTTTTTTTCCTCTTACACTCCACAAAATGAAGGGTTGTTGGTGGTGGGGTAGGAAAATGGTTAGAAGGAACAGTGACCTGCCATGGGAAGGCCAGGAGGAGCCCCTTCTCCCTCTGGGAGAAGCCAGGAGTGAGTGTCCCGCTGCTACCGTCCTGTTTCCGGAAAGCCAGCTCTCGAGGCTAATGCCTCCCCACTTACCTCCGATTGCTCAGGAGGTATATCTGAGAGAAAGAGGGAAGGAAGAAAGACCTGAATAGCCAGAGGCCCCTCGCTCACCTTGGCCAGCCCAGGTAGGTGGCACCATCGGTAGTGTGGGCCTTTCCGGAAAGCACCTGTCTAGTACTGGGGACTGAGGCTTATCCATGGAGCAAGATTCTCTTGGCAGAGCCATGCTCTGGTGTTAGGAAATGTGGCAAGAGGAACTATAAGGAAGTGTTTGATGGACTGGCATAATCCCCTTTCCGCTGCCTTTCGTCACCAAGCACTACAGGCAGGGGGTGTCCTTAAGTCTTACCCTTGCCCTCTGGTGGGCTCCAGGGGGCCTTGCCTCAGGGCCTGTGAGCCTGGAGGTGGGGCTGTGAGGGCTGGCCTGGCTGGAGCGCTGGCCTCCCGGGTAGAGGTGAGGTTGGGACTGCCACCAGGGCTCTCGTCCCATCATGAGACACCTGGTTGGTGTCCAGGCTCTCGGGGAAGCAGCGGAGCCCCTGTGGGGTTTCCCTGAGGCCTGGACATTATGTAATCTGTCTGCGTTTTATAGTGCGGCCCAAGCACTCTATTGAGAAATATGAGCCCAAATAAAACAAAGGTGAATTTGAGTGCAGTTCCCTAGAACAAAAACCCTTTGCAGTCCTGTGGCTTCGCAGCAGCCGCTGGCCCAGCCCTGAGCTCCCGATATTCCAAGTATGTTTCCTATAGAGTCATATCCTTACTTGAAATATCAGTCATCCATATTTTAAGCCATCTACACAGCCCAACTCAGAATCATCTGGTAATTATCTGGTTAATTGTATGGGCTTCAGGAACAAGACCCAGAGTGATTGATAGGGATTCAAACCAATAAACAAGCCAAATACTCTTTTTTGCCCAAACCTTTTGCAGTCTGTTTCCATTGATCCAATTAACCGAATCTGAGAGATTTAAGACCGTGCTTCCAGGAGCACATCTGCATCAGGCTGGGATGCAGGCAGACTCGGGCTCCCAGTCCCACCTGCTGGGTGACACCGGCTAGGTACACCTTTTAGTCTGGGGTCCAAGGGACCTGATAGCCCTCCAGGCTGTCTTACCGGTGGAGCCAGCAGCCTCACCCGCCTGGCCTGCCTGTAAACTTTGCCTCCTGTGGGATCAGGTCGCAGCTTGCCCTGCCCTGGTCTCCTGGGCCAGTTACTGATTAAATCCTTGCAGAGCCAACAGCGTGCCTAATGTGGCTTGTGACGGCCGCCAGGTCTGATGCACCCTGTGCTTGGAGACTTTGGATCCGAAATGCTCGTAAACAAAGGAGGAAGCAGATAGGCGACAGCTGACTTGGGAGGGGAGATAGGGAGGCCAGGGCCCCCTCCCTTGGGGACCCAGGACTGCACCTTTGTGGGGAAGGGCCTGTCTGCCCAGGCTGTGGCCTGAATGTGGTGCCCCATTCCCTCTTTGTACCCAAACTTCCCAGTTCCTGGGCCTCACTGGCTCTTCATGGCTGGTGATGGTCGTGTTGGTTGTAAATGACAGCCAGGGCAGCCAGGGGTTCTGCATAAGCGGCCGGGTTCGGCAGGACCAGAATCCATTTTGCTGCTCTCGTCTGTGGGTTGAATTTGATCACCTGCTAGGCATGTTTGTCCGTGGGCAGAGGGCTTTGTCTGTAGGCTTTGTTTCTTCTGCACCACAGAAGTACAAATAAGCTGCCTACCTTTTATTTCATCTTACTTTTAAGAGAATGTGGCACACGGTATTTCAGAATGGTGGATCCACTCAGAAAGTCCTTTATTCAGGGGTCGGGGCACAGGTGACAGTAGTGTTCTTTATTCTCAAGCCATAATTCATCAGTGGCTTGTTTTTAAATTTTCACCACTCTGCTGTTTGATTGCAATGTTTCTGGGCATCTTGATATGGATGGGAAAGGAGAAGCCACCTTCATTCTCATTGGTTTCTTTAGTCTGGTGTTTTCTGAACTTGGACTTTGTTTAGCACAGGCTTACTGCATGCCTACTGTGTGTCACTTGCTGAGCTAAGAGTTACACATCCACATGGCTTGGTTTCTACCTAAGAATTAAAATCTATGTCCTCCAGGGTAGTCACAGATCCCACGAGAACTCATCTGTGCCCACATGCACGCATGTTAATTGCTTTTTCACTTTTGTTACATACCCCCCTTCCCCCCATGTGCCTAGCCTGCCTTTAATTTATTTGATGTTTTTTTGTGGCAGTAAACACACAGATTTCCCCCCCCCCCTTTCCATGCCATTTGTCATAGGAGGATTTTGGAGTGTATCAAAATTGTTTCCTAGACAACTTGTCTGATTGGAGGTGGTGGAGGGGAGGGGCTGAGACAGAGAGGAGAAAAAGTCAAAATTCTCTGTAAATTGCAAACGTGGTCTGCCTTTCCCAGGCTGTAATAAGTAAGTGCATTTTAAGGAAGGAGTAAGTTTTGATGCTCGCATTTGCCTGGTGCAATCTGAGATGCCTGTTCCGGCCACGGCAACATCATGCCAGTCCAGGTGGAAGGAATTTCACTGCATGTGGCTGAGCTTTCCTGCAAGTGGGTGACAGAGGTGGCAGTTGCTGCTGGCTTGGGCTGCTTGGCCCACAGATTGACTGATGTGGCGGCCCTGCCTGCTCCTTAGTGTCTCATCGGGCAGTGAGAGGGCATTTCTGGGGCACTGTCCTGGGCAGGGCTCAGGGGGACCTGGTAGAAGGCAAAGCTGTCCCAGGGTACCTCAACTGCTGCCAGCCAGGACTGACTCGTCTTGAAGGTACCCAATTGGTGTTTTGTTGGCATGGACATTGCAGGGGGTCAGCTTACACCTTTGATTAAAGGAATACATGAGATTAGGTGAGGCAGCCTGATATGGGGCATCTCCTCTGTGGGGGAGAACAGATTTGGGTTTTGCGTTCTCATGGCGCTGGATCTGGATTTGAAGGGTGCAGTTTCCTGGCTGTGTGACTTTTGGTGCTTTGCTTTCCCTTGCTGGGCCTTGTTTTTCCTCCATCCTTAGGGAGAGCACCTCATGTCTAGGGTTGCTGTAAGGATTGGAGAGGATAGATAAGCACCTACTAGTATAGTCAGCATACAGTGACCAGGATTCCAATTCCTGTTTTGCTAATTGCCCTGAAAGAGCTTCATGACTTTCTGCACAAATGGAAGGGATTATTGTTACCTAAAAATGGGTGGCCTCCAGAGAGTTCCCTGAGATGAATAGTGCATTGGGGAAAGCTAGGGGTGTTTAGCAGGTCTCATAGGTAGGAAGGCAATGAAATTCTTGCCAGCAGTTTAAGAAAAATTCCTTGCGGGGCGTAGTCTAGTTTCTTAAAATAAATTACAAAAATTGAAATACTCATGTATGCATCAGGTAGATTTGATTAGTATAACAAGGTGTTTAATGAAAAATGAAGCTTCCCTTACTCGACGTCCACACAGCCCCTAGTGGCCCTCCTTGGAGGCAAGCACTGCTGCTCATTTCTTGTGTATCTGGACATGCATGCACACAGCTGTCTACCGTGGTTCTTCACTGGACAGTATATTTTGGAGACCCTCCATGCGTGTGCAGCTGCCTTGTTCTTTTTCATTGCTGCATAGTGTTCTGTTGTAGAAGTGTATCACAGTAATGTAGGTAGACCCTCCCCTGTTGATGGGCATTGAGGTTAGTCCCAGCCTCTTTGATATGGTTTGGATGTGTTCCCACTTAAATCTCATCTTGAGTTGTAGCTCCCATAATTCCCTTGTGTTGTGGGAGGGACCCAGTGGGAGATAATTGACTCATGGGGCGCTTTCCCCCATACTGTTCTCTTGGTAGTGAATAAGTCTCACGAGATCTGATGGTTTTATAAGGGGAAACCCGTTTCGCCTAGCTCTTTCATTCTCCTCTTGTCTGCCACCATGTAAGACGTGCCTTTCACCTTCCACCATGGTTGTAAGTTCCCCCCAGCCACGTGGAACTGTGAGTCCATTAAACCTCTGTCTTTTGTAAATTGCCCAGTCTCAGGTATGTCTTTATCAGCAGCGTGGGAACGGACTAATACACTCTTGTTCCTTGAAAGAAAACATTTTCTATTTTTACTGAATGGAGTTGTCTCTATTTTGATGTTCTTTTGCTTAATTCTTTGGGATGGGGGAGCTGAGCCTCCTTTTGAAGAGGGAAGGGCAGTGTTTCCTGGGGTTATTGCTACCTGGAGTCATGCTTTGTTCTGGCTGAAAGGTCACCAACCAGGGATCCCCCTCAGAGGGTCTGGCCACTTGGTCTTCCCTGCAGCTGAAGGAACATAGGTGACCAGGGGGCTCTGACAAGGATGCGCTGACTTCCACCCACAGAACAAGGGTCTGTGCAGCTCCACCTGAGGGCATTGCTTTTTGTTCCCTGACTTCCTGCTTTCCCCAGGATGGAAGCCAGGCCACCCAGCCCCATGGTGGAGGAAGAGAGGAAGTGAGAGTTTCTCTTCCTTGCTCCTGGCTCTGGTGATGAACCACCCAGTGTATTCAACAGGCACCGAGGGAGACTGTGCGCATTTTGAAAGGAAGCTTCGCTTACATCAGCAGAGCCCTAACCGAAGGGTGATGAGACGTGCGTGTGGGGGAGGTGTTTGCTGTGTGTATTGAGGCAAAGGAGATGGCAGAGAAAATATTTCTGGTGCTGAAATTGGTTCCTGACTTCAGTAGCCATTTCGTTACCCCTCCCATGTGCACAGCGCTCGTCCTGGCATTTGGGGTGTGCAGTGAGGCCACAGGAAGAGAACACGGCAGACCCAGTGGAGTAGGGGAGTGAGGACCTGGACTTTGAAATCAGACAGGGGAGCTTGAATCCTGCCTCTGCAGTGTCCCAGGTGGTGACCTTGGGCAGGTCCCCTAGCCTGTGTCCTTATCTGTAAAGCGAGGATCAGAGAAACTTCCTCTTAGCATTGATGTCAGGGTAAATGAGGTGAGGCCTGGCGGTGCTTTCATGCCTCCATTCAGCAGTTAAGTGTCACCGTTCTAGGCACTCGGAAGAAAACAGGAGCCTGCCCTCGTGGAGCCTGTGTTGGTGGGAGTGGACAAACAACTAAGTTAAGAGCAAGTAATTATAAAATCCGATGACAGGGATCGTGGAGAAAAGCAAGCAGGGTGGGGCGAGTGGTGGGCTGCTTTGTACATAGTGGTCAGGGAAGCGGGTGATAGGACTTCCAGGGGGAAGAGCGTTCCAGGTAGAGGGAACAGCAATTGCAAAGGCCCTGAGGGAGGAGATCATCTGTGGAAATCACCCAGTAAAGTGGCTTGCACCTGGTACATGTTCTATGATTGTCAGTTTCCTTCCTCCTGCTCTGTGGAGCTGTTATTATCTGTTTAAAAAATTAATGAGTATGTAGAATGTGCGAGGTGATGGACACACAGGCAGCTCCTTGCCCCGTAAAGCTTCCATTCTTTTGCTTCTGTTGTGTGTTTTTTCTTTTGTTTTTTTTTTGTTTTGTTTTTTTTTTTTTTTTTTTGCAAACCTGGCTGCCTCCCAATAAATAGTGAAGAATAGCCCTGGTAGCAGTGCCTTAAGAGATTCTTAAATGACAAAGCCCAGCAGAACTTTGAAAACGCAACTCCCTTTGTCCATAACTACACTCTAAGGATCCTAGGATCTAGAACACACTAGTGCTCTGATTCACCTCTGGTTTTGCCAGCGAGGAAGGGGTGAGGGGAAGTGTGTCGGCAAAGACCCTTGCAGCTGGCTCAGCAGCCCACCTGGGATTCAAACCCAGACTCCTGCCTTCCCATGGCATCCTTTGTTCGTGGCTCTACTGCTTTCAAGCTACTGTCAGAAATGGTAGGGTGGACGGAGCGACTAAACTGATTGTGCTGGGCGAACTCTTTTTGGAGGGAAGCACGTGGTCTGGATCGTCTGGTCCCTGGTGGATATAGGATTTGAGTGTATGGAATCAAACAGCCATCTGGGTGCTTCCCTTGGGCTGGGCTGGCTGCATCCAGCTCAGGTGGGGTCATATGGAGAAGGAAGATCACACCGGGACTGCTGCTAGCTTCTCTGGGTGTCCTGGGCCAGTGCCAGTTTCCTTAGAGGTCCAGGATATCTGAAAATTGGAGCACACAGTCTGAGCAGACCCAGGCCTGGCTCTCCTCCCTCGCATGTTGGCTCCCTGTGTGGACTAGGTGACCCTGTTTACCAACACACACACCGGTGCGAGGCTCTGCAGGGAAGGAGAGCCACGGGTATGGAAGGGGCTGTGTGTTCCCCAGGCAGGCTAGCTGCCGTAACACGCAGCCCTGGCATCTGGGTGGCTTCATGCAGCCCAGTTCTTGCAGTCCTGCAGGGGTCTCCCGAGGGTTCTGCCCCCTCTTTTTCTTGTGAAATGGGTCTGCCCTCCCCTAGGTCCTTCATTGTCAGGGGGATGGGGAAAGAGTGAGCACCACAGCCAAGCCGTTTGTAGATCTGGCCGCTTGGTTGGCTAGAACTCAGACACACGGCCACACGGAGTGCAGGGGAAGACTTGGGAACATGGTTTACATGTGCGTCTGGGAGGAAGAGGAGAGCATGGAAGCGATGACTACTCCCACCCCAGCATCCTTGGGATGCAGCAGCAGATCTTGAGGTCTCCAGGGTGCCAAGAGCAGAGCTGCTTCCCTAGAAAGGAAATTCACATGACCGTGATCTCATCTGGTTCCTGGGTTTGAGGTTGGGGGCATTTCGGCCAAGCTTGCAGTCTTCTCTGGTGGGGAATAAAGTAGGGTGAGCAAATCCGTTGTAAGAGATGGACCTATATGTTCCTGGTTGCAACGATATTTATCGTATCCCTACTGTGTGCCGGGCACAGTGCTCATTTAATTTTCACAACAATCCTGTGGGGTAGGTGTTTATTCCCATTTTACAGATGCTCTAATGGAGTCTCAGATAAAGAGAGCTGGGAGGAAGTAGAGTTTAGTGTCAAAGCCAGGTCTGACCCCGTGTCTGTGTGGGTCCATCAATGTATATGCACCTGGTAGATGCACATGAAACTATTTCAGCCTCCTGCAGAAACATCTTAGGTAGAAATAAGTGAGCTTTTCAGTTTAGTGTTTGCCAAGGTTGGCGGACATTCCTTTGTGATTTTGTCAAAAAAGTTAAGGGAACCGATGTGGGAAATTGAATGCCAGCTATTCGTAAAGGGTAAGCATTAGGTGTATAACTTGAACACCATATATTATTTGTGCAAATTGAGTGTTCTGGGGCACTGTTCTTGCATAGTGAGTGCTCTCAGGCATGGCACTTGGAAAGTCAGACATACTCTTCCCTCCCAAGGGACTCATAGTTAAATGGGGGTATTACAATTATGATACACCATTGAACAAAGCACATTGCTTAGAGAGGTTTATGTCTTGTCCTGTGTTTGGACGGAGGAAGAGACGCCATCATGGGGGTGGGGAGTTTCAGGAAGGACTTCTTTGTAGGAGACAGGCATCTGGATGGAGAGGTAGGATGGAGACTGATGGAGATGAGGGTGGCAGGTCGGAGGTGGGAATGAGCAGAGGGAACAGTGAGCAAAGGGACAGGCCAGAGCGGCTGGGCACATTCCGGGAGTCTGTGCAGTTTTTATGGGGTGGACACCGTAAGACGGCATAGGAATTAAAGATAGAGGTGGGTTTGCCTCCTAGAGCAGAGTCTACCAGTGTGGGGTGATTAATGCTGGGTAAACCCATGCACCCTGGGGCGGGTGGTGCTTTACGATGCAGAGAGACTAAGGACTGGCCGGCCAGCCGGGAGCCCGGGATGTCACAGATTGGAAGGCTTAGGAGTGCAGGGATCTCCGAGTCGCCAGGACCAGGCAGTTAGTCACAGTAGTGACCGTGCAGCGGCCACTCGTGTGATTAGTGTGTTTCCTCTTGCCAGGGGCTATGCTATGCAGGTTTTATCAGTGATCCGTACAACCCAGTTAGATACTGTTACTCTCTCCATTTTACCGATGGGGACACTGAGGCACTGCCCCTCAACAGACATAGTTTGGATGAATGAACAGCTTGCCTAGTTGGGAGGTCCGTCCTGTTGGAAGGGGAGAGGGACCCACGGAGAGGGAGGCGCAAGCCCAGATCTCTACCCCTCCACTTCCTTGTAACCCCACGGGCCTCTGGCCCTCTGCGTAAGTGCGAGTTCTACCACTCCCCTGCTGCAGGGCTCTGTCCGTACTGAAAGCAGGGGATTGCGTACATGGTGTCTCCAACACATGGCCCAGCTGTGGTGCACACAGCCTTTCTCGGTGTGCACACAGGCCCTAGGATTCCGAGCCCACCCCTGTGGCCTGTGAAGAGTGGTGGTAATGGCGTCAGGCTGCTGGGCTCAGCCTGGTGAGCTCCTGGTGGGCTTTCCACTAGAGACCCCTGCTACTCCAAATCCCAGGCCTGAGCTGTGGCTCACAGGACCCCTTTCTTGAACCTTCCCTTCAGGGAGGCCTGGTGGGAAGGCCCTGCCTAGGCCTGTGCTGTCTCGAAGGTGATCCCATCAGGCTGGACCTCAGGGCCAGGGACACAGTTGGGCACCTTGTAGGCGACGCAGGAGTGGCACTCTGCCTCTTGTCTGCAGTGGGGGAAGTGCAGTGGGGTCTCAGCTGGCAGGTTACAGGGGCAGGTCTGCCCATTGGAAAGGGGAATGATGACTTGTTGACATCTGTTTGTCGCCCTGGTTGGTTCATGTTTCACGACCCTGTGACTGAGGCTTGCTTCAGGGTAGGAAAATGGAAGAGCTCGAACTGTCCCAGCAGGCTGGTGGCAACTGAGCTCGGGGAGTCCCAGCAGGGCCAGACAGAGCCCAGAGCCAGATGATAGTCATGTCCAAGGTGAGTGGAGGGGACCGCGGGGTAATCATGACCATTTCCTCCAGTCATTCTCAGACCTTTAGGCGTGTGCGCATTTCGTCCTCTCATCAGCCCCGTGAGGCGTTAGCAGGGGAAATGGAGACCTCAAGAGTTCAAGGTTACACAGCTGGAACCCAGGCAGCCTAACTCCAGAGCCAGTGGCCTCCAGATGTCACGACGAGTCCCTGGTGGGGTGTGAGCACAGGAACCCTGGCAGCAAGGGCCGAATCACCAGCAAGGCAACAGTAAGGATAGTGAGCACTTACCCAGAACCTGTTTTATGCCAGACACTACTAGAGCCCTTTGTGCAGATGTACATTCATCTAATCCTCACGATGCCCCTGCGAGGTGGTGCTGTCATTGTCCCCCTTATACAGATGAGCAAACTGAGGCCCGGAGAGGAGAGGTCCCTACTTACCCAGCTTGTAATTGTGGAGCGAGGATTTGACCCCAGGCTGTCTGGCTCCAGAGTATCACTGCCTGTGGCTGGTAAGCAGAGTTTTGGGGCTGCAAAGCAGAATGTCAGAAAGGCCCACAGTGGCCAGGCTGGCTGTGAGCTGAGAGGAGGGCCTTGTGGAAGGGAGAGCGTGTGGACAGAGCAGAAGGGTCTACCCTGACTGCACTGGGGCCCCTTCCGGGAGCTTCCTGGGCCAGCTTCCTGCAGACCCATCTCCGGAGGAGCCGTGGCAGAGGATCGCTTCTCACCTGCCCTCGTTGAACCTGGGGTGGTCACCTCAGCCTCCTCGCCTGAGACCACCTGACCCTGCAGAGCGCTCTGTCACAGCCGGTGGTGAGGACTGGATCACAGTGAGCACGAAGTTCAAAGTCTACTGTGGAGCGAGCGTCCCGCCCTGTCTGGCTTCTGGCCTCAGCTTCCCCATGCCTCTGACCTTTGGCACACGCCTCTTCTTTCTGCTTGGAACCCCTCCGACCCCCCCGCCAGTCAGTGGTTTTCCAGGGCTACCTTCCCCAGTTGGAGCCAGGGCTTGCTCCCCTGTGGCGCGGCACCACCCCAGCTGGGCAGCCAGGTCGCCTTTGCCTCTTGCCTTCTCCACTCCACATTTACCTCCCCTCTCTTGTAAAAGCAAAACTGAAGCCATCATACAGGGCTGACGACAATCTTACAAAATCAAGAAGAAAAAAATCCTCCCAGAATCCCACCACCTGGAAATCACCCGTATTAACCATGTGGGGTGGAGCCATCTACCCTTTCTCCTAAATGAGTGCGTGTGGCATAGGTACACAGGGAGCAGGAGGAGCTTTTATTCTAGGTTGGCCTCCACCTGCCAGGTGCTGGCCCACTGCTCCCCACAGTTGTAACAACCCGTGATACGTAACAAGCAGGCTCTGCCACATGTCCCCGGGGGGCCACATTACCCCTGGTTGAGAACTGCTGTGTTCATTCATTTAATCATCACACCTACCTCGTGAGGTCCCATTTTCTGGAGCAGGCAGGGGCTGCCCGGGCTGGCATGTGACAGAGCTGGGAACTCCTGCACCGTCCCACAGTCACCTCGTCTCTTCAGAACTGGCCCACAGGAGGTCTGAAAAACAATGTGGGGGCCTTAGGAGCCCTGTCCCCATGTCTGGCATGGTGTGGGGCCAAGAGCCGGTGGGCCACGGCACCCCAGGCCCCCAGAAGGAAATCCCAGCTGGCCTGGGCGTTGGCAAGCTCCCCCCTACCTTTGATCCCTCCCGACTGACCTCCCCCTCGCTGTCCCTGCCTTCGCCCTGATGACTCAGGACTTCAGAGATCTGGGTTGTTGAAAAGGGGAATTACATCATGCCAATAAGAGAGAGGGGGAGAAATTAGCATTAGAAAGTTTTGGCGTAAGGAAAAATGACTTCAAAACCTGCTTCTTGTGCCCTGTCTGAATTGAAGCAGGTTTTTGGGGGAGATGAGGAAGTGGGGAGGAGAGGGGATAGGGACCCTGGCTTCTCACCTCTTCTAAAGAGGCCTTCATCTGTTTGACCCCAGACCCATCCACGGCTGGGCAGTGGGTCCCTCTCCTTTTTATAGCTGAACCCCATCACCTGGAAGGCTATTAAAAAGCAAGGTTCTGGAGTTGGCATGCAGGTTCTACCCGCAGGCTTGGTGAAGGGGGGTAGGGGTCAGGGAGCACTGCAAAGACGAACAGTCTGGGGTTCTTCTGTTGCCCCCAGTGGTAAGCAGGGCACCCTCTCTGGGCCAGCACAGCCCTGGCTGGGGGCATGACTAGAGGAGGGGATCCCGGCTGATCTCAGTCCCACTGGCCTCCACTGGGTGCTCCTGCGTAGGGCCCTCCCTGCTCAGCCATTCTGGGAAGCTTTGCTTGAAGGGGATCAGGAAGGAGGAAACCCCCTGCCTCCACTTTGAAACCCGCACACTGTTTCCCCATTACGTCTTGCAGGGAGGTGGAGGCGTTAAATCCCCTGCCTGCCCAGGTCAGTCCTTCCCTAAAACAGGACAGTGATCGGGCAGGTTGATTAGGAGGGCTGGCCAGGCTTTTTGATCCAGACATTTCATATGAGGCCATTTAACCAGTGGTGTGATCCAGCTCTCAGTTTCCTCATCTGAAAGCTGGGGATATAAGAGTAGCCACTCCCTAGGATAAAGGGGAGAATACATGGAATTCTGAGAATAAAGGAGAGAATACATGGAAAGTACTTAGTAGAGTGTGGACACGTGGCATGTGCTCAACAGATGTTTGCTACCATCATCATCATCATCATGACCCCTACCATTACTGTCATCTCCGCTGTCACCATCACTGTCACCATCACCGTCACCGTCACCATCACTGTCACCATCACCATCACCATCACCATCACCATCACTGTCACCGTCACCGTCACCATCACTGTCATTACTGTGGCTACCGCTTCTCTTGTGTTGGGTTTGCCACCTGTATACCTTCCTGCTTCCTGCAGGACTGTGAGCTTGAAGGCAGGGTTTGGGTCCGTTTTTCCAGGAATACCCGATGTCAATAAAGGCCTTTGTCTGTTGCATGGTGGGGGACCTTGGCATCCAGGCTGTGAAGGGACAGGAAAGTCTCACAGTTTTCTTGGAAACCTTCTGGTGACCTTGGAGTCAAGGGAAGCTCTTCTTGGGTGTGCCCGTGGCCCTGTGCTGTGACCCTGCGCTGTGACCCCGTGCCGTGACCCTGCTCCGTGACCTCGCTCCGTGACCTCAGGCACCATTATTTGGAATGGGCTCTCAGCCCCTGTCCTAACCCCAGCCACCAAGCTCCCAACCCAAGCAAGATGGAAACCCGCCGTTGGGAGGATTAAGATATTATTGGTGGTTTTCACCTCAGCTTTCAGCAGCAGTGCTTGGGAAATAAGATTTTGATCTCGGAAAATATGATTTAAAAACAGAATTGAAAGTCGCTTTTATTTTCTAAACGATATTGCCCCTGACGCATGCACTGCCTCTGACTGGTGGCCTCCGGTCTGAGCACACCCGTGGGGTAAACTGCGTAGCAATTCCAGGGGTGTGCTCTCTGGATTTTATAGACTTCCACCCCAAGCAGGCCCTGCCTTTGATCCCCCACTCGGGTCTGCAGTGACAGAGCACCTGCTTTAGACCAAGCCCAGGAGGCTGCTGCTTCTTTGGGGAATTGTCTTAGCCTTTCCCACTCTTAGGAGGTGGCCTTGTCAGATGCCAGCTGAAGGGGTCTTCTTCCTCCGAGCCCTGCTGGGCTCACCTTTGAATGCCACAAACCAAACCCATGGACCAAGGGGACTTTGGCCACATCCCAGTGTCCCCTCCAGTGGGGAAGGGAAGTTCCTTTCCTTCCTGTTGTGTGAGGGCTAGGGGCACTGAGTCCCCACAAGGCCTCACCATGGAGGCTCTGAGAGGTGAGGTTTGGCTCCCCTGGCCACCCCAGAGTCAACACAGGGCCTGTGTGTTTTTCTTTGCCTCTGGGCCCATGTTCTATTCTTTCCAGCCTTTGCCTTGGAAACCCCACCCTCCATTCTTTTCTGCTCCCCTGCCTTCTGGGTGGGTCTGGCCAGTGGAGAGCCTGGGGGAGATGGAGGATGGGAGGAGGGTGAGTGGGCTATTTATTCCCTCCTCCCTTTTCCTTCGGGTTGCCAGCGGTTGCCATGGGTGGGTGGCGTCCCTCAGCCACTCCTGCAGTCATGTCACTCCCTCTACCCAGGTTTTTCTGTAACTGCTCCTTCCCCTGCAGTGTCAGGCCCAGGGATAGAAATACATGGGGGAGAAATGAAGTGACTGCTGTCCTGGTTTGCCCAGGACTGTCCCAGGTTTTTGCAGTGAAAGTCCTGTGGCCCAGGAAGCCCCTCAGTCCTGGGCACACTTGGACGGCTGGTCACCCTAGGTAGAAAAACCATCTTTTGTGCTTCCCCTGTACGCTGCCCATGCCTTAATATATTGTCCTTTTGTGAAAATTTCCTCTGCCATCTGTTTCCTCCCAGGACCCTGGCTGATGCACCAGGAGCTTGAGGAGATGGAGTGGTGTTCAGAGCCTCTTCCCTTTAGAGTTCAGAGCAACCAAATGGGCATCATGCTGAACGTGGGAGAAACAAAAGAATCTCTTGCACTTGGACTCTTTTCTGAAAATTTGCCCCCTGCAAAGCAAAATGGTGGTGGTGATGATGACGGTGATGATGGTAGTGGCCATTTCTTTGCCTACCCACTGTGGCCTTGTTGTGAAGAACTTTGATGCCCTGTTGTATGTGATCGTTATGACAATCCTGTGAAGTTTTTCAATGATGAAGGAAACTGAGGCTTAGAGAGTTGGAGTAATCTGTGAAGGCTCAGGATGGGCAAGAGGTCCCGCCCAGGTTTGAGCCCAGATGCGAGGTTACCACGCTTCCTGGTGAGGTGTTTTACAACTAAGGCCAAGCCAGGCAAAACCCATTGTTCTGCAGCTTCTGGCTTGGATTGGGTGTCTTGTTGAGTATGTGGGCAGTGGATCTGATGTTTTCCACTTCCTCCCATGTGGCAGGGCTGTGTGCATGGAGCATGAGGGGCTGGCTGGGCAGACAGCCTTGATTTGACTGAATTCAGCCATGGCCCATGTTGGAAAATGTTAGCCTATTTTTCCTTCTCCATTTGCCCCTTCCCCCTTTTTTTGTTTTTATAATTAGAATCAGAGCCAGCCATAGTTGGAAGAGAACTTGAAGTTCATCTAGTTCTGGGATGGCAAATAAGTGACACATGTGCTGCCACTCCTCATTGCCTTGACCGTGGTAGACATTGCTAATCAACCCTAGCGTAATTAGTCTTCCCAGTGAGCTCAGAGACAGCCACTAATAATCAATTGTTGTTGGCATGCAACGGGGACCCTATTTGCCATTCTTGATGTAGCCCAGCTTCTTTCACTGCATAGATTAGGAACTTAAGGCCCAGAGTCGTTAAATGACCCTCAAGGGAGCCAGTGGGATTTTTTTGAAGCCTTCTCCACACCAGGGTGTTCGCTCTTAAGAGATGATTTTGGGTTAAACAAAGTGTGGTATAGAGGAAAGCACCTGGGTTTGCAAAGCAGTGCCTGGATCTGGGTTCACATCCCAGCAATGCCTCTTGTTGCTTGTAACTCTGGGTAGATCACATGAGTTCTCTGACCCTCATCTTGGAAACTGAAATTCCCATCCCTACATCCCAGGATTGTGAGAGTAAATGACATGGTATATTTATCCAACATTCAGCAGTATGTGCTGGGCACCGTTCTAGGCATTGCGTGTTGCGGTGAGCTGCATAGGCAGTTCTCATGGAGCTGGCTGCCCTCATAAAGATGAGGCTAGTTTTCTTCCTCTTTCCTTCTCGGAAACCCATGGAACTGTGTTGTCATCATTATCTTTTACTTCTCTTCTGTCATATCCACTTAAATTTTGGTCCATTTCTGCATCCCATGACTTGCTTTGGGAAGTGATTTATTTTTTCTTTCATTCCTGGTCTCATTTCCATTCTTGTGTCTGGGTGGATGGTCAGTGAGTCCTTTGTCACAGTCACCAAAAATCAAAATGACAGACTATTCCCTGCTGAATGGATGTTCTGGGGTACTGGGTCTAGATTTGGGAATGACATACTCCCTTTGAAAATGTGCTGAAAGCTATGGATCCTTGGGCTGGCAAAATGGTAAGACAGAGCAGGGCTTATAAAACTTAGCAACTATGTGTTTTTTAGCATCCATAATATAGGCATTCTTAGGGATTCATGGACACCTCCCTCTCTAGGGCAATAAACCAGGCTAGGGGGTCAGTGACGCTTCCCCAGCAGGAAATGGAGCTTTGCACAGAAATAAACATGTAAGTGATAAAAAAAAAAATGTTTCATTAAGTAGAAAGATCAAGGTTTTTATTCAGAGTTTTGCTCCTTTGGCCAGGTAAGTGTGGGGCTGGTCCCTGCAGCGTTTTCTGTACTTGCTTGAGCTGTGTTTAGTCTTCTTGGTTATGGTGAAATATTTTTTCTTTTATCCCAGTCTGGAGTTTCAAGGTTGGCACTTCTTGCCCCTAAAATGTTTGTTTTAAGATTTAGAGCAGTTCTTCACTCTCTGATAAGGTGTAGTGCATCACTGGAGCTGCGTTGTGATTGAGTCCGAGGGCTGTTCTGCTGGAATCAGGCAGATGGTGGCTCACTGCTCAGCTTTGCCCTGGCTCTCAGTGTGACCTTGGGCTGCCTCACCTCCCTGACCTGTAAAGCAGAGGGACAGAGTGACCACAAACCCTTGATGACCAACGATTAAAGAATACTAAGCATGAGAAAATATGCCCAGGGAGTATCCACAGAGGCAAAGGCAGTCTTGGCATTTGAACGCCTGGAATTTGGGAAGTATGGATCCTTTACTGAGTCTCTATCATGGAGGCTACCTGGCAAATTCAGCTGATGTGAATGGAGCAGTGGACGATGAGTGCAGGTCTAATGGGCTCCTTCCTTCTGGATACCAAGGACTTCACCTTCAGCAATGGTAAGCAAGCACCACTAAGAGAAGCTGAGGGTTTTCCTTGGTTGTTAACATTTTAAGGACCCCAATAAACAAGTTTCCTCATTGTCTTTGTTTCTCCCCAGGTTGGCTGGCCCCGATCTTTAGCCACACCCTAGAGCAAAACGTCACTTAAATGACTAGAGAGGGACAGAGTTCCTTGGGGCCATTTCAGATTTAGACATGGAATTTTTCTGGGATAATTCCTTTGCCACTGAATTTTGCATTTGCATGTTCTAAAGCCAAAAAAAGGAGTTGAACTTTCCCTTTTGTTTGCTTCATTACTCCCACTACGTTTGGCGGGACGGCGGTTGTGGTTTTTATTCTCAGATTTGTTTTTATGAGCGTGCTGTGCGCATGGAGTCCTCTCTCCTCCCTGAGGATTTTGTAGGACGATTCAAGCCGGCTCTCTGCCCAGCTGGGTACCGATTGCCAGGGCTGGACCGGGTGAAATAATGGAACCTGCCATTTCTCAGGCACCTATGATGTGCCAGGCACTTATTCAGCCCCCTGGGTGGGCAGTGTCCCCGTGTTACAAGAGAGGGGACAGGTACCCCAGGCCCTTGGCCTCCAGGGTCACATGGCTGTGGGTTGTGGAGCTGCGATGCAAACCCAGGTCAGGCCGACTCGAGCTCGTGTGTCTTTTCCTAGGCTCCACTGCTTTTCCTGAGACCTCAGGGGACTTCCCAGGTGTCCTTTATGTGCCCACTCTTGTATGGTTCCACCTAAGGAAAAATGAAGTAGGTGTTGGTTGGACAACAAGGCAGGCCTTGGAGAGTTCTCCTTCATTTCTCCTGCCCCTCAGCCTCCTTGCCAAGCTTGAGTGCAGCCAGGATTTTCCTAGTCCCTTGAGTTACCTGGCCGGGGTGGCTTTTTCCAGGCAGCCAGCTCAGGGAAGAAGCTAGGGCTCCATCCACCTCACCTTTGTGATCTTCTGAGGGAGCCGCAGCCAGTGTGTAAGGGAAGCAGGGGTAGAGACAGTAGCTTTGTCATTAGTCTCCGCATTTCACAGGTGAGAAAAGGAGTCTCCCAGGGGAAGTGGCGTGGGCACAGTGAGAGGTGGCTGGCTAAGCCAGAGCTCTTCCTAGTGCCAGCACCTTCCTAGAATTAGCTGTGAGACTGAAGAGAGGAAAGATGACATCTGGTCACAGGCTCCACATCTGGTCCGATGGGGCAGATGCCTTGATTTCACAGTTGGCGAAACTGAGGCCCAGGTAGAGAGACTGCCCCAGTCGCTGTCCCTACCCCGGTACAGCATGCTGTTTTCTCACTTTGTCTATTTGATGATGCAACCAGGAAAATCTTGATCAGGGAAGAGTGAAGGTCTCATTCATTCATTCATTCATTCATTCATTCATTCGTTTTGGCAGCTGAAGTTCTGAGGTTTTAAAAAAATTTTTTTATTGTGGTAAAATATGCATAACACAATACTTATCATTTTATCCATTTGTAAGTGTACAATTCAGTGGCATTAAATACATTCACAGTCACCACTGTCTACACCCAGAACTTTTTCATCATCCCCAGCACAAACTCTGTACCCATTCTCTCCTCGTCCCAGCCCCTGGTCACTGCTGTTCTACTTGCTGTCTCTATGAGTTTGCCTATTGAAGTACCTGAGCTAAGTGGAATCATACGGTATTTGTCCTTCTGTGTCTGGCTTATGTCACTTAGTGTGAGGTTTTTACGTTCCCCCCATGTTTAGCACATGCCAGAATTTCCTTCCTTTTTAAGGCCAAATAATGTTCCATTGACTGGATAGACCACATTTGATTTATCCATTCTTCGGTCGACAGACACTTGAGTTGTTCCCTTGTTGGCTGTTGTGGGTAACGCTCCTGTGAACATTGGTGCAAGTATTTATTATCGCCCCTGCTTTTGGTTCTTTTGGATATACATCTACGAGCGGACATTTATTTTTTAAAGATGTTCACCCCCCTTACCCATTACATAAAGAACTCGGGTTTGTTGTAGCACAGTTAGATAACGCAAATAAACAGAAGAAAACCAAATCCACCTAGAATGCCGACAGCCAGAGATGATAATTAACATTTTTGTAGGGTGTTCATTTGCATGTGCCGTTTTTTCCATCCATACTTGATGATGCTGTACCTGGACAGTCTTTGGTGTTGTGGGCTGGATCTTCATTTAGAAACATATATAAACCAGGCCTGAGGCCCTGCTGTGGAGGGAGGGGATGCCAGCTGGACTTTCACTACCACCAGGTTGCGTCCTTGATAGGGGCAGGATGCACCCCGTGTCTGACGCTGTGTCCTGCTGTGCTTGCTTCCTTTTCCTGTTCTCTGTCCCCAGACTGGACCCCGTACGTTTGTTACCAGTCCCTAACACTCACTGTCCCAAGAAGGCTGCCTCGCACAATGCCTGGTTGTGGTTAGTGCTCAATAAGTATTTGTTGAATGAGCTAATAAGAAATGATCGATTGAATGAACGAATGAGAGAAATTCCCCAGCGAGCTGACCTTGGGCCTGGCTCAGCTGAACCGTGAGAGGGCCTCTCTGGCTCGACCATTTCGCCTGTGGTGGTGACTGGGCAGAGTGACCCAGCACGGTGAGCTGTCCTTGCTGTCACCTGTGGGAAAGGCAGGGGTTGTGCCTGTGGCCCTGGCTCAGACAGCAGGGCCCTGTGAGTTCCCTCGCTCCAGACCTTCGCTCAGGGTCTTCTGGGTGTCAGGTGCCCGGCTGAGGGCTGGGCTGTGGGGTGAACCAAACACAGCCCCACTAGAACACCTTCGTTCCAGTCGGGGAGACAACCCTTGCAGAGAAGAAGCTGGTAATTTCAGGTGGCAAGAAGTCGATGATGAAAAATACATCCTTGTCCTTTCCTTTTTCTTTTCTTCTCTCTTGTTTTCATTTGTTTTTTTTTTACTTTTTATTTTGTCTTATTTTTTTGAGGTAGGGTCTCGCCCTGTCACCTAGGCTAGAGTTCAGTGGCACAATCACAGCTTGCTGCAGCCTCAGCTTCCTGGGCTCAAGTGATCCTCCCACCTCAGCCTCTCGAGTAGCTGGGCCTGCGGGTGTGTGCCACCACATCCAGCTAATTTTTAAATTTTTTGTAGAGATGGGGTTTTGCCATCTTGTCCAGGCTGGTCTTGAACTCCTGCGATCAAGTGATCCTCCTGCCTTGGCCTCCCAAAGTGTTGGGATTACAGGCATGAGCCACTAGGCCTGGCCTCTTTCCCTTTTTAAAAAAATTACTTCATTTGGCTGTTTCTTGGTTGATTGGAGGCCAGGGATGTGCAGTTGCTGTGTTTGAATCTTAGCTCTGCCACTTACTAGTGATGATCTTGGCAATGGTTTTGAGCTTGGCGAGCCTCAGTTTCCTTGTCTGTGTAACGAAAGATGGGGGTGTGTCTACATCACAGGGTTATCATGAGGCATAACTGAGACATTGCTCAGGAAGCACTTCTTATTGGTATTACTTACGAACGGGCCATGATTGCATAATGAATCTGATGGCTACATGCTTTTGAAATTACAAAACCAATGCCATCCAATTGATTGGTGATCTGCCTGGGATAGGAGCAAGTTAATGCATTGACCATGGGGGGCTTAGCACAGCGCCGTTTCCCTGGGAGACTTGGGCTGAACCGAATTTGTTCAGCCAAAGATTCTGCCTCCTCCCTGGGAACTAGGAACAAAAGGGCCTTGCTTGAAAGAGGCTGTTGTTCCTTCACCAAGTTTAGAAAGCCAAAGTTCAGTTTCTGCAACCAGTTCCAGGAGTTATGTGGCAGGGCTAGACTTTTTCCTTTTTTCTTGTGCCTAATTTTGGGCCAGTTCTTCTGGTTAGATGATTGAGGTGACCAGAACATACAGGAAAATAAACAGAAACCCCCAAACTGCCCTTTGAAGCTGTCCATCCTCGCTGGGCAGGAACAAGGATCTTCTTGGGCTCTAGAAGTTTTTTTTAGTTGAGCGAGTTTCCATCCCACCAGGCAAGGGGCTTAGGCGAGGTTGTGTGATGTGGGCCCACGCCCTTGGGCTGGACGTGGACCCATGTTTGTCACCGGTCCCTAACACTCACTCTGGGACCTGGGCACATCCCGCAACCAGTCTGAGTGCCCCAGCCTGGTGTTCCCATCCCAGATGAGGCGCTTGACAACCTTCTGCCCCGTTGGGAAGGTGGGACAAAGCCTGCCTAGTGAGGCAGGGGCTTAACATAGAGCAGCCTCTATAGCAGTGCCCCCAGCAGCGGTGCCTCTCCCCCTCTGTGAGGCTCCCCTCAGTTTCTCTTTACCCCGTAAAGGCCTCCTGTGAGAAGATGAGAGGATTTGAATGCGCCACCCTCAAAAATGGCATTTATACCCCAGGTTTGGTCTGGAAAAAAGAGGAATTTAGTGTTTTTACTTTTCCTGGCCTCTTCTCTTTTGCTCCTTTATTTTTTTCTTTTTCTTCTTTATTTTTTTTTTTTTGAGATGGAGTCTCGTTCTGTCACCCAGGCTGGAGTGCAGTGGCATGATCTTGGCTCACTACAACCTCCGCCTTCCAGGTTCAAGCGATTCTCTTGCCTCTACCTCTCGAGTAGCTGGGATTACAGGCATGTGCCACCATGCCTGGCTACTTTTTAAATTTTTATTAGCAATGGGGTTTCGCCATCTTGCCCAGGCTGGTTTTGAACTCCTGGACTCAAGCAATTCACCTGCCTCGGCCTCCCAAAGTCCTGGGATTATAGGTGTGAGCCACCGTGCCTGGCCTTCTTTTTTTTTTTTTTTTTTTTTGAGGCAGAGTATTGCTGTATTTCCCAGGCTGGAGTACGGTGATGAAATCACGGCTTACTGCATTCTCAACCTCCCAGACTCAAGCGATCCTCCCATCCCAGCCTCCCCAGTAGCTGGGATCACAGGAGTGCACCACCATGCCCGGCCCTTGCTCCTTTGTTTCTAATGTGGGGCTCCTGTGGTCCTCTAGTCCAGGTGAACAAGTCTTTGAAATGCACGATCAGGGGCAACCTTTTGGGTAGCTTTTTGGAGCCCAAGATAATGAGCGGGCTTTCCTGGGCAGGGGCCAGAGGGCTGGGGAGGCAGAAGGCCATGGTTCTCTATGTTCATCTCAGGCTCCCAAGCCTGTCTTCAAGATAAACTGTAAAGTGTGCTCACTCTCCCACTGCCCACTCAGACCCCCAGGTGATGTGTCCGTTTTCTGGAAGTAGAGCGCAAACTCAGAGAGAGGCCGGGGCTGGAATTCCAGCTCTGCGGCCCCATCTGCATGAGTGTCCCTCTCCTTGCGGGTAAATTGAGGGCAAGGATGGAACCTTCCGCACCTTGTAGGGTGAGAACGAAGTGAGAAGTGAGCAGATATGCCCCAGGCCTCTCGCAGGGGCCTGCGCGTGCCGTGCCCTCTGTGCTTTCAGAGTGTTCTCTCATTCAGCAGTTAGGCATCGTGCCTGAAGCATGCCCTTATGGGGCACCTCCTGGGTACCAGGCATTGTGCTAAGGGTTGGGAGTGTGGAGACAACAGCATGGGAGAAGAGAGTTATGGACAATCGGTTCCAGTGCCCGCAAACGAGGGTGACTCAGGGTGGGCACTCGTGGGAAGCAGCAGGGTCCCTGGAGAGAAGGCTGCTGATCCAAGAATGGGTCCGCTCAGGCCAGGAGGAGAAAGCAGGGAGGAGCTTTCTGGGCAGAACACAGCATTGGGAAAGTCCGAGGGGCCTGGTGAGGCCTGGCACACGCTCCATAGGCCTCAGGTGTATTGAGTGGGCTGGGGGCTGGTGGAATTGTGGAGGGCGGACGCAGTGAGCTGCCTGCATGCTGGCCTTGGGACTTTGGACTTCAACATGGAAGCCGAATTACAGGAAGGCCCCATGAACGTCTTGTTCTTTCCTACTCCGCTTTGAGAGGACCTAATTCTTTGCCCCGATTTGGATCAACCTTAGGCCCAAGAACCTGGCAATGGCTGAGCTGATCAGGAGTGTGGGGCCCAGTTCGTTGCCAACAGGGAAATGTCCTCTGTCCCTCAACCTTTGACGTTGGTGGGGAAACCCAAAGGGGCTGGCAGCCCTTGGGGTCATTCTGGACTAGAAGCATCTAGACCCAAGATAATGCAAAGAATTGTCACGTATAGGAAAACTGGGATCAGCCCAGGCCAGTAATCAAAACAGCATGTTGGAAGTTCTACCTTGGGCTCTGCCACTTGCCTGCTGTGTGACCTTGGTCAAGTAACTTCACCTCTCTGAGCTTTTGTTTTTCATCAGTACAATGGGGCAGATAGCGGTACCAACTCCATGGGCTTCTGTGAAGGATTCAGTGAGATAATGCACATCTGGTGTTAGCCTTGTGTCTGACACAGAGAAAGTATACAGGAAAAACAGAGGGCTCTTATTACTGCCGTTACCACTGTCATTGCTACTGTTACCAAGATTACAGAGGAGGGGACCTGACTACACCCAAGGTCTGAGGGGCCAGAGAGGGCTTCCCAGGGCAGGTGACGTCAGGCTTTGGAGTCAGACCTTCTTAAGTTCAGGCTTTGCCTGAACTGTGGATTCACAGTTCTTCAGAGAACTCACTATGTGTGACATTGGGCAAGTTAGTTATTGAAATTAAGTTGAGCATGTTATTTACATTCTGATTACGTTAGTTAAACTCTACCTGGAAAATGGGATAATAACACCCGACAGCCAGGCTGCCGTGGGAGTATCAGAGCCACCAGGCCAGTTCTGTTTGAACATTTCCCTGAATGTCTTGGAGGATGGGATGGGGAGGGATGAGGAGGGCCTTCTTTGGGGTCCTCCTGTCTGCTGCACCCTTGACCTTGTCTGGTGTCTGACAGCAGCAGCAGGTAAAGAGCAGGCCTCAGTGATCTCCTGCATTTCCTCTGGCCCTCACTGGGAGCTCTTGCCTTGCCTGACAGTTCACCAAGTACTGTGTACTATCTTGTGCAGAAATCATGAGCAGGAGGAAGAACAAACCACTTCCTCTACAACCTTCAGATTTATCAGACACAACTTTTGACAGTTTCAGTTTAAAGAGAATTTCAAAAGAAGATGTTGAAAGCAATAGGGAAATAAAGCGGCCCCTGGCCTCAGCTCTCTGCTGCTTCCACATTTGAGACAAAGGCGCCGCAGGGATGCTGGGAGAGAGCCCCAGCGGTTCAAGAGGTGCCCCATCCAGGCGCCCCGTCCAGGCAGCTTGGGTCCAGAGCCTTCTTTGCACGTGCAGCCTGCTGGCTGTGGTGGCTGGGGTTCTGGGCATCTGCAGGGTGCTTTTCATGTCCTGGGAGTAGTGGCGTTTGCACAGAGGCCGGGTCACAGAGACAGATGTTTCAGAAGTTTGACCTCAAAACAGCTTTCTTTTCCCTTGGGTTGTCTGGAGAAAGTGCTAAAAATAAGGCTGGATCTGAGCAGGCGCTGCTGACAGGCCACCTGGAGGTTCGAGTCCACCACGAAGGTGGAGTCTTGGGGTTATACTGGCTGGAGCCATAGGAAATTGAGATTTAAAAAAGCTATTAAAAAGATTATAAATGAGATCTTGCTGTGTTTCCCAGGCTGGTCTTGAGCTCTTGAGCTCAAGGGATCCTCCCACCTTGGTCTCCCATACTGCTGGGATTACGAGCATGAGCCACTGTGCCCAGCCAAAATTGGGATTTTGTAAGTAGAAAATGATTAAATATTGGTTCCATATAGTTTGTAAGTAAACACAATTCTTGACTTCCTCATGTGATCTCTTCGCTGTAGCCCTGAAACTCCTGAGATCAGTACAAAAAGAAATCCTTTCTTGGGAAAGAAAAGGGAGTGTTATGATTGGTGTACATACACATAGGCACACACATATGCATACACACATGCACACAGGCACAAACGTGCATACACACATGCACACAGGCACACATGTGCGCACAAACATGTGCATACACACATGCACACAGGCACAATGCGTGCATACAAATATACCCACATGCACACACACGTACACATAAATGCATGTAGACATACTTGTGCATATACACATATACATGCATACATATGTACATATACACGTATACACATAGGCACAATACATGCATATAAATATACTCACATGCGCACACACATACATGTACACATACATGCACACATAGAAATACATATACACATACCATATATACTTGCTTGTACACACAGGCACAATATATGCATATAAATGTACCCACACGCACACATATGCACACATAAATATGTATAGGTGCACACATATGTATACATGTATGTGTATACATGTGCATATGCATATACACGTACAAATGCATACACACATACATGTACATGCACATACATTTGTACATGCATATGTACACATACACATGTATGCAGACATGCACACAGATACATAGGCATACATATACACATGTGCAGACATGTAATACACATACCAGTGTACACATACACACATGTGCACACACACATGCATACACAAATACACACACACACACAGTTATACAGTAGTCCACTCTCATCCTTGGGGGATATGTGTCAAGATTCCCAGTAGATGCCTGAAATGGTGGAGAGTACTGAACCCTACATAGACTCTGTTTCATCCTACGCGTACATACTGGTGATAAAGTTTAATTTATACATAAAATAAGGGTGACTTGAACACAAGCACCATGATACCATGGCAGTGGAATTGAGTACAGAGAGGGCTGCTGAGTGACTCACAGGCAGCTAGGACATGCAGTGTGGACAAACTGGACAGAGGGAGGACTCACGTCCTGGACAAGATGCAGCAGGACAGTGTGGGATTGAAGACTAAAGAATTGTCTGGAATTTTCCACCTAATCTTTTTAGACTGCGGTTGACTATGGGTCACTGACACTGCAGAAAGTGAAACCTCAGCTCAGGGGGCACTGCTGCAGGTGCACACACAGATTCACGGACATGTACATGCATATGCACTCAATGTATATGCCGTGTACACACACACTCACGCACATGCACATGTGCTCTCAGTATACACATGTATGCACGTGCACACAGGTACATCCTCACCCGCCATCTTTGAAATCTCACTTATTGCATTTGTGTTTCTGATGTATATGTAACTTTGGGCAAGTTGTGTGACGTCTCTGCCTCAGTTTCCTCGTCTATAAGATGAGATTAGCAGCAGTGTTTATGACCTGGAATTGTGGTCAGGATTCCATGAGAGGATGTATGAACCAACTTGAGAGCAAGGCTCAGAACCCCAGAAGTGCTTCGTGAAGATGAGCTGTTCGTATTTCCAGTGTCCTTCATGGTGGCTCATCTGGCCGCCCGTTCTGGTATCCTGTGTGTGGCGTGCCCCATGCGTGGAGGAGTGGCCCATCTCCCCAGGGGTCCCCTGGGTCTTGTAGGCACTGATCACAGCCACTCACTTGACACCGTTGAGTGTCAGCTACATGCCATGCCCTGTCCTAGGGTGCCCCAACATGGGCCCTGCTCTCAGGAACCTGAGCATTCACTGGGGGTGGCACCCGCAAATGTGTCAGCCAATCACCAGAGCCCCTTCAGAGGTGGCAGGTGCTAGGACAGTAGAGGGGCAGGGTGAAGGGGTGGAGAGATGGGAGGCCCCTCAGGAGGTGGCCTGGAGGCAGGAGCTGATCCTGTGCAGATGTGGAGAGGCCGTTGGGATGGTGAGTGCAGAGGCCCTGGGGTGGCTGAGGTGCACAGTGGGGTGTGGAGGCTGGAGGGACATCCAGGGGCACATCGTGGCATCTGTGGTGATCTGCAGCCTGCGCCCAGTACTTTGTCCTGTTCCTTTCGGGGCTTGGCCACACCGCAGCTGCCCAGTGAGTGTGTGAGGGGCTGGTCTGTTTAACTGCTTGCCCTGAAGGTGCGAGGAGAGCCTGTTCGCCTTGCATCCAGTGGGCCAAGCTTACATAGATCCCATCTCCTCTGCATACCCTCAGCATCCTGATCTATAAAATGGGAGTGAATATAGCACCTTCAGCCACACCACCAGCCTGCCTGCGGCCCCTGCCTCCTGCCCGGCCTCCTCTGAGGTCAGTGCCTTCAGCTCCTGCTGCACTGGTGGCCACCGCCTGCAAGTGCTTATGTCGGCCTCTGTCTCTGCAGGACGACGTGAACAGGCTGCGGCTGTCACTGACGTGTCTTCCTTCGTGTTTGCCGTGGGGGGCATATAATTGCATTCCTCATGAGGGAATGACACAGAAAGGGCAGGGGGTGTCAGCAGGGGCCGCTCTGTAATTTCCATGTCTGGGACGGATTTCAGGACTGAGCTGTTTTCCTCTTTGACCCGGCAGAGGCTGTTGCCCAAGTCAACAGTGGTGCGTTTTTGAATTTGTCTTTGTTGGTTTTCTTTTTCCCTTTCTTCTTCTTTTTAAAATAGGTCTTTTTTTTTTTTTTTCCATCCTATGAAATAAAACTGGAGACTTGGTTGTAGTGGGTAAGAATTAGCAGTTCCTGTCCTTTTGGTGTGGGAGTTGGGCGGGGGTTGACTTAAATATTTATTTCCCATTAAGGGATTCATGGGCTTGGACGCTTGTGTTGGAATGGGGTGATCTCAAATCTCACTCATGATTTTCGACCCCTGTAGGACTTGGGCCTGCCTTTGGGGGACGCGGGGACGCAGGGACGCATTGAGCAGAAGCTGCAAGCGGATGACCCATGGGCCAAGTCAAGTCTGCTGACGTGTTTTACTTGGCCCACACAGTGGTTTTTTTTTTTTTTTTTTTTCTTAAAGCTTCAGTAAGTTGTCTGCCTTTAAAGTTGGGAGCATTCCCCTAAAAAGTTCCGGATATCCATTTTCTAATAATAACAACAGAAGCAAACATTTCTATGTGACTTACCACAGGCCTGGCTCAGCTCTAGACGACTCCCATCCCTTTGCTCCTGGGATCCCCAGACAGTTCCGAGGTGGTGCTTCCTGTGATCATCCCCATTCTACAGCTAAAGAAGCAGAGGCAGGCCTTTAACCGGGCACTCCTGGCTGTGCCCATGTTCCTGTGTGGCCACCCCTTCAGGCTGGGCACGGCCTCTCCACTCCCCCAGCCTCCTAGCCCACTGTACTCAGGTTCCCCCCTGCTCAGAGCTTGTGGGCGTGGACTTTGTACCCCCCGGGCTTGGAGAGGGCAAGGTGACTGTGGGAGTCCAGCTGCTGCTCCTTAAGTTGAGTTGTCTGTCACTGACTTACCCTCCCTCCCTCTCTCCCTACTGTCTCCATTCTTCTCTTTCCCCCTTCTTTCTCCTGCACCCTCTTTTTCCATTCCTCCCTTCCCCCTTCCTTTCTCCGCTCTCTCTTTCCTTCACTCCCTTCCTCCCATTCATCTGGTGCTTACCGGGGGCCACCAGGTAGGCACGTCGCACACTACTTCTGCTTCATGTGAGGGGTTCATGGTGGCTTCTCCCTACCTTCAGACCACACCTCTGGTGGGAGGTGCTGCGTGAGGATCCCAGGGGTGAACTGAGTCAGGTCAGAGGAGCAGGGAGCCCCAGCCCCTGGTGTCTTCTTACTGTGTGGTCTCTTCCGTGTCACCGCACTTCTGTGGAAGGGGAATGATGGGGGAAGTGGAGGAACCACTGTCCGCCTGCGGAGGGGCCTCAGTGTTGGCCGTGCTCATGGCGCCCTCCTCCTGGGGCTCCCTCTCCTCTGGTCCTGCCTCTCCTGCACGCCCTTCCTGCCTCCTTGGTGCCAGGGGAGCCAGCCCAGGACAGTCTCTGTGCCTAGGCCCTGCCAGCCTGGCTGCCCTGCCTCCAGCCATGGGGGGCGGGCGGGGAGGGAGTCGACCAGTGCTTGTCTTTGCAGAACTGCTGGTGGACTGAATGTGGTTCTGGGGGTGGCCAGGCCTGAGGGTAACTCATTTTGGAAGGTTTGGGATGTCACTTCACTTAAGGAGCCTTCAGCAACATGGAGTTTAAGTGGCCCTCTTCACCGTGGCCTTGTGGCTTCATGAATGGAGCTGCTGTGGTCAGCATGGCTGGCCCTCTGGAGAGGAGGGTGGGCCATGAGGAGAAGATGCTGTGTCTGGAGGCCTTAACCCTTTCCTCCCTTCTCTCCCTCCCTCCCTCCTGTCTCTTTCTCTCTCTGTCTCTTTCTCTCTAGGTGCATAAAAAAAATTGCTTTCAGATAAAGTTGACATGCAATAAACTGCATATTCTCCCTTTGCTTTTAAAATGATGATCTGTTTCAGCCATGCAAAGCAGGGTATAAAATAATATTTCAGTGTAACCACTCAGCGGAAGAAATAAACCATTCCAGTTGCAATACCTGATGTACCGTTCTCTGATTTCAAACCCTTCCTTTTCTCTGCCCCGACTTTGATGTTTATTCTTGTGCATATTTTTGTACTTGTACAACTACATACTCTTATAGAACACTCCATAATGTTTCCTAGATTTTTTTTTTGTTATTATATAGCTTTTATTTCACAATCATAAACTTAACTCAACTCTGCAATCCAGCTAGGCATGGAAGGGAACAAAACATGGAACCCAAAGGAAACTGCAGTGAGAGCACAAAGATTCTAGGATACTGTGAGCAAATGGGGCAGAGGGGTGCTCTCCTGAGCTACAGAAGGAACGGTCTGATGGTTAAGATAAAACACAAGTTGCTGGGTGTGGTGGCTCACTGCCGTAATCCCAGCACTTTGGGAGGTTGAGGCAGGTGGATCATGAGGTCAGGAGATCAGGACCATCCTGGCTAACACGGTGAAATCCTGTCTCTACTAAAAATACAAACAAAATTAGCTGGGTGTGGTGGGGGGCGCCTGTAGTCTCAGCTACTTGGGAGGCTGAGGCAGGAGAATGGCATGAACCCGGGAGGCAGAGCTTGCAGTGAGCTGAGATTGCTCCACTGCGCTCCAGCGTGGGTGACAGAGTGAGACTCCTTCTCAAAAAAAAAAAAAAAAGATAAAACATAAGTCAAACTTTATTCAAGTTGTCCACAGTTAGCAATAGTGATCTTCTTGCTGGTCTTGCCATTCCTGGACCCAAAGTGCTCCATGGCCTCCACAGTCTTCACGTCTTCTTTCACCTTGCCGGAGACCACGTGCTTGCGTTCAACCACTCAGTCTTGGCAGTGCGTGTGGAAAACTGGGAACCGTTTGTGTTGGGTCCAGCATTTGCCATGGACAAGATGCCGGGACCTGTATGCTTTAGGATGAAGTTCTCATCTTCAAATTTCTCCCCATAGATGGACTTGCCACCAGTGCCATTACGGCGTGTGAAGTCACCACCCTGATACATAAACCCTGGAATGTTCCTGTGAAAGCAGGAACCCTTATAACCAACTCCTTTCTCTCCAGTGCTCAGAGCGTGAAAGTTTTCTGCTGTCTTTGGAAACTTGTTTGCAAACAGCTCGAAGGAGATGCGGCCCAAGGGCTCGCCGTTGACAGCGATGTCAGAGAACACAGTGGGGTTGACCATGGCTGATAGAACAGGTTTCCCGACGGCGCCGGTGTCTGCAGAGTGGCCATGTTTCCTAGATTGTAAAGTTTCATATAAATAGTATCATTACTTGGGCCTTCTTGTGCAACTTGCCTTTTTAGTTTGCTTACTTTCTGTATATGAGATCCATTGTATGAAGAAGCCGTGGCATATTTATTTATGCATTCTGTTGATGGTCTTCTAGATTGCTTCTAGATTTTTGCTGCTGTAAACAATGCCACAGTGAACATCTTCATAGATAATCTCCATTTACAGGAATCCAAGAGTTTCTCCCATTTCCTGTTTCTTCTCCCTCCCACCCCTTCTTTCCTTTTGTCCTTACTTCCCGACGTCAGCCAAGTTCAGCTTCTCAGGCTCCCTAAGGATCTTTAGGAGACGGTGAAGATGAATGAAAAGACCCCAGCCCCAGCGTGGAGGTCAGGGCTCCTGGGTTTCAGCCTCAACTTGGTGGACCTCTTTGGGCTTCATCTATAGTAGGACCATTTTTATCTCGTGGGGCTAATTCATGCCGCGTTGAGCTGAGCACCTGGGCATATGGTTGATGCTTGAAAAATGGCAGCTGGTTGTGTCTATCTTCTGATTTTGAAGATACACATCGGGCTTGGAAATGTCGGCCCTGAACTCTTTTTTTTTGAAATGGAATCTTGCTGTGTTGCCCAGGCTGGAGTGCAGTGGTGTGGTCTCGGCTCACTGCAACCTCAGCCTCCTGGGTTCAAGTAATTTCCTGTCCCAGCTTCCTGAGTAGCGGGGATTACAAGCTTACACCACCACACCCACGCCTGGCTAATTTTTATATTTTTAGTAGAGACAGGGTTTCACCATGTTGGCCAGGCTCGTCTCGAACTCCTGGCCTCAGTTGATCTGCCTGCCTTGGCCTCCCAAAGTGCTGGGATTACAGGCGTGAGCCACCGCACCTAGCCTGAATTCTTAAGGGGTAGATACAGGGCAGGGTATGGACTGTGCATCCAGGTCCCCTCCTTTCCCACTGAAGGCAATGGCTGCCCTCCCTGTGTGAAGGCGGCTGGACTGTCGTCATCAGCACTCAGAACTCCTTGCTCCTGCATGTAAGACTCCGGGATCATATAATATTTAAAAATGCAGCAGCTTAAACACAGCAGAAGCTTGTTTGTTTTCTCTCGTATAAAGGAAATCTAGGGTCTAAGTCGTGTGAGGGTTGCCGTGGCTGGCCTGTGGCTTTGAGGGCCTAGGGCCCCTCCATGTGGCTGCTCCTCCGTTCTTAGCACCATGGGCCAAGAGAGGCTCAAGTTCCTGCCATTTTGCCTGCCTTCCAGTTAGTGGGAAATGGGATCTTACCATTTCGTTTGCATTCCAGTTAGCAGAAAGTGGGAGTGGCAGGGGAGTGGAAAAGGACTTCTGCCCTGTTAAGGTGACTTCTGCTTTCACCTTACTGGCCAGACCATCATGTGGCATCCCCGGCTGCAAGAGCATCTGGGAAATGTAAGTGGGAGCCATGAATCCCACCCCACAGCAGGATTTTTATTATTGAGAAGGGAGAGGAGGCCAGAATAGGGTGTTGGCATGGGCCACGCTAGCCATCTCTGCCACTGCCCTTCCCCCCCACCCCAGAAAGTATCCCAGGGCCAGTCTCCACTTCACTCTTGGGAAGGCGAAGGCTGGTCAGGGAGACACATTGCGTGGGCATTCCCTCAAGCTTCCGGAACAGGCCATCCTTTGAAAGCCACTCACATGTAGCACAGTGGAAGGAAGCAAGGCTTTTACAGGGGCAGAGGGAGTGGTAAGGTATCAGCAAGCCGTAGAGTAGAACAGGGAGCCGACAGTTCTGCATGGCGCCAGCAGCTCCTGGGAAGGGGTTGTAGGGCCGAGATTTTGGCGTCCTGTATGGAGAGGAGCAGCCTGCCGGAGAAGATAGTGAGCTCCCTGAGAAAGCAGGTGTGCAAGCAAAGGTCAGATGGACATGTGTCAGTCAGGGAGGCCACCGAGTGCGTTCTAGATCCAGAAAGCACATTCATGGAATTCCATTGAGGAATTATGGAAGGGATCTCATGCAGGGATGGTGAATGCACAGACCATGTGTGGTCCCCTCCACCCTCCAGCCCTTGTTGGTCCTCCTGGTGCCCTGCAGAGCCGCAGCCACCCCAGAGCCTCCCGGTGGGAAGAAGTTGGCACCTGAGATAAACCCATTTGCTTTTCCCACTTGAATTCAGTTCTCTTGTTCCTATAGGTGTGGACGTTGAGGGCCAGCCTGGAAGCGCCATATCCAGAGGCACTCAGGGAGGGGAGCAGGAGACCCAGGGCTCTGGGATTCAGGTCCCTCTGTCACACCCTGCCCTTCTTCTGGGTCTTTCTTCCCCACCTCCCAGCCAGAAATTGCCTCCTGGAGCCAGCCCAGCCTCGTCTTGTTCATTGGAGCTCAGTTGGAGACCCGTCCTCACCCGAAGCAGGGTGAGAGGACAGCACCTGCCACCTTTAAGTCTGGGCTTTGCTGGACGCCTAGGAGAAGCCGGGTCCTCAGGCACTCGAGTGGGAAGTGAAAGTGTGCACCAGCTCTTTAGTTCTGCTATTGACCGGACAGGGTTTTTCCTGGGGGGAGGGGGAAGGAGCTGCTGTGTTTTCTTTGCTTAATCTGGCCTTGCCCCACAGAGAAAACACATGCGTAGCCTCCATCCTGTTTGTAAAGAGGGCGGTCAGCTACTCGAAGTTGCTCGCCTGGAAAAACTGGGAAGATGTCATCTCCTATGGTAAGGAGGTGGGGGCTACAGGTAGCTGAGGTGGGCAATGAATGTCTTGAGGGACTGTCAGCATGTGACCTTTTTTTAAATGGTGATAAAATACACGTAACATAAAATGGGCCATTTTAACCAGTTTTAAGTGTGCAGTTCATTGAGTACGTTCACATTGTTGCACAACCATCACCCCCATCCATCTCCAGAACTTTCTCATCTTCTCAAACTGAAACTGTCCCCATTAAATGTTAACTCCTAGTCCCCCTCCCCCAGCCCCTGGCAGCCACCATTCTCTCTTCATTTTCTATGACTTTGACTCCTTTAGGGACCACATATGAATGGGTTAATATAGGATTTGTCTTTTTCGTGTCTGGGTTATGATTATTATTATTTTGCTTTTTTTGTTGAGGTGAGATTTACATAACATAAAATCAACCATTTTAAAGTGAAGAATTCAGTGATATTTAGCCACTACCACCTCTGTCTAGTTCCAAAACATCGTCACCCCAGAAGGAAATCCTGTACCCGTTAACAGTCACTCCTCTTTCCCCCTACCCCCGGCTCTTGAAAACCAACATATGACTTTAAATTTGATTTGCATTTGCATATATTAGGCCCTCTACAAATGTATGCTGAATGAATGAAAGAAAATCCTGGCCAGCTGAGAAATAATGATGAAAGCTTGGATTTCTTGAGTGCCTACTTTGTGCCAGGTCCACATAAGCATGTGTGGTTCTCAGCCCTGGCCGCACAATGGGATCACCTGGGGATCTTCGTAACCCCCAAAACCCAGGCCCCACCCCAGAGACGCTGATGGCTTTGGTCTGGGGGAGGTCTGGGCCATAGCCTTTTCCGAGCGATTCTAACATGAGAGTGAGTGGTAGGCAGTATTTCCTTGGGTCATAGCAGTCCTTTGGGGTAGGTAATATTATCTCCATTTTGTGGATAGGGAAACAGGTTATAGAGGTCAGGTAACTTACCCAAGCTCTCTCAGCTTCAAATCTCCATCTGAGGCCAGGCGTGGTGGCTCACGCCTGTAATCCCAGCACTTTGGGAGGCCGAGGTGGGCAGATCACCTGAGGTCAGGAGTTTGAGACCAGCCTGGCTAGCGTGGTGAAACCCCATCTCTACTAAAAATATAAAAATTAGCCAGGCGTGGTGACACACACCTGTAATCCTAGCTACTCAGGAGGCTGAGGCATGAGAATCGCTTGAACCCGAGAGGCAGAGGCTGCAGTGAGCCAAGATCGTGCCACTGCACTTCAGCCTGGGCGACAGAGTGAGACTGTATCAAAAAATAATAATAAAATCTCCACCTGAGTCCAAAGCCCTGACCCATTCTGCTGCTCCAGCCTCCCTCTGTTGTTTTGCAGGTGATTTTGGAAGGGGCACCTGTTGCTACTTATGTGTTTGCTATGGGGTAAAATAATTAAAAACTATCTAATTGGGATTTATGGGGTGCCAGCTGTATGCCAGGCACTGATTCACGTTCTCTCATTTTACCTTTACAGCCACCTTGTGCAAGGGGACTGTTATGATGACATCAGTTTCCCCAACATTGTTGGGAAAGGACGGGGGTGGTTTGCCTCACTTATCATGGAGGGAGTCTCCCCTTGGCCCTCCTGGTGGGGACCTCAGCTGAAGCAGAGTGGGAAAGAAGCCTGTGTGTGATGTCAGGGTGGGGTCCAAAGTTGAGGCTGAATGCAGTGTTTTCACGGGATGGCTTTGACATCGGTGAGAGCTGCTCTGCCCAGTTTGAACTAGTGGTGGGCCATTGAATGGAGCTGGAGAAGCTGTGCACACCTCAGGGCTTTGGCCCGGCTGTCTCCCTCAGCTGCACATGGTTTGTCCCTCCTATTTGCGTTTGAGATTTTTGATGGCTGTGGGACTCATGATTTATTCAACAAATATTGTTGAGACCTGATAGCTGGGCGCCGTCTGGGGCTCTTAGGAATATGCGGTGATGAGACAGGCACAGTCTCCATTATCCTCATGGTCTGGCAGGTGGTACGGATTGTTGTGTCACCCTCATCTGGGTGTGCCGGGCCCTGTCTCTGCATGAGCTCCCTCATTCCAGCCTCATGGCAGGTGTACAGGTGAGGGCCTTGAGCGACTGTGTGTAACAGATGAGGACAGGGCCGCTCAGGAAGGCTGAGAAGCTTTCCCAACGTTACACAGCTTGTGAGAAGCGGAGACTGAAATTGAATGTGAGCTGATGGCTTCAGAGCTTGACTAAGTAACACTGACAGATAATTATGAAAGAGGAAGTCCAGGGAGCATCTGCGTGGGATGGGGCCATGCCAGGGCCAGAGCGGCTCCCAGAGGGTGCTGTTTCAACTGAGGTCTTGGGGGGATGGGTACACTAGTTTCCTGTGGCTGCTATGACAAATGACCACAGGCTTTGTGGCTTAAAGCAACACAAAGTTATTATCTTACAGTTCTGGAGGTCAGAAGTCCACAGTGAGTCTCGTAGGGGCTAAAGTTGAGGTGTTGTCTTTCTGGAAGCCTAAGGGAAGGGTCTGTTGCCTTTTCCATTATCTAGAGGCTGCTCGCATTCCTTCCCTCGTGGCAGCATCACTCCAACCTCTGCTTCAGTCTTCACATCTCCTCTGGCTCTGGCCCTCCCGCCTCCCTCTTTTTTTTTTTTTTTTGAGAGGGGGTCTCACTCTGTCACCCAGGCTGGAGTGCAGTGGCGCAATCTTGGCTCACTGCAACCTCTGCCTCCCGGGTTCAGGTGATTCTTGTGCCTCAGCCTCCTGAGTAGCTGGGATTATAGGTGTGCGCCACCACACCTAGCTAATTTTTGTATTTTTAGCAGAGACAGCGTTTCACCATGTTGGCCAGGGTGGTTTCGAACTACTGACCGCAAGTGATCCACCCTCCTTGGCCTCCCAAAGTGCTGGGATTATAGGCATGAGCTACCGGGCCTGTCCCTGCCGCCTCTTATAAGGACCCTGTGGTTACACTGGGCTCACCAGATCATTCAGGGGCACCTTCCGTCTCAAGATCCTCAGCTTAAGCAACTCTAAGGGTCCCTTTGCCATGTCAGGCCACATAGTCACAGGTTGAAGGGAGTAGGATGATTAGGGCCATTATTGTGCCTATCATAGCAGGGGAGAGTGAGGCTGGTGGGCAGGCAATCTAAGGCCTGGAGGTGAGTGGGTGCTTGGCTTTGGAGGGGTGCTGGGCGCCTAAGTACCTGGAGGAGGAGCTCCTGGAGGGGAGGGTGAGACAGCAGAGGGCCTTTTAAGTCATGGGGCAGACTGGGAGTTGGTCACCTGCTAAGTAGCTTCTGGAGAGAGGACCTCTGTTCCCACTTGAGCCTGGTGGACATGCGTGTCCCAGGAGGACGGTGTGTGTTGGGGAAGCCCCTGCCCCTCCCCCACCTAGGAGCTTCCCTTTCACAGTGACAGGAAGAGGGAGAGCTAGGAGCATAATGTGCTTTGGGCAGGAAATGCAGGCTGCATCTTCCCATTGCTGGAGAAGGTGACAAACCCGGGCTTCGGAGTCACTGGGGCTGGGTTTGAATCCAAACTCCACCACATCCTAAGCTGAGCCCGTTCCCAACTGTAAAATGGGGGTGAGATAGGGCCTGACTCACAGGGTCAGCCCTGGGGTCAGCGAGGCAGGTCATGGGACGCTGTTGGTGCACAGGCATGCCTGCTTGCTCGTCCGTTCAGCAGATGGCGGTGGCGCGTCCACTGTGCACCAGGCACCATTGCAGGCACGGAGCAAAGCAGGCATCATCCTGGCCTACTTGGAGCCCCCATTCTACTGGAGGAGAGGAAAATGAACACGGAAATATAGAATCTTGTCTGCTGCCACTAAGTGCTGTGGAGGAAACCATCAGACGAGGGAGGACAGAAGTATTGGTATGAATGGGGAGGGTGTGGCGTCTGTGTGTGGTGGCCTTTGGAATAGGGTGACCAAAGAAAATCTGGATGAGAGGTGACACTTGAGCAGGTTTGGAAAAGGTAAGGGAGGAAGCTGTGCATGTGCAAAGGCCATGGGGCAGCGGCTAAAGGAGGTAAAGGAGCCATCCACAGCATGTGCAAAGGCCCTGGGGCAGCAATTTACCTGGTTTTTTTTCTAGGAATGCAAGGAGGTAAATGTGGATGGAGCAGAATGTGCCTTGAGGAGGGTGGCAGGAGGTGAGCTCTGTGAGTCACTAGTGGGGTCAGATGGTGTAGGGCCTTGTAAGAACTTTGGCCGTTAACTCTGAGGGAGAGGAGAGAGCTGTGTCTGCTCTAATACATTCAGGAAAGTGGCAGCTCTGAAGACCGAAGTGCCTCCTGGCTTGCCTCTCTCCCTCCCGCAGCCTCTTCCTCTTCCTCTTCCTCTTCCTCTTCCTCTTCCTCTCCCTCTCCCTGACCCTCCCCCAGCTGCCCACTGTTTTGTGGGGATTGATTGGGCCCATTGAGGCCTGCTGCCTGGAGTAGCAGCCTTGCCCACAGTCCAGTCTGGGGACCTTTCTCGGCCATCCCCTCCTCCAGCTATCCTCAGTGTTGGTCACTTATGGCTTTTGCTATTTATATAGCACAGTGGTTTATAAACTCTGCTTCTAGAATTTCGCAACCCGTCCTGCAGCATGTTATCTGTCCAGGCAGATAGTGGCGATCTTTATCCAAATCAAAGGACTGAAATTAAGGGGATGGAATTGTCTGCATTTTATGTTTTCCACCCAACATATTTTGTCATAAACTGGGAACTTGTGTAAGGTGGCATCCAGTTTAGTTCAATCCTGTATGTAATCATTTCAAGCTTAATAAATTAGTTAATATTTGTTAAACACCTACTGTGTCTTGGGGTTTCTGCGAGATGTGAGATTCATTGGCGGACAAACCAGATAGCGTTTTTGCCAAGTCACCGAGATAGTTTCAGGTCCTTGGCCATCATCTTTTTCCACCAACTCCAGGTCAGCTCAGGGGCCCACCAGGTGGAAGTCGCCCTTCCCTGGCGGACCTCGCCCGTTCCCATTCCTTCTGGCAAAGTCAGATTTGGTGAAAAGGCCACAGCAGCTGGGTGGAGTTCCACTTGCCAGCTCGAGGAAGAGTTCTGGGAGGCACGGGAAGCCAAAACCGCCTGTGAAGGAGGCCTGGTGCAGCTCAGAAAGCCCTGGCTCTGGCCGAGGTTTGGGATGTGTGGCTGCCATGGCAACCCGTCTCCCCGACGAAGGGTAGACGGGTTGGGCGCCGAACGCAGGGTGTTGCAGGTTGGGCTCCATTTTGACTCTGGTGGAGAACGATCACCTGGCTGCAAAACCAACCTCCCCGCCCAGTACAAGCATCTCCTCTTCCCCCTTGGGCCACGAGGGTGGGGGACTTGAGGCAGGAGTGGGTTTTTGTAGTGGGGTCATTGGGTAATCATCTCCGGCTCTCTGCTGCAGTTGGTGCGCACAGACCCGGCTAGTTTAAGGCCATTGATGGGACTCCTGTAGACGCTAAGCGATGGAAACATTGTGCGCATCCAGTACTCGGCGTGCTCTGGATGGGGCTGGAAGATGCCAGGTGGGCTTCTGAAACGAGTGTGGGGTTCACTCTACCTTTGATCTTTGCCTGCCCGGGTGTCCTCATTCATTTAACTCTTGGCTTCCTTATTCCTCTGTCCTTATCCCCTTCCTAGGAGTGGGGTCTGCTCAGATATACCCTCTTCCCTGCCTCTTTCCCTCCCTCCCCTCCTGCCTTCCTCCTCCTACCCCTGAAAACCTCTTTTTTTTTCTGTCCAAGGCTTTCTTGGGCGAGTTTAGAGCAGCAGTTTCCAACTTGAGCTGCGCATTGGAATTACTTGAGGAGCTTAAAAAATGTCCTGATGCCTGACTCCACCCCCAGAGGTTGAGATTCATTTGCTGTGTATGGGGCTCAGACGTCTTATTTTTTATTCCGACATCATTTGCTTGAATAGCTGTGGAGTATTCTATTGCGTATGTATACCAGAATGTATTAAGCTACTTTCCTGTTGATGGACATTTAAGTTGTTCCTAAATTTTCCTAGTATAATATGTTCTCCATCCATCTCCTTGTGAGCTCATATCTGTCAAGAAATACTGCGAACGACTTTGAAATGGGTGGAGAAAGATTCCTGGGTGTGTTGTCTAGCTCACTCATCCGAGCTATTTCTACCTTTTGTTTTCTTTGAGCTATTTTACAACTCTAATTGTGGAAAGCTGATAATACTGCAAGTGGTTCTGGTTCATGAAAATGCAAACCAGCTGTGCCTGTGGACTGCTGGACGTCCCAGCTTGTAGACACTCCCCAGGTGATTCTACAGTGTGGCCTGGGTGGAGAATTCCCATTCGGAAGACTGGAGGTAATTTCTTACCACAGCCCTTCTGATGTCCCTCCCGACTCAGTGGGAACTGATGGCCTATTTATTTAGCTGTATGTTTACGCAGCCCGTGGAAATAACAGTAAGAGCTAACATTAACTGAGCACTTATAATATGCCAGATCCTTTTTTGAGAATTTTAGGTGTTATTTAGTTATGTGAGTACAATTTTTCATAGACAGGGAACAACCTGGTGAAATAGGTAGTCTTATTCCCAAATGCAGAAGGGGAAGCTGAGGCGAAAGAGCTTGCTGGAGGTGGTATTGCTAATGAATGATAGAGCTGGGGTGGCACCACGTGGCCTGCTTGGACCACCATACTGTAGAGGTGGGAGTACCCAGCTCTCCCCTGGATTCTGCCACTTCCCCGAATGAGTCACTCAGGCGCTGTGAGTGTGTCATGGGACCGATGATCCTAAGCTCCCAGACCTACTGCGGAGGGTTGAGGGGTTGGGCGTGAGAGCCTGGCACCCGGCCTGACAGGCAGAGAGGGGCTCCCAAAGGCCACACGCAAGGCCATCACTCTGTTCTTGGCGTGTTGGTTTGCACGTTCATTGCCTGCTGGCCAGAGCGAGCTGGTGTGTCAGACTCACATGAACGGGCTTAGGGGAAGAAAGGGAGGCTTTTCCATCACAGCCAGGCTTTCTCAGAGATATTCAGGTTCCCAAGAAGTGGCTGTGAGATCTGGAGTTGATGGACTTAATTCAGAGACAAACATGCGCACTCTGTGTTCAGGGCCTTGCATCTGTTTCGTCCATCCACTAGGCCTCAGAGCAGCCCTGGGAGGTAGATATGATCGCGCCCATTTGACAGATGTGGAAACCAAGGATCATCCATTTGTTCTTGGGTTTCTTTTCTAATTCACCTCATACGTCCTAGGCCCTGAGACGCAGTGGCAACTAGGAAATTGCACTTCGGGTCCTCGCTGGAGTTCATTCAGGAGGGGTGCCCAGGGCCGGGCCACTTTGCACTTGAGTGCACACAGTGACTCTCCAAGCAGACCGCCGAGTCCCTCCAGTCCCGCAGAGTTTCCGGGTGTCCTCAGCCACAGGAGGTGAGGCTGGAGTGGGCCGGCCCATTGCCCGGTCCCCAGAGAGAGCCAGACTCCCCAGGAACTAATTTCTTAAGAGACCTTGAAGGCTCTTAACTCCCTAAGCGAATCCAGCTGTGCCTGGTGGCCGGCACTGTTGCAGATGTCCTGGCCAAAGCCAGCTTGGTTTGGAAGCCCGGCCCCAACAGCCGCCAAGTCTGGAAATGAAGTAAATGAGTGAGTTGTTCTTGGCCATTTTCCCCTCATCTCAACCCAGCTCAAATCAAACTGGAGCTCTGACCTCAGGCATCGCACATTCCATACTCCCCGGCCTCCTGGGGTTCAAAGGCGCACGGCAGGCGATAACCGCACTGGGCGTTGAGCGCCGTGAGGGAAGCTTCTGGAGGGAGCGTGGGACTGGGGTGGGGGCAGCTGGCGCAGCTTCGTTTCTCTGGACACCAGGCCTCGGAGAAACAGAAGGGGACGCCTGCTGGGCTGTGCTTGGCCTCTGGTCATGGGGGGCCCTGAGAACCAGAACAGGCCCTGCAGGGGTGAGGCTTCTAGTGAACCGGGGGGGGTGTGGGGGCTACTTTGGGGTGCCCCCTCCCCACCCTCCCTTGCCTCCTGAGCCTCACTGCTCTACCTGGGAGCCCCAGCGTGACTTCTTGAGAAATGGTGGCCTCTGCTAAGCAAGGCTGTCCCGGGCGGTCACGGCGAGCTGGCACCTGGATTCCTGAGGTCCTGAGGAACCCGCTTCAAACCTGGGTGGTCAGGGCCGAGTGGGGCTCTGACTGCTCCACTCCCGAGGCCCCAGACCAAACCACACAGCCCTTGAGGGTGAATCACTTTGAAGTGAGGGGTTCTGAGCCTGTGGCCTGCCAAGCGGGCCGGCTTGGCGGGAATGGGCAGGCTGGGCAGCATGGCCCGCGTGGCTTCCAGGCAGCAACTCCTCTCCCAAGGCGAAGGAAGCCAGAGCCAGAGCGCAAGGCTCTGGGCTTTGTGGTCAGAGAGCGGCTGAGTTCAGATATCATTTCCTAGCTCTGTGACACTGGGCAAGTCACTTAACCACTCTGAGCCTCAGCTTGCTTTATGTGCAAACTGTGGCTTCCTTGCACCACTCTCACAGGGTCTGTGTGAGGATTAAAGGAAAAAACCCATGCAAAGTGTTTGGTTGGTGCCTGGCACGGAGTAAAGGCTCAAGAGCTGTGGTGCCAGAGAGCAGCTTCAGGGGGCTTAGCCCAGCAGCATCTCAGAGCAATCCCCTATCAACAAACAAAAAGGATGTTCCGGCTCTGCAAACACGGTTACTAGACGATCTTCGAATGCCTCTTCTTGCATGGAATGACTGCTCTCGGCTTCTGCTCTTTGCAACCTGGAGGTGCCATTGGGATGCCCTGGCAGCCTCGCATCTTACTTTAATTATTATTTTATTTTATTTTTATTTATTGTTGTTTTATTGTTTATTATTGTTGGCAAGACGCCGTTTGCATAGTAAACTGAGACTGCTGCATGACTTTTATTTTATTGGCTGCATGACCTTAGCATACTAAAGATGAGTACATTGTTATTATTGTTATGGTTCTGATTAGCTCCGTGACCGTAGCACACCGAAGCTGAGAGAGTGCGACCGTAGGGGGTTAAGGGCTCATATTCCAGAGCCAGTCTGCATGGGTTTTAAATTCCTCTTCCTCCACTTCCTCCACTTCCTAGTGGGTGACCTTGGGTCACCCGCTGAGAGTCCCTGTGCCTCAGTTTCCCTGTCTCTAAACTGGGCATAATAGTGTCTACCTCACTGGGTTGCAGGGAGGATTAAATGAGTAATACGTATGAAGTGCTTAGAACTGGGCCCGATGCACGGAGGGAGTGTGCTGTTAGCCATCATTGTAGTCATCCACTCATTCCACCTGCAGGTTTTGATTGTTGGCCTCCTCTGTGTCTGGTTCTCCCCGAAACAGTGGATATATGCGTCTCCTGGGACTGCTATAAGGGTGACATGCCTGTTCCTTCCCCCATCCCCTCTCTGTGTGCCCCTTCTCCTTGGTGGCACTCCTGGGCAGTCATCAGCTTCCTTGCTTTACCGCAGCACCAGGGAGGCTCCTGTGACTTTCAGGAGAGCCTTGGGAGGGCACAGAACCTCTGTACTCCTCTTCGGGAACTCTCCCCACAGCTCCTGGCTCTTCGCTGTTCTGCAGGCCCAGTGTGATCTGGAAGACGGGGAGAGAATAATCTCTGGCAGAGCGATGTAGTTGCCACTGTAGAATCAGATGTGAGCCACTGTCATTGATGCTGGACTTTGCTTCCTGTCTCTGGCAGGCACTGGAAGAGATGGCCTTTCAGACCTTCCTGTGAGTTTCATTCATGCTTCATTCTTTCATTCATTTTTTTTTTCATTCAGTCTCTTCCCATTCTTTCTGCTTTCATTCATTCTATTCGTTCATTCTTTTGTTATTCATTCATTTTTCAGTTTGATTGTCTGCTTTGTCCTGGCCATACTCTCAGGCACAGGAGATGCACCCATGAAGGCCCAGCTGGTCCAAGGCCTTGGGGAGCTCACATCCCTAGCTGGTGGCATGAGGAAAGGCGGGCAAGGAGGGGTACGATGTGCCCATACAGATGCTGATGGTGCACTCAGAGGCTGACTTGAGGGGTGAGGGAGGGCTTTCTGGAGGAGGTGACTTCTATGTGCACAGGAGAGGAGGAGCTGGAGTTGGTGGGTGAAGAGGGGAGGTAGTGCTTGTTCCCCACAGAGGGGGACTTTACTTGCAGAGGCTCCAGGCCCTGAGGAAAGGAGTACCACAATACACTGGTACTTTTTTCTCCTCGGTAGTCAGAGCGTATTATTCAGGTACATCACTTGGGTGCAGGGGCTTGGGTGAGAGACCAGCAGGAGAGGTCTCCTTTGTGAGTCCCTCTTTCCAAAAGTGCCGCTGTACCCGGAGGTCTGGAAGACTTTACAAGTGTGTGACTTTCAGAGTGCAGGAACCCAGCACACCCTGTCACCAAACAGACCCACGAGGCCACCATTCTCCCAGGACCCAGCTGTGGGATGGCCTTGGCTCCTGCTTCTGGTTTTATGGAGCCCCCCTCCCTTCTCTGTGAAACGGCACTGCCCAGGCTCGTTCAGGGAGGGGGAGAGAGCTGATGTGCGATGTGTGCGTAGTGCCCAGCGAAGGGCCCTTCACGCTGGGAGCTTTTGGCAAATGCCAACTCTGGCAGGAGGAGGCACAGGGGAAGGAGAGTCTCGGGAACTTCCCCAGCTCTCCAGTGCTAGGAATTTGACCTTTTCTAGGGGTTCAGAATCCAGTGATGTCCTGAAATCTGCAGTTTCTGCTGCAGAAAGACAGTTTTTTATGTGTTTCCGGCCACCGGGATTCTTGATATCTTCTCAGTACCAGCCTTTGGACTGGTGCTCTTTGGGTCCCTGGGGAGTGAGAGGGGAAGTGAGAGAGGGCAAGAGACCTGTGGACACGCCTGCACGCCTGTGCCAGAGGCCTGTAGTGTCCCAAGGAGCCTGACATCCCTCAGGGGCTGTAAGAGGTTAGGTGTAGCTAAAGGTTCCTGTTCCTCTCTGACAGAGTCATCACTACCAGTTAGTAGTTAATTCATTGGTTTTCTGTGCTCCTACTGTGTGCAAGGAATATAGCATCACAGTGAATGATGTTTCTGTTCTCGTGGTCAGGAGAGCCCAGTGCAGAGGCCTGATGCTATTGTAACAAACCAGCATACAAATGCTTAGCATGGATCGGGCGTGGTGGCTCATGCCTGTAATCCCAGCACTTTGAGAGGCCAAGTTGGGCAAATTGCTTGAGCTCAGGAGTTCGAGACCAGCCTGGCCAACATGGTGAAAGCCTGTCTCCACTAAAAATACAAAAATTAGCTGAGTGTGGCGGTGTGTGCCTGGAATCCCAGCTACTCGGGCGGCTGAGGCAGGAGAATTGCTTGAACCCGAGAGGTGGAGGTTGCAGTGAGCCGGGATTACGCCATCGCACTCTAGCCTGGGCGACAGAGGGAGACTGTCTCAAAAACGAAAAACCAAATGCCTAGCATGGCGGGGGAATAAGGGCCCTGAAGAAGACAAGACCCACACAGGGCAAAGGGAGCAGGTGTTTGTGGCGTGGCCAGTCCTCTACCAGGCTAACACTTGATGTGAAACTTTAAGGAGGGTGAAGGAGGGAGCCACCCTGGGGTGTCTGGGTAGAACATTCCAGACAAGGAGAGCAAATGCACAGGCCCCAAGGAGGACACGGAGGCATAGGGAGCACTTGAGATGGGGCAGGCATCGAACTGGGTGCAGAATACACACTTTCTCCTTTTATCTAGTGATCCTAAGAGTTTCCCCTGTGTAATGCCAGTTTTTCTCCTGGCTGTGTGGAGGCTCCAAGGGGTCCAGCCTGCACACAGTGGAGGGGTCGAGATTTGAACTGGTGACTGCTTGACTGCATAGCCTTGGCTCTCGTTGGGCTGCGCGGGCTGAGCTGAGAGACTGGGGTAGGGGTTTTGTGGTGGGTTCCTGTTCCTGACCCATGTGGGGTCTGGCCATTACCCTTGCAGGCATTATCCTCGTGAGGGCTCAGGAACGGTGTCACCCATCACAGGGCGACAGCTCCAGAGATGTCTAGGGGGCTGGAGTGCCGGTGTCTGGGGTTGGCCTTACAAGAGCCTGGTGAGGACAGGGCTGGGCCAGCCCTTGCCTTTTGAGTCCCGTCTCTGTCACCGCATGGCTGTGTGAGACTCTGGGCAAGTCACACCCTTTCTGAGTCCTCGTTTTCTTGGTAAAAACGGGGTTAGTAAAACTCCCTGCCCTGCTTCCTTACAGAGCTTTTGTGAGGCTCAGGGAAGATTATGTGTGGGAAAGCCCTCTGTGGGCTCCAAAGCCCTGGACACGAGAATTCTGATTTTCCTTTATTTAATTGCAAAAACAGTATCAGTGGAACATGGAAGATAATTTAAAAGAAGACGAAAAAAACCTCTTCATACAATTCACCCAAGTATGGAAATCCTACCCTACCCAAGTATACACCAGCTGAATGGGTTTGGATGTATTTTCAGATAAATTCCTCACTTGGCGAACTCTTGCCGCTTGACGTCCCCAACTCCACAATCACGTGGATCTGGATCATTTGGCACCCTTCCCTGTCTGAACTCGGGAGCTGGATGGATTTGGCTACTGAGGATTGCTTGTATCGATTTTCCACTTATTCCTCTTGGTCTTGGCCCATCTGTACACATACTTTTATGTCATTACAGGCACAGTGAACATGCTGGTTTCTTTCCATTTTCTCCTCTACCGTCATCAGCGGAGATGACGTTTTACCTAGTCTTCGCCGTGATGGAAGCTTTTTAGTGGCCACGTGGTCATCTTTTGTGTCACACCATTTTTCATGAAACCATCTCCCTTTGGTTAGATACTAAGGCCGTTTCCTGCTTTTCTTCCTCAATAGAGTGTGCCACAGTGAATATCTGCGTGCCTGTAGCGTTTTTATCCTTTCCTTTTGATGATGAAAGATCATTTGGAAAAATTCCCAGGAGGGAGATTAGTCGGCCACAGGGGTATGAACATTTTGATGGCTTTGGATATCGATGAGGCTCTCTTGCTTTCCCGCAGAGTGGAGCCCATCTGTAATGCCATCCACAGGGTGCAAGCGTCCTTATTTTAACACTGCCATGTCCTCTCCGGGTGTCATTGTTTTTCATTTTTTTCTTAAATTAACTTCACGTGTTGAAAATGGTGCAGTGTTCAGTGTTATTAGTCAACAGCTGGCTTTGAGACACATGCCTGAGTGCCTTCAGCTCCTGGCTGAGTCCTCTGTCCCTCTGTCCGTGGCCACTCAGCCATGAGCACTTCTGTTAGCGATGAAGATGAAAAAGTGTCCCTTCTGCCCAGGCTCTCCCTTCCTCCTCTGGCTGCAGAGCAGGGAGGGGTTTCAGTGGCATCGCGGTGGCCGGGAGCGAGTGTGCTGGCCGGCTGGGCCTTGCTAGCAGGGCCGGGCCTTGCTGGCCAGGCCAGGCTATGCAGGCCCTCGAGAGGGCCTGGGGACAAAGGCGCCTTGGGAGGAGGAGGCAAAACAGGGGAGGGAAGGGAGGGCCCTGGAGAAAAAGGGGGGAAGAGAAACAAAGACAAAGGCTGGCAAAAATAGACCACGGAAACGGCAGGCAGCCGGGATAAGGAGGACAAGAGGCAGGATGTGGAAGAGGAGGGGAGGCGGAAGTTGTCGTGGGGGGTCGGGGAGAAATGGGGAGTAAAGGGAGAGTGGGTTACGGGGAGCTGTGTGGGGTGGGGGTACGTGGGAGAGAGAGACCCAGAAAGACAGACACACAGAGAGAAGGGAGCGGCCGAAGAGGAGGGCCCGTGAGCGAGAAGATGCAGATGCCCCTTTAGTAGGAGGGCATTGCTCCCTGCGCCCCTGGAAGGGACTCTGGGCTGGAAAGGACCAGAATGCAGGGAGGAGCCGCTGGCGGGGGTCACTGGAAGCTTGATTCGGGGGAAGCTGTAGGTTGGAGCTGGGAGACCCGAGTTCCTGCCCCTCCAGGGTCTTGTACGTCCTCACAGAGGACCTAGGGCCTTGATCCTGGTCCCGGCACACAGACACTTCAGGGGTGATGGAGCCACCACACCGAATTCTCCTCTAGGGCCCTCCCCCAGCATCAGAGTGCAGTCTGAGGGCAGCAGTGGGAGCTGGACTGGGGCCATCTGTGCAAGGGGTTATTGTGCCCAGGTGCACAGGCCGGAGCTCTGGGGTCACTCACCCTCCGCGTTACCTGTCGTTACCTGTCGTTACCTGTCGTTACCTGTTGTCTGGACCATAAAATGCAGATGGGAATGTCGCCCACTTCCTCAAGTCTTTGTGAGGATTAAACGAAGTACGAAATATAAAGCACTTGGAGTGGGGCACATAGTGTGTACCGTGTGACTCAAGGGGCTGTCCTCTTTATGGTGACGATGACAAGGGCATCAGGACAGCAGCCAGCATGGCGCAAGCCACCCGGGCCCAGCCTTGTTGAATCTTCCGGCAGTGTGGCGAGTTAGGTCTGCTCGTTCCCACTCTCCGCATGGGAAAACTGAGCTTCACAGTTAATATAAACACCAACAGTAATAACAATGGCAGCAACAAACTGCCGAATATGAGGGCCTAACATACACGAAGCAACACGCACGTCGCAGAACCCACAGCTGAGGAGACCAGAGCTCAAAGGGGCGAGTCACCTGCTGGCTCACACAGCAGCCGGGACCGGGATTGCAGGTGACCCACGTGGCTTCAGGGCCCAGGCCTGCCCTGTGACTCACGCGGCCTGTCACCCGCCGTTTCATGTTTCAGGCCTCGCCTGTACACTGGTGCTTCTCAGGAAGTCTTAGGGAAGATGACTTATTTATTAGCCGTTTTTTTAAAATCTCTTAATTAAAAAAACAACCAGTGTGAGTATGTGGAAATGTGATTCACCATGTGATCGGGGAGGTCAGAGCCAGAGTCCCTGGCTCAAAGGTAACACCCCTGTCCACCTGGATGAAGAATGTTCCAGAAGCTTCCCTCCAGGCACGGTCCTTGCCTGCTGAGCAGTCACCGGGGGAATCGGGGGCAGTTACCGGGGCCTCAGACTGTGGGAGCTGCCTCTTCCTGGGTCTCCAGCCGTGATTTCAGACTCGTCTTTCATCCTTCCCCTCTCGGTTGCCAGCCCAGTGCTGGAGGGACGCAGGGCAGAGCCCAGCCAGCTGCAGGTGTTTCCAGGCATGTGCTGGGAATGGAGCAGATGCGGGGCTGAAGCTTTCCCCAGAACTGGCCTTTATTGACGCAGAGGGTGGGAAAGAAGGCACGTGGCTGTGCTGGGAGAGGGTGGGTCTCCCTATAGCCTGGACCTGGGAAGGGCCTTCTCTAGAGCTCTCCAGGGACGGCCAGACAGCTCCCCTTCCACCTTGGGGTGTAAGCGGAACAGGACACACTCCCCTCAGGAAGCACGGTATCAAAGAGGGTCAGGAGGAGCCCCAGCCGGCTCCCGTTCTGAGGAGGCACCTGTGGGCATGGGGGACCCCCGGGGCCGCCCCCCGATGCCTCCGCTGATGCTTAAGGTCACACAGCAGGACATGGTAGCTGGGTTCAAACTCAGGTCAGGCCAACTGCAAAGCCTGTGCTCTTTCGACTCCTGGATGGACACTGCCCAGGTGCCCCTGGGTAACTGATACCCTTGTCCCCAAACAACTCTGAATCTCTTTTCATCATGAATATTATTAATAACAATAAATACTAATAACTGCCATTTATCAAGAGCCCCTACTTGCCAGGTGCTTTCTCATTCAGCCTGCCAAGGAAGCCCGTGAGTTGGGCACCAGTATCGCACTTTACAGATGAAGTCATTGAGGTACAGAGCAGCTATGTAACTAGCCATGGATCATAGAGCTAGTGTCGGAGATGGCACCCACACACAATTCTGATGACAAAACCTTACACTTGGGGACTGTAAGGCTTTGGGCACATTAGGTGACCTCTCTGAGCTTCAGTTTTGTCTTCTGTAAAATGGACCTCATATGCTGTCCGTGGCATAGGTTTGCATATGTGAATTAATGACTGTGGAGTACCTGGCACTCAGTGTTAGCTCTCACCATCATCATCATCATTACTGTAGCATAGGGTTTCTCAGTGAAACAGACACTGATGGTCAGAGTGGACCTCTCAGCCTGGGGGAAGCAGAGGATGAACCCTCTGGGGCGGGGCCCTGGGCAGGCTGGTTCAGTGATAAGCAGGAGCCAGGCGACCCACAGGCTTCTTGGATGGGCTGGGCGTGCATGGCATAACCGTTTGAGAACAACAAACCAAGCCGGCCGGGCTGCCGCTCTGTTTCCTGCGAGGAGGGAAGTTACAGATCTCCGCCCTGGCGTCCGGGGAAGGATGGGACAGGCTGCTGAGGTACAGTCCCATGTGGGGAACGACTCTGTCCAGCTTGATGTCTGTGCCTAAAACCTCGCCTGCTGCTGCTGGCCACAGGCCAGTGAAATTCACAGACCCACTTCTCAGAGGGTGGGCAGGTGTGTCTGCTAATCTGAGAGACCCCAGGCCCCTTCTCTTTTTATGTTTGTGGGAGGAATGGCTGAGACCCCAAAGCTGTGGGCTGCTGCTCTTTGGAGGACTTGAGACATTGTGAGAGCTGTCACCTCCTCCTGGAAGCCCCTGCCTGCTGTGGTCAGCCATGGCCACTCACTCTCCTGGGGCATCTGCTGGCCTCCCTTAGTGACTTGGCTGTTGGCTGTCATTTTCTTTCCACCTCATTCCCCCAACTAGACAGGAAGCTGTCAGTCCTCAGCCTCCTTATCTGTAAAATGCAGTTTGCGAGATAATCCCCAGCTCCCCCAGCTCCCCCAGCTCCGAGACTTGCAGGAGCAGAGAAAGAGGCCATGAAGCTGGCAGGGGCGCAAAGGAAGCAGGGCGTTGTTCCAGGGAAGGGAGAGCAAGTGAGCCAGGGACCGAGGGTGGGGCTTTGAAGATGCTGTGAATCCAGGGTAGCAAGTGTAGTGGTGCCTTTGTTTTTTCATCTGTAGAATGGGGATAATGGGACTGGTCTCCAAGGGTGGATATGAGTGCTGGGTGAGTTAACACACATCACATGTGTAAACAGGGCCTGGACCATAGTAGGTGCTATGGTTACTATTAAAATTGCTACATTTAGTTAATTAAAATAAATATTAAATCAATATTTGTCGTGCCTGTTGTGTGCTCAGAATACAGCAGTGAACAAAACAGACCCCCTTCATGGGGGCGATCCTACTTGGGGGCGATGGATGGGAAACAAGGAAGTAAGTGAAACCTATTTAGAATTTGTACGATGGAGGGGAGTTAATTGCTTCTCAACCCTGACAAGTGAAAAGAAAAGTGAGAAGGACTTTGAAGGACAAAGACCAATTAAAATTTCAGCCTTTCAGCAAGGATCAAATCAGATTTATGGTTGTTTCATCCAGTGATAAAACCCTTTGAATGGATGACGATGTCTCAAAGTAGCAAAGTGGGGTGCGGGAGAGCTCAGTTTTAAATTTGGTGAGCTTTTGTGCACGTGCTTCCAGGGATTTGGTATCACAGCTGTCTCCTCCAACAGCAAGAAGAGAAGGTTCATAAAGGCACACCATCCCAGTAGAGGCGGGGGTCAGCCCCCTGCGGACCCTGGACCCCTGGGAACACAGTTTGAAACCTGGTGCTCCATCTCTTGGGCTTCTTCCCAATTAAAATGAGCAGAGTCTTACATTCTGTGAAACTGAATGGGAGCCAAGGGGTCAAAGGACAAGTTCAAGAGGGAGAAGCCAGTGCCGCTTGGCGGGCAGTGCCCGGGACACCCACCCACAGCCTGGCAGCTGGGCCATTTGCTTACTGCTGGCTGGCTGGGGGGTTCAACAGTTGGAAGAGGCCATAAAAGTGGATTGCACAGATGCCCTGATGCTGGGCCTCGTAAGGGGTGTCCGGGCTGTGGGGATGTCTAGGCGGAGAGGGAGGTGTAGACCCTGGGCCTCCCAGGCACAGTGATGGGGCAGCTGGAGCTGGTGGTGCCCATGCAACAGTCCACCCTCCTCCAACCCCTGCCTGACAGCCTTGCATAGCCCGGGGGACTCAGTAGCTTGGGGCTCCCCTCTGCTCAGGCAGACCTAGGGCTCTGATGGCTCCCATTTATGAGAACAGCTGTCACTTGGAAGGACCTGCTACCTGTCCTCCGAGATGTGTTTTTCATACCTTGTATTGGTCCTCTCCACCAATAACCCCTCATGGATGAGTGATTGTTACTGTGTAGGAAGAACTTGGGGCTCAGTGAGGTTGAGCCACTTTTCCAAGAGGCCACTTAGAGCTGGAGCTCATAATAAGTAGGGGTCTCTAGGAACTGTTTCTAAACAACCCCCGAACCCAGCTGGTGGCTCCCAGAAGGGTCTCTGGAAGCAAGGCGACTGTCTCATTGTTTCATTAGTTTGAGCCCTACGGGGCCTTAGGACACAGCCAGCTTGGAGAAGTCACTCTAATAACCCATCTTGCCGGTGATGCCCAGGCCTCGGCAGACTGGCTCTCCGAGGGTGTCTGGGCCTGGGCAGCCGAGGTCTTGTTAACCCCAAATCCCACAGGACTCGCATAGAGTGCAGAATCCCGGTTTTCTGAATTGGTGCTAAAGGCTCAGTGGCCTGGCCCTGCTGTGAAGCCACAGGGCTTGTGCTCTGGGAGCCTTGGCCGACACAGGTGCCCCGCCGCCTCCTCTGCTGCTGCAGCCTCAAGGGCTACAAAGAAAGCTCCTTCTGCCCGTGCAGCGTGGGCTCCTGGGTCCCCTGCAGGCCACCATGGCTGCTGCTCCAGCTGTGGTCCCCCCAGAGGCTTCTCCAGGCAGTGCCTGCCGACTCTCCGGTGCTTCCCTTATTTTATTCCTCTTCCGGGCACTAAGTTTCGGTTTCCTTTTCATTGTTCTTTGTTGGTCTGTTCATTCATTCATGCATGCATGTGTTGGTTCATTCATTCATTCTCAGAGTACCATGGTGGCTCTGAGGACAGAGGTCAGACCCAGCTGGGTTGGAACCTGCTGCTCCCTAGCAGTGGGCCTCTGGGCAGATGTTTTAACCATAGAACTCGGCTTCCTTGTCTGAAAACGTGGCTCCTTCTAGGACAGTCAAGAAGGTTCAATGAAATGATGGATGTGGAGCCCCAGGACGTGACCTGAGGATGGTGCTTGTCATGTTGGGGTCTGTGTCCCTCCCTTGGGCACATTCTCTCCTTCCTTCCTTTCCAGCTTCCTGAGGACGGTCCAGTGCCGGGGGCTGGGCACAGGCCTGAGTGAGATGCGGCCCTTGTCCCCCGGCCTTTTTGGTCTGGGTCCTCACCTCTGCACCGAGTCCCCCTGGGGCTGCTCGGCAGCTCTGAGGGGGCCACTCTGCCTCTGCCCAGTGGTCCTGCTTTCTCACGGGGGTTATCAGGCCTCTGCTCCTCGCGCCTCACTCTGAGAGGGTCCTTCCACCTGACTCATGGCTCCCATCCCTCCATGCCCCTGCCCAGGTGCCCACACATGTGTGCCCCAGAACATGGCTGCACACACTTGCATACCCCACGAGCACACACGTGTGTGCATGCATACACCCCATGGTCCTTGAGCACACATGTCCTGGGCCCTGGCATGCACTCCCCCAGGCGTCATGTATACACACAGTCCACACGTTTGCAAACGGGCAGACACACCTCCCTCTTGCACATCCGTGCACACCCAGCCCATATCTTCCTGCCCCTGCGTGTGCACACAGTCCCAGTTAGTTTACACCGTGCACACCTCTCCATACATACAGGTTCCCAGCTGTGCGACCACTCACCCACACGTATGCATTTATTTTTTAACACACACATGCATACCATTTAGTAGGACCCCATGTACAAGCATCTGAGTGCTTTACAAATTCAAATGTATTTAATCCCCCTATCAACACTAGGAGGTAGTTTCTGTTATTAGCGCCATTTTACAAATGAGGAAACTGAGGTGTAGAGCAGTTAGATCGGTGTAGAGAAGCTAGATCGTGTGCTCAAGGCTTCAGTCCAGGCTCTTGGCCCTGACACGATGCTGTTTGCCTGTTGAAGATGTGTGTGCATGCATGCACCATTCACACTGTGAACGTGTCCCAGCATGGCCACACCCCCTCACCGTATACACATATGGCCATGAGCACTCAATCTCAAGGTCATGGATGCACATGCCTCACACCTATGCATGGAAGGACACTCGGCACACATACTTGTCTCTGCACACACACACCACTTGCACACCCATGTACACATGTGCCCCAAGCCTCGCCCCAATCTCCAGCTCCCTTTCAGAGTCCCTTCTAGGATATTCTCTGATTTCTCCCAAGTGCCCAGTTCGGGAGGGAAGTGACTGCACAGATCTGGACCTGGCGATGACCTCTGAGTGGGAGGCAGCCCTGGCTGAGCTGTCTCCTCACCTTAGCATCCGCCTGTCCCGGCGCCCATGTAGCTTCCTTGTCATCCATCTTCTGGGCTGGCCCAGGACACGTGCCCCCATCCCAGCCTCCAAGAATCTGGGAATGTCCTTAGCAGACTGGGCTGGCATGTGGCCTCTGCCCGGGGAGCAGAGGTGGCTCCCCAAAGGCTTCCTGAGAAGTGGTGGAGGAGACTCAGCTTCCCCGTCCAGTCCTTTACCCCTCCTTTACCCAGCAGCGCCCTCTGAATCTGAAACAGTTTTGGGGGCGGCAGCTCCGGTCCTGCCCAGCAACTCGCAGTTGTTGCCTGTGGCATTCAGATTCAAGTCTGGGCTTGTCAGCCCGGGCGAGACTCTCCTATTTTGGCCCTATGGGAGGCATCCAAACTCCTCTGCCCTTGCCTTCCGGGGCGCCCCACGCACTCTGGGCTTCACCTGGCTCCTCTGCTTTGCTTGGGCTGCTGACTTCTGGAGGAGCCCTTTCTTCCTTCTCTCTCCTGATGCAGAACATACCCAGTCTCCCTGGGGCAATCGGCCTTCTTCAGCCACTCCTTGGTCTCTGCTCCTCTTTCCCTCCCTCACTCTGTGTCCTGCCAGCCCCAGCCTCTGGCGACTTTTAGAGCTGGTGCGCAGTCCTGCCTGAGCATCGGTGAACATGACGCCATGGGCTGTGGCTTAACGATTCTTTTGGTGAATTTTGATTCTTTATCAAAATTTCCTTCCTTCCTTCCGTCCTTCCTTCCTTCCGTCCTTCCTTCCTTCCTTCCTTCCTTCCTTCCTGCCTCCCTCCCTCCCTGCCTCCCTCTGTCCCTCCCTCCCTCCCTCTCTCCTTTCCTCCCTTCCTCTCTCCTTTCCTCCCTTCCTCCTTCTCTCTCTCCTTCTCTCCCTCCTCCCTCCCCTCCCTCCCTCTCTCTCTCTCCCTTCCTCCCTCCCTCCCTCCTTCTTTCCTCCCCCTTTTCTTTCTTTCTTTCTTTTTTTTTTTTGAGATGGAGTCTCACTCTGTCGCCAGGCTGGAGTGCAGTGGTGCGATCTCCGCTCACTGCAACCTCTGCCTCCCGGGTTGAAGTGATTCTCCTGCCTCAGCCTCCTGAGTAGCTGGGACTACAGGCGCGTGCCACCACATCCAGCTAATTTTTGTATTTTTAGTAGAGACTGGGTTTCACCATATTGGCCAGGCTGATCTTGAACTCCTGACCTCAAATGATCCACCCACCTTGGCCTCCCAAAGTGTTGGCATTACAGGCATGAGCCACTGTGCCCTCCCCGGCCCACTGTTTCCTTTCCCTCCCTCTCTGTCCTTCCCTTCCTCCCTCCCTTCCTTCTTTCTTTCCTTCCTTCTTTGCATGTGCCAAGCCAAGCCTTGTGCATCTGCGTCTTTGAAGTCCTCACGAGTTGAACTAACAAGAGAAGAAAAACCCAGGATATGAGAAATCATTGGATTGCGCAGGTGCCCTCTGCCAATTGGTTAGCAAGTTTTTACGAGCAAATCTGGTGGTTATCCTTTGGAAAATAAGCAAAGGCAAACCACTTCCTGCCACTTCCAGGAGCTGCTCAAGTGCCGGAGCTTTCTAAGACCTACTGAGAATCTGAAACTTCAGGCCAGCGTCCTCCGTTTTCCTGGAGAACGCAGTAATTTGTGTTGGTGAAATTCCACTGGGCCTGATGGGGTTGGAGATTGCATTTCAGTCTTGTCTTGCTAAGGAATTTCTGAGATCGAGTAATTTGGCAAGAAGAGAAAAGGAGAACAACTTTGGGTTGTGACGCACGGGCAGCAAATGCCCGTCCTATTTTGGGACTGGTGCCTCCTGCTTTGCGTGTGCCACACAGCCTCAGGGGACCTGAAGCCCCTCTTTGGCCCCAGGGGGAGCTCTGGCAGTGCCCTGTGCCACGCATTGTATCGGGCTCCTTGCACTCCTTCTTACTTGACTTATAAGGTTACGCTATTAAATAGCGTCATCTGCAGAACAGCCCTAAATTCTTGAATGGGGAGAGAAAATGCGGTAGCTGGGGGTGGAGTGGGGTCGGGGGCAGGATCTCAGGATGGGTGTGGCATGGGCATTGATGCTTAGGTTTGACTCTGGTTCTTTTTTTTTTTTTTTTTTTCTGAGACGGTGTCTCGCTCTGTCGCCCAGGCTGGAGTGCAGTGTCGTGATCTCAGCTCACTGCAACTTCTGCTTCCCAGGTTCTCGCAATTCTCCTGCCTCAGCCTCCCGAGTAGCTGGAATTACAGGTGCATGCCACCATACCCAGCTAATTTTTGTATTTTTAGTAGAGTCGGGATTTCACCCTGTTGGCCAAGCTGGTCTCGAACTCCTGACCTCAAGTGATCCGCCCACCTCGGCCTCCCAAAGTGCTGGGGTTACAGGCGTGAGCCATTCTGCTACTAACCGGCAAGTGACTTAAGTCCTTGTGCCTTCCTTGCCTGATTTATGAAATGGCAACAATCCTGGGGATGATGGGAGGACTTTTTTATTCAGTCAACACATGAGTGGTGCCTACTATATGCTAGGCCCTATTCTAAGTGTTGCAACTATTAAATAGAGTAGTCTGCAGAGCAGCCCTAAGGGGCAGCTACTGCCTAGCTCCGATGAGGAAACTGAGGCCCAGAGAGGTTAAGTAACGTACCCAGCTGCTAGGAGGCAGGGCTGGGCTTCAGACCATGGAGTCTGGACCCGGGACCTGGGCTGACAGTTGCAGCATAACAAGGATTAGGTGAGATGCTACATCAGTGAGGTGACCACTTGTCCTGTTTTGCCTGGACAGTCCCAGTTTACACTTGTAGTCCTAGTAAAGTGATCAGTGACGCTTCATTTCATTCATAGATTACATGGTCAACTTATGTATTGAGTATTCAGGACAATCCTGGGGACATGGTGGCACTGCCTCCATGTGAGCAATGGAGGGGGAGGTGACATGGCCACAGAGCACCCAGCCTGGCTCGCCTGGGGGTGCCTGGGTTACCCGCAGAACGGAGATGTCCTCGTTCATTAACTCATTCGCTCAGCGATCCATGGGCCTGTCACGTGCGCCAGGCATTTGGGCGTCATGCTGATGGCTGGGCGAGGATGGGGAGGACTCAGACAAAAGAAGACAGCCAGCAGGCTCTGGGAAATGAAGTCACATCCAAGACCTGCCCTTGTGAGAAATGTCAAGTGTTACCGTTATCATCATATTCCCATTGCTTTGTTTGGCAAATTATGACAATATGGCTGTTAACTAAGCAGATTCTGATTACCTATTGTTTGAATGCAAAAAACAAAACAAAAAAAGAAGCAAGAAAAAGCCTTCTGGCTATGTGACCAGTATTTAGAAATTTCCATTCCTGAACAGGCCTCAGGGCAGAGCCAGTCCCCAGGCTGTGCGGAGCCACTGCTGTCCCTGCAATGCCGGGTAATCACTTTGTCTTTGCTGCTGCATCCATCACGCCCTGTCTCTCTGTCCTTAGATATGTTTGCGTGATGTCGTGGGATGTGGCTTTCCCAGGCAGTCTGTTAAGCAGCCAGAGATCTACTCTGGCCTCCTCGTTGATGTTTCATTAAAGAGCTGCCCTAGTTCAGCACAACCTAAATATTACAGCTAAAGAACACAGGCCCCGGAGTACGGTGACCAGTTTGTTCTGATTTGCCCAATACTGTCCCAATTATACTGAAAGTCTTGAATTCCAGGAGATCCCTCAGTCCCAGGGAAACCGGGATACATGGTTACCCTGCTCTGGAGTGAACACAGCCCTGGGTCATCATCTGTGGCTCTGCTGTGTGACAGCCGGGTGCTTGATGGTGAAGAGTTTCCCCCTGGTATGAGCAGTCAGTGTTATCCCTGGTCTCAGTGGATCACTGGGTCGCCTGCCTAGTCCCAGATACCTCTGATCCCTTTATTTTAATTTTTATTTTTTGAGGCAGGGTCTCTGTGCACCCAGGCTGGAGTGCAGTGGCAACAATTATGGCTTACTGCAGCCTTGACCCCCCAGGCTCAAGCCATCCTCCCACCTCAGCCTCCCGAGTAGGTGGGACCATAGATACATGCCACTGCACCTGGCTAATTTTTAAATTTTTTTGTACAGACAGGTCTCTCTGTGTTGCTGAGGTTGTTCTTGAACTCTTGAGCTCAAGCGATCCTCCTGCCCTGGCCTCCCAAGGTGCTGGGATTATAGGCCTGAGCCACCGCGCCTGGCCTTCTGCCCCATTGAGGTGCCAGTCTGGTCACCTTATCTCACTGTGGATGTCTAGAAGTGAATTCTGAATCTCAACCCACTGCCTTGTTCTGAGGTTGCCTGAACCCCATGGCACCCCTCCAGATCCCTGAGCGGATCACCAGGCCTGTCAGTGACAGACGTCATCACCTGGGAACAGGGCAGGATGTGGCTGAGTAGCTGACATGTAATGAGGGCGTGTTCACACCTGGCCCTGTGCTCCATGGACTTTATATTTAAATCCTCACATGCCAACTGTCATTTTATAAATGGAGAGGTGAGGCTTGGGAAGGTTCAGTTATTTCACCAGTGTTAGAAAAAGGTCAGTGGGGTTGGGCGCCGTGGCTTACACCTGTAATTCCAGCACTTGGGAAGGCCGAGGGAGGCAGATCACTTGGGGTCAGAAGTTTGAGACCAGCCTGGCCCACATGGTGAAACCCCCTCTCTACTAAAAATACAAAAATTAGCCTGGCGTGGTCGTGGGCGCCAGTAATCCCAAGTACTTGGGAGGCTGAGGCAGGAGAATCGCTTGAACCCGGGAGGCAGAGGTTGCAGTGGGCTGAGATCATGCCACTGCACTTCAGCCTTGGTGATAGAGTGAGACTGTCTCAAAAAAAGGAAAAAAGAAAATAGAAAATGGCCAGCGGGGCTGGGCACCATGGCTCATGCCTGTAATCTTAGCACTTTGGGAGGCCAAGGCAGGTGGATCACTTGAGGTCAAAAGTTTGAGACTACCCTGGCCAACATGGTGAAACTCTGTCTCTACTAAAAATACAAAAATTAGCCGGGTGTAGTAGTGGGTGCCAGTAATCCCAGCTACTCGGGAGGCTGAGGCAGGAGAATCGCTTGAACCCAGGAGATGGAGGTTGCAGTGAGCCAGGATTGTGCCATCGCACTCCAGCCTCGGCGACAGAGTGAGACTCGTCTCAAAAAAAAAAAAAAAAAAAAAAAAAGAAAAGAAAAGAAAAAATGGCCGGTGGGCCTGCAGCCCACCTGTGCTGTGTGTGCTCCACGGTCTGTGCCATTCCACGAGTGGTCCCAGTCTGTGCCTATCTGCAGAGCTTGTTACCAGCCTCTAGGGAGAGAAATGAGGAGAGCAAGAGTGAGGGTGTGGAACCCTTTTAGCATTTTGACATTCCAATGAAATTTTCATTATAGTTTTCAAAAATATTGGTTTACAGTGGATTGGAAAGAAAATAAAAATGGGTCTTTTCCCACAGACAGTTTGGAAAGTGCTGCTTTAGACCCTGCTCTTTTGACCCCTTGAATCAGCCAGTGAGGCTGGGCTGTGCAACGGTAACGGGCAGCGCAGCTGCTCAACACACCTGAGGTTTATTTCTCCTTCATGCTAAATGTCCAGGGCACATCAGTCGGGAGCCTTGCTCATCTGATCGTGCAGTGACCCAGCCGATGGAGGGCCCGTCTCAACATGTGCTTCTGCTGTCCTGGAGGCAGGACGGGGGTGTGGCCACTTGTACAGGACACACATCACTGCTCATGGTTCATTGGCCAGCACAAGTCACGTAGCCACACCTATAATTTATAGGGGTGGGTGAAGAGGGAAGGGAAGTGGAATCCCTCATGTGTTCTGAAAAAGGAGAGAACTGGGCCTGTGTGGAGGCCATGTTGTTGTTTCGCTTCTGCCTGTTCTTGCTTCCATGTGGGCCTGGTCCTCCAGACCCCACGCCTGGAGAGCTGCTGATCTTGTGCGTTTTGTCCATTTGCACCCTGGTTTTCAAAGGCAGCGGGGTCTGTGAGCCCCAGAGCCTCAGCTGGGACCTGCTGGGCCGAGTTTCTGGTCCCTCTTGGAGCTTTAGTGCTTTCTTAGTTTGGGAACTGAAAGCCTTGTCTGTTTCCCCAGACTGTGAAGAAAGTTATGAGTAGTGTCAGGGAGCTCTGCACAGAAACTTTGGCCAAGATCATTTCCCTCTTGTAAGCTGGGTCTCTCTTTGAGTCTCTCCTCAGTGAAAGAGTGGCTGGTTTAAATCAGGAACAGGCTGGGCACGGTGGCTCATGCCTGTAATCCCAGCACTTTGGGAGGCCAAGGCAGGTGGATCACCTGAGGTCAGGAGTTTGAGACCAGCCTGACCAACATGGCAAAACCCTGTCTCTACTAAATACAAAACAAAAAATCAGCCGGGCGTGGTGGCACATGCCTGTAATCCCAGCTATTCGGGAGGCTGAGGCAGGAGAATCACTTGAACCCGGGAGGTGGAGGTTGCGGTGAGCCTAGATTGTGCCATTGCACTCCAGCCTGGGCGACAAGAGCAAAACTCCATCTCAAAATAAAATAAAATAAATCAGGAACAGTAAGAACTGCCGTTCATTGAGTGCTTATTACATGCTGTCACATTGCTGAGCAGTTTACACACGTTGTCTCTATTCATCCTCCTGCAACCCTAACAGGTGGGACCCCTCTTAGCCTCATTTTATTGATGAGGAAACCAAGGCTCGGAGAGGTTAAGGAACTTCCTGCAGCTCACGTAGTTAGAAACTGGCGAAGCTGATTGGATCTAGGCCTGTGTGATCCTGAGCCTACACTCAGGACCGTTCTGATCCTGACCAGTACTTACTGATTTGGGGTCTGAGAAGACAGTAATGAGCAAGGGCCCCCAGAGAAGTTTTCTGACCTTCACAAAGCCCTGCTGAGATCTTGACCTCTGTTCTTAAGAGGTGGATCTTGCCTCAGTTATGCTCAGCCATTTCATTACACAGGAAGACCTCATTCTTCCTTACATTGCAATTTATTGTTTTTTAAAGAAACTGGCCTTGTATTGTGGAAATAACATTGGAAAATGGAGATTAAAATGGGTAATGGAAATAACAATCAGTAATGGCTTAAGAACAGAAGCTTGATTGGGGAAAAGTCTTCCGAATAGAAAGATGATCAAGTGGGAAGAAAATAAAGTGGAACTTTGAGTTTGAAATGGCTCACTCATGCCTGTAATCCCAGCACTCTGGGAGGCCAAGGCGGGCGGATCACGAGGTCAGGAGTTCGAGACCAGCCTGGCCACACTAGTGAAACCCCGTCTCTACTAAAAATTAGCTGTGTGTGGTGGTGTGCGCCTATAGCCCCAGCTATTTGGGAGGCTGAGGCAGGAGAATCACTTGAACCCAGGAGGCGGAGGTGGCAGTGAGCTGAGATCACGCCACTCCACTCCAGCCTGGATGACAGAGCGAGACTCCGTCTCAAAAAAAAAAAAAAAAAGAAATGGCTCAAAGCCTTGTTCCTGAATGTCCTCTAAAGAAAGATCATCGGCCGGGCACAGTGGCTCACGCCTGTAATCCTAACACTTTGGGAGGCCGAGGTAGGTGGATCACGAGGTCAGGAGATCGAGACCATCCTGGCTAACATGGTGAAACCTCATCTGTACTAAAAAAAATACAAAAAAATTAGCTGGGCGTGGTGGCGGGCGCCTGTAGTCCCAGCTACTCAGGAGGCTGAGGCAGGAGAATGGCGTGAACCCAGGAGGCGGAGCTTGCAGTGAGCCGATTGTGCCACTGCACTCCAGCCTGGGTGACAGAGCTAGACTCTGTCTTAAAAAAGAAAGGAAGATCATCTGCCCAGCCTTGGCTTTCTGGGGGTCTTGGGTACCCTCCCTCTGCAGCTGCTAAAGATAAGCCTAAAACTACGTTTCTCAAACTGGGATATGTGCAGCCTGTGAGGGTGTCAGGAGTTTGAGAAACCATAGGCTAAATTGGGTGTGTCCTCTATGTGTGTCCACTTGACTTGTGGATTCAGAGGGAAAAGATTAAGTAATTTAACTAATATATAATTTAGAACATGGCTCATCTTCTTGGAATGAGCATTTTCCTTGAGGGGTGGAAAGGTTAAGTCGTTTAATTGGTGCGTAATGTAAAACATGGCTCCCCTTTGTGGGAACATCCACTTTAGACAATTTGGTGAAGGGAGAAAAGGTGAAACCATTTAATTCAGGAGTCATTGGAGATATTATTTTGCTGTTAAAGTGTGCACAGATGTGGAGTGGAATGCAAATTCACAAGGCTCATTAAGATTAACCAGGAGACCTGAGTGGAATCTCCTGGTTGGGGTGGCCGCAGATCACTTTGCGTTTGCCCTGCTTTATATTTGGGGTTCTTGGGGGAACAAGAGGACTGGGTTCTGGGGAAGGGCTGTGAGGGTAGCACTCAGTAGTACTGGGGTGTGAGTCCCATTGCTGCCTGGGACACTGGCCCAGCCTGCTGGAGCTGGACTGATCCGGTGATTTTTGCCTTTCTTGGTTTATTTCCCATTTGGTTTTCCCAGGCTTTTAGTAGAGCCCACTTGGGCAATGCCAACCTATCCACCCATGCTTAACGGAGGAATCAGAGATGATTGAACAGAGAGGAACAAAGCAGGAGCATTCCTCCCCCAACCTTGTTCTAGAGACAAAGTGAGTGCTACATCCTCTACTTTATATTATTTTGAAATATTAAATGTGTGCATTTATTTTTGAATAGATAGGACTTTCATATGATGCACAGCTCAGGAAATCTATAAGGAAATGTGGTGAAAAGTCCCTCTTGCCCTGTGGCCCGGCTGGCTTATCTCCTCCCCAGAGGCCACAGCATCCCTGGTTTCTGATCATCTCCTTTGTGGACATAATTAGGTACATAGACGCAAATACGTACAAATTTGGTTTGTTTAAACGAATGATAGAATCCTGTGCACATTTTCCTGTAATATTTTCTCACTAAACAATAGTGAGGAATGGTTGCATATCAGGACAGCTTCCCTGTTCTCTTTTTGTGGTTACAGAGCATTCTACTCCATAGCTCTATTTGGTCATTTTCTTACTGATGGCTGTTTTTGCAGCCTTTTACTCTTTCAAGCAATGCCATGTGATTATCCATGTATATATATCTTTGAGACAAATGCAAAAATGTCTCTGGGAAAAATTCCTAGAAATGAAATGTCTGAGTCAAAGGTTATGCACCTCTGGAATATTGATAGGTATTTACAGACTGCATTGGGAGTTTCAGCACTCTCCATCAGTCTGAGAGGGTGCTCCGTGAGACAGATCTCAGGACAGCTCCTGCAGGCCTGGGATGGTGTGCAGAATGATCTGATCATGCCTGAGGGACCCACGTAGGCCCCAGGATGGGGATCCTCATGGTGTCTCAGGGCCCCTTCTGATGTATGCTTTTGTCAACTGTGCACTGGGGTTGGGAAGTACTTAGGAGAGCAAGTGTCATGTCTGGAGTGGTTCTCCCTTGGCCTTGCCTGCCATTCCTTTGCTCAGCGTGGAGTCTCCCCTACTCCAGGAATGAACTCTTGAATACAATTCAGGTTCCCTTTCCCTTAGCCTTAAGAGCAGCAGCTTTTATGATGGGAAGGGAATCATTCATTTTATTTTTTTCAAATAAAGATCTACTCTTCAGAGAGAAAAAGTGCCAGCAGGTCCTCATGAAGAACAGATTCATTCAGGTGTCTGCAGGTGTCACCAACACCGTGTGCTCCCCGTGTGGCAGACCTCCTGTGTCCTCAGCTGTCATTGCCCCACAGGGCTCTCTTTAGCTCCATCCTATAGATGCGCAAGCAGGTGCAGAGAGATGTGGCATGGGCAGGACCACCCAGCTGGAGAGCCCACCGGAATGATGCTGATGTGCCCTCAGCCTGCACAGTTCCCTGCCTGTGTGTGTGTCTGGGGGCTTGCTTCCTGTCACCTAGCTCGGCATAACACATTGGTGGGAGTTTGGCTTTGGAGATAGGCACTTGGGTTTGACATTGGGGCTGCCTCCTTCCTGCGTGCACTGCCTCTGGCACCTCTCTGAGCTTCTGGTTTTTTAGCTCTAAAAATGGGAATGACTTTCATGTTGGTGCCTGATGTGCAGGTACTCGGGGGTCATAGTCTGGCTGTCTTTCCCTTCCGCCCACTCTGTCCGCCTCCCTCTGGTCATCCTGAGCAGGTCGAGCCAGGGCGGCCCTAAGCAGAGCCCTACCCTAGGGTTGGGGTCAGGGCTCCAACCCTGGTTTCAGGAATGCTGCCTGGATAACCCAAGGGCATGGTCTGAACAGATGTCTCTTGAGGCCTACCTGCCCCAGCTGCACATCCTTGGGGCTGGGTCTTAACTGGGACCCAGACCCCTCAGCTTGCTGTCTTCCTGTCTCCCTTAACCAGGGAGGAGAGAACAGGTGAGTTTCCTGGTGGGCAGGAGCATGGAAGTGTGATGGATCTGATGCAGTGATTGGCTGGGGGCCCCTTTGTCAGGAGCTCCGGACATCCTGCCCTCACGGAGAAGTCCTGCCCCAAAGGAAGTATGCCTGAATCAGACCTGGCTGGCAAATTGAACCTCATTTTCTGATCAATTTCCATCAGGATTTTAGATGAGGATGCTTTTCCTGTATCTTTAATGGGGCGTTTGGCAAAAGCTCTGCTCACTTTGGCTGTGACTTTGTCTCTTGGGCCTCTATCAAGGTATTGACGACAGTGACGTCAGCATCCTGCTGCGGGGCTGCCACCCTCTTTGTGTTATAGTTCTCAAGGTCTGATCGGGGACGAGGGGGTGCTCGCTCCTCACAGCTGCCCAGGAGCTCCACGGAGCAGGTGTCAGGGCCCTTGTTTCCCTGGGTGTGAGTCGCCCAAGTGGGACCATGATGGCCGCCCTCATCACTTCATCACTGATGTTTTTGCTAATAATAATGATGACAATGTCAATAATGGTAGTGTTATTACCACCTAACATTATTATGTGCTCTCAGCTAAGCACTTGGTTTGGATTAGTTTAATCCTTTGACAGTCTTCTGAGGAAACACTATTGTTAGTAGCCCTGTTTAGGAGGTGAGTAAACTGAGGTTTAGCAAGCAAAGGGACATGCACAAAGTCACACAACCAGCCAGGCACAAAGCCAGGATTTAAGTCCTGGAGGTGCGATTCCAGGTCTTTTCAAAATTACACTTCACTACCACCTTTCTCAGATACTGTGATGGACCAGTCCAAGACCAATGTTTTTTTTTCCTTCATTAAAACAAAAAAAATCACAAATCACAAACCTTTATTTTGTTTTGTTTTGTTTTTTTGGTGAGATAGAGTCTTGTTCTGTCGCCCAGGCTGGAGTGCAGTGGTGAGATCTCAGCTCACTGCAACCTCCACCTCCCAGGTTCAAGCAATTCTCCTGCCTTAGCCTCCTGAGTAGCTGGGACTACAGGTGCATGCCACCTTGCCCACCTAACTTTTATATTTTTAGTAGAGATGGGGTTTCACCATATTGGTCAGTCTGGTCTTGAACTCCTGACCTCAGGTGATCCACCTGATTCGGCCTCCCATAGTGCTGGGATTACAGGCTTGGGCCACAGCTGCCAGCCTAACTTTGGGAAATTTTAAAACATATACTGAGAGCATGGGGGAGTAAAATGAACCCCCATGTACTCATCATCTGCTTCAACAGTTCCCAGCTTATGATGAGTCTTGGGGTGTAGCTGCCTCTGTATGCTTCCCTCTCTCCCAGCCACTGTTTAGATGCAAATCCCTGACATGCTGTTAGTTCATCAGAAATGACTTAAATAGGAATCTCTAAAAAATAAAGTATCTTTTAACAAATAGATATAAATGTAATACCATCCTCATGCCTAAGAAACTAACAATAATTCCTTGATATCAAATGTCCAATGTTCACATTTCCCTAGTTATTTCATTCATGATTTTTACTATTGGTTTGCTCATTTAAGATTCCGGACGTGGTCTACACCCTGTATTTGCTTACTGAAGGTTTTACAATCTCTTTAAGTTAGTCATCTGCCCTGTAGAATTTTCCATATTCTGAGTTTTGCTGATTGCTTCCTCATGGTGTCATTTAACACATTCCTCTGTTCCCTGTATTTCCTGTAGATTTCCTGCATACCTTGTGAATTCCTAGTTTGTTTTTACACAAGGTCTCACTCTGTTGCTCAGGCTGGAGTACAGTTGCATGATCGTGGCTCACTGCAGCTTCAACTTCCCAGGCTCAGATGATCCTCCCACCTCAGCCTTCCTGGTAGCTGGGACTACAGGTGTGCACCACCACGCCTGCCTAATTTTTTGTATGTTTTGTAGAGATGGCGTTTCACCATGTTGCCCAGGCTGGTCTCGAACTCCTGGGCTCAAGTGATCTGCCCACCTCTACCTCTCAAAGTGCTAGGATTACACGTGTGAGCCACTGCACCTGGCCTCTAGTTAGTTTTAGACCTGTGCTGTCCAATACCACGGCCACCAGCCACACATGGTCGCTGAGCACTTGAAATGAGGTCCTCATTGAGATGTGCTCTAAGTGTAAAACGCACACTGGATTTTGAAGACTTAGTATGAAAAAAAATATACAGTATCTCACTACTCATTTTTTGTATTGATTATATGTTGAAGTGATAATATATTTGATATATTGGGTTAAAATATATTATTAACATTGATTTCACCTGTTTTACTTTTTTAAAATGTGGCTACTAGAATATTTAGTTTTAAACATGTGGCTTGCATTGTATTTCTATTGGAGAGCACTGATCTAGAGATTTGGTTGATTTGGATTAAAATTTTCGGCATGATTCCTCTCTAGGTAGGTGTTTCTGTGCACTTCCAGTTGCCTCACTCCAGGGTCCCTCATGCCTTGGTGGGGGTCTTTCTTGCTGTGGTTGATGGGCAGGTTCTGGTGCTGGCTGCCTGATCTATCCATCACCACCCCCATCACCTTTCCTGCTCATGTTCCAGTGGGCACCAGCAATCACTGCTCAGGTGCATTATTTCATTAGAGATTGCAAAGGGCAGGTGTTTTAGCTCTACCTTTCCTTCCTCATTTGTCAGATGGGATCATCCGAAGAAGGGCTTCACTTCATCAGCTACATGGTTGTTGCAATGTTTAGTGTGTACAGGAAAGGCAGCAGAAATGCTTCACTCTTCCCCTTTGTATCAAGTTTAGAGTAATAAACTGATTTTGTAGCATCTTCCAAAGGTTTTTTTTTAAATATCAACATGAATTCATGGATTTAAATTTATATTTGATGAATTTCTTTTTTATTAATAAAATTAATTGGCCACAAAATAATTATAATTAAAATAATAATTTTTTTTGAGACAGAGTCTTACTCTGTCACCCAGGCTGGAGTGCAGTGGCATGATCTCAGCTCACTGCAACCTCTGCTTCCTGGGTTCAAGCAATTCTCCTGCCTCAGCCTCCCAAGTAGCTGGGATTACAGGCACGCACCACCACACCCAGCTAATTTTTGCATTTTTAGTAGAAATGGGGTTTCTCCATGTTGCCCAAGCTGGTCTCAAACTCTTGGTCTCAAGCAATCCGCCCTCCTCAGCGTCCCAAAGTGCTGGGATTACAGGCGTGAGCCACCATGTCCGGCTTATTTGATGAATTTCAATTCCTTGCAGTTACTATTCTTTTGGATGCTCCGGTTGGCCCATTTTTGGCTGGTGGGAGCTTTTGAGTTTTGATTTTGATCCCTTGCCCTCTGGTAAACCTCTGAGTTCTTTCCTCTTCTTGGTAGGTTGGAAGATTCTCCCCCTAGATCGAGTTTTCGTAGAGCGGGGCCTGCCTGCATCCGTTGCTGCTCACCAGACCCAGAGTGTGGGGCTTCCTGCCAGCAGGCTATTCAGAGGAGCCGCCTTTCTCTTGGGCCTGGTTGCCAAGGTCCCAGCAAGAGGCTGGAGTTGAGGAGACAGCCAGCGCGGCTGGCCTGGGCCCCACGCATAGTAGGTGTTCCGGAAACGGCTGTTGAGTGAATGACAGGACTGCAAGCTGATCTGCCATACCACCTGGCTGGAGTGGGCTCCTTTCCACCCCGGGATTCTCCAGGAGGCCAGTTTGCAAATAGAGCTGGCCTTTGTTTCTCTGCCGTGTCGGGGACACCTTCCTGGGGCTGAGCCGGCGTGGAGCTGGGATTGTACCTCCAGCTTGTGCTGAGGGTGCTGACTTGGGAACCCCCCGGTCCGTTCTGGCCTGGCTGCTGTGCAGACCCGTGGGTCTAGGCAATGGGGCAAGGGTCAGATGGGTCAATTCCCAGAGTGGAGCTGCCTCCTGTTTCCAGGCCAAGCCGTTTTGCAAGGGACACAGGCATGGCCCTAGCTGGCTCCAGACTTAGTGCCATTACTTCCTGGTGTGAATATTTAAGATTCCAGCTCTCGGATCCTCTGGGCTGGCTTTCATTCCACTGACTTGCAACCTTTGCCCTGTTGTCTTTGCCCAAACCATATTTGCTGCGCTTCCCTCAGCCTAGGTGGGGCATTCTTGCCCCCACTGCCCAGTGCAATCCTGGGGCTAGAGGAAGGCTTTGTGTTTTGACCCCAAAACAGACCATGGGGTTTCCGTTGTGGTTGCTGCTGCTAGTTTAAAAGAAAAACAACAAAAACAAAACAAAACAAAAACGCCGCCAGCTTTGTTGATGTCCAGTGAATCTTCATCCCTAAAATAATGCATTTGTTTATGGAGACTGACTTCATGTATTTACTATAGAAGAGACTAGAATCCGGTGACACTTCCAGTCTATTTGAGGAATGGATTTGCATCTGGTTTTGTGGTGAAGAGGGTAGGTGTCCCAGCCCATGCAGTTGGAGGGGTGGGGCAGGCAGGGAGGAGGAGGGTGGCTGAGAAAGCTTCCCCTTTGTGGGGGCGTGTGGCCACCTCCAGAGGATCAGGGTGAGGGAAGCTTCCAGAAGTGGCATGAGGAGGGAGGAAGAGGCAGCCCAGTTTGACCTTAGGAACGAGGCTAACTTGGGGTGCAGTGGTCAGGAGTGTGACGAGACCATCCAGGTTCCAACCCAGCTGGCTACTCATTAGTCCATGACCTTAGACAAGTGGTTTGCGCTCACTGAGCCTCCATTCTTCATCTGCAAAATGGGTGTACTGTGAGAATTAGATGGGACAGCCTATTAATTAAGACTTTAGCGTGGCTCTCAGCACCGCATGGGCACCCCTGGTAGATCTAGTGTTGCGGTCAATCGCGGTGGCTCTGGAGCCTGAGAGCCCAGGAGAAGGTCATGGCTTCACCCCTTATAACCTGGGTCCCCGTGGGTTTGTTTCCAGACTTCTCTGTGCCTCAGTCTCCTTATCTGTAAAGTGGAGGAAACAGTATTTCCTGCTTCCCAGGGTGGTTGTGAAGATTAAGTGACTTAATACACAATCCTTAGGCTGCTGCCTGGCCTGTGTGTGTGCCGTGCCAGTGTGCGCCATGGTGGCTCTAGCTGTTGCTCATACTAACATCTTTCAGAGGAGCTACCACAGACCAAGTGGGGCGCTGGGGTCCAGTAACAGAAAATGCGATGAACACTCCCCTGAGCATCGTTGTTCGAGGGCCTGCTGTGTGCCAGGCCCAACAGCCCTGGAGGAAGGTCATATCCTTCCCATTTTCCAGAGCTGGAGACTGAGGCCAGGAGGTGACCCATGGCCACGTGGCCTGTCCTGGCAGGAGTGCCCTGTCCCAAAGCTCTCAGCCTTTTCCCTGTGCCAGACCGTCTTCTCCCAGTTAAACTAGAAGCATGACTCCAGCAGAGAGAAACCTACTGGGGGCTGTGCTTTATTCTGGGCTCTAGGGCTGAAGGATTGACCGGGCAGGTGAGGCTGAACCCTCTCACCTGTCAGCGAGGCCTCAAAATGACTCACAGCTGAAAGGAACACCTTGGCCTTCTGATTCTCATCCTTGAAGCGTTGTGGTCCCTCACGCTTCTAGATGGAAAAACACAAGGTCTGTGTTGGAGGGCACTGACGTGTGTGGCGATGTAAGGAGAGGCACAGCTGATCTTGGCTTTGAAGGCTGGGTGGGCGGGCACCACTGGGCTTCTGTTTCAGAGAACGCACTATTGATTTACTATTGAGTGCTTTGGGAGCACAGGGCCAGGGCTGGGGATAATGGGAGGCGTGTTTCGTCAGCCCAAGAGCATCGTTAAGTGGCCATCAGGAAATCACAGGGCTGGAGGGGCTCTCAAATGAAGCATCACCGGCTTTATTCTTTTAGCAAATGTGTATCCTGCACCAGGCGCTATTCTAAGGACCGGAGGTTGGTAGCTGTGCCAGTCTGGGCCTGTTTGCCCTTGGGGTCCGTTCCTTGTCCTTGCTCTGATCTGCTGGGTGTGGTCGGGAGCCAATCTCTGTAGGTTCTTGTGTCCCAGGCTCCCGTGTCACTGGATTCAACCCGTGGGAGGAGCTGCTAGGAGGTTGGAAGGCAAGAGGAATGGAGAAGCCAGTGTTTCTACCTCCCTCAGTCTCCAGAGGCCACTCTGATGGCACCTGCAACTCCTCCGTGGCTCCAGCTCCCACTGGACGGACCCTATGGCCTGTCCTCTGTCGGCGCTTCCAGCCCCTGGGCCTCAGTCCTGCCACCTCCCCTGTGTCTCTCTGGCCTGCGGGTGGGGGCAGCTTCCTGCTGTTGCTAATCTCTGGGTTGCTCCATTGCCCCCGTTTGGGTTCTGGGATCTCCTTCCTTGTGTACCCAGTGCCCTGCGTTGGAGTCTCTCAGTTCCAGTGCCCAAGTGGCTTCCATCTCCTGGTTGGACTCTGACTGATCTAGCAATGAAGGTGACATGGCCCCAGCTTTGGGGTGGTTTCTAGTCCAGTCACTTGACTTCAGCAGCCCATTTTCTCACTCTTGATTCCTCCGGGGATTTTCTAAAATACACATGGAATCGCGCTTCTCTCCCGTTTTAAACGTTCTTCTAGCTCCCCCGGGTCCCCTCGTCCACCCGAGTAGGACTGCAATCATATTGAGCTGCTTTCTTTTCCTAAAGGAGCTCTACTTCGGTTCAGCCCTTGGTTTCTGCAGATACGTGCCGTGTTCCAGGCTTGGAAGCCCTCCCCACTCCCTTCCCTGGACACTCTCCCTGGACACTCTCATGCTCTTGCTCTTGGCCAGCCAGCTCTGCCTTCAGGACTCAGCTCATCGCCGTCAGAGGAAGCCTTCCCTGCCCTCCCAGCCTGGATGCATCTCGTCAGTGCGCGGGCACTTGTGCGTCACTGCTGGGGATTGGCTTGCTCTGGGCTGATAGCTTTAGTTGTCTGCAGCCAAACTGTGGGCTCCCTGGGGGCTGGGACCAGGGCTGGCTAGTGTACCACTGTGTCTGGGATGCCTGGCAATAGATATCGAAGCATCTAGGCATCTGTCCTCAGGAAATTCTCTCATGTTTGCATAGACACATACCCAAGTATGTGTCAGGTAGCATAGTGAAAAACCAGATGGCCTCCAAGGTCTTCAGTGAAAAACCACACGGCCTTCAAGGTCATCGGTGAAAAACCAGACGGCCTCCAAGGTCATCAGTGAAAAACCAGATGGCCTCCAAGGTCTTCAGTGAAAAACCAGAAGGCCTCCAAGGTCATCAGTGAAACCCAGACGGCCTCCAAGGTCATCAGTGAAAAATCAGGCAGGTTTCAAGGTCATCACTGAAAAGCCAGACAGCCTTCAAGGTCATCAGTGGAAAACCAGACGGCCTCCAAGGTCTTCAGCGAAAAACCAGACGGCCTCCAAGGTCATCGGTGAAACCCAGACGGCCTCCAAGGTCATCAGTGAAAAATCAGACAGCTTTCAAGGTCATCAGTGAAAAGCCAGACAGCCTCCAAGGTCGTCAGTGAAAAACCAGACGGCCTCCAAGGTCATCAGTGAAAAATCAGACAGCTTCCAAGGTCATCAGTGAAAGAATAGGTCAGTATGTCTTAGTACATTGATTCTGTGGAATATGATGCAGCAATGAAAAAGAATGAAGTGAATCTAAAATGCATGACTGTGGAAAGATATCCAAGACATGTTATTGTCTAAGACTCATCACACAAATGCATAACACAAAGGTATTTTTTAATATGTATATGATTGCATAGAAAAATGAGACCAAGGAAACACCCTCCTCTGGCAAGAGAGTGGGCTTGAATTCAGGTAAAGGGGATTTTGTTGCTTTTCACACTTCTCATTTCTATATTATTCAAATTGTAATGACAGCCCTGTATTCACATATTAGCTGTGAAATTGCAAAGTATGTAATAGGCCATTATGAGAAAGAAAAAGCCCCACATTTTAGCCAGTGTGTCCTTGGAGTCTCCCCCGACAATGCCAGGGAAGTGGGAAACATTTTTTCCTGAAGAAATGTGGAGCAGAGGCGATTCTCTGGGTGTGTTTAGGAAATGATCCCATCCTTCGGGAATGCCGTTTTTGGAGTTCGACGTTCTCTGGAGGCTTGGGAGATGCAGCCAGGGCGCAGAGTTGGCAGTGGCTGCAGACATCTCTTTTCAATGTGGACCTCCTGCCACAGCCACGAGATTCAAGGATTTTCTAGGAAAATGAACGCCAGTGGATGTGTGGAATTTTTTCACAAAGTAAGTGACGGGGGTCCCTTTGCACTTCTCATGCCCCCATGGTTAATTGTGTGTGTGTGCTGGAAGTGGAGGAGGGCGGTGGGTGGTGCAGCTGTTTGAGGACTCACCCTTCTTCGGAAGGCTGGGGTCAATGGGGTGCTGTTTCCCCGAGTCAGTTGAAACGCCCATGGCTAAAGCCTGTGGATCATCTCACCCCTGCATTTCCTATTTGGCTCTCACTTTGGTCGAAAGACAGCGGAGCGCAGAAAATCTGTCATAATTGTGAAAGTAGGACCTGTCATCCTCTAAGGGTCATTCTTCCTGGCCCACCGGGCTTGTTGACACCTGGAGTTGGGTAGCAGAGAGAGGGATGTCGGGACCGTGAATTAACAGTGGCCACCACTTCATGGTGAATGGCATCCAGACAACACCTTCACCTGTCTGGGGAAGAACATAGGCTAGGCCTGGGAGAGGCTGTCTACTGAAGTCCCTGCAGGGGTCCAGGCTGGACTATACCCCTCCAGCTTGGCGAGAGAGCCAAGGACCAGCAAGGGAAGTGATGTACGCTGAGAACCGTCCGGGCGCCCAGCACGGGTCAGGGCCTTTGGCTTACAGGCTGTGTTTATTTCTGAGCAGCCCTATGCAGTTGGCATTAGCATCCTACCGTTCCCACTAGCCAGCTGGGACTCAAACCGATTAAGTAACTGTCTACCTGCTTCCTGTGTTCTGTGTCTGTTGGTGTTGATTAAAAAATATAAAAGGCCAGGTTCATGCCTGTAATCCCAGCACTTTGGGTGGCCGAGGCAGGAAGATCACTTGAGCCCAGGAGTTCAAGACCAGCCTGGGGCAACATAGCGAGACCTGCATCTCTATTTTTTTTTTTTTTTTTTTGAGACAGAGTCTCACTCTGTTGCCCAGGCTGGAGTGCAGTGGTGCGATCTCAACTGACTGCAACCTCCGCCTCCCAGGTTCAAGCAATTATCTGCCTCAGCCTCCTGAGTAGCTGGGATTACAGGCGCCCGCGCCACGCCTGGCTAATTTTTGTATTTTTATTAGAGACGGGGTTTCACCGTGTTGGCCAGGCTGGTCTTGTACTCCTGACCTTGTGATCCACCTGCCTTGGCCTCCCAAATTGCTGGGATTCCAGGCATGAGCCACTGTACCCGGCCTCAAAATATTTTTTAACAGAAGTAGCAGGGTGTGGTGATGCCTGTAGTTGCAGCTACTCAGGAGGCTGAGGTGGGAGGATCACTTGAGACTGGGAGGTTGAGGCTACAGTGAGCTGTGATCGCGCTACTGCACTCCAGCCTGGATGACAGAGTGAGACCCTGTCTCAAAGCAAACACACACACAAAAAGTAAAATCCCTGTGATTATATTTTTGCTAGTACTTGCTAAGCTGTAGCTGCTTCAATTTGAGAGCAGAGCCTGGGCTGCCCAAAGAAAGTCCTGACCCCTTAACTCAGAACTCCGTCAGCAGAGGAATTGGGTTCTCTGGGCTGTTCTCTACTCAGGCACACCCTTGCTGGGCCTCCCATGCCCCAGGGCAGTCCAGGAAATAGTGTGTGCATGGTGGAGGGGAAGGACCTTGACTGAGACCAGACAGGGTTGGAATCTTGGGTCTCCTACTTCCTGTCTCTGTGACCTTGGCCAACCATTTAACCTCACTTGAGGAAATTGAGCCTCAGTTTCCTCATCTGTAAAGTGGGGTTGTTATGACGATAAGACAGGATAAAACACATGAAACAGCCAGCATTTTACCACTTTTAACCTACAGAACGGCAGTTTGACATGGCTCACTCAAGTATGTCCATCATGGAGATGCCTCAGTGAGGTGCTGGGACATGGTAGACTCAGTAATGTTCCCTTCCTCTCCTCCAGCCCTCAGTGTTGAAGGCTTTGTCATCCTGAATGGCGACGAATGGGAAGTGAGCTCTGAAACTGAAACCACCATTTGGGGACAAAAGCTGGCATTGTAGTTGTGGCTCTCTGGGAAGGTCTCATCTGTCTTCTCGGGGCTGTTCCCTAAAGCTGTCATTACGCTGGCTTTGCGGCAGGGGTGCAGCAGCAGTGGGTGGTGATGCGGCTGCTCTTGAGTGGCCTGGTGGGGTCATTTCAGTTTCAAGGCCTTGGAGAGTGTGCTTAGCAGGTGGGGCCTAAGATTTGCATTTCAGCTGCCCAGGTAGTCAAGAAGCGGTATAGCAAAGCGGCTGTGAGCCCATTCTCTGGAGTCCTGCTGGCTGGGTTTGAACCCCAGGTCTGCCTCTTGCCTGCTGGTGCACTCAGCCAAGTTACTTCATCTGTCTGCCTCGATTTCTTCATCTCTAGTGGTTTCTACCTCAGAGACTCTGGGAGCCACAAACAGGATCCCACTTCTTGAACAATGCCTAGAACAAATAAGCAATTTCTATGCTGTAGAGAGTGTTTGCTTACTTAAAATAATGCTTATTAAAAATTGGCGGGTGCAGTGGCTCATACCTTTAATCCCAGCACTTTGGGAAGCCAAGGTAGGAGGATCATTTGAGCCCAGGAGTTCAAGACCAGCTTGGGCAAGATAGTGAGACCCCATCTCTCAGAGAGAGAGAGAGGGAGGGAGGGAGGAAGGGGGAGAGAGAGAGAGAGAGAGAGAGAGAGAGAGAGAAGATAGAAAGAAAGAAAAAGAAAGAAAATCAAGATGAGCTGTGATTAATAAGTAGGGCCTGATTATTGGAACTTGGCATTGGATATAATTAAGTTGATCAGAATTTCTCATGACTGGAGAGTCAGACAGTCTGCCCATTGTGCTGTGTGACCTTGGGCAAATAACTTAACTTCTCTGAGCCTCATTCCTGTGTAAAATGGGTGTAGGAAGTGAGGAATTAGGTTTATAAGAAGGGTTGTGAGGAGGAAGTCAGAGGCTGCTTCTGGGAGGGCCTAATCCTGGTGCCTGGGTCTCCCGTAGGAGCTGCTGTCGTGAGTGTGTGGCTAAATTGTGGGGAGCTCCCTGGGTTTCGCATCCTCTTTAAATTAGCGGTGGCATGTGTCAGAAAAAGGACCCCCCGCCCCCTGGGCTCTTCACTGATGCATTTTGCCCTGGAGCTTTTTGCAGCCTGGGAACAGGAATGTGCTTTATACAAGATTTAATTTTGGGATAAATTCTTGAGGAACAGGAGGAGGGCTTTTATACCAAAAAATGGATTGTTCTGGAAGGCTTTTCTTTGTCACTGCCCGGTCGCCGTGACTGTGGACCATGGGACCCTTTCAGCCCCGAGGCCTTTCGGCAAGCCTTCCTGAGTGGCCTCTGCATCATTGCTTGCTGAGCGGATGGTACTGCACGGTTGCCATGGTAGCAGCAGGATGTGGTTCCTATGGTGATGGTCGGCAGTGGCAGGAAGACAGCAGAGGTTTTAGTTATCTGGTGGCTTCGCATTTGCCACCCCCCCCCGAATAGCAAACACGAGCTGCCCCCGCTGTCGTTCTGCTCTGTAGAACCACCGGTGACCGCCAAGGTCGGCTGCCTCCCTGAAATGCCACTGCAGGTTCTTGGAAGGACTGGGTTGCAACAATAGCATTTCTGCTTCCAGAAGAGGAGGGGGCTGAGTGTCTCTAAGGGTGCGTCACCTGAGGGGAGGGTGCTTATATTCACACTCTGAACCTAGCAGGTCGAGTCTGTGCGGAGCTTCTTCAAAAAGCCCCTCCCTGGAGTGAATTTTCTTTTCCTTCTAAGTCTTGTGTATTTGTAGACAGATGTGGGATGATGAGCTAACAGGAGAAACCAATTGGCTTTTGAAGCTCCTATGATACCTTGTAGATTTCAAAATGGCCAGTTTAGGGGGTCAGTTGGGTTTTCAAACATAAGATACTTTTCTACAATTGGGAGTTGGCCGAGATTAGGGAAAGGAGAAAGGTATCCTGAGTGTTCCCTTGTCTTTTTGGTATCCTATATCTTACAGATAGAATTTCTCCAAGAAAGGCCAGTGTCTGATACAGTGAAATGCAGGGTACAGAATATTGTTTCCTTTTTATCCAGGAAGGCGAGAAGAAAAGCGTATAAGCAGGATTTCAGAGGTGCTGTTACAATTTAAGAGTAAATCTGATATTTAGGAGCCAAGTGCAGACGGATGAGGTTTCTGCTTGTCCATTCACACTTGATAAGGCTGCCACTGCCTAAGACAAGGGAAATGTCAGACATCTTTGCTTCTAGCTGGAATCCTATCAACCCAGTGTGGCAACACCGATTCGCCCACGATGATCAGGAGCTCCCATTGGCGATCGATGATGTCACTGGGTTTCCTGGAGTGTGATTGGTGGGTTGGGCCCTGTCATCAGAGCCCTAAGCCAGGTGGCCACACCTGGATTGACACAGGAGGGACACAGCTTCAGTGCTGCTCCATCCACTGAAGCACACCCAGAGCTCCCTGAGGGTCTATGCAGTGCCCAGTAGAGTTCTCCTTCTCACTTGAAGTAGCCAGAGGCCAGAGGGGTGTCTTCTGGCATAGCCATGGGGTGCCTGGGCCTGGATTTTTGTTAGAAGGGTGCCATTTAGTGAGCACTGCATACTGTGATAGACTTTTCTTCTTTTTGAATTTTGAAAAGTAAAAAGAATAAACACACAATTTAGCATACCCAATCAGTAGGACATGTGGCTTCACCACCTACTGATGTCAAGATGCCTTCCAGGTTGGTTAACAAATAAACAAGCAAACAGGAAGCAAAAGCCACAAAGATTAGTATCATAAAATCGCATTTCTACCGCCCCGACTAGAGCATTGTTAGTATGTTGTCCTCTTTGCTTTGCCTTTTTTTTAAGTGAAAGAAATAAAACATTACTGGAAAAGGTATAATTACTTGACATTCACCTCTAATTTACTACCCACCTCCAGGTACCCCCTTATTGTAAGTCCCTTGTGCATCTTCACATTTAAAATATTTTTACACACACACACACATAATCATAAACAATATATAACATTTCTTTGTATATGGTTTTTTTTTCTTTTTTTGAGACAGTGTCTCATTCTGTCACCCAGGCCGGAGTGCAGTGGTTTGATCACAGCTCACCGCAGCTTTGACCTCTGAGGCTCAAGTGATCCTCCCACCTCAGCCCCCCAAGTAGCTGGGACTACAGGCACGCATCACCACATCTGGCTAATTTTTTGGTAGAGACAGGACTTCGCTATGTTGCCCAGACTGGCCTCGAATTCCTGGGCTCAAGTGATCCTCCTGCCTTGGCCTCCCAAAGTGCTGGGATTCCAGGTGTGAGCTACCGCGCTTTGCTTTGTGTATGTTTTTAAAGTTCCCTTGCAGCTTGCCTTTTTCCACCCTATCCGACGATGCTCATGTGTTGGAGATCTCTCCGTTGATTCCTGAATATCTAGTTCATTTCTTTTGATTACTGTGGAGTCACTCCCTGTTTGCCATCTTGTTCCATCTGAGTGCGAGGCCTGAATGGGGGACAGACTCACCCCCTGTCACACAGAAGGACGTGGGGCCCACAGTCACACGGCCGCAAGGTGGGTCTGGTACCCTCCCAGCACATTTTGGTTGGACTCCAGAAGCAGGGCTTCCCTCACGATACCTCAAGCTTACCTGGGCCCCGGCCAAGCAACTGACTCATCCAGTCTGACAAATCCAAATTCTCGAGTCACTCAGCCCAACCGTGGTTGCCTCATTTAGATCCCAGCCAAACCCCCTTCCCGCGAAAAGCCATGGTGGCCTAGAACGAAGTCTGGAAAAGAACCAAGAGGACAGCATCTTTTGTCTGGAGAGCACCGTGCCTGTTCTCCAACCACCTCGTAGCCCCTGGTGGAGCCTCCCTCCTCCCCCAGGAAGAAGGTGAGCTGAGTCACCACCAGGTAACCCTGAACCTCGCTCAGACACAGCTTCCTTTAGCTAGGAGCCTGGATGTAACACCCAGCTCATCCCTTGGCTCCCTCCAAACGTCAAGGCGTCTTGAACTAAAAGCCAGCGCCTGCACACCGGCAGAACTTTGCAGCTCCTGGCTCCTGAGTTGTAGGTGTTTTTGCCAGGTGTGCCTGTACGTGTGTATGTGTGCCCATGGGTGGACAGTGTTTCTGTGCTCCTTGGAGTAGGCTTATTTTTCTGTCTCTTAAACTGGCTCCCTTGGCCTCTGCCTCTTTCACGGGTTCCATGCGGAACCCTCTGACCTGTGAGGTGCTAGGCTTGTCACAGCATCTATTAGGAGACCTGAAAGACAGGACCCTGTAATGCCACGATCCATTGCTTATAAAGGAAGCCAGTATTGGGGTCAGACAGAGCTGGATTCTCTCAATTGCTCAGCAAGTGTTTATTGAGCACCTCCTCTGTAGTGGGCTCTGGGGGTAACATGGCACATGAAACAGAGATGGTGTCTGTCCCACTGGAGCTTAGAGGGGCAGAGACTGTCTACAAGTGACAGAGAGATACAGAGAGAATTATAAGTCTGAGTTCTTCAGCCAGTCTGGCTCTGCTATGTCCTAGACAGGTGACCTTGGGTGAGTTAACTAAGTCATCTGTAACGTGTTAGCCACAACCTACTAAGCTCGTGGGGTTATCTGGAAGTCTTGGTGAGACAGTGTCTGCAAAATGCTTATCGCCAAGCCAGGCACGTCATCATTGCCCAAGGTATGGCAGCTGCAGCCATCACGGCCCTCATTTTGCAGATGCCGAAATTGAGGTCAGAGAGGTGAAGTAACTTGCCCACGGTGGCACAGCTCATTAGTGGGTTTGGCGGCACAGGCCCTGCTCAGAGCCACCCAGCGACTCAGCTGTCAGTCACAAGTGAGGCTGTTCCTATTCTTGACAGTAACTGCGCCTTCCCATGTTCTGCAGGGAGCATTTTTATTTCTTTTCTTTCTTTTTTTTTTTTTTGAGATGGAGTCTCATTCCTCTGCCCAGGCTGGAGTGCAGTGTTGCTATCTTGGCTCACTGCAACCTCCACCTCCCAGGTTCAAGTGATCCTCCTGCCTCAGCCTCCTCTTAGTAGCTAGGACTACAGGCACATGACATCATGCCTGGCTGATAATTGTATTTTTAGTAGAGATGGGGTTACACCATGTTGGACAGGCTGTTCTCAAACTCCTAACCTCAAGTGATCCGCCCACCTCGGCCTCCCAAAGTACTGGGATTACAGGCATGAGCCACCATGCCTGGCCCCTATTTTTATTTCTTTAAATTATTCATTTATTTTTTATTTTTATTTTATTTGTTTATTTTTTCTTGAGATGGAGTCTTGCTCAGCCACCCAGGCTGGAGTGCAGTGGCACAATCTCGGCTCCCCACAACCACCATCTCCCAGGTTGAAGCGATTCTCATGTCTCAGCCTCCCAAGTAGCTGGGGTTACAGGCACCCGCCATTATGCCTGGCTAATTTTTGTGTTTCAGTAGAGACAGGGTTTCACCATGTTGGCCAGGCTGGTCTTAAACTCCTGACCTCAGGTGATCCGTGCATCTCGGCCTCCCAAAGTGCTGGGATTACAAGCATGAGCCACTGCCTCTGGCCCCTATTTTTATTTCCTTAATTTTTTTTTTATTATGGTCAAATACATATAACGTAAGGTTTACCATTTTAAATCTTAAAAAACATTTTTTTTAAGAGACAGAGTATGGCTATGTTGCCCAGGAACTCCTGGGCTCAAATGGTTCTCCTCCGTCAGCCTCTCAAGTAGCTGGGAGTACAGATGTGTGCCACTGGCCTAGCCAATCATTTTTAAATGTTAAAGTTCGTTGAGTACATTCATATTGTCATGCGACCATCCACCATCATCCATCTCCAGAACACTGTCATCTTCTCAAACTGAAACTCCGTCCTCATTAAATGATAGCTCCACATTCTGCCTACTCCCGACCCCTGGCAATCACTTTTCTGCTTTCTGTGTGTATGCATTTGACTCCTCTAGGAACCTCGTATGAGTGGAATCAGAAGATTTGTCTTTTTGTGACTGGCTTATTTTACTTAGCGTAATGCTCTCAAGGTTCACCCATATTGTAGCATGTATCAGAATCCTTTTTTTTGTTTAAAGGTTGACTAATAATACGTGTGTGTGTGTGTGTGTGTGTGTGTGTGTCTGTGTGTGTGTGTGTGTTCGTCCATTCAGTTTGTCCGTTTGCATTTCAGTTGCTTCTGCGTTTTGGCTTTGAGAATAGTGCTGCTGTGAACATTGGTATATAAGTATCTTTTTGCATCCCTGCTTTCAGTTTGTTTGGGTCTATACCTAGGTGCAGAGAGCATTTTCTCGTCAGGAGTAAAACAAAAGGGACAAAAGAAAGCTCCTGACTTCCAGGAATTCTCAACCTTGGGTCCTTGGATAGAATTCAAGTGATCTGTGAACTTGGATGTGGCATTTTAAAAAAGACATCTTTATGGTCACCAACCTGTAACTGAAATTTAGCATTTGTTTCCATGACGGCTGTAGGCAGTACCAATCACAGTGGTGTTAGCAGTGCCTGTGACTTAGTCATCAATAGAAATCGCGGGTGTTTGCATATTTCATTCCTGTTGTTGTGGATATCTTGGAATATCATTACATTCATCAGTACCCCAAAGTTACAGTAGTTATCAGGCCCACAGCTAGGTCTTGTTATACGATGGATTAATAAAGAGGGGATCTGTTACTCCATTGGAAATTTTAAGGGATATTTTGATAGCTGTTTTTCATTATGATCAGCTTCCTTTCCTTTGCAGTTTCCTATTTATTTTATACTTTTAAGAAGATTACTCTAAGAAGGGGCCCAGAGGCTTCACCAGACTACCAAGGGGTCCAAGGCACAAAAAAGCTTAGGAAGCCCACTCTTGCCTTGCAGAGGTGCCCCCGGGAGGGGTCACAGTGAAGGCCCCAGCCCGCCAGAGGAGCAGGTTTGCGTTTGGTTTCTGGGCAGCTCTGTGGAAGGCAACCCAACTTCCTTTGGAAGGGCCCTGAGCCTCTCTCTACCCACTCCAATATAAGAAGAGAAATTTTGCTTTATAATGAGCAGGAATCTTCTCTCAGTTCCTTGGATGGCTTTGGACATGTTTTGAGTTTGTTTGGATTCCCAGGAGTGAGCACACAGGGCGTGAGCTTTGCAGTTTGGGGCCTGGTTTCTGAAGAAGTTGCAAACAGGGTGATGGTGCAGTTCAGACAACACGCGCGGGCCAGGCAGGCCTGGACCTGAAAGGAATGTGTTTTCTTGGTTTTTGTCTGCTACAGAATTTCTCAGCTCTCCAGCTCGTTGGCTCAAAGTGTGTCAGGAAAGGGGGTGCTGGGTAACAAGACGATGGTGGAGAGTGAGGTTTGCAGACACACCCTGGCTTGGCCGGGAGCCCACGGTGGGGGAGGTTGGCTGAGTGTGTAAGAGCCTTTGGGTTCACAGCCTGCATGCCAGAAATATCATTTATCGTCAGTAATAATGATAATGCCTGATGGACGGGTAAAGGAATAGCTAGATACCAGAAAAAAACACCAACAGGGACATGTTCATTGTAGAATCTAGGTGGTGGGTGTAAGGGTATTCATCCATTCTTTTCTTCTTCTTTCTTTTTATTGAAGTATTACTTACTTTCAAAAGTACACAACCAAATGAACAGCTCCATGAATTATCCCATCTCATGGACCTACCACCAGGCTATCAGTTGGATTTTGTTTCTACCATGGAAGCATCCTCAGACTTTTCCCAGAGACCACCCTTCATCCTCCTCCCCCGCGATAACTCTCCTGACCACAGTGTCTGTGTTTATTTAGTTTTTTTAGAAGCTTCAACTTTACAGAAAGCAAATCAATGCGTGTTCTTTTATGTCTGGCCTCTTTGGCTCCACATGTGTTTGTGAGCTTCATCTACATTCTGTTTAGAGCTGAAGGTTATTTATTTTTGTTGCTGGATCACATTTTATCCTAAAAATATCCCATTCTACTGACGGTGGGCATTCACGTTGTTGCCTTCTTAGGCTTTTATGAATAATACTGCTAGGAAGTCTCTTGCGTATGCCTTTTTGGGAATGTGTGCATGAAATTCTGTTGGCTTATAGTTAGGCATGAGTTGCCATTCGCTGGTATTGCATAGGTTCACCTTTTGTAGAGAAAACCAACCTGTTTTCCAAAGTGGTTGTACCAGTTTACATTCCCAGGAGCAGTATGGGTGATTTCTGGTTGCTTCATATCTATGCCAACTTGTTATTGTCAGTCTTTTAAATTTTAGCCATTTTGGTGGGTATATAACAGTATTCAACTTTTCTTTAAGTCTGAAATTTTTCATAATAAAATGTTGGAGAAAAATATCCTTCACATTCATGACAACTTCATAGAAAAATAGTATTTTTAAGGAGATGGTTGAAATTGGCGCTTGTCTGGTCTTGGAGTGAAGACTTTTTTTTTTCATTCTAAACAATGCCAAGGCTGGCCCTTCCTCCTATGACCCTGTGGCTCCCCAGTCCACCATTGGTCTCATGCTGAATGCTGGATACATTTTTAAAAGCTGGGTGTAGCCAGAGACAGGGGCCCGGAGTGAGGTTGGGAGTACCTTGAAGCTGTGCTCATGCATTGAATTGATATGACCAGAGGTGGAGCGTGGAGCTGGTTCCTGGCCTGGTAGAAGTTCTTACACTTTTTGCTGGTCCCAGAGAGATGTACTTTTGAGTCAGCCTGGGAAATTAAAATAGTTCATTGAGTTTTGGCTAATTCTGGTAACTATTCCTAGAATCCTCCTGGTCATTGGTTTGAGGTCACAGCTACCTGCTTGCTGGGGCTTCCCTCTCTGACTTAGCACAAATGATGCCCAAGTCTTGAGCTTCTTCCTCATGTTGTTAACTGCTCAGCTGAGTTATTTCAATGGCATGAAAGAAACATAGAATTAAGGTCATAGAGCATGGTCCTAATTCATGCCTGCTCGCCCTGCTTTACTGCCATCATCATCTATCTCCTTGCTTTCACTCAACAAATATTTGGTGAGCGCGATTTTTTTGTTAGGCACTCACCCATGCTCCCTCCCTTCCTTTCTCCTCTCCTTCAGTTTGTTTGCCTACCAGTCCATGCACCCACCCGTCCATCCACCCACCCATCCCTCCATCTATCCGCCCATCCCTTTATCCCTTCATCCATCACTTACTGATGGCTTTACCCATTGTAAATCAGGCCTTGGCTAGATACAGATGAATGAGCTGTGGTCCTTGCCTTTGAAGTATTCCCCCATACTGTGACAAATGATTAAATAGTTATTCATAATGCAGCATGACACGGATATAAGGGGGGAAGAAGAGAGAGGTCTCTAGGGCAGGTTGGGAGGATGAAGAAAAGCTTTCTGGAGGTCACAATGCTATTGCTGCATCTTGAGAATATCTTGGGATGGGCCCGTGAGGGAGGGTAAAGAGAGAGATTGGGGGCACATGGTTTCTCAGATGGTACATGATACAGAGGGTAGCCATGCTTGGGACACTCAGTGAGCCCCGAGTCACCGAGTGTGGGTGGGCAGAGTGTGAGGGGCTGGGTGACATAGATGGCTCTGGATCTGTCAGCAGTTTGGTTGGGGCTTGTTGGTCTTCGAGGAGATGGGCTGTGAAACTGTGGGGCAGTGAGATCTGTGTGGTGGACAGACTCATGGGCCCTCAAAGATGCCCATGTCCTACTCCCCAGAAATGGAATATGCTGCCTGCAGGATGAAGAGGATTCCGCAGAGGAGACTGGGTTGAGGAGCTTGGGATGGGGAGGTTACCCTGGATTATCCAGGGGGGCCAGTGTCATCACAGGGGTCCCTACCAGGGACAGAGGGAGGTGGGAGAGTCTGAGTCTGAGGAGGAGATGTGCGGAGGCAGAGAGCAGCCTTGCAATTCCCGGCTTTAAGATGGAGGAAGGAGCCACCAGCCAAGGAATGCAGGCAGCCTTGGAGAACGGGCAAGGATACTCCTTCTCCTCTGGAGGCTCCAGAAGGAGCCAGCCCTGCCCACACCTTGATTTTAGCCTTGTGAGGCCGTGTTGGGCTCTGACCTCAAGAACTGTAAGAGAAGAAGCCATTGCGTGTGTGGCCATTTGAGCAGCCATAGGAACCTTATACATGGGCAGGTGCAGGGACATCTGAAAACCTTTGTACGAGGGTCCGCATTAACAGTGAGAGGATAGGGTTTTTGGCTGGGGACAGTAAGACCATCATCACTGCGTGAAAACCTTCTCAAAGAGTCCATCTTTCAGTCAGGCCGCTATAAATTTATCTCTATAGATCATTCGTTGTTAAAATTAAGCCCAGGGGGAAAATCAGACTCATTCAGGATCAAGGAAAGTCACAGAATCTGATCCATTCCTACCAGGGTCCCACGTCTTATGAGGCTCCAGCCTTCTTACTAGAGGATTCTGATACTTTATTACCCCAGGCGAATGTGATTTGAGTAGAGTCCTGCTTTTGGGGGAAATAAAATCCCAGTAAAGGTGGATCCGGATCCCTCAGGGACCTAGGTGCAGTTCCTGTTCCTCCCGTCTCGCCTCTGTTGCGCTGCAAGGTGGGGTGTGTAGTGAGTATCACTGTAACCTGTACTTTTCTAAAGTCAAACAGATTTCTCTTGGTGGGAGGACGTGTCTTTTGTGGGATCGGTGTAGCCCGTCTGAGTCAGTGACTCACCTGGCACCCCTGGCAGCTGACTTTCCTGGCAGTTCACTCGAGTCTCTTGCCTCTGCTCACAAAAGCCTGCGCCTTTATTCAGCTTTCCTCACCGCTTCCCAAGGCAGAGCAGAGCCTCTCCCGCCCGCCTCCCACATCTCTCCCTTAGCTGGGTGCCCGCGTGGCTGCTACCTCCGAGGCTTCTGTGTCACCGGGTAGTGGAAATGTCACCGAGTGTCAGAGCTTCGAGCCTCCTCCAGATCCATCCAAGGTGGCATCACTAAGTGGCATTTGTGTGCTAGGCACGTACCCTCTTTTACATACATTATCTTCGATCAGTTCAGCTTCTTCTGCATAAAAAAGAAATTTCTCTACCGTCCCAGGGAGAATAATTGGAAAAGCGAGCCCTGAGTACTCAGCCCACCCGCCCTTCTCCTGCTGAACTGTCGAACGTAGCCACCAGCTAGCCTGAGCTTGTTCTGATGTCTTCTGGGATCGTCATTGTTATGGGTTGAACTGTAGCCTTCAAAAGGCACGTTTACGCTGTAGTCTCTGTACCTGTGAGCATGACCTTCTTTGGAAATAGGGACTTTGCAGATGCGACCAAGTTAAGATCATGCTGGAGGTCATGCGGGAGGTCATGCTGGAGGAGAGTGGGCCCAAATCCAGTGACTGTGTCCGTAAAAGATGAGGGAAACTTAGACACAGAGAGACACACAGGGACGAGCACCGTGTGACAGCAGAGACAGATTCAGCTGCTAGCCAAGGAATGCCAAGGATTTTGGCAGCCCCAGAAGCCCCAGAAGCTGAGAGAGGTGTGGAGCAGATCCTGCCTCAGAGCCTCCGGAGGAAATCAACCCTGTTGACATCTTGACTTAGGACTCTCAGCCTCCAGAACTTTAAGAAAGCACATTGCTGATATGCAGGCCACCTGGTTTATGGTCTGTTGTTCAGGAGGCCCTTGGGACATCAATGCCCTCAGTCCAGTCTCGATTCTACGACCCTACCCGTGTTTTGTTTTTCACACCAGGCCGTCTCTACCCGCATGGTTAGTGCTGACCAAGTAGGAAGTTGGGACACTTGAGGCATCTCTGTGACGTGCTCACATGGCTTGAGGAGGCTCGGGCCACACCTCGAGGGGCAAGCCTGGGCCTGCCGCCCGACCTTTGCTTGGAGAACTGGGTTCACTGGGTTTAAGAATCATTCCTTTTCCTTCCAAGTTAACTGCTTTCAAGAGGTCAACCCGTGTGTCATGGCTTTTCCCAGACTGGCTGATTCAAACCATGTCACCACCAGGAAGGGGGAAACAGAAGATGATTGACTAAGAAACATTCATTTCTGTTGCAAATTACTAGTTGGGGCTAGTTGTTGATTATCTCACCTCCATTGCTATTTGTATTTAGAAATGGCTCATAAATTTGCTTACATGGGTTTGGTTTGTCTTCTAAATGAAATGATTGCACTGCACATACTTCTAAAACTGTCCTGCGATTTGATAGCTTCCATTTCATGGCGCTTCTTCTGGATGTCAGGCACTAAGTCGGGCGCTTTATTCTGTAGTTCTCCTAGCAATCTGGTGAGCTCCACTCTACAGATAAGGAAATCGAGGCCAAGGACAGCTAAAGAAGCGAGGTGCGCAAGGTGCCCAGGTCCGAAGTGTTTCCGCTGCTTTCAGACTGCAGTCCCAGGGCTCAGGAGTCCATGCTTTCTGCGTATCTTCACGCTGGCCACGGATCACCTCATCATTAGATGTCGAAGTTGAACAAGTGGTGTTCACATTCGGACGTGTGTTAGGTAGAAGTGTGTGTGCACCTGCGTGTGCGTGTATGTTCCACACGCTGATGCAGGAGGTATACGCACAGATATAATTGTCTTTTAGAAGATTGACTATCACTAATTTTGAAAAATTTCCTGAATGACCTTTCCTGCCAGGCCAATACATTGAGCCCAACAGATAAATCCCTGAACTTATTCGCAGTCTCTAAGTACCTTTAGAATCCCGGGGGTCGCCCTGAGCCTCCCCAGGGACTAGCGCTGTTGCCCTCGCTCAGTCTCGCCACCACAGGAGGCCTCGGCTTGCCCAGCAGCTGAGTCGGGAGAACCTTTCCCAGGTCCCGAGGCAGCGGGAGGCGAAGCCAGGAGACCCACCTGGTGCCAGGGAAGAGCTGTCACCTGGGCCTTTCCTCCAGGAGCCTCCAAGGAAGGTGGAGGTGTGACATCAGAGTGTTGGGATGTGGAGGGGTGTGACTCCCTGGGATGCAGCTCTGTGCCCTGACTCCAGTGTGCCATGCTTGGCTGATCTCTCAATGATTAACTGTGTGACCTTGGACACACCGTGTTGCCTCCTGCGCCTCTCTGCCCAGACAGCATGGCAAGTGAAAGCCTCCCTCCCTTACTGATGGTGTGATCTGGGCTGCCTCCTTGGACACGCCAAGCCTGCTGTGCCTCGAGGCCTTTGCCCTGACTGCTTCCTCTGCCTGGGATGCCTGTTGTCTAAACACCCACACCACACGCTCCCTCGCTTCCCTCCTGTCTCCTGTCAGAAGTCACCTCCTTGGGCTGTCCTTGATCATTCCATCCATCCAAAAAGTTGGCACCCACTCCCACAATTTTTTATTTCTCGTTCCCTGACTTACGTTTTTTTCTCCTGAGCATATGTTATCATCTGACAGACCACGCGTTTCTTACTTATTTTGTTTATTATTCCATCCCACTAGAAAGGCAGGGGTTTGCCTGTTTTTTCCCCATGACTGTATCCCCAGCATTTAGAACAGGGCCTGGCACCTGCTAGATGCTCAGTACATAGTTTTGAGTGAGTGAACGAATGAATGAATCATCAGTCAGTCAAACTTTGCAGCACTCACTTTGTCCATTGGAATAAAGTTTGCCTGTTAAGTACATGGTAGCCACTCAGTACATGGTAGCTAAGGTTATGTGCATGATTTTTTATATTATTGTCATTATGTGCTTTATTGTTTTTATTTTTATTTTTATTTTTTTGAGACGGAGTCTCTTTTTGTCACCCAGGCTGGCATTCAGTGGTGTGATCTTGGCTCACTGCAGCCTCCGTCTCCCGGGTTCAAGCAGTTCTCCTGTCTCAGCCTCCAGAGTAGCTGGGACTATATGCACGTGCCGCCATGCCCAGCTAATTTTTTGTATTTTAGTAGAGACAGGGTTTCACCGTGTTGCCCAGGCTGGTCACAAACTCCTGAGCTCAGGCAGTCCACCTGCCTCTGCCTCCCTAAGTGCTGGGATTACAGGCATGAGCCACCGCGCCTGGCCTATGTGCTTTATTTTTACAATCAGAGGGCTGCACTAGCAGATCTGAGAGCATGACCGGGGTGGAGTCCATGCAGGGCCGCAGGGAACACTAGTCAGAAGGAGGCAGTGAACCTCTCCTGCCCTTTCCTTCCATCTCCATCACCTTGAGCATCTTCTGGGCAGCTGAGGTGACCGCAGATGGGAAGGAAGGGCGCAGAGATGAGCATTTTCTTCTCTCCACCATCTGGTTCCAGGCAGGGCAGGAGAGGGCCCCGTGAGAGCTACTGCTCACGGCTACCACGGCTGCCTGTGGGTCAGAGCATCTCCACGCTGGAGCTGGGCCACACTGGTTCCTGCACCCGGGCAGCCTGTGGCCAGGCTGCGTTTCAAAGCCAGGACTTTCAGGAATGCACCCTTTTGACCACACAGCAAGGCCACACATACCCAATAGCAGTGGACTCTGAGCTCTTTAAAATTGTGAATGTTGCCCAGTGGCCCTCAGTCAGGATTTGTTCCATTAAACCTCATTCACTGCCCTCATTTTATGGGTTTGTTGACTGTTTGCATTTGCTCCGCAAGTTGTTTATATTCTTTGTGTGTTTTATTTTCAATTATGGCATGTGTCTTTAAAAAAAGATTGTAAGGGTTTCTTTTGAAATATAGAAAACTGTTCATCCTTTTTCAAATCATTTATGTAGCAGTTATTACTCTCCAACTTTTTTTGTTTTTCTAGTCTCTTGATTTTGTTTGAGGTATTTATTGATATATAGAAGTTATATATTTTTCTGTGGTCAGAGTTGAGTGTCTTAATTAGTGACTTCTTAATTAGTGTCTTCGTGGCTTAGAGAGTTCTTCCAAATTTTAAGATTGAGCAAACATTCCCCATAAAAAAAAAAACAAAACTATAGAACTGTAAAATTAACCTAGAACTAAGCACCTACACCCAGGATAAATTTTTGGTATAAGGTGTGAGGCAGGGAATAATGCTATTCCTTCCCTCCAAATAGTTAATGGATTGTCTGTTATCATTCACTCAATAGTGTGCCCTTTTCCCATTGCTTTAAAATATTGCTATTATCAGATACTAAATTTTTCAAATATGTGCTAAGTTTCCTTTTAGGCTTTCTGTTAGTTACCACTGATATACTGTCCTTGCTCTGCCACTGTGCTGTTTTATTCCAGCTTCATAGTGTTTTGTTTGTTTGTTTTTTGAGACGGAGTCTTGCTCTGTCTCCCAGGCTGGAGTGCAGAGGCGTGATCTCGGCTCACTCTAAGCTCTGCCTCCCGGGTTCATGCCATTCTCCTGCCTCAGCCTCCTGAGTAGCTGGGACTCCAGGCACCTGCCACCATGCCCAGCTAATTTTTTGTACTTTTAGTAGAGACGGGGTTTCACTGTGTTAGCCAGGATGGTCTCGATCTCCTGACCTAGTGATCTGCCTGCCTCAACCTCCCAAAGTGCTGGCATTACAGGTGTGAGCCACCACGTGGCCCATAATTTTTTTAAAATTGAGCCCTCTCCTTTTAAAGATGAAGGAACTGAGGCACCAGAGAGGTCAAGCAACCTGCCCAAGGTCACACAGCCAAATGCTGTCTGAGAATCTCACATGCATAAAATTCCAGTGTATTTAACCTTCTCGTGGGCTGTGTCTCATGATGCTTCCCTGTGCTTCTTTCCTGTCACTTCTGCTCATGGTATAGCACTGGAATGCTTTTTTTTTTTTTTTTTTTAAACAGCTGTTGTACGTTCTTTCTCTAAGTGGAGCTAGTCAGAAAAAGCTGCATGAAGCTACTAGCAAGAATGAGATCAGACACGTGAATTTTGTAGTACTGTGCCTGGCATAGAAAAAGCCCTTAATCTATTAGTAATAATACAATTATTATTATTTCCATTGATGTTGACTTTTTGTAAGGTACGTCCTCATTTGAAGCATCAGTCAGTTTGGTGATCAGTTGCCCTTGAGTGTTCAGACACTCGTTTACAGATGTTGGACCCTGTTACCCACCTTCCCCTCCCACCATAAATTACCGAGGTCACCCCAGACTCTGAACTGGCTGACAAGCTGTTACAGTGATAGAAAGTTTTGCACTTGAGCATTCCCACAAGCTCCTAGGACTCCAGGTCAGTTTACATGTTCCAGGTTTTTGAGAAAATTGTCCACGCTGACTTCAAGGCGAGAGCATCTTGGATCTCCTCCCAGAGAGAGTCGTGTCACCTGAGGGCCCAGGGAACCTCGGTGACAAGGGACCTCTTGTCTGCTGTGTGCTGTGGGCTGATGTGATCCCTGTTTGCAGTGTAAACTCATAAGCAGGGACCCGAAGCATCCCCCGACCCCTGGCTTTGCAGAGCAGCCATAACCAGCCAGTATGAAGATTAATTTCCCTGTAAAACCTTTGAAATCAGGTAAGTGTTAATTATTAAAATTTCACGAGGAGAGGCTTGTTTGGTGTGAAGGCTTCCAGCTTGCTGAGGGTGACCTGGAACTTGTTGTGAGGATGACCAAAGGTACTTGGGAGTGCTCCTTGCCTTGCTGTGGCAATTGGAAGTCTTCATCTTACCTTGCGCCATGCAGGGAGGGTGTGCCCTGGATGGACCCAGTGTGGCCTGTGTGCTTGCTATTCGGTACCTCTCTCACCTGTCATTAACTCGGGGGCATTATAAATTGATCGTCAGGATAAGAATATTCTCTTATAGTTCATCTTTTTAAAAAAATGGTGATAAGATACACAGAACATAATGCCCTGTCCTAACCATTTTTAAGTGTGCAGATCAATAGTGTTAAGTATATTCACATTGTAGCACAACCCGTCTCCGGAACCTTCTTTCTATAAATGCAGAATTAGGGTTGGCTACCTCAGGTGGACACCTGGTTCATGACCTTTGATGAAGTGGGTAGAACTTATTTAGAGCAGGAGGCCGAGGGACAACAGCACCAGCCTTTGTGGTAGGTGTTAATACCTCTCATTTTTCAGATGAGGAAACTGAGGCACTGCTTGTCTTTTTTTTTTCCAGTAAAATGTTGTTATAGAAACATACGTGCGTCACATACATCCGGAAGCATGCACACGTACAGCTCAGTGAATTTTTGCCAACTCAGCACGCACGTGTAACCAGCGCCCAAATCAAGAGACAACATACTGAGCAGTACCCCACCCCCTGCCCTGCACCTCCCGCCAGCCGTTGCTCTCCCCAGGGGTAACTGCTCTCCTGGCTTGTATCAGTGTCTAATGGTTTTGCCCGCTTGTGAACTCCACATCTGTGCAGTTGTTTGGCATGTATGATTTTGTCTGGCATTTTTCCCATGACATATTAGTGTGACTTTAAGAGTAAGTTGCTGGAAACTTCAGGACCAGTCATGGCAGAACTGGGCTACAGACTCAGAGCAGGGTCCCCCCTGCTCACCGTCCTGGCCGTCACAATGTTCACGTGTGAGCCTGCCTTGGCCTGGAGTGTCGGGGCATCCTGAGAAATAAAGTTGGATAGAAACGCCCCATATAGGCTGGGGGCGGTGGCTCACACCTGTAATGCCGGCACTTTGGGAGGCCGAGGTGGGCGGATCACTTGAGGCCAGGAGTTCAAGACCAGGCTGGCCAACATGGTAAAACCCTGTCTCTACTAAAAATACAAAAATTAGCCAGGCATGGTGGCACGCACCTGTAGTTGCAGCCACTTGGGAGGCTGAGACAGGAGAATTGCTTGAACCTGGGAGGCAGAGGTCGCTCTGAGCCAAGATTGCACCACCGTACTCCAGCTTGGGTGACAGAGAGAGACTCCGTCTCCAAAAAAAAGACAAAAAAAAAAAAAAAAAAAAAAAAAGACCCAAATAGAGGCTGGGCACGGTGGCTCACTCCTGTAACCCCAGCACTTTGAGAAGCTGAGATGGGAGGATCGCTTAAGGCCAGGAGTTCGAGACCAGCCTGGTCCATATAGTGAGACGCCCATCTCTGTTGAAAGAAAAGAAAAGAAAAGAAATGCCCCAAATGGGAGTTTGGTGAAAGTTCAGTGGAGGATTAGCCATGAGGATTTCAGGAGCCTCCCGCTTTGAGCAGGGAAACACCCTGTGGTATGAAGTGGCAGCAAGAGATTGGGGTGGTGGGGGCTGCATGCGTGGGGTGCAGGGCAAGGGTCAGCTGAAGGTGTCGGGGAACTCACAGAGGGTGGAGAGAGCCCTGGGTGCAGAGTCTTGGCCGTCAGGCCGAGGCGGGTGGGAAGAGACCCGGCATTCCGGACAGAACAATAACAATCATCGTTTCCACTCACCAGGGGCTTGCCCTGCAGAAGACATTGTGCCTGGTCCATTACACACACACCACAGTCTCGTTGCATCCCCCTGTAACCCTGTGAGGTAGCTGCTATCATTGTACCCATTCTTAGATGGGGGAACTGAGGCTCAGGCAAGTAAAATGACTTGCTCCAGATTAGGGAAGTGGTAGGGAGTCAAGAGGGGCTAAGGCCTGAGTCCGTCTCATTCTCAGAGCGACACCCATAAGCATGGGCTGCCTGCCCATGGAAACTCATAAAGTAGAGACACTTAAGACATAGGCGGCCCCCGGCGGTGGCTCCTGCCTGCAGTGGCCCAGTTGCATAAACACTGAGAGAAGGCTGCCGAATTTCACTCTAAGGGGTTGTTGGAACAAAGTTGAAATGTGGTCCAAAACAGCTTCATCATCATTAGTGAATGTGCTGTGGGTTAGCTTTTTATTTTCTCAGGGGATTTGTTTGGGGCCAGCCTGTGTCTCCATGTTCTTACTTCGCGAGCTGAGTAAGTTGATATCTGCAATTTAAGAAGAGCCTGGTTTTGATAGGAAGTTGATTTGATTACCATTTTATAAGATTTTCTTGGTCTGGTCTTGATCCTGTGGATCTCTTGGTTTCAGTAATTTTGGGGTGGTGATCTATCCTCTGCCATTTAAGCCAAGTCACACTGATGTTGAGTCCACCCTGAAGAATGTGTCAGGATATTCTCATTCCAAGGAAATAGAAAAAGGCATTAAGTTCAAAATAGCACGTGATATTCCAAACCAAGACTTTGTTATGATCTTCTCGGGCAATAATATGATTATCAGGTTTTTTTTTCACAGGCAAGTTGATTCTAAGGTCATTAATTTTATCTGTATCCAGTGGAAATTGTGTTCATTTTAAATTAAAATAAAATGAACGGTGTCCATCTGTTTGTGGAAACCTGATCTACTAAGGTTGATATAATCAGGCTATTTACAAGTTCACTGTGGGTCAGACAACAGTATTTATATTCATGCACACAGAAAATTCGATTAGATAGTGCCGAGGAAGAGCACACACCGATGGGCCGATTACCCTGAATTCAGGCAGCTCAGATTCTCCATTCGCTTGAATGTCATATTAGCTGGGGATATCCCTTTTGTGACGCAGAATCTTGCAGCGAAACAGTTGGGTGTAGCCTCCTGTGAGAAAGAAATGCTTGCAGCAGGGATTTTCCAGGCCGGCATCTCAATTGCACAGAAAAACATTTTGGGAATGTTTCCATCAGCCCGGCAGTCTGAAGGTTTGAGCGGAATGGTGAGAAGGTTCTAACCAGGCGTCCTTGGGGGTGGAGGATGATGGGCCAGGGCAGCTGCACAATGTCTGGCTGTTCAGGGGGTCTTGAAACCAATGTCTGCAGGCCCTGCGGGGATGGATGCACACAAGGGCCGTTTGAAGCACAGATCTGCTCAATCATTGTTTTCTGCTGGGAGTGAGAGAAGGGCACTCCACATCTCTGCTCAAGAATCCTTCATGCTTCGCTGTTGCTTTTAGGAAACACTCCTTGTTCTGATCAGGACTACAGGGCTAGGTATGTTTCTGTCTGGCCCTGCCTCTCCCACTCTTACTGCACCTCGGAGCTCCTTAACTGCTCCTACCCTGCGTCCTGTTTCCTTTTCTCAGCTGGAGCCTCCTCCCTACCACCTGAGGCCCGCAGTTCCTGCTAAGAGCAAGACTAAGCTTCCCTCCTGCCTTCACTCACTCATTCCTAATTCCCTCCGCCTCATCTTCAGTGCCACCTCCACTGGACCTTCCATGACCATTCCCCCACCACAGGACAGTCATTCTCTTTATGAATGCACAGTTCATAGCATGTGATTCATAGCACAATTTACATGAAATAATAACCAACTGTCCATTGGTTGCTTTATGTCTCTCTACGTGCTCCGTGTGTACAACTCTGCCCCCAGCCCTGAGCACTGGGCCTGGATGTAGCAGGGACCACCATGTTATTGGTGAATGAGTGACAGAAACAAACGATGGCAGTGAACGAAGCCGAAAGTAGTTCTCTAATTTGCACAGTAATCTCAGCCACCTTGAAAGGTCGTTTTTAGTGTCACTTCATTGTGAATTTGTCAGACGTGGAGCACATCCATCCAAACGGAAAGACGAAGCAAGGGCCGAAAGTACTTGCTCACCAGGGCAGCTTAGTGACCAGCATCGCTGGCCTTTTTGTGTCTCGTCAGAGCACACTGATTTGATGAGTCCCCGGCTTTCCTTAGTCTTGCCTGTTGGAGAGCTCCATCCTGTGCCGCCTCTGATCCGTGAGATGGGCTTGCTCACCCTGGCTGAGTCTCACTTTGTTGCCCAGGCTGGAGTACACGGGCACAATCACGGCTCACTGCAGCCTTGACCTCCCAGGCTCAAGTGATTCTCCTGCCTCAGCCTCCCGAGTAGCTGAGACTACAGGCACAAACCACCTCGCCCAGCTAATTTTTGTATTTTTTGTAGAGATGGGTTTTTGCCATTGCCCAGGCAGGGCTTGAACTCCTGGGCTCAAGTGATCCTCTCCTGCCTCGGCCTCCCAAAGTGTTGGGATTACAGGCGTGAGCCACTGCACCTGGCCTGGCCTCTTCTTTGAAGCCAGTTAAATGTGTCTTGTTTTGAGTGTGTGTGTGTGTGTGTGTGTGTGTGTGTGTGTGTGTGTGTTTGTTTTTGTTATGAGACAGAGTCTCGGTCTGTTGCCCAAGCTGGAGTGCAGTGGCGCGATCTCGGCTTACTGCAGCCTCCGCCTCCCAGGTTCAAGCGATGCTCCTGCCTCAGCCTCCCGAGTAGCTGGGACTTCAGGCTTGTGCCACCACGCCTGGCTAATTTTTTGTATTTTTAGTAGAGACAGGGTTTCACCGTGTTAGCCAGGATGGTCTTGATCTCCTGACCTCATGATCCACCCACGTCTGCTTCCCAAAGTGCTGGGATTACAGGTGTGAGCCACTGCACCCGGCCTTTTTTTTTTTTTTAAGTTGCATACTTATCAGTCCGTGGGCTTATTTGTTTTGGGTGCTGAACCCCTCTGTTAAGTCTTGATGACTAAATAAACACAATTCAATTATGTACTATATATATAAGTATATTATTCTTGTGAAAAGCAGTGCCTTAACAGAAAAGTCTGAAGTTCCCCTTCCTCCACCCCCGACCCTGTTCCTACCCCATATCCCATCCTTCTAGGGTTTTTTCCTTTATATTTACATTCAAACAGATGGTTCTATAGAAAGTATATGGTATAATTTTATGTGAGTTTCTTTATTTAAACATAAAAGGAATCCTGTCATATAGATCTTTCTGCAGTTTACTTCTTCACTCAGTGAGTCTTTTTGGAGATGTGTTTTGGAGATGTGCACGGTGGAGCCGTGTAACCTGTAACTTTCAGTGGCAGAGGGCTGTGATTTCATAGGCCCAGCCAGTCTAACCACTCCAGCCCCTGATCGGTGCCCCAGGCTGGTAGGATGCTCTTGGGACCCTCACACGCTTCTTCCATGAGTTGAGCTGTTTGTTTACCAAACCTGGTTACGCTGGTGAGAGGTGTTACTGGATTTACACAGTTTATTTGAAGATTACATAAACTTATGAAATATGAGCGTGAAGAGAGAACGGCTGTCTTTATGAAAGCTGAATGGAATGCTTAAGAAAGTCTCAGTGGAGTGGAGTGTCCCTACAAAACAACCGATGTTGTGGGTGAGAGAACTGTAAAAGAACAGGAAAAAGCTGTAATGATCAGACAGCCTTGAGGGGGTCTTCAGAGAAACAGAAGCTGCAGCTTGTCAATCAGGCATCAGGCATGCGTTTATGTGAAAACGACCCAGAGGCCGTCTGCAAAGGGAAAGCCTCATCTCTACTACAAAAGATGGAGAACATATACACCTTTACATACTTTTAGCAAAAACGAAATGTCTATTTCATGTTTTAATTTTCTCCTTTAATGGACTCCTTTGGGTTCACCACTCAGTCACTGGTTCTAATAACCAAAGACTGACCTTATTCTGTTCAGCTGCCACATCACATTCCATAAAATGGTCGTGCCCCACCCTGGGTCGATGGATGTGAAGGCCCTTTCTCGCTTTTCACTCTTAAACACAGCCCAGGAACAAGCTGTCTTACCTGGGACTCTCAGTAGATGCTGAGAGGCAGACTTGCTGGGTGTGGCATTCCAAATTTTAAAAGCAGCAGGAGTTGGTTGATTTTGAAGTTGAAGACTCCTAGGCGGGGAGCTCTGTGAAAATGGGAGCCAAGTCTTTTACCTGTGAATGAGAATTAAAATGGGGGCCAACTATTAAATGCTCGGACACCCCACCAGTGCTTAGATCTGTTTGTCACGCAGGCATTTCTTGAGTCCCAGTTGTATGCTCTGTGAGGCACCGAGGGTGGGAGATTTGTAGCATGGCGTAGGTTGGGAGATTGGTAGCATGGCGTGCGTGATCTTGAGAGGCAGGTGAAACTGGCCTGCATCTGGGAATAGGGTCTGCAGGAGTGTGTTTTTCTGGACCTTCATCTGAGGGTCGTATTCTCCATCTGTGTTAGATTGGGCTGCCATAACAAAACACCATAGACTGGGTGGCTTAAACCACAGGCATTTATTGTTTCAGAGTTCCAGGTCAAGGTGCTGGCCTGGCTGGGTTTGGGTGAGGGCCCTCTTCCTGGCTTGCAGACAGCCACCTTCTCACTGTGTCCTCACATGGTAGAGAAAGAGAGCACTCTGGCCTCTCTTCTTATGAGGACATTTATCCTGTCATGGGGGCCCCAACTTCATGACCTCCTCAAACCCTAATCACCTCCCAAAGGCCCCACCTCCACATACCATCACATTGCAGGGTCGGGGGTTCAACAGAGGAATTTCCGGGAGGCACAAACATACAATCCATAGCACCGTCCCTAGCACGGAAGAACAGAGAGAAGGAACGGTTTACATTGCAGCAGTATGTAGCTTGACTTGTGGCTTCACTCTCTGGGGGATTGTGAATTCTGCCCCAGGCCTAGCGAGAGGCCGCTTGGGAGCCAGTCCGTTCCACGGGGTGCTGGTCTGAGCCCTGCCCGCTGGAGCCCATGAGGTGGCAAGGGCCCAGGCCTGGCTGGTGGCACTGTGTGTCACTGCTTTTCTGCTGATGGCTTGCTGTGTGGCCTTGAAGTTGCTTCGCTCCAGGTGAGCGCATCTGAGAGGTGGGCTGGGTCTGACTTTGGGAATCTGAAGACTGTGTGGTTCTGAGATGGCAAAGTGACACCTGTGGGCCAGCTTCCTGGCTGGAAGACACCCTCTCCTCCCTTCCCTAATCATGTCCAGTGCTACACGGCAGCCGGAGAGCGCTCTTTGTTGGTCCCGTGAGAACATTCAGAAACAATCATACCCACCCCTGTAGCTGGCTGCTTATTGCCAAGGCGTTGCGTTGGCTAGTGTCCCCACATTGAAGTTCAGGGCCGCCCAGGGCTCCCTGCTGCGTCCTGGGCCAGCCTGTGACCTCCCTTTTCCAGCAGAGCAGCAGGACTGAGGGCGCTGAAAGGAAGGGGGGTCAGGGTCGTGGGGGTAAGATCTGACCCTTGGAGCCAGACAGCCTGTGTTCAATTCCTGGCTTTTATCTATGACCATGGGCTAGTCACTTCCCCCCGTTCCTCAGTTTCCCCACCTAGAGCTAAGGTGAGGATAAAACAAGCTACTATCTTAGAACAGTGCCTGGCTTCTATATCAGGCCTAACAAAGGATGGGGATTTAATTTTCTGAAACAAAGAGAAATTTTTATTTGGCTCAGGCAGTCTTTCCTTCCAAGGAGATAACTAAGTTTGAGTCATTGTTTAAAAAATCAACTTCCACTAGTCCAGCTATGACCCCTGAAATGCCTTCCATTTCACCTTCTACTTTCTGTCTAAAGAAGAGGGTTTACTGAGCTAATTGCAGGTCTGAATCGTATTATCGGGAAAAGGTTTATCTTACTTGGGAGAACACAGCTATTTTAAGGAGCTTTAGCACATTTTTATTGCATCCACCTGGCATGAGAAATCTCCATTGTGAGCCTCCTTGGGGTACCCATTCCCATTAGAAAACAGTTCATCAGCCCAGAAGAGGGGAAAGGAGAGAGAGAAGGAAGGGCAAACGCTGGACACGCAGGGGTCCCCCCGCCCCAATTATCCATCATTTGTGGGGTTCCACATGCACCTAGTGCACAGTGAGTGTGAACTCACGGAGACAGACTCAAGTCATGTGCACGCATCCCTTTTCAATGTGGGTGCTGGGCAGAGGGGTGGCTTCAGCTCTCAAATGAGACCGAGGCTGGAGGGTCATGCAAGTGAAAAATACTCAATTTTTTAATTGCAAAGTCTCTTTGGTGCTATGTGTGTGGCGTGAACACGTGAGGGCATTATTTTGAAAGAATTACTGATAGGACTCTGTCTCATCCTCAGGGGGTAAGTGTGTGTGTGTGTGTGCGCGCACACAGGAAACCTCTTGTTTTTAAATATTTCCTTCTCCAAACAGCCTGCCGCTGACCTTCCCGGCCTCTGTGTGGCTCTCAGGCCACCTCCTTATTGCTATATCTTGGAGCCTAAGGACTTCTATTTCTGCTCTGGGTCCAGTGCAGGGTGCCAGGACCACCACAGGGGTGCATGTGTGCATGTGTGTGTGCCTGTGTGTGTGTGTGTATGTTTGAATATGTGTGGTGTATGGGTATTTGTATGTGTGTATATGTTTGTGGAATGTTGTGTGTATATGTGCATGTGTGTGTGTGCGTGTATTTGTGTATGTGTGGAGTGTTGCGTGTGTGCACGTGTGTGTGGAGAGGGTGTATGTGTGAGATGTGTGTATGCCATGTGTGTGCGTGCATGGAGGGCTCTGCTTCCGGTTTCTGGGGTTGAGTAACTTTATGAGTGGTACTTAAAACCCTTCTGTTGTCCACAGGACAAAGTTCAACCCCTCATTTTTTTGGCAGAGAAGGCTGCCAAATTGGGGCCAGACTCAATCTTTTCATTTTCATCTCCTGCCAGTTCCTTACCAGACACCCTGTGCTCCAGCCACAAACGACCTTTTGCTGTTGCCCAAAAGAGCCCATGATCTTGTAAACTCCTAGACTCCTAGAAGATGCCAGGCCCACAGCCAGGGTTCCCCTTTCCGCTTTCCCTGCTCAGCTCATACTGGTGCGAAACTCTCCCAGGCCTGCCCTCCTCCCTGCAGGGTGCCTTAGCTTCTTCCATCCTTTGAGACAGGCTGACCACAGGTACTGTGGTGTTTGATTTAATGCATTCGTTATCTCAGGATTTGCTGCGCTTCTAGAGAAGTCCTGCAGACGAACCCGTCCTTGTATCACCAGCGCCTAGCATGGTGCCTGGAAGAGGGTGGGTGCTTGATGCTTCTCGCAGTGAAGGAGCAGAAGCTTAGGTTCTGTACTAAGATGATGCTTATATTGTGTAGCTAAAAGGGACCGTGCACACAACAGTGACAACATCAGTAATAACGTTTACTGAGCGTCTCCTGTGTGAAGAGTCCCTGTGCTCAGTGCTCTATGAATGGCATTTAATCCACACAGCTTATGTGGCGAGCTCCAGCATCCTCCTCCATCTACAGATGGAAGCATGAGGCTGGAGAGAAGTGACTTGGTCCAGACCACACAGCACGGGGCGGACCTGCGATGCTCACGGTAAAACTAGGGCAAGTTACTACTTGACTGATCTGCTTCTGTTCTAGAATCCGAACCCTCCTCAGCATTGTTTCCAAATGATGGTGGTTTTCAAGCTCCAAACGCCCAGCTTACCTGGGCATAGAAGCCTTCCTGCCGGCCCTCCCGTGGGCCCCAGGGTCTTTGCACAGGATTTTCCACACACAGTACAAGTCTGGGTCTCGGCTGAATGAGCGAGCACGGGATTCCCACATGCCTGTAAGAGAATTGCTAAATTTGCTTCAAGCGGTGTCACCCCCTCACTGCAGGTAGATCTAGTGAACTCAGGGAGAATCCACCGTGACCTACATCAGAAGGAAGTGGGACGGGGCGGTGGGTGGGGAAAACGCAAATGGCGCTCGCTGTGAATAGCAGTGTTGGAGAACATCACAGCCAGCAGTCGAGGATGAAAGGCATTTGATTTATAATAGACTCTCAAATTCACCCTGGTTCTTACGAGTTATCGTGTCTCCTGAAACCTCGTGGGGGCATCCTGCTGCTGGGGCCAGGAGGCAGGGAATGGCAGCCCAGGGAAATGAGGAATCCCGATCCTTCTCTCTGAGTCAAGAGAAGACAGACTTGCCCTACTTCTCCCATGGTGTCCTGGGAGAGCAGGAAGAAGGCATGGAGAAGGATGCCTTGTTCGCCGGCGGCAGAAGCTCCCTCTCAATGCCAGGCAGGACAGAGCCAGCATGTAGGGCGGCGGTCCCTTTAGCAAGAGGATGAACTGGGCTGGAGGTGCACTCAGAAATCCACCCAGAGGGAGTTTTCCTTTTCATGACAGTTTTCCTGAGGCTTGGTGGGGAAGGAGAAGAGGCTCTCAGTTGCAGGCGGTTCATTCATTCACCCATTAATTCATCTAACTAATAGTTACTGAGGGTCTGTGTCCCAGGAACCGAAGAAAGCACAGGTTACAGCAATGAGCGAACACAGTTGTGTGTCTCCTGCCTGCAGGTAGCTGCGGCCTCGTGGAGAAAATTGAAGTCAGATGATTATCGTGCGGGGTGAGAAAGGAGGGTGAGAACCAAGTGCTGTTCACTCATCATTCATTCATTCTCTTGTTCAGGGGGTGTGGAGCACTGGATGGGAGCTAGACATCCCTCTAGACCTGTGCTGGCTGGAAGAGTAGCCGCTGCCATGTATGGCTATTTACATTGAATTAAAATTAGACCAAAGTAAAAATTCAGCTTGTGAGGCACGTAGCCACACTTCAGTGCTCCGTAGCCACGCGTGGCGAACAGCTCTTGTACTGGAGAGTGCCGATGTAGAACATTCCCTGCATCGCGAGAGCTCCCTGGATGGTGCTGGGCTGCAAAGGCCACTCCCCCGGGAGTGCACAGCCTTGCGGTATTAAAGACCGGCACATATTCTGTGACAGTACAGGGCAGTCTGGGCTGGGATGTGGGCACACAGATGTGGGATGGCCGAGCCATGCCTGGGCTCCCGGAGGCAGGGAGGTTTCAATGGTGTTTAAGTCAAGTGAGGAGGATCTGGGGCAGAGGAGGAGAGGGATAGCATATCTGGTAGAGGGAAGCACATATGTCAAGGCCTGGCCTCCAGAAAGAGAGACGGAAGGGGTTCAGCGCGGCTGGGTCGTAGACCATGTCATGTTTATGTGGCCGAGGGCATGGGGTGTGTGCAGCGAGGGTGACTCTGGAGGGGGACACAGACCAGCTCCTGCAGATGCTCTGCCATCTCTGCAGAAAGACCCCCGCTCCAGGCTCCCTGCTGGCCCTTCCAGTCAGATAGAGGGTCTTTGCAGGCCATCTCTTGCTGTGGGCACGCTGAGCAGAGGGTCCCAAAGCCAGTGACAACCAGTTCAGAGGAGGGCCTGGTTTGCGGGGTCAGGGCTGGACACCTTGCTCAGAGGGGTAGCTGGGCCTTGGAGACAAACTTACCGTTTCAGGCAAAAGCGAGGGTTTGCAGGTGGAGGGTGGGAAGCGGGGGAGGAGGAGGAGGAGGAGGAGGAAGGAAGGGATCTCCTCAGAAGCCTGCAGGGTCCAGATTGAGTGTCCGTTAGTTCAGTGTACCCAAGAAAACACTTCAGGAAATGGCCCCTCTTCCCTTTGGGGAAGTGCAAGATGAAGAAGAATTGGAGAGGCTGGCTCACAGTTGTGGGGCAGTGAGGGGGAATTTGGCAGACACCGAAATTGGACACTGGGACCCTTGGCCTGGGACCAGCTTGTGCCCCAGGGCCAGGTGCTGTGGCAACAAAGGAATGCCCAGGGAGCCAGGCAGGCCTCTTCAGCTCTGCTCTTCCTGTCACCCGAGCAACTCGCAGCCTCTGATCCCAGCCTCCTCTGCAGCACGCCGGCAATCATGTCATGCTGTAAAGCTGTTGGAACAATTTCCAGATCATTACAGCGGCTGGCATTTATCTAGGGCTTACCTTGACCCAAGCATTGTAGTATATACATCATGATTTTTCAGCCTCAGCTCTACTGACATCTAAGGATGGATCACTTTTTTTTTTTTTTTTTTTTTGAGACAGGGTCTCCCTCTGTCCCTCAGGCTAGAGTGCAGTGGTACAATCATGGCGCACTGCAGCCTCGACTTCCTGGGCTCAAGCGATTCTCCTCCCTCAGCCTCCTAAGTAGCTAGGACTACAGGCACAGGCCACCACTCCTGGCTAATTTTTAAAGTTTTTGTAGAGATGGGGTCTCGTTTTGTTGTTCAGGCTGTTCTCGAACTCCTGAGCTGAAGCGGTCCTCTTGTCTCACCTGCCTCCCAAAGTGCTGGGATTACAGTGTGAGGCACCAGCCAGCTGGATCAGTCTTTATTGCGGGCACTGTCCTGGGCATGGTAGGACATTTGGCACCATCCCTGGCCTCCACTCACTAGATGCCCACAGCACCCTTCCACCCCAGTTGTGACAACCAAAAATGTCTCCAGGCCACGTGTGGTGGCATGCACCTGTAATTCCAGTTCCTTGGGAGGCTGAGGTGGGAGGATCACTTGAAGCTAGGAGTTGGAGACCAGCCTCAGCAACATAGGGAGACCATGCCTCTACAAAAAAAAAAAGAAAAAAAAAAGCCAGGCATGGTGGTGTGTGCCTGTAGTCTTAGCTACGTGGGAGGCTGAGGCAGGAGGATTGCTTGAGGCCATGAGTTCAAGGCTGCAGTGAGCTACGATCATGCTGCTGCACTCCAGCCTGGGTGACAGAGCAAGATTCTGTCTCTGAAAAAAACAAAAAGGAAAAAGGAAGCTGTGTCTGGACATTGCCAAATGCCCCCCGTTGGGAACCACTGCTTTACACATTGACTCCTTCATTCTCATAGCAACCCATTTCACACACGAGGATTGACTTGGCACCACAGCTGGACCATTGGTGCTGAGGTTTGAACCCAGGTCTGTCTGCATGGGCCTGTACTCAGTTCCTGGATCTATTTTACTGCAGGCTTAGGTGGAAAGGGCGTGGCCCAAAGCCAGATGTGTAGTAGGTAGTCAGGGAAAGGGGCTTTTCTGATGATTTGTCACTGGCTTATTCAGTCAACAAACCAGACCCTAAGTGCAGGTTGCAGGATGAGGAGGGAGCCGGTCAACCTGCAGGAGCACCTGGGTGACCAGCCTGAGGGTTGATGGAGCCATTTGTATTTCTTAGGCAATGATTAACCTGGTTGAGCTGGTAAATCATTCGATAGAACCTTACCCTGGAAAATGCCGGGCTTGCAAATGGGGGGCCGTTGGTTTCACATCTGCTGTTTCTTCATTGGACTTTGTCACCCATGAGGTCAGGAGCCAGCAGCCGAGGGCCGTTGGGAAATTCTCCTTGGGCAGATAGCTGCCACTTTTCCTTGCTAGCCCTGGAGTGCTGTACGTGCCCCAGGAAACTGTCCCATGTAGGGGATTTTCATGGCTGGGCTCTGTGTGTGTTGGGGGCGGGGGGCGGAGGATATTGAAGAAGCGGCCCTGAGTGAAATGCCAGTGGTCCTGAGAGGCGGGGCTGAGACCTCCTCTTTATTTATTTGTCTTTGGAAATTGTACCATTCATGATGAAATCGCCCCTAAAGGACACAGGCAGCAAGGACTGGCCTTTGCTAGACCTGGTAAGCTGGGCAGACCGAGCCCAGAGCAGGGCCTGGGTGCCCCAGCAGGGCACAGGGTGCTGGCTGGTTCCTCTGAAGGCAACTGCGCGTTCTCTTCCCATGTGGAGAAACCAGGCAAATGTGTGTGTGCATGCGCGCGTGCATATGCCAGTGTGTATGTTTGTACATGTGTATTTGAATGTGTGTGTGCAGTGTGCTGTGTGTACATGCTTGTGCATTTGTGTGTGTGTGTATGTGCACACAAGCCTGTGCCGTCCAAGTGCCCATGTGCATATTTAAATGCGCTCACCCGTGTGCGTGGGCAAATGTGTGCACATCTACATGTGTGTCAGAATTATTGTGCGTGTGCCTATGTGATGTGATTTCACCCCACCCCTATGGCTGTAGGACGAAGGCAGTACACACTGAGCACCCTGCCCATGCCCTCGGTAGCACTCCTTCTTTCCTTACTGTTCCACAGTGGATACAGAGAGACCTGAATTTAATACCCAGCTTTGCCAGTTACTCATTGCATGATCTGAGGCTGGTCATGCAAGCTCTCTGAGCCTCAGTCTTCTCATCCGTGAAATGGGAGAATAAGGAACAGCACTGGTGTGGAGTGGCATTGAAGGTCATGGGTCATAGGTGTGTGTGTGGCTGGGGCCTGCCTTAGGTGGCAGTCAGTGATGGCATGCCCTCCCAGCTTTGGGAAGGTCTGGCCCTGTCCATGGAGGTGCAGGAGGGTCGCAGGGCTTTAGTTGCTTCTTTCTGCTCATGCCCCCCTCCCACTCTTGGCTGGGAAACCTTGGCAGCACTGGGCAGGATGGTGTTGACAGGTCTTATCCCGTCAAAGAATGTCTATGTGGCTTCCACCCTCTGTGCTCTAGGTGTGGCCTGGGGTCACATGGCTGCTATTGCTAGGATAGACCAGGAGGACCCAGTGGAGCTGTTTGTGCTTCTGGAATCTACCTGATCAATTAGAAACTACTAGAAGGCTGAAGTCAGGGGCTTTGGTGACCTTGGCTTTTGCCCACTGGTGACCACAGCACTGTCATTCTGAAGTGATGCCTGGTTACAGCACATAGATTCTCCTTACACCCAGGAGAGGATGAAGAAAGTCCTAACCCCATTCTGTGCCCTCCCCAGTTCCATCACACACACCCCAGTTCCATCACACACACCCCAGTTCCATCACACACACCCCAGTTCCGTCACATGCACCCCAGTTCCGTCACATATATCCCAGTTCCGTCACACACACCCCAGTCCCGTCACACGCACCCCAGTCCCGTCACACGCACCCCAGTCCCGTCACACGCACCCCAGTTCATCACACGCACCCCAGTCCCGTCACACGCACCCCAGTCCCGTCACACGCACCCCAGTCCCGTCACACGCACCCCAGTTCCATCACATATATCCCAGTTCCATCACACGCACCCCAGTTCCATCACACACACCCCAGTTCCATCACATATGTCCCAGTTCTATCACACGTACCCCAGTTCCATCACACGCACCCCAGTTCCATCACACACACCCCAGTTTCATCACACACCCCAGTTCCATCACACACACCCAGAGGGTTCTGAGTAACCATGGGCAACCAAAAGCCAGGAAAATGGGGGGATTTCCTCTGCCTCCCAACTGTTTTCTGATTAGTCACTTCTAGCTAATTAGCAAGTGACAAATGGGACAATAAAGCTGAAAATATCCATTGGCTTCCTGGAATCCCAGCCACAGACATGGCACATGGGACCTGGCTGAGAAGCAGAAAAATGAAAAAACATTTGGGGTCCTGAGGAAGGAAGCACAGAGGACCACGTCGGGCCAGCCATGTCAGTGTGTGGCTGTAGGTGGCTGCAGTGTGTGCCTCAAAGACACACTGGGGCCGTGTGCAGTATGTGGGAGCTGTGGGAACCTGCTCTGTCTTCCGTTTTCTCTCCACACTGTCTGGAAGAAGTGATTTCATCTCACAGTCATTTGGTGACTAAGGCAAACTTCCCCCATCCAAGGTGGAAATTGTCACAGGGCCCTGGGGACATCATAGGGGTCTGTGTCCAAGGTGGCCTCTGCTTCCAGAGGTGGCTGAGGCCCCTGTTGTGGACAGTTCCCCTGGATGCATGTGGGTGACAGCTCCTGCTCCCATAGACAGTTCCCCATGCATCCTCAGATGGGTGAGGCTCTGCTGCTGTGACAAAGACTCCCCGGTCCAGGGACTTGAAACAACTTTGTTCTTGCTCAGTCACCATGGACGCTGTTCCCCACCGGCAGTGTGCAGGGGGGCCCTGGCTGGTGGGGTCCTTCCACCTGGTGACTCTGCAGCCTCGGCGGCAGGGGCAGGGAGGACTGGGGAGCCCAGCGCTGGCAGCTGCATCCTTTGGCTTTAGGAGGGACTTGTGTGACATCCTCTGACATCTGACTGTCCAGGCCCAGTTGTGTAGCGGTGGCCTGGCTGCAAGGGGGCAGGGAGTTGGAATCCTCCCCATACGTGGCAGTGGAAGGAAGCCAGAACTCTGTGCTCATTGGTAGTTGTCTGCCTGTCTCTGACGTCGGCTCACTTGGGCTGATAAGGGCTGGCTGGTGGTTCCCGAGGGTATCCTGTGTGTAGTGGGGATGTTCTTTTCCTGTGGCCTCTGTGACATGTTCCTTCAAACCCAGTGGCTGAAAACCACACAGATCAATCATCTTACAGTCCTGGAGGTCAGAAATCCAAAACAGATCCCCCTGGGCTATGTTAGGTGGGCTATGTTAGGATGTTTTCTCCAGAGGTTCTAGGGGACAGAATCTCTTCCCATGCCTTTTTCAGCTTCTAGAGGCCACCTGCATTCCTTGGCTTCTTGGCCCCTTCCTCCATCTTCAGAGCCACCTGTGTACCATCTCCCAGCCTCTCTCTGACCCTTTGCCTTCCTCTTTCATTGGGACCAACTCGACAATCTGGGAGAATCTCCCATCTCAAGGTCCTTAATGGAACCACATCTGCAACGTCTCTTCTGCCATGTCAGATGGCACATTCCCAGGTTCTGGGGATCAGGGCGAAGACATAGACATCTTTGGAGCTGCTCTTGTGCCTACCACCAGGGGCCATCCTTAGTGGGAGAAGCCAGGCTACCTGCCTTCCTCCCTCCCTCTCTCTTTCTCTGGCTTTGTTCCTTCATTGCTGTGGCTGGGGACAGAGTGCACAAGAGGAATGAGGGCCCTGTCCTCATGGAGCTGCCAGTCCTTTCCAAGGGGAAGACTGACCTTCAGCAGAGACTTCCAGTGCAGGGGGTTTGGGAGTCCCCTCCCTGGGGGACAGGAAAGTCTCCTCTAAAGACGTGACTTGTCAGCTGCTGTCTGGGGATTGAGGAGGAGTTAGGGAGGTGAGGTGGGGATAAATGTTGTGAAGACCAGTTGCTTAGCCACGTGGGTCCCAGCACCCAGGGCCTGAGTCTCTGCTTGTTTCAGTCCCACTGTTTCTCAGTCTTCCCTCGTTTTCTTCCACCCTGACTGTGGCCTGCTCCGTTTCGCAGATTGCTCATCCCCATTCCCGCCCACTGCTTTTCTGGAAGATGAAGGGGCTGGCTTCCTGCGTCCTGGCCTGGGCACTGGAGCAGGCCATGCCCCCAGGAGGCAGGCGGGACCTGGCTGCAGGGATGTGGGAAATAGGACCCAGGACCGTATTTGCAAAAGCAACAAAGTTGAAAGCAGGACTGGGCAGGCTGGGTCGCTGTTTGCACTGGGGGAAGCGCTGGCCTCAGAGGTGCCTTCCTCCTCTCGGGCCAGAAAGGGTGATTGTTTCAGAGTCGTCTGATGAAGAGCATATATTCCAAACAGAGCCCACTGCCTGTCCCGGCGCCAGCTTCGAACAGGGGAGGCAACTGTGACGCCCTGTGGCTCCTTTCACCCGGCAGTGGGGAGGGTGCTCAGGCCAAGGGGAGAGAGAGAGACCTCTAAACACAGCCTGGAGAGGAAGGCTGGGCGTGCTCCGCCAGCTTCACACGCACCTCTCTTGGCCCTGCCAGATGCCATTTGTGTTTTCTCTTTCCCGTGCCCTCGCCCCTTGCCAAAAGCTATAGGCAGCATGGCCAAGATTCCTCTGTGGGGCAGGAAAAAGCAAAGAAGGAGGCATGAGCTTCTAATTAGCAAAGATAGACAAATTGCTGGTGGAGGGACCACCTTCAGCTTTGTGTGCAGACACGTGGCCCCCCTGGCCCTTTTATATTACGTGTCCACATTCTTTGGTGGTCTAACACCCTCCTAGGCACTGGAGCCACCATGCAAGCGTTTCCAGTGGGCTGTGAACAGAAAAGTAATTTTCCACATCAGAATCAAATACTCAACAGGAAGGCGAGGCTGCCCTGTGGTGGGCGGGACTTGGCCCTCTGTACTTTCCATTTAAGGCATTTAGAACAACAATAATTATTAAATAATCATTAAGTTAATTGTCTTCCTTGCCAAACTCATTGAGGGCGGATACCCAATAATACAATCAGTGCCTGATAAATGTATGTTGAGGGGAGTCTACCTTTCCATGAGAACTGAGTTTTATCTCTGAATTAACAAATGCCAGATGTGCAATTAGCATTCAGAGAAAATGCTCTCCTCTTCAAAAGGCACTTTAACCTGTTATTCTCTATCTGAGCTCATTTAATGCAAGGAGAAGCTAAGGAGCAGAAAGATTCAGAGAAATATCCTGCTTCAGAGAGTTGGGCAGGAGATTCCTGTAGCATCCGTTCTGCTACTTCTCAGAACTGTGTGCCCTGGCAGACATCAATAATCAATCACCACTCTTTCCTGTTGAGCCCAGAGGCAGCTGCAGAACCGTTCACAACACACCTCCAGGAGGCCACTACCAGGTGCTTGAGAAGTTTGCAGAATCCCAGACTGGCAAATATGGGTGTATAATCGAATTCATGTTTACCTCCAGATTTCTACTTTCTGGCTCAGAGCTGTCCTTTCACTTTCTCATTTTCTTCATTCACCGCTGTCAGCAGGTGCCTTTTTTCCTGCAGCCACTTCTCTGGCTGTGTGACCCTGGGCAGGCAACTTTATTCTTCTCTGGGCCTCAGTTCTTTGTCTGTAGAATGGAGATAATCGTTATATCTGGTAAGACTCTGTGGGACCCAACGAAAGCATAGAGTGCTTAGCATCGTGTCTGCTAGGAACTAACAGGCCCTGAAGAGATGATGGCAACTTTAAAATATATTTGTTTTCACTTTAATCTTCAGCAAATTGAAGCCCTGGCCGCAGGTGTCATTGGGCTGGAAGCTCCTAGGGATGCCCCCCAGAAGGGGGGGTTTTTCCTTGGTCCCTGGTAAGTCTGCCTCGACACACCCCTACAGTGGGAGGGGCACCAGCTGTCACCTTGGTGCCTCCTCTGTGCCATCAGTCTTCCCAGCCACAGGGAACTTTCCCACACACGCAAGGCCTCATCTCGGGTCTGCAGAATCCAACAAAGAGCAGGAGGGCAAAGAAAGCCTGTCATCTCCTCTCTTGCAGAAATCCACAAGCAGCATTTCCGATGTTGTCATTGTTATAATAAGCAGCAGGCCTCATCCAGGGAGGGGAAACGTGATGGTGTGGTGCTGAGATAGATACCTCCAGTTGCTTTTCCCCTGAGTGGGTCACCATAGCTCTGGGGAAATCAAGAACCCCCCCTAGACTGTGGGAGTCCCCAAGTGACATCAGGCACAGCAGAAAGCCAGAGAGGAATCCGGACCCATGGGCAAAACAGACAGAAGAATTCATGCTCTCAGCAGGGAATGGGGACAGTGAAAGCACACCTGCCCAGGTAACACACCCTACAGGATGCACACAGACTCAGTGTGCACAACAAAAGGGTCTAAGGCCTCATTCCCAGCTCAGCACATACACTGTCCGCTCCCTGTCCAAGAGGGCCTTGCCATTTGGGCATTTGGGGCCCGGAGAGATCTGAGATGACCCCATTTCCCTAGGCGGCCTGGCAGTGATGTGACCAAGTCTGTGAAGTCACCATCTTCATGGGTCCCCACCAGGGTATACTGTGCTCCCCAAAGCTAAATCAGGAAGGAGAAACGTCCCCACCTAAGCCTGGGGAGATCTCCAGCATAGATGAAACCCCTCCGGGCTGGTTATTGCCATTGGAGTGTGTCTGGTCTGCCCTGGTTGGGGGAGACTGATTCCTGCCAAGTGATTTTTCTCCCTGAACCTCAGTGTCCTCATCTCTAAAATGGATCCATAATAATACCCACCCCTGGGAGAGCTGTGAGCATGAGAGCTAGGGGTAAACCTTGGTATACAGGAAGTGTGCAATTAATAGGAGCTCCATTGTGACTGTTACTTTTCTTAGAATTTGAGTCCAGTCCTGGCCAAACAGAATCACCGTCTTCTCTGTCTGAAGCCATTTTTTCCCTGGAAAATGCAGACCCAGCGGTGAGCTATTTGTTCTCTCAGAGTTTCTGAGTCCTGGGAACTGAGGCCAGAGATCTCAGGAGTAGAACAGTCCACTTACCTGGCTGCACGTCATCTCATTTTGCTGTTACGGAACCTGTTCTAGCCCGGGTGGGGTGGAAGGCAGATGTTGGACTGGTTATTATGGGGGAATGCCTTCTGCTGCAGAAGGAGGTGGCGGCGGGCACTAGGTTGCTTCCACCTTTTGGCTACTTAGAGTAATGCTTCTCTGAACACGGGTGCGCTGGTGTCCCTTTTAAAAGTCCCTATTTTTAATTCTTCTGCATATATAGCTAGGAGTAAAATTGATGGATCACATAGTAACTTGGCTGCACCCTTTTATATTCGCGCCAACAATGCGTGAAGGTTGTGATTTCTCCACAATGTGCCAACGATTACTATTTTCCGTTGTTTTATCAGTGGCCCTCCTAATGGGCATGAGGCAGTGTCTCCAGAGACAGAAGGTGGAATCCTGGTAACCACAGGTAGAAGGAAGGGGAGCCGGGAGTTGGTGTTCGATGGGGACAGAGTTTGAGTTTGGGAAGATGAGAAAGCTCTGGAGGCCGACAGTGGCGATGGTTGCACAGCAGTGTGGATGGACCAAATGCCACTGAACCGTACACTTAAATGGTTAAAATGGCTAAATTGGACATCACTTATACACACAATTGTACATCACGTGTACACACACAAAAGCAGGTGTCACATAGGAGACACCCAGTTTAAGGGACATTCTGTACGGTGCCTGAATGGCGCTCCTGAAAACTGTGCAGGTCCTCAAGGCTGAGGAAAGCGTAAACTGTCCCAGACCAGGGAGGCCAAGGAGGCGCGATGACTCAATGTCATGTGGTGCCCTGGATGGGATCCAGGGACGGGAAAAGGACACTTGGGAAAAACTGGTGAAGTTCACGCAAAGTGTCCGGGTTAGTTCAGCATCAGAGACCAATGATGGTTTCTTGCTTGTGACGAAAATGTTCCATGGTCTGAAAGGTGTCAACACCAAGGGAAGCTGGGTGAGAGGGCTACCAGAATCCTCTCTACTGTCTTTTCAGCTTTTCGGTAAATCCAAAAGTACTTTCAAATGAAAAGTTTAATTTAAAAATGAGAAGCCACCTCCCCCACGAGATCATGAAGCTCCATGAAGGCCAAGGCCATGTCAATGCCAAATGCATGTTGGTTGAATTCACTCGTGTTGGTTGAATTTACTGATGTTGGTTGAATTTACTGATGTTGGTTGAATTTACTGATGTTGGTTGAATTCACTCATGTTGGTTGAATTCACTTATTACTGTGTACTTACCATCTTGTTGGCAGCCTCTTCGTTCTTTTTTTCTAATTGACAAACAATAGTTGTATGTATTACATATTTATGGAGTATAATGTGATAATTTAATATATGTTTATAATGTGGAATAATTGATTAAATCATGCTAACAAATCCAAAAATAAAATAAAAATAAATAAAAATGGGAGGACTAGGCAGCACAGTGAGACCTCGTTTCTACAGAAAAAATGTTTTTAATTAGCCAGGCATGGTGGTGCACATCTGTGGTCCCCGCTACTCAGGAGGCCAAGGTGGGAGGATCGCCTAGTTCAAGGCTACAATGAGCTATGATGTTGCTACTCCACTCCAGCCTGGTTGACAGATCAAGAACCTGTCTCAAAAAACAAGACAATTGTGGTGAAATACACATAACATCAAATTCACCAAATCGGAGGTGTTTTTAACATACAGTTCGGTGGCATTAAGTACATTCCCATTGTGCAACCATCACTACCCTCCATCTTCAGAACTCTTTTCATCTTATCAGACAGAGACTCTGTCCCTGTTAAACACTAACTCCCCATTCCCCTCCCCGAGCCCCTGACACCTACCATTCTATGCTCTGTCTCTACGAATTTGACTGCTCTAAGTACTTCTTGTAAATGCAGTCACGCAATATTTATCCTTTGTGGTTGGCTTATTTCACTAGGCGTCATGTTCTTAAGATTCTTTCATATTGTAGCATGTGTCAGAATTTCTTTCTCTTTTATGGCAATATTCCATTGTCTGTGTATGCTGCACCATGCTTCTCCATCCGTCCGTCCATCAGAGGACACGAGGTTGCTTCCACCTCTCGGCCGTTAGAGATAGTGCTGCGGTGAATGCAGGCCGTGCTTCTCCATCCCTCCATCAGCAGACACGAGGCTGCTTCCGCCTCTCGGCCGTTACAGATAGTGCTGCAGTGAACGTAGGTTTACAGGTATCACACACAGACCAAGCTTCCCATTCTTTTGGGTCTGTACCTGGAAATGGAACGTCTGGATGATACAGCTCTTCTCCGGTTAAGTTTTTGGGGACCTGCCAGATTATTTTCCATAGTGGCTGCCACATTTTACATTTCCACTAACAGCATGTAGAGACCAGGGATACTGCTCAGTGCCCTGCCACACACAGGACACCGCAGAGATGACCTAGCCCCAAATGTCAACAGTGCCCAGGTGGAGACAGCCTGGCTTGGAGTGAGCAAGGGGCAGAAGGAAAGACAGGAGGCGTGGGGAGGAGGCAGGCCAGCCAGGCAGGCTGCTGGGAAAGTTGTCCTGAGCACATCTTGGAATGAACACAGCTGCGGCAGCTGTGAGTATTTGCTGCTTGGCACCCCAGGAAGCTTTTCTTGGATTGTCTCATTTCAGTCCCCAATGCCAGGAGCTTGGCATAAAATGTGTTGAGAGTGGCTGCGCACAGTAGGCCCACTGTTCCTCCCGCCTGCAGCCATCCTGACTTTGTTCCCTTCAGCGTCACCTCCCCAACCCCGCCACCAGGTACTTTGTCCTTTGAAAGCAAGGTGCAAACACTGGCAGGCGAGCCCAGTAGATAAGATGTCTGAGTAAACACCCAGCCCTCTCCTTGTGGGATCCGCATTACCCCGTGTTTGTGAATGATCGGGGTTACCTGGCAACCAGGCCTGGGCGCCCCTCCTGCCGCCCAGAGCCACCAGGACTTCCTTCTTCTGTGTGCGGCTTCCAGCTTGTTGGCCTCCACAGGCCGGGCATGCTGGGCAGAAGAAGAGGGTGGCGCTTTTTGTTTTTATTTAAAAGGGAACACCAAGCCTGGCTGAGCAAACCAGACAGTTTGATATCAGACCCCGAACATGGCCTAGGTGGGCTTGGGGTAAGAGTGACCCCCAAGAGTGGGGTGAAGGTGAACATTTATTATGACACCAGCATCAGTGGTCACTTATTTCATGCTGGGCCAGCCTCATGATTCTTTTGTGCCTCTTTATTGAAAGCCTCTTGTGTTTCTGGAGCTGTTCTAGGTGCAGGAGATAGAGCAACGACCACAGTAGTTAAAATCTGTTTTCATATTCCTAAGTTCAGGTAAGGACAGAGAAGATAAACATGTAAACAGATAACAGCCATGCACTGCATAGTGACGTGGTCGGTGTGTGATGGTGGTCCCATAAGATCATAATGGAGCTGAAAAATTCCTGTCACCTACTCATGCCATAGCTGTAGAGATGTCATAGTGCAATGCATTGCTCAGGTGTTGGTGGTGGTGCTGGTGTAAACCTCTCGCACTGCCAGTCGTGCAAAAGCACAGCACCTACAGTATGCACAGTGCATAAGACTTGATGGTAAACAACTAAGTTACTGGCTTGTGCATTCGCTCTACTGTACATTTTATTGTTATTTTGTGGTATACTCCTTCTAGTTATAAAAAAATGAGCCATAAAACAGCCTCAGGCAAGTCTTTCAAGAGGTATACAGAGAAAGGCATTGTGGGGCTGGGCGTGGTGGCTCATGCCTGTAATCCCAGCACTTTGGGAGGCTGAGGCAGGTAGATCATCTGAGGTCAGGAGTTCGAGACCAGCCCGGCCAACGTGTTGAATCGCCATGTCTACCAAAAATACAAAAATTAGCGGGGCATAGTGGTGTGCACCTGTAATCCCAGCTACTCAGGAGCCTGAGGAAGGAGAATCGCTTCAACTGGGGAGGCAGAGGTTGCAGGGGCCCTGTCTGCGTCACTGCACTCCAGCCTGGGCGACAGAGCGAGACTCTGTCTTAAAAAAAAAAAAAAAGAAAAAGAAAAAAAGTTGTGTGTTTTTTTGGTTTTGTTTTGTTTTGTTTTTGTTTTGTTTTGTTTTTTTTTTTTTGAGACAGAGTCTCGCTCCGTCGCCCAGGCTGGAGTGCAGTGGCGCAATCTCGGCTCGCTGCAAGCTCCGCCTCCCGGGTTCACGCCATTCTCCTGCCTCAGCCTCCCCAGTAGCTGGGACTACAGGCTCCCGCCACTATTCCTGGCTCATTTTTTGTATTTTTCATAGAGATGGGGTTTCACCGTGTTAGCCAGGATGGTCTTGATCTCCTGACCTCGTGATCCGCCCGCCTCGGCCTCCCAAAGTGCTGGGATTACAGGCGTGAGCCACTGCGCCCAGCCAGAAAAACAATTTTTTACAAATGTAGTGTAGCCTAAGTGTACAGTGTTTATGAAGTCTGCAGTAGTGTACGGCAATGTCTCAGGCCTTCACATTCACTCACCGCTCACTCACTCACCCACCCAGAACAGCTTCCAGTCCTGTAAGCTCCATTCATGGTAAATGCTCTGTACAGGTAAATCGTTTTTATCATTTATGCCATATTTTCACTGTACCTTTTCTGTGTTTAAATATGTTTAGGTACACAAATATTTACCACTGTGCTACAGCTACCTACAGTATTCAGGACAATAACATTCTGTACAGGTTTGTAGCCCAGCCATAGGTGTGTAGTAGGCCGTATACCATGTAGGTTTGTGTAAATACACTCTATGATGTTCACACAATGGCATAATCGCTGAAAATGCAATTTCTCAGAACCTATCCCCATTGTTAAGAGATGCATGACTTTTTTTTCTTTTTGGAGACAGTCTCCGTCACCCAGGCTGGAGTGCCGTGGTGCAATCTTGCTTCACTGCAATCTTCACCTCCTGGGTTCAAGCAATTCTCATGCCTCAGCCTCCTAAGTAGCTGGGATTACAGGCACATGCCACCACGCTTGGCTACTTTTTGTAGTTTTTATAGAGACAGGGTTTCACCATGTTGACCAGGCTGGTCTTGAACTCCTGACCTCAAGTGATTCACTCGCCTTGGCTTCCCAAAGTGCTGGGATTGCAGGCGTGAGTCAGTGTGCCTGGCCATGACTATAGATCACCTAATATTTTAGGTGATCATAGATGCTTTAGAGAAAGAGGGCAGAGGGATCTGAGGTGCAAAGGACTTAGGGTGTCCTTTCCTGGGTTCAGGGACAACATTGAACAGAGCTGTGAATCAAGGGACCCAGCTATGCAGACACTTAGCAGATGTGTGGTGGAGGGAAGGGTAGGGTGGAGGTAGGCACAGTATGTGCAGAGGGCCCTGCAGCAGGAGTGAGGCTGGTCAGGTTTAAGAACTACCAGGAAGCCAGTGGGGGCTACTATAGAGTGAGGGGGAAGAGGGTGGCAGGGGCTGGGGTATGAAAGGTAGGACCAGCAATTACAGAGGGCCTCGCAGACAATTGCCCCGGCCTTGAGTTTTCTGCGGAGTGGAGAGCTTTGGAAGGTTTTGAGCAGAGGGAGGATAAAATCTGACTCTGGCTTTAAAAAGCATCCCTCAGCTGCTGTATGGACAGTATTCTAAACCTCCAGTCTAGTAGCCACTGGGCATGTGTAGCCATTGGAATTTAAATTAATTGAAGCAATAAAGTTGAAAATTCAGTTCCTCAGTTTCAGTAGGTACATTTCAGATGCTCAGTAGCCAGCCCAGATACAGAACATTTCCACCATCCCAGACTTCTTCTTGGATGATGTGGTCTAAATCCAGGCAAGTATGGGAGTTGGGATACCTGCTGGGGGCTGTTGTAGTAATCCAGTTGAGAGAGAAGGCTGATAAATACCTCGGGCAGAGGACATGACAGTGGTCGGACTCAGGATCTATCTGCTGGTAAAGAGGGCAGGACACACTCGTGGGTTAGATGTAAATGTGCAAGGAAGGGAAGTGAGGGTTCCATGGTTGTTGGACAGAGCCATTGGAAGGCCAGAAAGGTCATTTATGAGATGAGGATGCAGCCAACCGTTGTAAGTTACATTGAGTGAGCTGTGGTCTGTGCCAAGTACTGAGCCAAACTCGGATCTCCTGGGACCCTCAGCCCCCATTGTGCAGCAGAACACACTGAGGCTCCGCAGAGGTCCATGCCTGCCCAGGCTTACCCAGCTCATGGTCCAAGGAGCCAGGATTCAAATCTGGGTCTTCTTAGTCCTGACAAGGGGGCCCTGTTTACAAGGAATGCCTCATCAGCATTCTCTCATCCCAGAAACCACTGGCAAGGTGCTGGACCCTTCTGCCCTCAAGCAAATCCATTTGGGGCTAACTTGCAGTGCTGGCAGTGTTGGCAGATGCCCAGCTGCGGGCCTCTTGGACCAGGGTGATGATCCCTGGGCTGGGGCCCATGAGAGTAGGACATGTGGCAAAGGATGGCTGCCAGGGTGTCCTCTCCTTTGCTTCCTAGCCACGCCCACGCCCATGCCTGGCGGATGGCCCCAGATGGGTGCATTACACATTTCTCCTGGGGACCTTCTCCATCCCATGCTGGGTGGTTCACTCATCTGTCCAGTGCCAGATGGCACAGAGCCAGCACCGAAGGGCTCCAAGTTCATATCACATACCCATCCAGTGAGGGACGTAAATATTTTTTTTCATTTTTCAAATGTGGAAACTGAAGCTCAGAAGGGTACACTTACTTGCTCAAAGTCACACAGCAGCCAAGTAGGAGAGGCAGGATTTGAACTCAGGGCTTTTGGAATCCAAAGCCCTTGCCCTTGTCTGCTGGGATCTGCCGCGTCCTCGAGCTGAGTAGGATGCAGAACTGCTGAGCAGAGCTTTCTGCCGAGGGTTACACAGTTTTGATTTTAGACCTCATCATGGTGTGGGGTCCAGTGGGCAGGAATCTCACGTGCCCTGGCAAGGCGCTGACCCGCCAGAGGAAAAACCATCTTGTTTTGCACAAAGCCTCCCCCAGCTGGCTGGCCATGGCTGCTATCATCTGCCAAGAGGGGGCTTTGTCTTCCAGTTCTTGAAAAGGTGTCTACAGGCGAGCCACAACCTGGCTGGCACCTGATGGCAGACACAGAGGAACAGTGAGAATACAGCAAAGCCTCAAGCTTGCCTTGAGAGGGTCATCTTGGCTTGGGGATCATGGGCTCATACCTTGGAGCCAGAAGTCCTGAGTTCAAATCCCAGCTCTGCCTCTTTCTGTTTTGTGGACTCCAGGCAAGTCACAAACTCTGCGCGCTGCTGCGGTTTCCTTCCTGGTAAAATGGGAATGATGATAATAGCAATACTTCTTTCCATCCAAGGTGCGGTCTATGGACCAGCAGCGTCAGCCTCACCTGGGAGTTTGTTAGAGATGCAGCATCTGGGGCCACACTGACACGTACCGCATTATAGTCTGCATGTTTACAAAACCCCCAGGCGATACATGTGCACATTAAAGCTGAGACACTGGTGTGGACTGAGCAAGGTGGTTCGGGTTCCATATTGAGCATGATGCTGTTGCATGGCAATCGGTACGCTTCTTGCTTGGCGTGTTCTCTTATTATCATGAGCTGTGCAATCTTGGGCCGTCTCTCCTAGACTCTTAGCTATTATTATGGGGCTTCATGGTGCAGAGGTGCCCTGGGAGACAGATCAATGTCTAGAAAAGCTTCTGCCTTTTAGCCCTGATTCTGCTGAGGGAGGGTCAGCACTGTCGGGGCCATTAATGGCACCTTGGAAGAGCCGCCTTCCATTGCAGACCACAAGCTGGACACCCAACCCCATGCTGCAGCCTAGCTGTCTCCAGCAGCTGGTGCCTGGGTCTGGCTTTCAGGGCCCGTCTTCCTGGGCTAGAAAGAGCTGCAGAGCCTGAGCCCAGGGCCAGTAGGCCAGCCATTCTCCCATTTCGTCCTCTCCTTCTACCTAGCAGTTTTAGGACAGATTGATATATGTGGTCTGAAAAAGCCACTGGGGCAGGTAGGACAGAAGCAGGTGGTGACATCACAGTGGAGCCCAGATTTTAGTTGGTCAAATACACCTGCCAGGGGAGAAAAGAATGCCGCCCTCACACAGGCAAGGAAGCTGGGCACCCGGGGGTGGGGTGCTGAGAATAGACATTTTTGCATTGGGGCCTTCCTCCATATCACCCCTACTTCCAACCCCACTTAAGGTGCCTTTCTTGGAGGAGTCTCCGATGTCTAAAATGTGCCCATGCTGAGCTCCAGGGACTTGATTTAAAAGTACATATGTGTCTTTACGAGTGTGTGTTATACATGTAATGGTCTCAGAGCAGAAATAAAACCACAAAGCTATTACAGAGGAATCTAGTCTTCCATGTAATGTGGCTCTGAGCTCCTCCCTGGAATCCCCTAGAGTTGATGTGGGGGGAAGAAGGAAAATAAGAGAATGAGAAGAAGCAAAGCTGGCCTCTGCCAGCAGCCGGGAGCCAGGAGTTCTCAAGCTCGAGGCTGCGCCGCAGTGCCAGGGAGCCTGTTCCAAGAGTGTGCTCTTGAGACAATGGGGCAGTGGGTCGGGCTGCTCTGGATTTTAAACAAGCAAGCCTGGGTGATTCTGATGCTGATGACCCTGCAGATTGCACTTCTAGAAATTGGGGACTAGGGGAAGAGTCAGCAAGTCGGGCACACAATAGGTGTTCGATGAATATTTGATGAGTGGAGGCATGTACGTGGGAATGAATAAAACATGCTCAAGCTAATGGATGAGCACACAGAGAATGAATTCGCAGAGGAGAACATGCGGGGAAGAAGGCATCCTTGGAATGAGTGCATGTGTGCCCGGGCGACTGTATGCAGGTGGGAGGCATGAACCTGTGGGGGGTGGGCATTGCAGGGCAGGAGGGGATGGAGCAGGGGTCTCCAGAGGGGGTTTCATGAAGAGGTAGTGCTCGGGGGTGCCTGGTGAAGGGCTAAGACCCTTCAAGCGGGGCCTTAAGACATTTTAGCTGATGGCAGGCTCAGTTTAGGGAGTGGGGGAATGGCATGGTAACCATGGCATTACAGAAAGCCCTCCTTCGGCCAAGGGATGCCCCAGCCCCAAAGACAGGGCAGTATGTGAACTTCAGCCCAAGATCTGGGCCCAGATGGATAGGAGGCTTGTACCATGGCCCACCTTCCAAAGGAAGATTTGCCCCACTGGGTGGCAGTGGGCTTTCTCCAAGAAGAGGAGCCTCTCTCCCTGTTCCAGATGCAGATCCCAGCAGCCCAACTCCAGGAGTTGTTGGCAAGCAGGTGGGCAGGGGCCAGAGCCTGCGGCACCTTCATCCCTGCTCCTCTCTGCACTCCATCCTCCTGCTCCCCTCCTGGTAACACAGGGCCGCCAGCTTCCCCTGGTGCAGACTGCAGCTCAGCATTGCCAGGGAGACCATCTGCCCTTCTCACTCCAGTCTTCACATCCCCCAGAAGGAACCCATATCGGTGGGCTCAGGCAGATGCTGACTTCTGGACTGGTCAACTGTGGCTGCCAGGTGGGGTCCTAGTACACACATGGCAGCCTCCTGTGGTAACCGTGGCATCCTCATGGCAGCGGGGCAGGGGAGATTCAGAGGGGCAGGGAGTGACACAAAGACAGCGGCTGTCTGCCACCTGCCCCCTACCCAGGAGGGGTTTGACTCATTCGTGCTGTCATTCAACACACACTGATTGGCTTTCCTGTCTGCCTCCTTCTGGGGCACGGCGCCGCCTCCTTCAGGATGTGCCGACTCTCACCCAGCTTTTCCCAGCCCTGTGTTGGGCTGGCGCTTGGGGAGCGGGCACAGATGTCACGGGGGGACATGCCCCTGCGCCCTCCTTCACCTTTCAGGACCAGAGCCAGAGAGTTTCCCGAACACTCATAGCCAGCCCGGAGACTCCAGGCGAGAAACTCGGGAGGCCGAGGCAAATAGTTGGTTCTTTGAGGCTGAAATTGGGCAGCGGGGGACCTGGGAGACGTTGACTGTCGTGTGTTTGGACAAGCGAGGCTTCTGCCACTCTGTCTCGGACAGTCCAGGGGAGACAGAGGTGCTTCAGATTGGAGGCTGCCCTCTCCTCAAGAAGGAGGGTGCGCCGGTGTGGCTGGATGAGTTGTGGCTTCCAGATAAAATTATGTGCTTGGGGTTTAGTGGACTTAGGCCTTATTCATGCTTCTGTGTTTGCTCAGCCTACCAGGCCCCGTACCTGGTCTCCCAGCCTCCTGGGGACACATCGGGTTCCTTGCTGTTCTTTCAGACAGTGAAGGAGCCTTCCTCCCTCACTGCTGCTGTTCCTTCCTTCCTGTCTGCTCTTTCTCAGGCAGGTCCTGCTCATGGTGCCCACCCATGCTACACTGGGTGAGGAGGTCATGGAGCTGGAGCCACGCACAACTGGATTTTGGTACCACAGCTTTGCTGTGTGACTCTGGGTATATTACTAGATCTCTGTTTCTTCATATTCAAGGAGGCCTTCCTAGGTTGCCTGCTTACCAGGTCTTGGCAGGGGTCTAATGCATTCATTCCTGCTTCTCCTAGGACCCAATGATTCTACTCCCAATTCTGTTCCCAAGAGAACTGAGTGCTTCTGTCTACTAACAGACATAAACAAGAATATTCAGAGCAGCCTTAGTCATAGTAGCCTCCAACTAGAAACAACCCAAGTATCCATCAACAGTGGAACAGATAAACCAATTGTGGCATAGTTATACAATGGAGTACTACACAGCAATGAAAAATAAACACCATGGATGAATCTCACAGATATTATGTTGAACAAAATAAAGTAAAATGAGTACATAGTGTATTATTCCAGTTATAGGAAGTTCAAGGTCAGACAAAACTACCCTGTAGTGATAGAGGTTGGAATGATGGTTACTTCTTGAGGGAATTGCCAAGAAGGGACATGAGAGAGCCTTCTAGGGTGCTGGGTGGTGGTCACATGAGTGTGAGCATTTGTCAGGCTGTATGCTTGCCATCAGTATGTATGAGCGACTTCTCGTACCTCCTGCACCCAGAGACAAGCATCCTTCAGCCATACAGTTTCTGTGGATGCTCACTGGGTCTTCGGAGCCATGTGTCCGGCTGGGAGGAATTCCCACATCGAAGTCCGAGGCTTTGCCGCCTGGCGGAAACCCCGCACCACGGGAGCTTGTGCTGCTCTCAGGGCAGCTGCAGACTTCCCTGAAGGGACTTGCTTGTCCTAGAAGCATGTCATGCAGTGAGACACCGCTGCTACAGGGCGGAATCCACTTCTTTCCATTCTTGGATGTGGCATCCGTGGCAGGTGTTGGGAGGGTGGCCTGGCCACATCCTCACCTTCCCCGGGCCCAGGAGCTCCAAGTCAGGCAGTATTTGGGCCTCAGGAAAACAGTGTGGCCTGGAGGGAGGCAGACTCACTTTGGGAATTCCCTTGCTGCACAACTTTGGGTAAGGGATGCCACGTCTCTGGGCCTCAGTTTCCACTTCACACCTTCAGGGATGGTGTGAGGATCACCCAAGAGACCACATGGGAAGTGTCGGCCCCTTGCGTGGCTAGAAGCTAGGCTGAAAGTCCCTTTCCCTCTCACAGTATGCCACGCCGCCCTCAGGACCCTCCTGCTCTGCCTCTCCATGCGCTGCTCCTCTGCTGTGTCGTCTGCACAGAACTGACCACCTTCTAAAGGGCATTTGCCTTATTTCGTCCCCGCTTCTTGTCACCTCCCCGAAGCGCAGAGATTCTTGTTTATTCTGTTCACTGCTGTATATCTGCAGCCCTGGGCACGTAGTAGGTGCTTGATAAATAGTTGTTGACTTGACTTGTTAGCAGCTGGTAGAAGCTTCCCCTAATGTTTCATTCTCCAGGCTTTATTTTGAGTGAAGTTGAGGCCAGAAGGCCTCAGTATCCTCTTCCAGGGATGCTGGGAACTGTAGACTGGATGACCGTGAGCTTTTCAGTGTGTGTGTGTGTGTTTTTTTTTTTTTTTTTTTTTGAAGCTGGAAGAAACTGTACAGAAAAGAGGCCCATTTTGCAGATATGGAGACCAAGGTCCAGAGGGACCAGGGCCTTGCCTTCTAGGGCACCTTTGATGGGAGAATCCGTAGGCTTGATGTTGAGGTCCTTCGGTTTGTCTTTCTGCCTTTTCATTGCAACTCCAGGGGGAGAGGGACCCTCTGGCCTCACCCTTGGCTCTGACCTCAGTGCGGTCAGTAAAGTCTGCCTTTCCCTCTAACTTTCACCTCTTTCTCCCCACTGCCTACGTGCCTGCCCTCTGCCCACTGAAAGTGGGAGCATCAGAAGGGAGCTGTGCCCCCAACCCCCATGTGAGGGACAGATCAGCAAAAGCCTCAAAGTCCGTGGGCCGTGTGTCTCCCATCTCATTGTGGCTGGGGCCCCGGGCAAGGGCACCGTGCCTCGGGAGTGAGTCACTCTCTCTCTGTGCCAGGCAGGAGCTCCAGGGACTAGGGGTGACCCAAGAGTGAAGGCCTGATGGGGAGGAGGACCCGGCATGACAGCCCTTGGCTTGCTGGGGGAGGAGAGTGGAAACTTTTACATTTGTTTCTCGCTTTCAACCCAGTAAGTAGGAATCAGCCTAACAGATCAGCAAGAGCCTCAAACCTTGGCTCGTTCTGTTCAAGAAGACAGAAACCACAAAGGCAAGGAGAGCTGGAGTTGGCTCCATAACAAAGTGACCCTTGAGCGTGGAAAAGCAGACCAGCAACCAGCCTCGCCATAAACCAGTCTGAAAGGCGAGTGGGTGACCTGGGAAAACGCACTTGTGGCCCAGTTGACAATTGAAGGGTTAAATGACCTTAATAAGCCGAAGTAGCTGTGAATCAGTGAGAAACTGTGACTGCCTCAAGGGGAAAAGGTGCAAAGAACAAAAGAGAAATACAGTGAAAAACTGTCAGCTTCTCAAAAATCAAAGAGATGTAAATTAGAACAGGGGGTGCAGTTTTTCACCTGGAGAACTCGCAGAGGTTTAAATAAGATCGTACATTTTACGAAGAAGGCATCTGTAGCACCCTTATGAATGCTTTCCCTTCTGGGTGCATAATCGCCCTCCTCTAAATTGGATGCTCTTGGGGTGACCTCACCTGGTTCTCTCTCCCCATCACCCTGTATCCCTTGAGAATATCTGTAGTGACAGCTCCTGAGCACCTGTTGTGTATCATGCATTCTATACATACTGTCTCATTCTGGGGGTTCCATTGTTCCACTTCGCAGAGGCAAAAACTGAGGCGCAGAATGATGAAATGACTTCGGCGAGGTACCCCAGTAGGTAATGGAGCTGGCATCTGAACCTAGGGTAACCAGCCTCAAGCCCGTGCTCTCCTTTTTTGCTTATTTTCCACCACTGTTTGGTCCCTGGCTCTCCCAGAGGGACATGGCACTGGCTGGGCCTCAGGGGATCCTGGCTTCTCTTGAATTCAGTGTTACCTTCCAGCTGCCGAGACCTGCAGGAACTGATTCCACAGGACAGTCCTGCCAAGGAGGCAAGCGGGCCAGAGAGAGGCGGCAGCAACTTTCTGACAGGTGCCGGGGAAGTCCCGATTTGCAATGCTTGCCCGTTTCTACTGTGTAAATACTTACACTATGGCCAAAGTGAGATGCTTAAATGCAGAGTTTGGAAAAGATGGGCACAGTTGGCTTCTGGGAGCTGGAAAGAGCTGGCTTAGCCATAGCTTCACCACTGCCCAGGTGGGTGACTTTGACCTGGTGTCAACCTCTCTGAGACTCGGTTTTCTCATCTGTAAAATGGGAGCAGTATTTGCTGCATAGGGTGGTTGATTGTGAGGATTAAATGAGTGAATGTGTGTCTAGCGCCTGTACTGTGGTAGGTGCTGTCTAAGCGTTCGTTATGAGTGCACTTAACTTTCATTCATTCATTCATTCATTCATTCATTCAGCTTTCACTAACTTCTTCAGCCCTCCAGCATCTGTCTGTCAAAGCCAACTGTCCACCAGGCCTGTGCTAGAATCTTCCTTTTCCCTCTCTCCCTTGGAGTATCAATGGGGGAAGGGGGATGGCCTCACCCCTTCTGCAGACGGGCTTGTCTGGATCCTTGTTTGCTGTGATTTGAGCCAAGGACAGCTGTAGTTTTTTTGTGTTTTTTAGAAATTTCCACTTGTGTGGCTGCCTCCCTTGGTGTAGCCACAGAGGGGGTGGAGAAGGCGCATCCTCTGGGGGTCGTGGACCTTCCAAAAGCCAATCCTAGCACCCCGTGTTGTCAGTTTAGAGGCAGTGGCCTGGGAACTGGCAGTAGACTTCCGGGATGGCTGTCGTGGGGCCAGTGCTGTGCGGGGGAAGCACACTGGCGGTGAACCTGGCTTGGCTGCTTCTCAGTGGACTGCCTTGGGCAAACCACTGCTCCGTTCTGAGCCTCGGTGTATTTTTTTAGTCTATAAAATGTGCTAACAATGGCCTCCTGGCAGGTGGTGGGACCGCTAGTTTTGAAGAAGCCGAGGTGGAAACGCCAGGGAGCCCCACCCTACCCCTGTGGGACATTGAGAGTCTCCAGACTGATCCCCTTCTTCCTGGAGGCCCCAGCAGGTCCCTGGGAGGAGAACCAGGGATGGCCTGAGGAAAGGCTCTCCCTGGCAAAAACGCGGTCCTGTTTGAACTTGGTTCTCTGTTAACATGTGCTGAAAGGAGACGCCGGTGCTCTGTCTCTAGCGATCCCTGGTTCCAGGTCCCCATTCTGTTCCCAATCCAAGCCTTTGGGTCGTTAGTCCTCCACCAAGGCCACCAGTGATCAGGACCTCTGTTTCCAGAGCCCTCCTGTGTCCCAGGTGCGTGACTGGGACAAGTCTGAGAAATGATCACAGCCCAGAGGAGCCTGCGGACACGTGATGATGAAATGTCCCATGGGGTCGTGAAACAGAAAAGGGACATTAGAGAAAAAAACTGAGGAACTCTGAATCAACTGTGGACTTTAGCAATAAAATGTTTTAATATTATTTCATTAGTTGTAACAAATTCACCACACTAATGTCAGATGTAAATAGTCGGAAAATGAGGTGTGGGTATGCGTATGGGAACTCTAGGTACTAACTCAGCAGTTTTTCTGTAAATCTGAAGCTATTCTCAAAAATAAAATCTGTTAAAGAAAAAAAGACAGGCGGGTGCAGTGACTCATGCCTACAATCCCAGCATTTGGGAGGCTCAGGTGGGAGGATTGCTTGAGGCCAGGAGTTTGAGACCAGCTTGGGCAACATAGTGAGACCCTGTCTCTAGCAAAACTAAAAAATTAGCTAGATGCAGTGGTGTGTGCCTATAGTTCCAGTTACTCAGGAGGCTGAGGTGAGAGATCTTTTGAGCCCAGGAATTTGAGGCTGCAGCGAGCAGGGATCACGTCACTGCATTCCAGCCTGGATAATAGAGTGAGACCCTATGTCATTTAGGAAAGAGCCCAGCGCAGTGGCTCACATCTGTAATCTCAGCATTTTGGGAGGCCCAGATGGGAGCCCAGGAGTTTGAGACCAGTTTGGGCAACATAGTGAGATCTCATCTCTACCAAAAAAAAAAAAAAAAAAAAAAAATTAAGAAAAGAAAAGAAAAAAAAGGCCTTCCAAAGAGTTGCAGGCTCACAGGGGATCTTGGTACAGACGAGCAAGCGGTCCCTTCCTTGGTGTGTGTAGGACATGGCTTAGTGAGCACGTCGTGCACCTTGCGTGTGTCCCATTCAGCACCATGGCTGCTCATACCCTGCCTCGACCGTGCGCGGGAGCCCTGCTTCCCTGGCTGGAAGCCTCTCCCTTGATGCCCAGGAGAAATAGCCTCTTGCACTAACAAGGGTGGATCTGTGCTTAAATTACCTCTTACCTGGTTCATCCCAACTCTCTTCCAGCCCTTTCCTCTGCCCCCACCCAGCTGCCCTCAGCCTTCAGCCTCACTGGAGGAAGGGTGTCTCGGAAGAGTTGCATCATGAGACCCTTGGTGGAGTCGCTCACCAGGACGGCCTTGGCCCCGACCCTGGCACCAGCCCAGGGTGACTTTGATGTCGTGTTCTGGCGCGTCCTTGGGCCCATTTCCCTCCTGTCTCCCGGGGGCTCTTTTGCATGTTCTTCCCAAGGCTTCAGAGACCTTCAGCTCCGCGTCTGAAGCAGCCATCTCTTTCTTGGATCTCAAGAGTGGTGATTTCTGGCAACTGCCTCAGACTCCATTTCTCATCTCTGTCTACAAAACTAGCCTGGAGTTGGGCTGTCGGGTTGGCCTGGACATCCTCTGAGCAGCGATTGGCCCTTGCCCTGTTTCTGTGAATGAACGCGGTCGCTCTTGGAAAGAGCCCCCACCACCTTGCAGATGTGCTGGGGTAGGGTGGGGGCGTGCGAGGTTGGATTACATGAGACTTTGGGTTCTTTCCTGCAGTCATTCCTAAGCGGTACTTCTCTGCATCTGGCCTTTAACAGTGAGTGGACGGGGCCAGTGTTCTTGGAGCACCTACTGTGTGCTTGCTCTGTTAGTTCTTTGTTTCCTTCCCTGACGGGAGTTAGGCCTTGCCACCCTTATGTTACAGACGGGGAGACTGGGGCTCTGAGAAGCGACTTCCCCAGGGTGCCCGGCCCGCACATGGTCGAGCGGGGGTCTCAAATCCCGTTGAGTCTTACTTCAAGTCCAGGCTCCTTGATCGCTGGCCCTGCTTGCCCTGGTGGCCCACAGTCCCAGAGTCAGTGGCGCCAAGGTCCCTCAGGCTGGTTGTGAAATCAGTTTGAGTGCAGAATGACGGCGGTTCACATCGAGCTTGGTGCCCACCCTGCTAGCCTGCCTGGGACTTCCCCAGCATTAGCACCAGCATCAGTCCTGCCTCCCAGGAACCCCCTCCGTCTCAGACACACCTCCATGATTGGTCCCTGCCTCACATCCCAGTTTCTTCAAATATCAGCAAGTTTCACACTGAGAGAGAAATGTAGATAACCAATAATAAAATGAAATGACCTCTGGTCCCTATTGTCAGAGCCATAATAGTGACATTACAAAAATGCACCTTTAGACCAGGTGCAGTAGCTCATGCCTGTAATCCCAGCACTTCGGGAGGCCGAGGCAGGTGGAACACTTGAGATCAGGAGTTGGAGACCAGGCTGGCCAACACGGTGAAACCCCGTCTCTACTAAAAATACAAACGTTAGCCGGGCGTGGTGGCGGGCACCTGTAATACCAACTGTTCGGGAGGGTGAGTCAAGAGAATTGCTTGAACCTGGGAGGTGGAGGTTGCAGTGAGCCGAGATCGCGTCACTGCACTCCAGCCTGGACAACAGAGCTAGACTCCATCTCAAAAAATAAAAAAAAAAAAAAGGCATGTTTTCCCTAATAGGAGCTGTCAGAATGTGAAGTGAAGCAGTAGTGTGGGAACCCTTTTAATAAGGAAAGGTATACCCTGCTATTCCTCATTTAAGGTTTTGGAAAGAAGTGGAGAGGAATTCCACCTTTGGCCTGGGATGCAGGAGACTGAGGACATCGAAGCTCATATTTGATGGTTAAAAAGTGGGTGTTTGTGTTGTTTTAAAAATAAGTACAATATATCTGTTACTTGTTGAAAATCGCTTTGTGGGTTCGGGGCCCTAGGGTTGGGGGAGGGGGAGGTCTAGCCAGCAGGACATCACCCATAGCATCAGGGTGTTGCTGAGAGAAGGGTTTTTTAAACCTCAGTCTCCTCATCTGTAAAATGGGCCTTGTTGTCATTCCTACCTCCCTGGGTGGCAGTGTAATGTGTAACGTGTATTTGTGCCAGTTAAGTGAGTTAATGTGCTTAACGCATGCGTGGCCCAGAGGCAGTTGTTCAAGAATGTGAGCTGTCAGTGTCCTGACTCCTCTTGAGCAGTGAGTGTGTCTCAGAAATAAGACATGCTTCGTTTCACCTACCCTCCATTTTCTACCAACTTTTGGGGGCGCCATTTAACACCCAAGCCTAGGCTTGACCCCTGGAGCCTTTACCTGGACTGCAATCTAGTATAGTAGTCACTAGCCACGTGTGCCTGTTCTATGCTAAATTAAACTTAAGAATTCAGATCCTTGGTCACACTAGCCACATTGTGAGTGCTCAGTAGCCACCTGTGGCCAGTGCAGATACAGAACATTTCCATCATCGTAGTACGTTCTGTTGGGCCGCGCTAGTCTGGAGGGATGCCTGGCTGAGGGCCCAGGGAGCCCACCTGCCCTACTTCCCTCACCTGCAGGCTGTGAATCTGATAACCCCACGGCCCCCTCCTCCAACTGCTTGGCCACCCTGCCACCTCTCAGCCCTTCTGGGGCTGCCTGTAGCCTGGCACCAACAACTTCACAGCCCCAGGAGTCCTGCTGGCTGGCAGGAGGACATGGCAGGGGTGCCAGGCTTGGCAAGTGGCACTGTTTTCTCAGCAGGACCGGGCGAAGCCCGAGTTCTCAGCTGGGTACAGCCGTGCCCCAGGTTCAGGGCATAATCCTTCAGGGAAAGGTGGAGATTTGGCAAAAGCTGGAAGGCTGTTGGAGGCTTTACTAATGGACAAATTGGAAAATTCAGTCACTAAAAACAGTGACGGAAAGGTTGTAGGTGATTCTGTAAGAAAGAGCCTTCGAGTATGGCCTGAAATACAGTTCCTCACCCTTGCTCAGTTTTTTCTTCCACTTCTGAGTAGGTTTGATGTCCCGGATGCTGGGCTGGTGCTGGGGATACAGTGGTGGCCTCTGTGGACAGGTCACCATCCCTGTTCTCGGGAGGCTCACAGGCCAGTAGGGGAAACAGGCACATGAAGATGCAGCTCACACTTCAGCTGACTGTCAGAGCAGACCACACTGCAAGATCACGTGGGCAAGGACAGGATTGTCCCCTGCGTATCCTAAGCCCCTCCACAGTAGCTGCTCACGAAATGGTTGCTGGAAGAGCATTTGCATAGGGCATTCTCTTGTTCTGAGCTCTTGCTCATTCCTACCTCATTTCATCCTGTAATGGGGATGGATACTCATTGCTCCCATTTAAGGACACAGGTGTGCCCTGCTGCTTCCTGAACCTGCTCAAGGAGAGTTGCCTCGTAATATAATAACTGAGTAACTGAGCACTTAACTTCATGCCAGCCATATGCTAAATGCATTACCCAGATTATCTCATTCAACCTTCACAACAAATGTACAAAAGACCTATTATTATCCCCAGTTTATGGAGGAGGAAACTGAGGCACAGGAGAAGTTAGGCACTTGGGCCTGAGTCATGCAGTGTTGGAATGGGGATGCGTCGGGCCTCCTCTGGGCTTTACCAGGCTCAGAACATTCCTAGAAGTGGACGTGGACTGAATTGGCCCCTTCCTCTCTCTCCCCACACCATCAGTGGAGACGACTACAAAGCTGTCACTGGCCCTCCTTTTCTAGCAGGCTCAGAGCAGGGGTGACACATGGCTACAGGGAGCAGAAAACATTGTCCCGAGTCGAGTCCGTAGATCATCTAGAGCAGTGATCCAGGCCCCAGTAAGGGAGGTCCCATACAGAGGCTGACTTCATCCATTAGTGCAGAGTAAACACAAGGGCCCTGGAGGCTGGAGCCAACACCCCCAGGACAACTCCCTGCTCCCTTTTGTATTGTCACCTCCTTGGTTCCTCTGGGGATGCTCCAGTTACTGCCAACGGGACAGCAGTGACATTGTAGCCCAAGACACCAGCATGTAAACGTTGCGTGTTTGGGAGGTGTGTGCTGGGCCCTGAAGAGCTCTGAGTTCAGGTCCTGCCTCTGGTCCTTCCTGGCCACGTGAGTCTGATGATGTGTGTGAGTAGGGGTCAGTGATGGTCTGTAAGGGCAGAGAACTTTTTCTGACACAGGTTCTGGCTCTAAGTGTGGCTATTTTAATTCCTTGACAAACACTTGGATACATTTAGTAGACTGGCTAAACTGTAAGACTTTTCAAAATAAGAGTAGTTCTTATAAATGCTTACTTAGTGCCTGGTTGCGCTAAGCAGTCACTAGGTATTATCTCATCTAATTCCTGTAACAACCCTCTAGGGTAGATACTAGCATTTATCACCAGATCTGAGATATCTTGTAAGATACTCCATTTTCTTGCATACCTCTAAGCAAGAAAAGAATGCGTCTAGGCGCAGTGGCTCACTCCTGTAAACCCAGCACTTTGGGAGGCTGAGGCGGGTGGATCACCTGAGGTCAGGAGTTCGAGACTACCCTGGCCAACATGGTGAAACCCCGTCTCTACTAAAAATACAAAAATTATCCAGGTGTGATGGTGCACACCTGTAATCCTAGCTACTCGGGAGGCTGATGGAGGAGAATCGCTTGAACCCGGGAGGCAGGGGTTGCAGTGAGCTGAGATCACGTCACTGAACTCCAGTCTGGGTGACAGAGCAAGACTCTGTCTCAAAAAACGGGGAAAAACAAACAAACAAACAAAAAACAGAAAAGAAAAGAATGTGCCCAGAGACTTATTATCACATCAGTTTTAAGGGAGGTTCAGTTGTACGTCTCTGAATTAATGAAACGCAGTATTATGTCCATTTTACAATGAGGAGATCAAGGCACAGAGAGGTCCAGTAGGTTGCTCAGGGATACGTAGCCAATGAGAGGCAGAGCCAGGACTTGAATGTCAGCACCCCGTTACTAGAGCGTGGTGTATTACCCACTGCTGTGTACTTGCTGCAGAATGATGTCTCCTAAGCCTAGTGCAGAACAGTGCTGAAGAACACAGGGTCTAGAGTTAGGCAGATCCAGGTGTGAGTCCCACTCCCATGACTTTCTAGCTGTGTAGCTTTGAGATGTCCCAGTACCTCTCTAAGCCTTGGTGTTCTCATCTGTAAAATGGAAGTGTCAGAGCAGGTATTAAATTTGGTGAAGCTTGAGAAGTACTTGGTCGTAGTGGAGGCTGCTCTGATCACATCATCACCACCACCACAATCAACAGCAGCATCACTGTCACTGTCATCATCACCACCACTATTAGCATCACCACCAACATCCCCATTACCACTACATTATTATCACTATCACCATCACCATCATCACCATCATAACCATCACCTTTATCACCACCATCATCCCCATTACCACTACATTATTATCACTATCACCATCACCACCATCATAACTATCACCTTCATCACCACCATCATCCCCATTACCACTACATTATTATCACTATCACCATCACCATCATCACCATCATAACCATCACCTTTATCACCACCATCATCCCCATTACCACTACATTATTATCACTATCACCATCACCACCATCATCACCATCACCTTCATCACCACCATCATCCCCATTACCACTACATTATTATCACTATCACCATCACCATCATCACCATCACCACCATCATAACCATCACCTTCATCACCACCATCATCCCCATTACCACTACATTATTATCACTATCACCATCACCATCATAACCATCACCTTCATCACCACCATCATCCCCATTACCACTATATTATTATCACTATCACCATCATCACCATCACCTTCATCACCACCATCATCCCCATTACAACTATATTATTATCACTATCACCATCATCACCATCACCTTCATCACCACCATCATCCCCATTACCACTACATTATTATCACTATCACCATCACCACCATCATCACCATCACCTTCATCACCACCATCATCCCCATTACCACTACATTATTATCACTATCACCATCACCATCATCACCATCACCTTCATCATCACCGTCATCCCCATTACCACTACGCTATTATCACTATCACCATCACCATCATCACCATCACCTTCATCATCACCGTCATCCCCATTACCACTACGCTATTATCACTGTCACCATCACCATCATCACCATCACCTTCATCATCACCATCATCCCCATTACCACTACGCTATTATCACTGTCACCATCACCATCATCACCATCACCTTCATCACCACCATCATCCCCATTACCACTACATTATTATCACTATCACCATCACCATCATCACCATCACCTTCATCACCACCATCATCCCCATTACCACTACTTTATTATCACTATCACCATCACCATCATCACCATCACCTTCATCACCACCATCATCCCAATTACCACTACATTATTATCACTATCACCATCACCATCATCACCATCACCACCATCATAACCATCATCCCCATTACCACTACATTATTATCACTGTCACCATCACCATCATCACCACCATCATAACCATCACCTTCATCACCACCATCATCTTCGTCACCACTGTTACAGCATCACCACTATCACCATCGTCATCATTTAACTAAAAGTGAGAGACACTGCATATAAGGTCTCTTTCCTGCTCTTCCTGGGGTCTTTGTCATAAAGAGTACAGAGTCCCTTAATCTCTCCCTGGTCAATGGCAGTCCCAGCCCTGAGCTATGTGAGTGCTGGGTCTTGTTACTTTGAATTGTATACCTGAGCAAGGGGAAGAACACAGAGAGAGTTCTCCAGATGTTTTGTGTCTCCCTCTCTCCTTCCTTCTCCAAAAACGATCTCATCTCGGAGCTCACATTGGAGAGAGCTGTCCTTGTGAATTTCCCCACCCCTTCCTCTGGTCCCTTCAGTCCATAAAGTATGAAATCTCCATGCCATGGGCTGGTGTGTAGGATGTTCTTCCCAGCCAGTTGGATAAAGACATTTTGGTTTTTTGCACGTGGGAGACATCACAAAAGACTGTGCATACATCCTCTGTGTCCCTCTCTGGGGACCATGGCCTGGAAGCAGCCAACACCTGCTCCCTTCCTGCACTGGCGTCGGAAAAGTTCCATGGCAGATAAGCCCGTGCCATTGCAGGGAAGCCTTCACTCCAAAGCCACTTGCTGCCCCGGAGACCTGGCCTGCGAGGTCCAAGGTTGTGCCATCTGACCCCAGATGCTTCTTCTCCTTTCTGTGCTGGCCAGTGGGAGACAGCAGAGGGAACACTGGACTAAGAGTCAGGAGACACAGTTCCAGATCTAGCTCAGCTTCTTCAGCTCCAGAAAGCAATTTGCCTCTCCTGAGTCTGTTTTTCTTCCATAGAATCTCGGATTCAGATAAGAATTCCAGTTGACCTAGGGCAAGCACCCTCGCCTCTCTGTGCCTCAGTTTCCCCTGCAGGGACATGGGGATGGCACCCCCCTGCCTCCTAGGGCTATTGCAGGGATGATAAGGGGTTACTTCTTAACAATGAGGAGGAAGATGAAGGTGAAGGGTGGTGGCGGTCCTTGCAAGACAGAGGCCAGCAGCTGGTCCTCCTGGGGCCTCCATGGGGCAGCTCTCAGGTGTGGAAGGCATTCACCTTTGTCCCTCTGACTGGTACTCTTTGGCCCTAGCTCTGCTCTCTTGAGCCACCACAAATCCAGCCCCTTCCTCTGTGCCCCAAAACAGCCCTCCAGACCTCGGAAGCCAGTTTCTAACTGGACAGCAATCCTGCCCCTTAGTGTCATGTTCACCTTGAGCCTCCTTCTTGAAGGAAACCAGCAGAACCCTGCCAGGCCCTTTCTTGGTTGTCTCACTGGGAAGAGGGAAAATGTGGACTTGGAGAGATTGTCCCTGAACCATAGCAGGTGTGGAAGAGGTAGAGGGGGCATGGCCCAGCCCTGCTCCCCCCTGAAGGCAACACCTCCCGCTGAGTGTCACCTGCCTTCTGTTTTAAGGGACTCTGGGCAAAGATTTCATGTAAAAAAAGAGTTCTGCCACTTAAAAAAAAATGGATCACGAGGTCAGGAGATCGAGACCATCCTGGCTAACATGGTGAAACCCCGTCTCTACTGAAAAATACAAAAAAATTAGCTGGGCGTGGTGGCGGACGCCTGTAGTCCCAGTTACTCGGGAGGCTGAGGCCGGAGAATGGCGTGAACCCGGGAGGCGGAGCTTGCAGTGAGCCGAGATCGCACCACTGCACTCCAGCCCGCCTGGGCGACAGTGCGAGACTCCGTCTCAAAAAAAGAAATTAAAAAAAAAATGATATGACAGGTTTAAAAAGTTTGAAGCTAGGATAACTGTGGCTCAACTTGTCTTTCTGAAGAACGGATATTTCCAGTAGAATGGAACCAGTGTCTTGGGGCTCCCAAGAGTTCATTCTCCCCTTAAGATGGAGGCAGGGGTTTCCTAACCTGCTTAGCTGCCTTGACACCCTCCCTCAGCTCCCATTCCTAATCTCCAGCTTTACAGCAGCTGTGATGTAGGGCCTTGAGGGCAGGGCCGTGATCAGACCCCTTTAGGGGACAGACAAGAATCAGAGAAGCGAGGTGCCCTATGTCTCCCGGCTCTGGAGCCTGTTTGTGACATGGTGAGCTACACGCTGGGCACTAAGCTAAGGTATTTTTGTCTTTCTAATTGAGATAAATTCACCTCATATGAAATTGCCCACTTAATTTATTTTGGGTTTGTTTTCTTTCTCTTTTCTTTCTTTTTTTAATTTTTTTATTTTTGAAATGGAGTCTCACTCTGTCACCCAGGCTGGAGTGCAGTGGCGTGATCTCGGCTCACTGCAACCTCTGCATCCTGGGTTCAAGCAATTCTTGTGCCTCAGCCTCCCAAGTAGCTGGGACTATATAGATGCCTGCCACCACACCCAGCTAATTTTTGCATTTTTAGTAGAGACAGGGTTTTGCCATGTTGGCCAGGCTGGTCTCGAACTCCTGACCTCAAGTGATCCACCCGTCTTCGCCTCCCAAACTGCTGGGATTACAGGCGTGAGCCACTGCTCCTGGTTGCAGTGAGCCGAAATCATGCCACTGCACTCCAGCCTGGGCAACAGAGCGAGACTCTGTCTCAAAAACAAACAAACAAGAGCATAGTTCAGCGGCCTTTAGCAAATTCGCGATGTTGTGTAACTGCCACTTCTATCTAATTCCGAAACCTCTTCTCCACCCCAGCACGAAATCTCGTGCCCATTAGCAGTCATTCCCCATTCCCCTCTCTTCCAGCCCCCTGACAGCCATCAATTTCTGTCTTTTTGGGCTTTCCTCTTCTGGACTTTTCATAGCAGTACAATCACACAGTACATGGTCTTTTTCCACTGGCTTCTTTCCCTCAGCGTCATGTTGTCAGGGTTCTTCCGTGTTGCAGCATGTGTCAGCACTGCCTTCCTTTTGATGGCAGAATGATACTCCATTGTCTGTATGTATCATTTTTCTTTCTTATCCATTCATCTGTTGATGGACGTTTGTGTTGTTTTCACCTTTTTGGCTGTCGTGAATAAGCGGCCGTGAGCATTCTTGTACAAGTGTAGTCATGCATTGTTTCACGATGGGGATACGTTCCGGGAAGCGCGTAGTTAGGTGATTTAGTCACTGAGCGAACATCCTGGAGTGTGCTCACAGAAGCCTCGATGGTGTAGCCTGCCTCACACCTGGGCTGTGAGGTGCGGCTTATTGTTCCTAGGCCACAAACCTGTACAACAGGTTACTCTACTGAATACTGGTGGCAGTTGTAACATAGTGGTAAGTATTTGTGTGTCTAAGCATATCTAAACATAGAAAAGGCACAGTAAAAATATGGAATCATAATCTTATGGAACCGCAGTCATAAATGTGGTCCATCGTGACCAGAACGTTGTTATGCAGTGCTTGGCTGTATTTGTTTGAGTCCATGTTTTCAGTTCTTTGGGGTATTCACCTAGAAGGGGAATAGCCGAGCTTGGCATTTTAGGAATAGTGCTATCCTTATTCCTCACCATAACACCCTGAGGTTGCTACAGAGGGAAAACCGAGGCACAGGGCAAGGGAACCACTTCCTCACGCAGACAGCTCTGGGGTGGCAGAGCTGGGGTTGGGACCCAGGGAGCCTGATCCCCAGAACCCTTTAGTCCCTGCTCTTTTCCTTCTCTGCAGAGGGGCCTTGTATTAATCAGTTCTTACCTTGCTCTAAAGAAATACCTGAGACTGGGTAATTTTAAGAAAGGAGGTTTAATGGGCTCACGGTTCTGCAGGCTGTGCAGAAAGCATGGCAGCATCAGCTTCTGGGGAGGCCTCAGGTGGAAGGCAAAGGAGGAGCCAGCACATCACATGGCTTGAGCAGGACGAAGAGAGCTGGCGGGGAGAGGTGCCACACACTTTAAACCACCAGATCTCATGAGAACTCACTATCACGCCAACAATACCAAGAGGGATGGTATTAAATCCTGAGAAACTGCCCCCATGATCCAATCACCTCCCACAGGCCCCTTCTCCAACATTGGGGATTATAATTGAACATGAGTCTGGGGTGGGGACACAGACCCAAACCATGTCAAGCCTCTTCCCCAAATGTTCAGCCCAGTGCCTCCAGGAACCCCTCCTTGGAATATTTTTTTTGCCAACTTGCCAGGGTGTCCCCAGTCTCCTTGAGCGTGACAGGGCCAAGGCAGTGCTTCTGAAAGCCACTTATCAGACTGAGCTTGAGAAGGGATGTGTGGGGACTGGGAAGGGTCCTCAAAGGCCTCCCCTAAAGGGTAGCAAGTGGTTTTTCATTGCTCCCTGGAGTCCAGTGGGCTGGGTTTTCAGTTGTAAGGACCTCTGAGCTTTGAGTCATCTGTGCACCTTGTTGATGGTAAACGGAGGAACACCCTGCTTATTCAGAGACCACTTTCCAGCAAACACTCCGAACCCAGCCCAGAATCCAGGTAGAGAAGTGTACCAAAGTCACGGTGGCTGCCACACTCTAACTCTTTGGTTGCATTCCCAGCAGGGCCTCGCTCCCATGCAGGGCACAGTCCTGACTAGTGTATTGCTTGGGTTTCCAAGACCATGAAACTAAAAGCAGCAAATCAGGATGAAGCAAGAGGGAACGCTTTCATGAACGGCGAGCGGAATGCCCAACAGCACAAAGTCGGCGGGGGTAAAACGAAAATGACAGAAAGAAAATGAAGATAAAGAGTGCACGGCAGTTGGGGGACACCATTCGGGGGCCAGCAGCTCTCCACTGCTTCAGGAGCTCCTGACGGTGGCAGTGTGGGGTAGCAGATGCTCCAAGGGACAATTGCATCAGCAAGAAAGGGCAAAGGCTACTCCCTGCCATCTGCTTAAAGCGAGGAAAGAAGGAGTGTTTCTATCTAAAATTATTTAAATTTCTCTAAAGGGCCTTGGCACTCAGAGGGTAAGCTCTGGCTGGCATTGCCTCTGACCTTGGCCGTCTGATCAGGCAGTGAAAGAAGGAATTGTTCCTGGGGTTGCAAGGGAGTTGCTGCCAACATCTGGCCTGCCTGGCCCCTTTGTCTCCCTATTGACGGCGACAGCATTGGGCAAGTCCTGGGCCTCATGTCTGTGCGAATGTCCCCACCCTGTCACCGGCACTTCCCCCCGGGGTCGGGGCTCCGGGCCTCTCATACAGCTGTGGGCCTGATGGTAGAAAAGGAGGCTCTGTTCTTTAACCCTGAATGGGATCGGCCACTGATCTATTCTTGTCACTTGTTGAGCAACTGTTCTAGGCTAAATCTGAATTCTTTCTCAGTTAGTGCCCGAATTTGCTTTTTAAAAATAAGTCATTGGGAATACTTGACCCTGGGCAGAGAGCGGGACCAGCACTCAATGAAACTTGTCAATAGAGTTTCTCACGGCCGGGTCACAGACGTGGAGGGAGTGACTGAGTCCCAAGAGAAGACCCACTGTCTCACTGTGTTTCCTCTCACTGTCAGCCCCAACCGAGGCTTATTGGGGGTACTTTGTTTCTCCTTTGGACCTAAAGTCCTCTGTCTGTCGTTGCAGAGGCACTTCTAGATACCCCTTTCCCAAGTGGTTTCTGGGAAAGACGAGAGCATCTGAAAGCCTTATGGAGGCTACTGAATACAAGGCCAAGGGGGCTGGATTTTTCTCTGTAGGCAAATCAGGGATATTCAAAGTCACTGAGCAGAGGAACAACACATTTGAGTTGTGTTTTGGGAAGAAAACTCTGGCGACAGTGTTTTGGGTAGAGAGGGAATCGTTGGAAGCAGGAAATAAAGATTGGAAGCCTTTGGAATATTCCAGAAGAAAAATAAGAGGAGGCAGAGGTAGGATAGAGGGCAAGGGAAGGTGTGGAGGAATTGAAGGGCAAGAAGCAGCTGGCTCTGACCCTGGTGACTCACTAGATTCAAGGGCTGGGAGCGCCGAATCCAAGGGAGAAGTGGAGTTGGAGTGTGGCCGAGCAGTAGGCGTGGTTGCCACAAGCCAGGCCTGGGAAGACGGCCCCTAGCGCCCACCAGCACCAGGTGGTGGGTTCAGCTTGCATTGCCATCACTGGAGTGTAAGCCCCCTACTAGAAGGAAAACTCCTTGGAGGCAAGGAGCTCTTTCTGTTTTGTTGAACAATGTGTCCGTAACACCTAGAACATGCTGGAAGTACTTCGATGTCCTCCAGCAAGCACTCCGTAAATATTTGATGAATGAATAAACTGTGAGTCTGAAGCGTAGGAAGGAGACTCTTAATCCAGTTTTTAGGTTGTTTGTTTCAAGCTGAGTGTAAGGCCATGTTTGTATATGTGTTTTATGTGTGTATATATGTATGTAAGTGTAAAATCATCCTTCTTTTTGTCAGAATGACCCTGTTTTTACCTCGAGTGGTCAGAGTAGTCTGTGAGAATGGCTGAAACCATTGGTCTGTTAAGAGTGTGCCCGTGTAGATCAGCTGCAGTCCCACATAATGACAGGAGCCTTGGTTCATCCAACTAGGAAGACTGAAGCTCATGGAAATAAACATCAAACTAGCCCGGCGCCGTCCATCATCCGAATTATCAACACATCGTGAGATGCCAGGAAATGACTTTCTGTTCTTGAATTGGCCTCTGGAGGAATCCCCTGAGACCCTAGTACTTCATTCTCCCTCTGTCCAGTAAAGGAACGCTTCTGCAAGGAAGGGGTTCATGTGGCTGTGGATGAAGCCTGCTGGGCCTGGATGCCTCCATGAGTCAACTCCCCCAACTGTTCAGACCCCTGTGAAGGGAGAGCAGAGGCTTTGAAATGGCCATTTTAATATCACCCGTAAGTTTGGAAAATTCTTAGAATTCATTGCATTCGTGTGGAACTTCTTTTTCATTGAGGTGAAATTCACATAATGTAAAAACCACATGTAAATGTACAGTTCGGCCAGGCATGGTGGCTCACGCCTGTAATCCCAGCACTTTGGGAGGCTGAGGTGGGCAGATCACTTGAGTTCAGGTGTTTGAGACCAGCCTGGCCAATATGGCAAAACCCTGTCTCTACTAGAAATACAAAAATTAGCCAGGCATGGTGGTGGGCACCTGTAATCCCAGCTACTCAGGAGGCTGAGGCAGGAGAATTGTTTGAACTCAGGAGTTGAGGTTGCAGTGAGCCGAGATTGTGCCATTGTACTCCAGCCTGGGCAAAAGAGTAAGACTCTGTCTCAAAAAATAATAATAATAAATGTACCATTTGGTGGCATTTAGTACATTTATAATGTGCAATCACTACCACTTCTATCTAGTTCCACAATATTCTCATCACCTCAAAAGGAAACCCGTGCCCATCAGCAGTCAGCCCTGCTCCCCTCCTGCCAGGCCATGACAGCCGTCTGATTTCTGTCCTGTGGATTTGCCTATTCTGGACATTTCATATACGTGGATCAATTCCATTCTGAAACCCTTTGTATCAGGCTTCTTTGATTTAGGATCACATTTTCAAGGTTCATCCATGTCGTAGCGTGTGTCAGTACAAATTTAACGGCAGACACCGCATGGCACAGTACCTTTTGGCCAGTCCACTTCCCTGGACCTTAGAAATTCCTTTGCATCTGCTGGAGGATTGGGCTGGAGAAGAACCCCACCTGTCCTGACCCTGCAGCCCCAAATGCCCTTCCATGTCCCTGGCCCAGCAAAATCCTCCTCACTTCTCAAGATTCGGCTGTGAGCAGAGTTAGTGGCTGTCTTCCTCTTTACTGCTCTGTAAGAGTTGCTGCCCCTGTCGTAGCACCTGTCTCACCAGCACTGATCACCTCCCCCATTCTCCATGAGCTCCTGGAGCATGGTGCCCAGGGCGCTGCCGGGGAAGGCCTGTTAGTGAACGTGTGGTCCAGGGAACAAACGCATGGCATTCTCACAGCCGGACTCCATTGCTCCCTCTAGCTTCAGGGATTGGTCATGTTGTCATCTGTTTGTGCTCCTATCTTTTTTTTTTCCAGAAAGGATTTGGGGTGGGGGTGGGTCTAAACAGCTACTTGTAGAGACAGCCCCGCCCCACACCTACCTTCTGTCATCAGGACCCCACTTACCAGGCTCTTTCAGAGATGGGATTTTGGGCCCTATTGATGGGATAGTGAAATGGACAAAGCAACTTTACTACTATTTTGATAACACAGTTTACTGTAGTAGAGGCGTGATGCATCTCTTCTTGCATTGGAGGTGGTAATTTGTGGGTGCTATTATCATCGAAACAGCGATAGTAGAAAGAGATAGTCGTTCACTGCCTACTTGTTTGTAGACAGTAGCAACAGTGATCCTTGGGGGCCCAAGAGTCCCTCTTCACAAGGCCTGTTCACATACATTTACCTAGTGTCTCCCGTACTAGGAGAATTAAATCCCAGTAAGCCCTCACATTCCTCAGTGATCCGGTGTAACTCCAAGCACTGTAGCCTGCCACGCAAGGCTCTCTGTAATCGAGATTTAATCAGTTTTTATGACTCACCTCCTTCAACTTCTCTCTCTCTGCCCAATAAACTCCTATTCATCCTTCAAAGCCCAACTCAAACATCGCATACTCTCTGAAGTATTCGTCCCACTTTCCCTCGGGCTCCTCTGCCTCCACACCTGCACACATACACATGGAATTCTACTAATGTGTAGACATCTGACTCCCCACTCAACTGTGGAGTCCTTAAGGAAGGGGTTCTGGACTATGTCACACAGATGTTAGACAAATGAACCGAGGGGGCATTTGCATGGGTGCTTAAAGTGAGGTAAAGGAGAGAAGAAAGTAGAGAACTCAAAGAGGAGAGCTCGCTGGATTCAAATCTGGGGTGTTCCGGAATTCTAGGTATTCACCTAAGTCTGTTGGGACCCATGAGCTGTTTTCCCAATTTAGAAAAGTAAAGAACAGGCTACATGAGATGAAATCTGTGTGGTTGGTTTTTGTTTTTGATGCAGTGTGTGCAGTGTGATTCCCTAATAGCAGTTAACTGGTATTGATTTGAAACAGAAATGCAGAAGGGCAGGGAGTCAGAGGTGTTTATACAGGAGAAAGGGAACCTGCATGACTCATTACCACGGGGCAGGGTCTAGGGGAGCGCACTGGACACTGGAGCCAGCTTTACAGCTGGGGTCCACTCTGATGGGGCCGCCCATTCCTGGGCTGTACCAGCGATTAAACATTTGAAACACCACCTCTGCTCATTATATGATGAGTATGTTTGGTAGGCAGAATTTTGAAAGGTGGAGTGCTGTGGGTGGAATCGATGAGGCGGTCAGTCTGTGTCTGTGCCATATGTACTCGGGGGCCTGTGACCCAGTGGGGGGCCGGTTTCACCTCTGTTCAGCCAGAGCCACCACAAAGTCCTTGCTTCCCCAGCTGCTGCACAGATTGCGCAGATCATCATCCCCATCACGGTAAAGCTTTGAGGTGGGTGTTCTTCTCATTCCCATTTTACCAATGAAAAAACCAAAGGTGCTAGAGATGAAGTGGCCGCCAAAGGCCACCCAATGGGTGAGCTACAGCGCTGGAGTGGGAATCTCAGCCGTCTCTGCTCCATCTTCCAGAACTTTCCTCTACTGCTCCTGACTTCCTGAAGTGACCAAACCTGTCTCTCCCTCCTCCCCTGACTTCAGGGAGCAGATTTTTCATGGTGATTTTAGAGAGCACACGTTGATCCCCTCCTGAGGGTGAGAGCCTCAGATGTTTTGGGCCTGACTGTCCAGCCTCCTGGAGAAAGGTGGCCAGGTCCGTGTGTGGACAGCCAGTGTGCGGGTGCATGAGTCAAGCTCCCTTGTCACATATCCTGGAAACCCTCCATGGAAGCCTGCAGCCCCCAGGCCAGCGCTGAGGCAGGAACGGTCAGGGATTTCCCACTTGAAACACACCGTCTAAGGCTGCCGGCTCTTGCTTCCCCAGGAACTACTGCATTTGTCTTGATATTATACCCTGCCTGCCTCCAAGAGGACCGAGGCTTTTCAGAGCTGAGACACTGTGTGGAAGGAGGCAATTAGGATCAAACAGAACGAGACCCTCCGGATCCCCAGGGCTGGGCCGATCACCCCAAGCTTTGTTTGGCCGTCTCGGAGCTCTCTGTTGAGGTAGCAGAAAGGGAAAGACGGCTTGCATAGTTTTTGTTTTTTGGCCAGAAAAAGTACCCAAGTCTGTCTTTCAAAGTAGATGCCTTTCTTCTCTCTCTCTTTTTCCCCAGTCCCAGATTAAACCTCTTTTTAAGAGATTTGGGGGAGACTTGTCCCTTCCAGTTGATTCTCTGAAGGCAGAAGTTTTCTCTTTAAATCTGGAGCCACGCTTGTCAGGTGTGGTCCCGGTGTGCCACCGTCCATTGACCTCGTTTACGGGCAGGGTGCTGTACCTTGGGAGGCGCTGAGCAGTAGCCCCAGTGCTTCTCCAGCATTGTCGGTGTGACAATTACATCATTACCTACTTCTTCTGAAATGACATGGCCATGGCTTCAGTAATTGCCAAAACCCAACATCCTCGTTCTCTGTTATCTGCTTGGTTTGCTTTTCACCTACGCTTATCATCACTTAACATCCTGTGTATTTCACTTATTTGTCTTTTCTGTCTGTCTCCCCCAGCATGCAGGAGACCCTGTGAAAGCCGGTGTGCTGTTTAGTCGTGGGGCACAGCAGGCCCTCTGTGCTGTACACGCTGACATTCATTGAGCACTTACCATGAGCCAGACGTGGGCCTCCCGTCGTCTTCCTGTGGCCCTGTCTCCTGGCCTCTATCACTCCCATTTCACAGATGAGGAGACCGAGGTTCATAAAGCCCAACTGGCTCTCTAGCTGGGAGTCTCACAGCCTGTAAGAGGCAGAGCTGAGATATAAAGTCAGGTTTTCTGTTCTCAAAGCTGTGTTCTTTACCATTACAACTTGAGAAAAATGTATGAAAGGCCATAAACATATTCCGGTGCTCAGAATATTGTATTGCTTTTTTTTTTTCCTTTTCTTTCTTTGTTTTTCTTTTCTTTTTGAGGCAGTGTGTCACCCTGTGGTCCAGGCTGCTGCAGTGCAGTGGCGTGATCTCGGCTCACTGCAACCACTGCCTCCTTGATTCAAGCGATTCTCCTGCGTCAGCTTCCCAAGTAGCTGGGACTACAGGCGTGCACCACCACACCCGGGTAATTTTTCTGTTTTTAGTAGAGACGGGGTTTCTCCATGTTACCCTGGCTGGTCTCGAACTCCTGGGGTCAAGTGATCCATCCTTCTTTGCCTCCCAAAATGATGGGATTACAGGCATGAGCCACCACACCTGGCCTTGTCTTGCTTTTCAACAAATTTATATTCATGACAATAGTAACTACCTATATTAGAAGCACAGTAGAAACATATATGCAGACTTGTGTTTTTTTTTTTTTTTTCCACCCTATGGCGAGTGCTTATGGGCAGGGCCAGGTCTCGCACCCCATGGCAGCCAGCCTGGCCCATGCCGGGCACTCTGGTCTCTCTGTGGGACGATGCAGGCATGCATGGCAAGAAAAATCCCAAAGCAGTCCCCTGAGCCCCTGCCATGGTCTGTGTCCATAGATGCATAACCATCGATTCAGCGCAATGTAGTATTTTCGAAGAAAAGTTTTTGTTGAACCAGATAAAATGCATACAGAGAAGCACACATACTCAGGCTTCATAAAAAGTAGCCTTCTCTCTGTCCCTTCCTCCCTCTCTCAACTTGTCATGGACATAGCGGGTAAACTTAAGGCGCTGAATGAATCTGTTTAGTGAAAAATATAAGTAAAACGACAAAGTGTACCTCAATGGCGTGTGTAATGATAGGCCGGCGTCAGCCCTGGGTCCCTCAAGATCTCAGAGAAGACATTCTGAGTCCTGTGGGGGATGGATTGATGGGGCAGGGGGTGACAGCAGGTGTCCGGAGGCTGGAGGCCCAGGGATTGACTGCAGGGGCTGCCCTCAGGGCACAGAGCTTCTGAAGCTCACTAGGGCCTCAGGATAGACCAGCAGGACTCCTGAGAGGAGGAAGAGAGGCAGCCCTGTCTGCCAGCCTGGACACTTGGCGGGGAACCCTGGGAATGACCACGCCCCTCTGAGCCTCCGTTTCCCTCTGCTCGTCGGACAAAAACATCCCTCCCATTCTTTTCCTCCCTCCCATTCCTTCCCTACCTCCCATTCCTTCGTCTCAACCTCTTTTCCTGGTATTCTCTTGAAGGCTGTGTTGCTGGAAGGCACTGTCCCCAGCTTTCTTGACACTGTCAGAGGGTGTCCAAAGGAGGCTTCTGTCACACTGGCTCATTCCCATGATTTCGGGAACAAGAGAGAGATGTGGGTCACCTTGTCCGGGGTCCTGGCAGCTCACTTCTGGATCATGTCCAGCAGCCTCGCTTCCCCAAGTGGATGTGGGTGTCCCTGGGAGAGAAAACCCATGTCGCCCGGCTTCTGGGCCATCTGCTTTCTTTTAGGGATGGGCCCAAGGAATTTTTCGGCAAATTTGTCCTCTGGGAAATTTCTGCAGAACTTGTCTGATGCTTCCATAGAACTTAGGGATTGGGTTAAGGCCAGTTCCTAGGAGAGACATTGCAGAAATGAGGGCCTTAGGATGTCTCAGTAGGACCCAGTCCTGGCGTAAACAACAAATAACAAACTAAACCTCTCACCTACACACCCACTGAAACATCTTTTGGTTCTCTGTGCAAAGAAAGCAAGGAGAGAAAACATATTCTCACTTTCTCTCATCCATCCATCCATCCATCCATCCATCCATCCATCCATCCATCCATCACATTTCTATTTCCTCTTGAATGGTTTAGATCAGGGTTGGACCCACTACTTGTCTTTGTAAATAAAGTTTTATTGGAACACAACCATGATCATTTGTGTATTGTCTGTGGCTGCTTTCACACCACAACAGCACTGCTGACAGTTGTGAGACAGGGCATATGGCCCACAAAGCCTGAAGAATTTTCTCTCTGGCCCTTTACAGAAAATGTTTGCTAAGCTCTGATTTAGAGTTATAGCAGATTCAAATCCTGGCTTCATTAATAACTAGCAGCATCACTTAAGAAAAGTTATTTCTCTTCTGTGGGCCTCAGTTTTCTCATCTATAAAATGGGATCATAATGGTACCCCTGGCATGGGTCATTCGTGGGGAGATGTCTTTGAGCAGTTGACCCAGTATCTGGCACACATGAGGTCTTTAATCAAGTCACATTACTCTGGACACCAGCTAAGGTGCCAGATAGAGATGTAAGGTGCTATTTTAAGGAACTCACAACACAAACAGCTGGAGACAGTGCACAGAAGGTACTGGGGTTGAGGCGTGTCCCGGGCTTGTGAGAACCCAGAGGCAGAGTGCCCTTCTTTCCATACTGGCATCTGGGGGAGGAGCACTACTTAGCGATTCAAAGACAAATGAGCTGCAGGTGCACACAGCCACATGGATGAAGCTCTCAGACATCATACTGGCCAAAACAAGCCAGACACAAATGTGCATCTGCTGTGTGATTGCATTTATAACATGTTGAGGAACAGGCAGAGCTAATCTGTAGAGATGGAGGTCAACACTCCGGACCTTCTGGGCTGGGAAGGGGAGCAGGGGAGCCCCCAGGGCATGGAGATGCTCCCCATCTTGGCCTGGCTGGCAGGTGCACAGGGGTGTGCATTGTCAGAATGAACCCACTGAAGATTTCTGCCCTTCTGCTTGTTATGCAGTTTACTGGTTTTCTTTCTTTCTTTCTTTCTTTTTTTTTTTTGAGACAGGGTCTCGTGCTGTCACCTAGGCTAGAGTGTAGTGACGTGATCTTGGCTCACTGCACCCTCCACCTCCCAGGCTCAAGTATCCTCCTGCCTCAGCCTCCCAGGTAGCTGGGATTACAGGCGCCTGCCACCACACATGGCTAGTTTTTGTGTTTTTAGTAGAGACAGGGTTTTGCTATGTTGCCCTGGCTGGTCTCAAACTCCTGGGCTCAAGTGATCCTCCTGCCTTGGCCTCCCAAAGTGCCGGGATTACAGGCATGAGCCACTGCGCCTGGCTGCAGTTTACTGTTTATATTTTACTTTTTTATGCACCTTACTGTTTACATCTTAATTTTTTATAAAAGAAAGGAATGGAAAGAGAGAAAGAATAAGAGAGAGGATTCAGAAATGGGAGAAGCTTGGGCAGTCGAGGGCTATCTCCTGGTCTGTGTCCTGTCTCAGGCCCCTGCCTGAGACATCCTTGTACCCAAGCCTCCTCTGACAACTTCTCATTCCAGACCAGGGTCGCACAAACTCTGGCTCCTTGTGCTGTTTCCTTGGCGGAGAATGCCTGGCGCTCCCCTCCTTACCTTGACAGCCGGCTCAAAGGCCACCTCTGGGCAGCCCTCCCCGTGTTCCAGGGTGCCCCTCCCTCCTGTCCTTGCCCTTTGTACCGGACCCTCCTCCTTCCTCCTGCGGTGCCTTTGGCACTGTGGTGTTGTTACTTTGCACTCCCCATTACTTTGCACCCTCCGCTCACCCTGCTCATCCTGGGGCTCCCAGGCCAGTGTCTGGTAGAAGCAAGGCAGGACTCAAAACAACAGTCCTGGCTTCCATGTGGCCGTTCCACTGAGCGGCTGTGACCGAGGCCCACTGCTTGATGGACCCGAACCTCCTTTTCTCCTCCATGGAACTGGGGAGTCTTAGCAGTGCCCCTTTCCCAGGATCCTTGGGAAGTATCCATGAGATGAAGATGGTCCCTGGAGGCTGCTTTGGTGAGGACCTGGCATGTGGCATGTGCCCAGTCCAGGCTGGCTGCTGTGGGCCTTCCAAATGCATGTGACTTGGCAGTTGGAAATGATGCTGACTTTAGGGCATCTTTGTGTCCATCACCTGTTCCAATGGCAAAGGTGCCCAGTGGCACAGATGCCAAGGGCTGCACCCTGGGGACCCAGATTTTCATCCCTCTTCTCATGCCCACGAAGATGACTGGGGCTGGAGGGGTTTGAATGTGGAAATATCAGTCGTTTGCTCTATTATTAAACCTTGAGCCATGTGGCCATAAAAGGGGGTGGCTGCCATAGCTGGTTTCGTGATTAATGAGCCCACGTCCTGCCTCTTGACCGTCTCCACAGAGCCCCAGGCACCAGCTCTGCCCTCCCAGCCCAGCTGCAGGCTGTGCTGCTGAGGTCTGGGCAGCAGAGAAGGGTGCCTGGAGGGTCTTTCTGTCGTCTTGATGAACCCATGACCCCTCCTGGGTCCCCAAGGAGAGTTGGGTATTGTAGGCTTGGTTGAGATTGGCGAGAGGTGGTGTTGTGCCTAGCCTGGGGGGTTGGAGGGCGGGGGGAGTTTCTGCTCTGCAGCCCTGTGATGCGCAGGTGCCATCGGGTCTCTGACCCCAGGCCATCAAGAGCTGTGCGACCTGCTTGCCATCCATCATGTGGAGCTGGTCGGTCACCCCATGCACCAGGCCGACTCCAAGCCGGAGCTTTCCTCTCCGCTCTTTTCGGAGTAATCCGTGGATGATGGAGGAGCTTGGCAAGCATTTCAGCAAAGCTCTTTTTTCTTGTTGAGGCTTGAAAGTAATCGCCTCCGTGTATTGAGTGCCCGCCGACCACCTGGCGCGTCTGGGCATTGAGCTCATTGGCCGCTGGCACAAATGGATCCTCGCCTCACCCGGTGCCTGCCTGTAGCCTCTCCCATCTGCTTTCTCACAGCTACACTCCCTCCCTAGCACCCTCTTGAGGAGTCTGGGGGAGGGGGCAGCATAATCATAGTTACCTGTATCAGATGCTCACCTGTGCTGAGCACGCCACATGCCCTGGCCCATTCAGGTGCTCTCTGCAAACACCCTTAAGGCAGGTACAGTATTCCTTCCCTTCCCTCTTCCCTCTACCCTTACCTTCCCCCTACCATACCTTTCCTCCTCCTGCTCCTCCTCCCCCTCCTCCCCCTCTTTCCTCCTCTTCCTCCCCCCCTTCTCCTCCTCCTCCCCCTCCTTCTCCTCCTCCTCTTCCCCCTCCCCCTCTTCCCCCGCTCCTCCTCCTCTTCCTCCCCCTCCTCCCCATTCTCCCCCCTCCTCCCTTTTTTGAGACAAGATCTGGCTCTGTTGCATGGGCTGGAGCGCACTGGTGCAATATCGGCTCAGTGCAACCTCCAACTCCTGGGTTCAAGTGATCCTCCCACCTCAGCCTCCCAAGTAGCTGGGACTACAGGCACCCACCACCATGCCTGGCTAATTGTTGTATTTTTTTGTAGAGACGGAGTTTCGCCATGTTGTCCAGGCTGGTCTTGAACTTAAGAGCTCAGAGCCATCCACCAGCCTCAGCCTCCCAAAGTGCTGGGCTGACAGGTGTGAGCCACCGCGCCTGGCCAGCATTACCTTTTTCTTAGTTGTAATCTAATTCAAAGTGTACAGTTGGGTTGATTTCACCGTACAGCAGTCCCCCCTTTCCCATGGGGGATATGTTCCAAGGCCCCCAGTGGATGCCTGAGACCTCGAATAGTACTAAATCCTATATACACTGTGTTTTTTCCTAAACATATATATACCTATGATAAAGTTTTTGTTTTTGTTTTTGTTTTTGAGACGGAGTCTCGCTCTGTTCCCCAGGCTGGAGTGCAGTGATGCGATCTCGGCTCACTGCAAGCTCTGCCTCCCGGGTTCATGCCATTCTCCTGCCTCAGCCTCCCAAGTAGTTGGGACTACAGGCGCCTGTCACCACGCCCAGCTAATTTTTTTTTTTTTTTTTTTTTTTGTATTTTGAGTAGAGACGGGGTTTTAGCATGTTAGCCAGAATGGTCTCAATCTCCTGACCTCATGATCCGCCCGCCTCGGCCTCCCAAAGTGCTGGGGATTACAGGTGTGAGCCACCGCGCCCGGCCATACCTATGATAAAGTTTAATTTATGAATTAGATACCATAAGAGATTAACAGCAGCAATTTAAAAAATAGAACAATATACTACAATAAAGGTAATATCATGTGGTCTCTCTCTCTCTCTCTCTCTCTCTCTCAAGACAGCTTAATATTTTCAGACCATAGTTGACCACTGGTAACTGAAACCTCTGAAAGTGAAATCTCAGATTAGGGAGGACTGCTGGATTCACCAGGTTGTACAACAATCACTACTAATTCTAGAACATTTTCATCCCCCAAAATGAAACCCCATACCCATTAGTATCATACCCCATTTCCCCGTCCCTGCCCTGGAAACCATGAACCCACTGTCTGTCTCTATGGATTTGCCTATTCTGGACATCTTACATAATTGGAATCATACAATGTGTGGTCTTTTGTGTGGCTTCTTTTGCTTTGTGTAATACTTTCTTTCCTTCTTTCTTTTTTTTTTTTTTTTTCTGAGACAGAGTCTTGCTCTGTTGCCCAGGCTGTAGTGCAGTGACACAATCTGAGCTCACTGCAGCTTCTGCCTGCCCTGTTCAAGCAGTTCTCCCACCTCAGCCTCTTGAGTAGCTGGGACTACAGGTGGATGCCACCATGCCTGGCTTATTTTTGTGTTTTTAGTGGAGGCACGGTTTCACCATGTTGGCCAGGCTGGTCTCAAACTCCTGACCTCAAGTGATCTGCCCACCTCGGCTTCCCAAAGTGCCAGGATTACAGGCATGAGCCACCACGCCTAGCCCGCATAATACTTTCAAGGTTCATCCATGTGGTAATGTCTTTTTTTTATCGCTGCATAATACTCCATTGAATGGATAGACAACATTTTGTTTATCCATCATCTGTTGATGGATACTGTTTCCATGTTTTGGTTCTTATGAGTCATTTTGCTTTGAATACTTGTGTGCATGTTTTTGTGTGAACCTATGTTTTCACAACTCTTAGATGTATATCTAGGAGTGGAATTACTGGGTCATACTTAACTTTTCGAAGAACTACCAAACTATTTTACAAAAAGCTGCCTGCATCATTTTACATTCACACTAGTGGTGTAAGCAGGTTTCACTTTCTCCACCTCTCCCTCAACACTTTTTTTTTGTCTACGTTCTTTTATTTATTTGGTTTTTCTCTATCCATCCTAGTGGGTATGAGTATAATCTCACTTTTACCAGGGAGAAAGTGGAGGCTCAGAGATACCAAGCGACTTGCCTAAGGCCAAGTTGTGGAGTTTGGATTCAGCTCTAGAAAATCTGATTTATTTTTTTAAAAAATCTTTCGGCCAGGCATGGTGGCTCACGCCTGTAATCCCAGCACTTTGGGAAGCCAAGGTGGGCAGATCACTTGAGGTCAGGAGTTCAAGACCAGCCTGGCCAACATGATGAAACCCCATCTCTACTAAAAGTACAGAAATTAGCTGTCTGTGGTGGGGCACGCCTATAGTCCCTGCTACTCGGGAGGCTGAGGGAAGAGAATCGCTTGAAGCCAAGGAGGCAGAGGTTGCAGTGAGCCAGGATCGTGCCATTGCATTCCAGCCTGGGCAACAGAGAAAGGCCCTGTCTCAAAAAAAAAAAAAAAAAAAAATTTCAATTGGAACATTGCATACACACAAAAGAGTACACACATTGTATACTGCTTGATGAACTTTAACAAAGTGAACACCCTGTATCACCAACAGCCAGAATCCAGACCTAGAATGCTGCCAGCCCTCCCCAGAAGCTCCTATTTGCCTTTTTCCAGCGCCATCCCTCCATGGGGTAACCAGTAGGATCAACACCATGTCCTGGTTTTCCCAGGATTTTCCCAATAGAGTAGTGACCATTCAACATCCCAAGAAACCCTTTAGTCCTAGGCATACCAGACAATTGGTCACCCCAATAACCAGTACCCTGACTTCCCACAGCACAGACTCAGGTGCACCTCTTTCTGAAGTTTGTATGGGTGGAAGCACATGGTGATGTACATTGATGACATGCTTCTGTCCAGTTGCTTTTGCTCCATGCTCAGTTTGTGTAGGTCATCTATGTGTTGTGCATAGTTGTAGACCATACATTCTCATCATTTAGGCTTCTGCTGAGTGGATATACCAGGATTTCTTTATTCATTCTTCTCTTGATGGTCATTTGGGTAGTTTCTAGTTTGGGCTACCTAATGCTCAGGGAACACTTGTGCAAACATCTTTGGGAGCACAAATATGGGCCTTTCTGTGGAGGAAGGGGATTGCTGGGTTCTAGGGGACTCATGTTCAGCTTCAGCAGAGCTGTCACAAGGTGGATTCACAGTTTAACTCCCTCCAGCAATTTAGGATTCTGTTTGCACTGTGTCTGTGCCAACACTTATCATTTTTCATCTTTTCCATTTGAGCCAGTCTGCTGGTATGATGGTCTCATACTCTGGTAACCCCTCTGGTCTTTAACTTACTAGTTGCCTGTAGACAAAGGCCAGGGCGTGAAGTCCAAAGGTCTTGGTTTTCTTCCCAGCTCTCTCCTGAATAGCTGTGTGCGGTTGGTCAAGTTGTGCACCTGCTCAGAGTGTTCATTTCTGGTCTGTCATGAGAGTGATGCAATACCTTCCTCTTGCAGGATTGTGGGATTAAGGGCTTGTGGAGGTGGGAAGAGCCCTGGAGATGTGGGAGGTGAGCGAGGGGAGCGGGGGGGGGGGAGTCTCCCAGCCTGGAAGGTCCTGGGACTAGAGCAGGGGGCGGGACACCTGCACCCAGGCCCTCCACCAACTCCGTGGGGCTCCAGCAGGGGCTTGGGCCAGTTCCCCCATTCAGCTTCCTTTTGGGGTTCCTCTGAGTCTTGTTGGACACTCAACTGTCAAAGATGCCCAGTGGCACATATGAAAAGTGCCACACTCAAGGACACAGATTTCTGTTCCTCTCACCAGCCATCTTCAGGGATCATCTGTCTCCCCCCCAGCTTGATGGCTCTGTGATGGCAGAGCCGTGTCCCTCTCCATCACTGGCCTATCCCCAGGTCTGGGCATAGGGTTGCACCTAGGAGGCCTCTGCTTGTTGAATGACTTCATGAATTCAGTCCTTAGGTGACAGCTCTTATCCAGGGAGGGGACTGGAGGATCAGGACATAACTGTTCCCCTGTAGTTCTGAGTCTCGGTTTCCTCATCTGTGTGGTTTTTAAAAGTACTAATCCTGACCACAAGGCTGGCTGGGAGGATGAATGTGCTCGGGAAGAAGGTGTTTTGGAAACTGGCACACGCTAGAGAAGTGGAGGGTATCGCCTACAACAGAGCTGACCAACAGGAGGGTATCGCCTACAACAGAGCTGACCAACGGGGGTATCGTCTACAACAGAGCTGACCAACAGGAGGGTATCGCCTACAACAGAGCTGACCAACAGGGCGGCGCCTGGCCACATCTGGCTCTTTACAGTCAAATTAACAAAAATTAAACAAAATGTGTAATTTGGTTCCTCCACCACACTGGCCATATTTCAGGTGCTCAGTGGCCCACAGGTGGCTACAGCATTGGCCAGTGCAGATACGGAGCGTTTGCATCATCACAGACGATCCTGTAGGGCAGTGCCAGTATCAACTCATTTAGGCTACAAAGAACTTTAGAGCTATCACCAAGAAAGTAAGATCAAATAAAACACAAGAGGGATGTATTTTTCTCCCATGAGATTTTCTTGCTCAAAGCCTCATTACTTTTACTTTACACATGGTTCTAACAGACTGCATGCCCTGGTTTCACAGGCCACAACAGAAGAGCAGTAACGTTCGGCTGGGCATGGTGGCTCACACCTGTAATCCCAGCACTTTGAGAGACTGATGCATGCGGATCACCTGAGGTCAGGCGTTTGAGACCAGCCTGGCCAACATGGTGAAACCCCATGTCTACTAAAAAATAACAAAAATTATCTGGGCGTGGTGTTGTGTGCCTATAATCCCAGCTACTTGGGAGGCTGAGGCAGGAGAATCGCTTGAAGCCGGGAGGCGGGGGTTGCAGTGGGCCAAGATCATGCCAGTGTACTCCAGCCTGAGTGACAGAGCAAGACTCTGTCTCAAAAAAAAAAAAAAAAAAAAAAGAGTAGTAACCTTTTGAGGGCCTGGCATGGGGGAAGGTGCAGTGTCAAGTGTCAGCAAAAAGAACTGGTCAGTCGGCGTCTGGAGAATGGTTGGAGAAACCATACAAAATAGACACAGTCACCCCAACTCTGCAGCCATTGAGAAAGGTGCAGGCAGCTCCCCTGTGCCCACAACACCAAGGGCACAGCTGGGTTGCAGCCCAGCTCACCAGTGGATCACAGTAATAATAACAACAGCCCCGGGGCAAGGAGAGGTCATATTACCTGAGGGAAACCAGGGGAGGGAGAGTGTGAACGGCATTTGAGATTTCTTCTGGGACCAAGGCCCAAACCGGCCCTTCTAGGATCATATCGTTACCTGCCACTTTGCGTTTGCTGTATGACTTTCCGTTTGTGAGATTAAAAAGAACATGAAATATTTTGACGGGCCTTCCCCAAATGAGCATCCATGGGTTTCTGCCTTGGAGGCCAAGCTGATCTATAGGTGTCTGAGGACCTGCTGCGTGGGGTAGCAACAGAAGGGTGGACCTGAGGCCCCTGCCATGCTGGTTCCAGCTGTGGCTTTGGCTGTGGTCCCAGCTCCTTTCTCATAATATGTACTTGAGGTGTGTGAGCACAAAGGTACACAAATTGGAGTTTGCCTCTGGCCAGAGGAATTTGGCATAACAGAGGGATGGAAGTTGCTGTCTTGGGGGGTTACGAAATTGAATCCTGGGCCTGTCTTATAAGAGCAGGAGGCCTGTGTGAGACATCCCCTGCTCTGTGCCTCAGTTTCTTCCTCTGTAGCATGTGGATAACAGGGATAAAAACAGCCTCCCCGCCTTAGCATTGTTGTCAAGTTAAATGAGGGATTATATATAAAGCTCTTAGCATGGTGCTGGCCACATGGTAACTGCTTGATGAATGTTAACCACGGGCACCTGTGAATGTCCATATGGGTGGGGTGTAGTGAGGCTAGCGTCTGCATAGCAGGTGTCCTTCCTTCTGTCATCATTAAAAAAAGATATATGGCAGCAGTGGTGGCTCACGCCTGTAATCCCAGCACTTTGGGAGGCAGAGGTGGGTGGATCACAAGGTCAGGAGTTCAAGAGCATCCTGACCAACATGGTGAAACCCTGTCTCTACTAAAATTACAAAAATTAGCCAGGAGTGGTGGTGGGTGACTGTAATCCCAGCTACTCAGGAGGCTGAGGCAGGAGAATCACTTGACGGGAGGCGGAGGTTGCAGTGAGCCAAGATCGCACCACTGCACTCCAGCCTAGGCGACAGAGTGAGACTCCATCTGAAAAAAAAAAAAAAAAAAAAAGATATATAAAGCTGGCTCTTCACTATAGTCAAAAGATAGAGACAATCCATGTGTCCATCAGCAGATGAATGTATAAACATGTGGCCTGCCCATACAATGGAATGTCAGTCAGCCATGAAAGGAATGCGGTTCCGACTCATGCCATAGCACAGATAAACCTCAAAAACAGTAAGTGAAAGGAGCCAGGCACAAACAGCCACAAAGTATGTGATGTCATTTATGTGACATGTCCAGAACAGGCAAGTCCCATTGATAGATACCAGGCTAGTGGCTGCCTGGCGCCTGGGGATGGGGTAGCAGGGAGTGACGACTTAATGGTATGGGGCTTCCTTTGGGAGTAAAAACATCTCAGAACTCGATAGAGATGATGGTGACACAGCATCAGGAATGGACTCAATGCCCGTGAATTGTACATCTTAAGTGATTAATGGTTAGTTTTACGTTCTGTGAATTTTACTTTGAATTTTAGAAATGCAGCCAGGGGAGGTGGGGACTGAAGCCCATTCTCCCAGCGCAAGCCACTTTGAGCACCACTGCGTATGACACTGTGATGGCAGCCTCATCATTAGTGTTGTTGGTGTTGTTGCTGTTGACTGTCTAAGCAGGGCTGCCATCCAACTTCTCGTTTCTCCTTTGGGGCCCCAGGGTGTGTGTGCAGGTCCAGCAAATCCTTCCTTACAGTGGGGTGGTGCCACGTGGAACCCGACTGTGCAGCATGGGTGTCCCCTGTGTGATAATTCAAGCCGCTTCCACGTAGGGAGAGAGGGGACTTGACTCCAGCCCAGCACATCCACCCAGCTGTCAGGGCCACACATGCCCCATGACAAACAGCTGCTGTTTTCAACCCCATCCCCGACTGGGCAAGGTTTCTCTGGCCTCGGGAATAAGCTCATGGGAGGATTTTCCAGACTGGCTTCTTTTGGGGTCCGGGAGCTCCTCCCTTCCCTGGCACATGTTTTGAGTCAGCCTGGACGTCATGATTCGTATTCACTTTGAGAGGAATCCCCATGGAAACCAGCAGGCAGGTTTGGGCAGGAGGGAGCTGGCTCACCACAAAGGCAAGGGAAGGCGAAGGCTAGGTGTCTTCTGCCAGCATCGGGGGCCCAATGGGGGCTCTTTCTGGGGGGGTCAGCTCACCCCATTCCCCACCCACTCTGGAAGCAGGTCTGAGGCCATATCTGGTTTGGAATGCCAGTTCTGAAGATCTCTGGGGGTTCACATGGGACCCTCATGAGGTCCTTCTAGGCCCTATTTTTTCCAGCCCAGATCCAGCATTGTGTGCCACTGGACAGGGGGCTCACCTGGAAACAGGCAGAGGTGAAGTATCTCTTCCTGGTCTGGCAAATGCAGGATCCCCCAAAACTAGCTCCATATCTGTCCCCGAGAGCAAAAAGACAAAGGCAGAGTTCACCGACCCATTCTCCAGCTCCCATGGAAGGCAGCGTCCCCCGGGGCCAGAACCCCAGCTTGTGGGCTGCCGCATCTCCAATACCCTCTGGGCACCGTCACCTTGCGGGCACTCAGTTAGCGAGCGGTCCCACCAAACCTACCTGGGTTCGCTCCTTGCTTCTCACATGGCCCTGTCAAGCTGGTGGCCCAGGACAAAAGCCCCTTAGCCTTGGCCAGGGCTCTCCGGTTCCCTTTAATATCCATTTAATGAGAGCAATTTGGCAACAACGTAAAACGTGCTCTTGCCCTTTGTCCCAGTAATTCCATTTCTGGGAATCTGGCCTAAGGAAATAATCCTAAATATAGGGTAGAAAAACATGTTTCACAAGGATGTTCACTGCGGAGTTGTGCATGGCAGCATAAAATGAAACAGTGGCACTGTCCCTGAGGGAGGGGGTGAGAGCAGGGATGAAATTGATGGTGGCGGAATATTTTATAGCTGCTACAGTGAGAGTTCTGGAGCTTGCCATTCAGAGCAGGGACATCTATGTGCGATAATGTGGGGAAAAAAAAGGCGTTACAAAATTCTTTGTACTGTATGATTTCGGCTTTATAAAAAATTATATATTAAAATAATCAGGAAAGTCACACACCAGAGTGCTAATGAGTGGTCTTGATTGGATTTTTATGGGAAAGATTTTATTCGTCATCTTCCAAATTACCTTGTCTTCACGCATTGCCTTTTTCAGTCAGGTTTGCGTTGTAATTTACATACAGTAAGAGTCACGCTTTTAGCGTGCAGATCTGTGAGTTCTGACAAATGTATACAGCCAAGTGACATCGCCCCCACAGTCAATACAGAGAATATTCCCATCACCCCCAAGAGTCCCCCTGCCCCTCGCCCGCCCCAGCGGCTGGCAACCATGGGTGTGATTTCAGCCCCTGTAGTTTTGTTTATTTCAGGATGTCATATAAATGGAATCATACAGTATGCCTTACACTGCTCTTAACGTTTAGGAAAAAAATTTTTCGTCTGCTTATTGTTCTCTTAGCTGTACATCTTAGAGCAGGATTCCCTACCATCCCTCAATGGAGGAGAATTTTAATGTTCTTTCTTATCCAATTCAGCCTCCTACCCCAGACAGGAATCTCCTCCCCTGGAGCTCCGGTCGTCATGTTCAGCTTACCAGGGAATTATCAGTTATCTGTAAAATAATCCCAGCGATAGGAAAGTACCCAGAACGGCAGAGGTGCCTGGGCAGTGTTAGCTCATATCTGAGCCCAAGGAACAGCAGCGTTCAGAGGCTTTCCATCCCAATCCAGCCCATGTCCCCTGCAAGCCTCCCGTGTTCCTGCCCAGTGATAGCACTACAGCAGCAGCAGTTTTTTTTGTTTGGTTTTGTTTTGTTTTTGAGAAGGAGTCTTGCTCTGTTGCCCAGGCTACAGTGCAGTGGCGCGATCTCGGCTCACTGCAAGCTTCACCTCCCGGGTTCACGCCATTCTCCTTCCTCAGCCTCTCGAGTAGCTGGGACTACAGGCACCCGCCACCACGCCTGGCTCGTTTTTTTAGTATTTTTAGTAGAGACGGGGTTTCACCATGTTAGCCAGGATGGTCTCGATCAAGGTGACGTCATGATCCGCCCACCTTGGCCTCCCAAAGTGCTGGGATTACAGGCGTGAGCCACCGCGCCCGGCCTTGTTTTTGTTTTTAAATAAACATTTTCTTTTAGGACAGTTTGAGATGTATAGGAAAGCGACGAGGATACCCCAGAGTTCTCACACATCCGCAGTCTGCTTCCCCAGCTGCTAGTATCTTAGTCTGTGGGCTGCGTTTGTCACAACTTGTGAACCAATATTGATACATGATTGCCGAAGTCCACATTTTATTAGGTTTCTTTAGGTTTTCCGTGATGTCCTTTTTCTGTCCCGGGATCCCATCCAGGATCCCCACAGTACCTGTAGTCACGTCTCCCAAAACTTCCCTTGGCTGGGATAGCTGCTCAGGCTTTCCTCATGTTTAATGAGCACTGGTCAGGAGTTTTGAGGAAAGTCCCTCAGTTATGGTTTGTCTGATATTTTTCTGATGGTTAGACTTGGGTTATGGGTTTGGGGAGGAAGACCCCAGAGGCAAAGATTGGTCTTTCTCAAAATAGTTCGTTTGATTGCGTTCTTTAGTTTGTTCCAGGTACTGTGCTGAGTCCTTGATAAACTGGATCTCTGGTAATGCTCCCAGGAATTCTACCTATTAAATAAATTCTCATCTTAACCAGTAGAGGAAATGAACTCAGAGAGGGGGAGTAACTTGCCTAAGGACACACAGTAAGCGGCCCAAACACAAGTCTCCTTGGTCCTAAAAAGTCTGCTTTTGGCCAAATGCTGCTTCAGGCAGTAGGCATGCAGCTTGTCTGCTTTTTAAAAACAGTATGGGTTGGGTGTGGTGGCTCACGCCTGTAATCCCAGCACTTTGGGAGGCCGAGGCAGGAGGATCACCTGAGGTCAGGAGTTCGAGACCAGCCTGGCCAACATGGTGAAACCCCATCTCTACTAAAAATACTGAAAAATTAGCTGGGCGTGGTGGCGCACGCCTGTAATCCCAGCTACTCAGGAGGCTGAGGCAGGAGAATCGCTTGAACCCGAGTGGCGGAAGTTGCAGTGAGCTGAGAATGCACCATTGTACTCCAGTCGGGGTGACAAGAGCAAAACTCTGTCTCAAAAAAAAAAAAAAAAAAAAGGACCGGCTGCGGTGGCTTATGCCTGTAATCCCAGCACTTTGGGAGACCGAAGCAGGTGGATCACAAGGTCAGGAGTTCAAGACCAGCCTGGCCAAGATGGTGAAACCCCATCTCTACTAAAAATACAAAAAAAATTAGCCAGGCATGGTGGCAGGCGCCTGTAATCTCAGCTTCTCGGGAGGCTGAGGCAGAGAATTGCTTGAACACGGGAGGCAGAAGTTGCAGTGAGCCGAGATCGCGCCACTGCAGTCCAGCCTGGGCGACAGAGCAAGACTCCGTCTCAAACAAAACAAAACAAAAAAACAGTATGTATTTATTTATACCCAACCTTTCCCTAAAAAGCCTTGGTTGCAACTTCAGATCAAAGCCACGTTAAGACAGCTAAGGCAGGGCATGTGAAAGGTAGACTCAGAAAGCCTCTGTCCAGTGTGTTGTGGGTGGTGCTTACAGTTAAAACACGGATGAAAGTTGCCTTTATTTTTGTAAGATAGTCATTAATTTGTCAGGAAATTAGTAATCACCTCCTAAATGTCAGACGCCATTTAGGCATATGAAACAGCAGGTGAACCCTCCTGTTCCCACAGTATATAAACAGTAGCAGGGGACACAGACAATCAGTGACCAACACAATAAATATTTGAATATGGGTGAGGAAAAGAAGTACAGAACCAACCACCAAGCCCTGGCTTCTCCGGCAGTGCTCAGGACAAGACATACTGTTAGGGCTGAGTCATTTACTGCAGAATAGGGAGAACAGAACAGTGCACGGGATGCTGGAACAGGCCAGAACAGTGAAGGGCAGGCCCACGAGTGTGACTTTGAGGCACGCTGCATAAAGAGAACCTTCTTGGGTGACACATGGCAGCCGCCGGGATTGGGGGCCAGGGGGTCCTCTGAGGGGTGAGCGATGCAGTGGTGGAAAGGACAGGATGAACGCAGCTGCCTCCTCCCCTAGATTGTGGGGTCCAGGCAGCCTTGTCGCTCACCTGGACCTGTGCAGCAGCCTGCAGGCTGTCCCCCTGCCACCACTGTCTCCTTTCAAGTCTGTTTTCTATGCAGCAATCCCTGTGAACCTTGGCTAAAGCTCCTGCAAACCCCTGGGAGGAATCCCTGAGCCCCTAGGTGGACCTACCAGCCTCTCCAGGAGTGACCCACCCTTCTCTCCAACGCATCGCTTACCCAGCCCTCCCTCCGTTTCACCTTCTGCTCCTCCTTGAACACTCCCAGCTGTTCCCACCTCTGAGCCTTTGCACTGGCCGTGGGGTCTGTGACACTCTTTACTCCTGCTCTCGGCCACCTGTCATGACACCCCATTGTGATTCTTTATGCGGCCCTTGCCACTCTCCAATAGTTTATTTATTTAGATATTTTGTTTGTTGTCTGTTTGCCCACTAAGCTCCTGTCTTATTCACTGCTGAATCTCCAGCACCTAGCATGGCGCCTGCAGCATAACGGAAGTTCAGTAAATGTCTGTCAGATGAATGAAGGAATGAATGAAAAATGAATTGATCAATCTTTTGTACTTTTTGAGCCTAGCAATTGATCACATCAGGGAAATTGAGGCAGCTTCAGCCATCAACCCTCTCTACCTCCACCCCCATCACCATAACTCTCGTTTGGCAGACAGATACTGAAATTAACAAACCTAACAGAAGTCCTCCATCTTTATGGTAGAATTAACCTGTTGGGCCTTAGACTTTGAATTGCCTTTGCCTCTTTCTTGGAACACAGGATAGAGGTCAGGCTTCTGATTCCGGAGTCAGATGGCCGAGTTCAGTCTTGGCCATGCCACTCCTAGCTAGATGACCTTGGGCAAATCACGTGACCTCCTGAGCCTCAGCTTCCTTGTCTATATGATGGGATGACCTTGATACCTGTTCCACAAGACCTGTGTGAGGATTAAATGATTGCCATGTGCCCAGGGTGCATGGGAGAGCCAGGGAGGTGTTCGCTGTTATTCTTCTCAGCTGTGCTGCACTCACCTGATTCTCCTGAAGTCTGGCTTCCTGGAGCCAAAGTGACAAGGACACCCGCTTTGGCTCCTGGTGGCCATTGTATCCCTCGGTCACCTGGTGCCTTCTCGGGACAGCAAGACTCACTCAGAGAGTGGTGGGTGGCTGTGGATTTATCTTGCCCCGCCCCTACTCCCAACAATGACCAATACTAATAGCGTTTCTCATTCTTTTCAACACATGCTATTGAGCACTTGCCATGAGCCAGGCACTGGGGAAAGAGTGGGAACCAAGACAGACCTAGGCCCTGACTTCATGGAGCTAGCAGCCTGGCCAGGAGGCAGACATCCAACAGATAATGACACAGAATAAAGCCACAAATAAATAGGGTGTGGTGAGCACCGGAAAAGGAGGGCACAGGGAAGGGTGCAAGCAGGTTGGGTCATGAGTCTAGAGGGTGGGAGTTCCCCGAAAAGTGCAGTTGAGATGAGACCTGGAGAGTAGAAGCGCAGATGCCAGGGGTGGGGCTGTGCTCTTTCTGGGACAAGGAGCCGGCTGAGTTTGAGGCACTGTTATCAGGGCAGTGTGAGGAGTGTGGAAAGGGAGAGATGCCGCCGAGAGGCGGGACTGGGCGCATAGGGAGAGCAGACCCCGCTGGGTCTGTCGATTGTGGATGGGAGTGTGGATTTTGTGGCCGGGCCATTGGGAGCCATTGAAGAATGTTGAGGAGGAGGGTGGGGCTATGGAGTTTTCCATCTTGGAACGTGGCTCTGGAGGCCGAGTGGAGGATGCATATCCGTGGGGAGAGGGAGAAGAGAAATCGGTGCTTTCTGGGCAGGAGAAGGTGGTGGCTTATTGCTGGTGAGGGATGGCGGGCTTCCAGCCACTCCCTGCGCTGGCCCCGCGGATACCAAGAGCAGCAGTCCCTCAGTTCTTGCCCTCCAGCTGCTCCCACTCTGTTCCTAACTCTGCACCTCCAAACGTGTGGGTGGAGTTTTACAGTGAACCCCCTTGCAGCTGGATATGGCCAGCCAGAAACAGGGAGGCTTGCTTTGGTCACCAGAGGTGCTGAGCTCCTGCACCAGCTCCATTTGCCTGTCGCCAGAGGGGCGATGTTTCCAAAACCGTCTGAGATGCGGACGTCATGCCTGCTACTGTAACCAATGCATATCTCTTCTTTTTCTTTTTTTGCTGCAGCCAACTGGGTACATGGAAAACTCAGTCTCCTACAGCGCAATTGAAGACGTTCAGCTGCTGTCCTGGGAGAATGCCCCGAAGTACTGTTTACAGCTCACGATTCCTGGGGGAACTGTCTTACTGCAGGTAGGAGAAATAAACATGAACAAGCAGTTTCTTCTCCCTCATCTTCATGCACTTGTGCCCCTCGTTTCCCTTGGAGGGAGCCAGCAGCTATCAAGAGGAAAGGTTGTTTAACTTTGGGTGATTTTATTCCCCAAGTATAAGAAAGCTGTAAACCAGGTCTGACTGGAGAAAACGAAAAGGACTGTGCATGGCCTGAGCGTCTCCTGCACACCTGCTGCAGTCTAGGAACTTTTCAGGTTGCTCATTTAGTTTCCCTTAATAAACCTGATAAATAAGTTTTATGATCCCCATTTTACAGATGAGGAAACTGAGGCACACAGGTGAGTTGTTAGGCCCAAGAAGGCCGTGAAAAGCAGATGAGCAATAGATACTGACTTTTTGCATTACTTTGAGTGAGGGAGTTTCTGATATCTTGTTGATCTAAGTCTTTTGAGGCTGATAGAAGTATAAGCTATCTTTTTGGGAAAAAAAGTGCATTCTGTATGTACTGGTCAGGACGTTTGGTTGGAAATGGCACAAACATTATTCCAACTAGTGAGACAAAAAGAGAGTTTAATGCTGTTAACTATTAAATTAACTATTAAAGTAACTGGGAAGCCTTAGAGGGGACTTCAGGCATTGCTGGATCCGGGGGTCAGATGACATCATTAATATTGGGCATCTCTCTCTCCATCTCCTGGCTGTGCTTCTGTGTGCTGGCTTCATTGGCAGAATCTCACCATGTGGTAGGAAAGATGACCCACCTGCAGCCCAAAGCCACATCCTTAGAGGCTGTAATCCTTAAGAGTGAGCGCCCTTTTTCTTTCCAGTACCTTTTACAAAATCTCATGGAAGATCCTGATTGGCTCTGCCGTGTTCCCATTCAGCCCCCAGGAATTCACTCCCCCGGATTACCCGCCCACCCTTGACCTCAGGCAAGGCCCAGGTCTCGGATTGGTAGCCCCACCAGGACCACACAGAGGCGGTGAGGTGCGTCCACCAAGAATGGAGAAGTGACTGACAAAAACCACGACCACGGTCACACATACATAAGACATGTTACATCATGTCAGGGGAGCCAGCCAATTTTCAGAAGGAACCCCGAGTCTGAAACCCCTCATCTAGAGAAAATTTACTCTCTTATCAGTGGGAAGAAGACCTGCCTTGCTTTTTCTTTTGGGATCATTTTATTCCTAACTTGTTTTTCCAGGGAAACCTTCTCTTAGCCCAAAGAGATGCTTTCTAAAAACCTATTTTAGATCTAGCAGCCACTGGATTGTGTAACAGCATTGGGCTGAGAGTCACCCAGTCTGGGCTCCAAGGAATGCTGAGCTCAGTAGCGGAGCGTAACAACTTAGCATTGTTAGAAATGTCCTGTTTCTTACTGTCATCTCTCAGAGGACTCTGGAAACCACGCCTGCCCCAGTCTGCTTTCTTCTTAGTGAATCTCTCACACTCTGCCCTCTACGCTTTTCTTTTAACCCTGTCCCCACACCCCCACACTGTCCCTCCCCCCCTCCCCACCACAGCCAGCAAAGCCTTCCTCTTCTTTCTTTCTCTCCTCTCATCTTTATGATAGAGGTCAGTGTCACCCTCCTGCCAGACACTTCTGCCAGCTCCTCTGCCTCTTCACTCGCTCCTTCTTGCCCATCCGATGGCTGCAGCACAGAGTCCATGAAGGGGGTGGTCAGTGCCAGCCCCCCTCGGCGGGGGAGATGGGGCGGGCAATCACAGGGTTCAGTGGCCAACGGAGAGGTAGGGTAGCCAGAGATTGTCCTACCCCAATGACTTTGCTGTAGTCACAGAGCTTTGAGGCAGCCTCTCCCCTGTGCTCGGGGAGGCCCCATGCGTGAAGAGCCCCTCAGCCCCTGGGGAGACAGAGCCATAAACAAATGATTACGGAAATAATGGCTAAATTAGAGGCAACCGTGGAGGACTGGGAGCCCAGAGAAGGAGGAACTTATTTGGCCTGGGGGGCCAAAGCAGGCTCCCCAGACAGGGGGCATTTGAACTGGGTGTAGAGGGATGAGTAGAAGTGTGCCAGAATGGTGGGGTGGGGGCACACTCCCCGGGCAGAGGGGATGTGTGTGCAAAGCCTGAATATGGGGGACCTGGGTACTTGCTGCAGCTGGAGGAGATGGAGAGATGGAGTTTGGGGCTGTGGATATGTCTAGATCTGTTGGGCGATGGCCAGATCACCCAGGCCTTGCCAGCCAAGTGAAGAAGCCTCAGACCCTCTTCCAAAGGCAATAGGCAGCCACTGAAAGCTCTGAAGGGGTAGAGGGACACTAGAGGAATCAGTGTGGTGGCAGGGCAGAGGGGCCTAGATCTGTGCATGACAGAGAGGCAGGAGGGAGCCCCTTGAAACATTCCAGTTGGAGGAGAGGAGGCCCTGAGCCTCCACTTTCCTGCTCCACCAGCAAAGGGGCCTCATTCCTTCTGGGGCTGGAGGGGCAGCCCTGGCCTCCAAAGGAGGCCAGAGCATCACTCGCCACAGGGATGGAGGGGCAGTGAGGCTGAAAAGCAGAGAAGCAGTGCCTGGAATGTCCCTTTAACCCGGCTGTGGCCGCGGGCCCAGCTGTGATGACTCGCCTGGCCGCCGTGTCTGGCAGGGCTTCAGGACAGAGCTGCCGCCGTGGTGCTGAGGAGCCGAGCGGGCGGGGAGCCTCTAGCTGCTCCAGCATCCCACTTGCTCACTGCCCCCTGATCCCGTGGACAGCGCAGTCAGAGGCAGGAGCAGGAGAGGAGGAAGCAGAGGAAAAGGAGGAGGAGGAGGCGGCTTGCAACTCCTCAGATCCAGAGCCGGACTCCGAGCTAATGAGGGAGCAGCAGACACGGCCTCCCAACCCTTCCCCCAAGGGGAACCCAGGTGGGTGCAGCCCCTGCCCCTGGCGGCTGTGGTTCTCTCCCTGGCTGCCATTTCCGTCAGGGGAGGTAGACCTGGATCGGCTTCTCCCTTGCTTCCCTCTCATCCTCACCCCCACACTCTGCCCACCGTGATGCATGGGTGGTATGTAGCTGGCTCATTCTATAAACAGGGCTAGCGAGTCTGTGTGGTTCTAGGGAGGCTGGGGCGGGGTGCACTTGGCCCCTGGTGTGGTACTCAGGGCTTTCTTCAGTCCTGGTTGTATTCACGTGCCTTTTGTGACGGGTGGCAGGACCCTCTGCTTTGAGAGGCTGTACTTTGTCTTGATTCACATACAACATACTGTATTAGATCCCAGAGCCGTGGTGTCACAGAGAACAACCCCTTTGGCCCTGGGGACAGATCTTCCCTGCTCCAGGGTGGGAGAGGGGACCAAGAAACAGCCAGGTGCCCATCTGAACGGCATTACCTTAGTGCTCCTAGTCAGCAGATGAGTGAAAGTGCCTTAAATGGTGCCGCCCGGCACAGCCACCAGCAGCCACGCATGGCAGCCCACAGATGGATTTAATTTACTCATCAAATTAATAACACAGTTCCTCAGTCCCGTTAGCTACACCTCCAGTGGCCAGGGGCCACACATGGCCAAAGGCTGCTGTGTTGGACAGCGCACATAAAGAACATTTCCATTGACACACGAAGTTCTGTGGAGCAGTGCTGACCTCGAGGCCTTTTCATTTTGACCTCATACTGCAGGCACCTGAGCCCCTCCTGGGGCGAATCACGTCAGATCACAGGGGGCTCTTCGATCTTGCAGTCTGGCTGTGCTGTAATGCAGTCTGCACCCTGCTGCATTACAGCACAGCCATTCTCTCTACAGACAAGGGGAATGGCGGGGCCCAAAGAGGGCTAGTGCCCCTTCCCTACCCCAGCCTGCCTGATCTCTCTCCATCTCTGTCTCTTTCAGGTTCTTTGCATCCATGTGTGTCTGTTTTCCTCTCTCTCATGCCTTTTCTCCATCTCTCTCCCCTCCTTCCCCTTCTGTCCCCTCCTGCCTCTCCTCTTTCTCTCTCTTTAGTCCTTGCTGTGGCTCACTCTGGGCTTCTCTTGCAGGTCCTTCCTCCAGGCCTCTCACCACCTCTGAGCCTGTCCCCCAGTCCTCTCTGTGTGTCTCTCCCCTCTTCTCTTCCTCCTCCTCCGCTCTCTCTGTCTTCTAAGGAGCTCTTTGTAAAACTCTTACTTTGTTAGAATTTGAATCAATGCCTCTTGCAGACCTCGGGGAGCTGACCTGATCCTTCAAGGAAGGCAGAGAGGACATTCAGGCCCATGCCCCTCATCCCCAGCTCAGAGACAGAGCAATCTACCAGCAGGTTGAGTTGGCAGACAGAGGCGCCCAGCCTTCCAGCGTGGGTCCAGTTGGTGTGTTTTGGATGCTTTGTGTTTTCAGCGTGAGCTCCCTCACTGCCATGTTATTAGAATCCCTCGTTGCAGAAAGGGCCTGTTTATCCCATTTCCTCCATTGATGCCCTTTCTGCTAGCATTTCATTGTGGGGAGGCCAAGCATGTAAGTACATAGACAGTGTCATGAAAACGTCCTGAAGGTGCTGTCACTGGCCCCTGGGATGGGGTAGCAGGCATTAAAGAGCAGCGCGGCGCAGATCATCTTCTGGGGGATTCTGCCTAAAAATTGAGTGGCTGCCCATCAGCAAAAATTAGACAGAGCCGCTGCTCCACAAACAAGGCTTCAGGCAAGATAAGAGCAGGGAGACCCTCCTCCCAAGAGTGTCTGCTTCTTTCGGGGATGGGTTCCGGGACTCGGCTCTTCTCACCAATGTTCTGGAAAGTCCTGCAGGAGGCGGGGCAACTGTTTACCCCAAACATTGGCAGCAGGGCAGGGACGGGGTGGGTTCCTTTCTTACTGGAAGGTAGCAAGCAGGACTTTTCCGGTCTGGAAAGCACCAGAAAGGTCTCACTCTCTAGCTTCCAGTAAGAAAGGAAGCTCCTTTTCCCTAAGAAACTGGGCCGGGGAAGGGGAGCTTGGAAAAGGTCGCTCACAGCGCACCCTGGGCTGTTTTTCTCACCTCTCAAGACAATGCAACAATGAGAAAGAACTTGGCAAGTTTGGGAGAGGAAATTGGGCAGCGTTTGCCTGGAACCAGGCCCTTTCAGCATTCCAAAGATTTAACACCAGAAGTCGGAAGCCTGGAACCAGCTGCCCGCAGGCTTCCGGGGGACTTGGGGTCTGGCTGGGGACCTCTCCCATGTCTGAATGGATTCTCCTCTGAGTGACCCTCAGGGTTGGGCTGGGGGACCTTTCCCAGGTCTGAATGGATTCTCCTCAGAGTGACCCTCGGGGTTCCAGCCATGCCTTATGTTCCCACTGGGCTGAGTTCTCTTGGCTCAGCCACCAGCAGGACAGTATGGGGACTCTGCACAGAAGCGTGACCCTTCCCCCAGCTGGAACGCAGCCTGGTCAGCTTTCCCTTTGCTTGGAAGCCCCTTAGAGATGCCTGTGCTGGGACTCAAGACATTGCCTAGCAGCGTATGTCCTCCTTCAAAAGTAGACAAGCCAAAGGAACGAGCAGTTTACAGTCCGGCCTTGTCCCAACCTTTTTGGCTCCATCAGCCTCCACCTGCTCTCCTAGAGGCAAGTTCTGGCGCTTCCCTTAGTTTCAAGGTGAGGTCTCCTGCGTGCCACATCCTTCCTCCTCCTGCTTCATCAGTAGGGCAGCTACCATGGAGAAATAATGCTCACGGATGTCCCAACCCAAGTCCTGGGAATCCAGAGGAGCTCAGATGCATTGCTTCATGTTCCAGGGCTGGATTGCAGGGAGGGAAGACTGTGGGGTCAGACAGACCTGAGTTCCTGCCCAACTTCCCTGGGCACTAGCTCTGGATCCTTAGACTCTAACTAGCCATGGAACCCTAGGTTTTACCACATTCTAGCTGTGGAACCCTAAACAGCAGGAAGAACCTCTCTGGGGCTCATTTAATTTATCTGTGAAACGCACTCTAATACTTGTCTCCTTGCATATTGTGAGGCTCGTAGATATTACATGTAAAATACTTAGCACTGTGCCTGGTACTTAGTAGGTGTTCAAGAAAACACTGCCATGATCATTTTTAGAGTCTTAGTCAAATACAGTTTGGGGAAGAGAGGGAATCAGAGCTGAAGAGTTCTTTTGAAGGTCTGTTGTGTGTGGACTTTCTTCGCTGAGCAGAATGGGTATATGAATGCCCCATTCATCCATCCATCTATCCGCCCACCCATCCATTTATCCATCAGACTGTCCATCTGTCTTATCTGTTTTTCCATCCATCCATGTCTCCATCTATCCAATTCATTCATTCATTCAACACTTCAACCAATCTTTCACTTAACAAACATTTCTCCGGGTTTCATGGACACAGTGGTGCCTAAGTCAGACGTGGTTCCTGACCTCCCAGAGCCCATAGCCTGCAGAAGAAGGACAACTAGACAGGCGATTCCAGGACAGTGTGATGCGTTAGGCGAGGCATTCTGGCCTGGTTTGGTTGGGGATGGGGAGGGGAAGGCACCATCAAGACAGTCATTCTGGAGAAGTGGCATTTCAGGAGGGACCTGAAGTGTAAGTAGGAGTCCAGCGGGCAGCGGAGAGAAGGGGGTGACAGCAGAATGTTCCTGGTGGGGGAGTACACGCTGCATGGAAGCCAGTCTGAGAGCAGGGCAGGCCAGGTGCTGCCACAGTCACCAGCGACCACGCATTCTAGGTGGCTGGAAGCGGCACGGCATTGTTTCTAACTTGTGCTGTGTGTCCACCATGGGCCAGTGGGGGAAGGGAGTGTGCCAAGCGGTGCACGGGTTCTCAGGGGCTCCCACGCGCGGGCCACGGGTCACTTCAGCATGACATCAGCTCGTTGCATTGGCCTGTGTGCTTGCCAGGAGCCCGGAGGGAAGAGACCTGGAAATGACACAAATGATGACCCCAGCAAGTCTGGGTGTGTGTGTGGTATATGCATTGGTTTCCCCAGTGGAAATGTGGCAGTGGAGGAAAGGTTGGGTTAGACCTGGGTCCTTAAGCCGTGGTCCATGGTAGATTCCAAAACTACCTGCACAGTCCTGCGTGTGGGACTGTGGTGTGTGTGTATGTATGTCTGTATGGTTTATGTGTGTGTGTGTGTGTATGGTATGTCTGCATGTGTGTGCGTACACATGTGTGTCTCTGTGAGTGTGTATGTGTCTATGTCTGTGGTGTGTGTGGTATGTGTGCATGTGTGTGCCTGATATGTGTGTTTATATGTGGTATGTATATGTGTATACGGTGTGTATGCACATGTATCTCTGTGTGTGCATGTGTGTGTGGTATGTGCATGTGTGTGTGTCCTGTGTCTATATGTGGTGTGCATAGTGTGTATCTCTGTGTGTGGTGTGTGCATGTGTGTGGTGTGTTGTGTGATATGTGACGTGTGTGTGTGGTGTATGTGTCTATATGTGATGTCTCTGTGTGTATATGGTGTACGTGCATGTGTATCTGTGTGTCTGTGTGAGGTGTGTGTCTGTGTGGTATGTCTTTGTGTGTATGAGGTGTGTATGGTATGTGTCTGTGGTGTGTGTGTATGTATGTCTGTGTGATGTGTGTGCATGTGTGTGTGGTGTATGTGGTACGTGTATGTGTGGTGTGTGTGCATGTGTAACTATGGTGTGTATGTGTGTATGGTGTATGTGTGTCTGTGTGTGTGGTGTATGTGTCTACGTGGTATGTGGCTGTGTGGTGTGTGTGCATGTGTAACTGGTGTGTGTGTATGGTGTGTGTGGTGTATGTGTCTTTGTGTGTGTGGTATGTGTGCATGTGTAACTGTATGGTGTGTGTATGGTGTGTGTGTGGTGTATGGTGTGTGTGTGTGTGCGTGGTGTGTGTACATTTGTAACTGTATGGTGTGTGTGTGGTGTATGTGTATTTGTGTGTGTGGTGTGTGTGTGTGGTGTGTGTGTCTGTGTGCAGGTGTATGTGTTTTTGTGTGTGGTATGTGTGCATGTGTAACTGTATGGTGCGTGTGTGTATAGTGTGTGTGTCTGTGTGTGTGGTGTATGTGTCTTTGTGTGGTGTGTGTGTATGTGTAACTGTATGGTGTGTGTATGTGTGTGGTGTGTATGTGTCTGTGTGTGTGGTGTATGTGTCCTTGTGTGTCGTGTGTGTGCATGTGTAACTGGTGTGTGTGTGTATGGTGTGTGTGTGGTGTATGTGTCTTTGTGTGTGTGCATAAATGTTGACATTACATGGGTGTGAGTCCATAGCTTGTTTTAGGTTCTCAAAGGGGTCCATAAACCCCCCTGAATCAGGTGATCTTTAAACTCCCTTTGGCTTCTGATGGAAAGATGCTCATTGTTACCGTGGACAAACATGGCTGAAGCCTCTGCCTTCTTCCAAAGTGCAGCCAGCCTAAACGGGGGTGGGGAGGGGACCACGGCCAGCTTTCCTTCTCGTCGCACTGGGGCAGAAGGAGCCGGGCGCGGTGGGTGGGAGATCTTGGCTGTCTCTGCCTCCCTGGAAGGAGGCGCAGGAGAGTTCCGCATCGAGACTGTCCTCAGCCCGGCATCTCTGTGCCTTGCCTTACATGTCATTAATTCATTCAGCTGTATTTTTTTTTTTTTTTTTTTAACACCAGGCTCACTGGAGCAGTCGCAGTTAATCCTACGTGGATCCTGCCTCCTCTCCCAATCCTGTGGGTGGGACATAAATACCCAGCCAGCCTCAGGGTGTGGGCCGAGGGCTTGAAGAAGTGGCCGCCAGAAGCTTCAGGAGAGCGGAGGAGGGATGGGGTCCTGGCCGAGGTGTGGGGAGGGCAGGGGCAGGCGCCGGAGTGTGCAGAGGCACCCCACTGCCTGCTCCGAGCCTCAGCTTCCTCATCTGTAAGATGGGTGCGTTGAGGAGGAGAGGAGGTGTGTGTGAGCATTTCTCGTGGTGCCTGGTACCGAGTAAGCACCCGTGGTCTGTGGTTGGTAGTGACATGCGTCATCGCACTTAGTTCGCCAGCCTGTGTCATACCTGTTTAGCTGGGATCTGCAAACTAAACCTGCCTTCTTGAACCGAAACCTGCCTTCTTCCTGGACTGCCACACCGACCTCCAAGAGTTGAGAGGATCCCAGAGTGGAACAGAAGTGGCCAGAAAGCCAAGTGTGGCTGGGGAAGGGGGTCACACCCTCCTATGGGAGGAAAGGCTTGGAAACCCAGATGGCTCTGCCTGGAAGGATGGGGCTGAGAAGAGACTGATGTGTAGCAGTGTCTGTGGTCAGTGGCTCTGAAGAAATCCGTCCCAGGCCTTTAGACATCAAGTGCTGCTGTGAGAGGCAGGCTACGAGGACCCAGCTAAGACTGGAGGCTCCTGCAGCTCAGCAGGAAGTCACAGGGGGCGTGGCCAGGCCAGGCAGCTGGGGCCCAGGAGGAGAGATCTGTCAGCCATCCCTGCCAACAACTCAGCAGTGGGCCGGACCCAGTCTGGCAGGGCCAGAACCATCTGGATGTGAGCTCGGGGCAGAGGAGACGCCAGGAGCACCAACGGTGTGACCAGGAGAAGCCACAGTTGTGGAAATGCTGGTTCCTTCTGTAAAAATGCCTACGGGGCAAACACATCAGAATGTCCACTTTGAAAAGGAAGAAGGGGCCAAGAGCCAGTAGGCCCTGCAGGTCCCTCAGGGCTCTCATGTGCCGGCAGCCGAAATGGGATCTGGCCATCCCAAGCAGGAAAGGAATGTACTAGAAGAACGGTGGCAGCCTGGAGAATGGCCTGGAGCTGGGGTCGGGGCATGCAGGTGGTAGTCCCATCACCACCAGTGCAGGAAGGTGCAGGGCAGGACCCAGCTCCTCCCAGGTGAATTCTCCCTGCCCCATCTCCATAGCACTTGCCCAAGATCCAGAGTCCTGGGCAAGAACCTCTGCCTGGCCAAGCCAGAGGACTGGCTCACACACTGTTGAGGAGGGCTGGAAGGCCCCCTAAGACTCATGAGCCAGGGAGACCCCAGATGGGAAGGGCTGGGCTAGCCATCGTGGAGGACGGTCTGTGTTGGGTTTCGCTACAGAGGCTGGGGAAGGGAGTCTCCTCTGGTCATTCTCTACCACCTGTGACACCTGGGTCACTTTCCTCTTTCTTCCTTTGTTTCTGTGTTCATTCGTTCCAGTGTAACCAGCTCTGGCCCAGCCAGGCACTGCTCACCTAGCTGTGGAATCAGAAATAAGACCCTGCCCTCAAGGAACTCCTAGTCCATTCATTCCTTTGTTCATTCATTCAGAAAACACCTGTTGGTCTCCTGGTGCTCCAGGCCACAGGATACAGTGGTAGGTAGAGCATGCGTGGCCCCTTCCCTCTTAGGGTCACACATATATACAGGGCACTTTGGCGGGGCCAGTGGACACAGAAGAGGGAGGGATGTGGTTGTCCTCCTCCACCTTCTTTTTGTCTTTGCTTGGCCGTTCCGTCCAGCCGGTGGCAGCTTACAGGCACTGCCTGGGTCCACTGTGGACCCTCAGAGCCAGTGGAACAACTCACATCCGCGTTATACCAACCTGGTTGTACCTCCTGCTTTTATTTCCTATTGCTGCTGTGACTGCTTGCCCCTAACTTTGTGGTTAAAAGAACACAGATTTAGTCTCTTATGGTTCTGGAGGTCCGAAGTCCAACACAGGTCCCATGGGGCTAAAACGAAGGTGTCAGGACTATGTTCCTTCTGGAGGCTCTCGGGGAGAATTCGTTTCCAGCTTCTAAAGGCTGTCCGCATTCCTTGGCTCATGGCCACATCACTCTGACCTCTGCTTTAGTCTGACTCTGCCCTCCTGCCTCCCTCTTGTGAGTACCCTTGTGATTTCATTGGGCTACCTAGATCATCCCCATCTCAAGACCTTGAACTTGGTCACATCCAGAGTCCCGTTGCCACGCAGGATAACTTAATCACAAGGGATTTAGGATGGAACATGTTTAGGGGGCTTTATTTTCCTTACCACCTCCTTCTCTCTCTGGCCCCCTTGGTGTGTGAGGAAGCACAGGAATGGATGTGGACCAGGCATGCCCTGGAGCCAGCTCATCCCAGCTTGCACCTGCCCACCAGAGCTGATCGTGCCCGTCTCTCCCCAGCTCTGGCCCAGGGGCATCCCCTTGAAGGTGTGGAATCAGCCAAAATGGGATTGTTCACAACACAGAAATCCGCACACGCCGGGATCAGGGCTTGTTGTTCCAGAGAGCCTGATGTTAAGCATTTATCAGCACAGACCTGGCCGTGGCTGCTGACGCTGCTGGCCCCTGTTTGTGGAGTGTTTGCACGTGCCAGGCACCGTGCTGAGGAAGCACTTTTCATGGATTAGCTCATTGTTTGGGATCTTCGCACAGCTCTCCCCGAGCAGGGTGTATTTTGTCATCCTAATGAATAGGAATTGTCACAAGACCAGTAGAGCTTGGGCAGTGCTGATGGGAGGGAGCTCAGCAACAGTCTCTCCAGGGGGCTGTTTCTCCTCCTTGGCCTCCGCAACTCTGGGCAGGGGGCACAGGCTTGGGTCGTCAAGCAACTTGCTGCAGTCACACCACTAGACACGACAGAGCCGAGACTTGAACCTGCACCTGTAAGAGGCTCAGCCCTTGTCGGAGTTCCTGTGTCACACGGAGGGCTTGCCTCCTGCCTGCTTTGCACTTGGGTAGACTCAAGCTCCACCAGCATCAGGGTGGCTGGTGTGGATTCGTGCAGTCCAGGGTTCAAAACTCTGAGTCCCTGAGCTCACTCACCAGAGCCTGAGTCCTCACCACACTTGCTACTGGAATGGATCATTTATGCAAGGCCAGAGATTGCTCCAGACCCTGACCTCGGAGAGCAGCTGATGTTTCGTAGATGACTTGGGGAGCGGGAGGTGGTCACCTGTAGCGTGATCCGGATCTCCTCGAACAAGGGTGAAACAAAGCGGTTACATGCTTGAGTGTGTGTGTGCGCGTTTGTGTGCCTCGAGGCAGAAGGTGGATGTTCGTGCTTGGAGAGAGACTCTAGCCTTCGTCAGACCCCCTGAACCGTCAGAGGCAGGGTCACTTTGGAGAGAGGGTTGTGGGTTCTGGTGGGGAACGCACGCTGCACTTCGGCCCAGCCTGGGGTGGAGGGGTAGCCAATGGGGAACTCAGAATGGTCCGGTGTTGTGGTTTACAGCAGGGGTCAGATTACCTGGGTTCAATTCCTGGCCCCGCACCACATGTCTGTGAACACTCAGGAAAGTTTTTAACTTCCAAAGTCTCAGTTTCCTCATTTGTACCATGAGATGACAGTACCGACTTCACAGGGCTGTCTTGTAAGGACTGAATGAGCCAGTCCACACACAGGACTCAGAGCTGTGTCTGGCGTCCATGAAACACCATAGCATTACTGTTCTGTTAGCAGACCGAGAAAGGAGGTGAGAGCCGCAGTGATACTCATGAGGGATGGGAGGGCTGCCTTGGGCTGCATTTTATTGGAAAGGACTGGATGATGGCAATGGTAATGATAACAATAATAATAACGATGGCTGCATTTCTGACCACCTGCCATGTGCCAAGCCTGGTTCTAGATGCTCTACAAGAATAATTTCTGGTCTTTAAAACATCCCTGGAAAATCAGGGTTATTGTCCCCATTTTACAGATGGGAAAATTGAGGCTGAGATGTCCAAAGACTCACAGCTAGTGTGGGGTGGAGCTGAGAAGGTTTTGTTTCACCCGCTGTGATGTTTAGCCTAGGTCTGCTGGGTGCCGTTTACCATGATCTTCTGCCATTGGCAGGAGAAGGTCATGGTTAAATGCCCAGACTTGGAAGCCAGGCTACCCTGGGTCTGAATGCACTTCATTGTGAGATCTCAGGGTCTCGATTTTTCCCTCTGTGAAATGGGCATAATGATAGGTGCCACCTCATAGGGCTGCTGTGAGGACCAAGGAGAGACTACGTGGATAACAAAAGCCAAGTTCCTAGAACAGTCCTCATACACAGGCCCCCAGCCAGCCCCCACCATCCTCACTCCCAGGCCTCCAACCAGTTCATCCCATTCCCTCCCATGCCCCTAAGTCCAGCTGTGTGTGCAGTTAAAGCTCTCAAGTCAGCAGTGTCTGAAGTCACTCATATACAGCAAAGGAAGCACACGGTGCTAGTGATGTCTTGTTTTTAGGAAATCCTCCCTGACCAGCCCTTCTGTTTTGGTTTTGCACACAACAGGCTCAGCTTAGCATATCTTTCAGCAGGCTTGTTAGGGTCACAGGGCAGACGCTGTCTACAGAGCAGGCTTGGGGGCTCACATGCTGGCCTTGAAATGCCCTGAGATGCCGCAAGCTGATGACCGGACCTTGCTGTCCTGTTCTTGTCGTTACAGGCTGCCAATAGCTACCTGCGAGACCAGTGGTTCCATTCTCTGCAATGGAAGGTAAGTACTGACTCGGTTGCTTGTTTAAAGCGACTCAGGCAGTGGTGCGATGGCTTAAAGCCAATCTGTCACCCAGAGGCATGAAAGTGGAGAACTCATGCCTTCCAGATGGCTCAGCTGAGGAACTTTGTTCCCCTACCTAAGAGCCCCTGGCCCTTCGTCCTCTGCTGTTCAATTCCTGTCCCCTGCAGTGCTGAAATAGCATTCTCGCCCTGGTGTTCTCAAACCCTATAGCTGTTTTCCTGCTTCAAAAGGATCATAGAACTGCTTGCTCTCAGAGTGAGGGCGACCCTGAGGGGAGTCCAGCCGGGGAGGCTGGACTTCAGGGGCTCAAGATGCTTAGTTGAAAGTAACTTCCAAAGGCTGTGCCAAGTGTAAACTTAACAGAGATTCAAAATCCTGAGCCCTATTTCTGTAGTCTTCACTGATTTTCAGTTGTCGGATTCTGTGGCCTAATTTTCTGATTCTGGCTCTACATAGGATGGTTCAGAGCTTTCTGGCACATAAAGGGAACTTCATCTTCTTGGAGACCCAGGGGCAGATCTTCTAAGAGGGGTCCCCCAGCCACCCGAGGAGCCTGAGTTGTGCCCCATGGCTCAGGCGATGGAAACCTTGACGTCAGGACCAGGGCGTGAAGCACGTACAGTCAGCTTCTCATTCCTGCCCTGCCTCCCTGTCTCTCCTTGTCTTCTGATCTTCTGGTTTAGAACAAGCTTTGACAGGCCCCTGGCCCCACAGCGGGTATGGCTGGAATGACCAGTGTGTCATAAGCTGTCATCCTTACAGTAAGCTGGGGAGCCACAGGGGATGAACAGCTGGCCCCATGCAGAGCTGGGTGCCATGTCACGTGTTGGGAGGACCCAGGGAACACTCAGGATTCCTCTCATGGCTCCAGAGGGGCTCCCCCAACGGCCAGGGTTGGGGGCAGAAAGGCAACCCCAGATAATTACTTTCCTGGTCCCAGAGAGGGCCACTCCCCTCCTTTCCTCTGTCAGCTACTGGTCCTCTTGCTTTGTGCTGTGGGGCCAAGTCTCAGAAGCTGAGCTGAGTCTCCACGTTGGGTTGCAAAGGGGAAGAGAACTAGTGTTTACTGAGCTTCTACTGTGTGCCAGGACTGGCGTGTTTTGAGCTCCTACTGTGTGCCAGGAGCTCTGCTAGTCTCATCATGTCCATTTCACCCTCACCACAACCGCATAAGGTTGATGATTATCGTTGTTGCCATTTTCCATACGGGAAAGATGAGGCTCAGACTGGAGTCCAAGCTCCCATCGTTAGGAAGGGGCTGAGGCAGGGCTCAGCTCGACCTTTCCAGTACCTGTATGTACTGGAAATTTCTGAATGTAGTAGAGTGGGAAGGCATAGATGTCAGCCAAGCAGGTAAGGTGGTGCACACCTGCTCGTGTGATCAGCAGGTGCTACTGAGAGCTCTGTATCCACTGGGAGAACATCTCTGATGCCTGGGTCTCTCTTTGTGCCCGGGTACGAGTGTGTCTGAAGACAGGCGGGACATTCGTCAGCACCTACTGGGGACCGTCTGGGGGTCAGATGCCAAAGCAGTTGAGAGGGAGGACTGAGCGGTGTTGGTCACGGGGGTACCACCTCTTCCCTTCCCCATGGTGTTTTACTTGTGGGGCCTCAGAAAGTGACAGCCTTGCATTTTCTCTTAGCTCAGGACACGGCAGAATGTACTTGGAGACACACTGCCTACCCGACAGGTTGGGGGAAAAATGCCTTATTTAAAAGGAGGCCAAGATGAGTATCAATGAAGGCTGTCAGGTGCGGTATCCCACAAGGCTCTGTTTTCTGCCTTTCCCTGGTCCACATTTTCAACAGTGACTTACACGTGCACCTGGAAGGCAGCATTTGTGAAATCTGTGAGTATTGCACAGCTGCAAGGGGCAACCAACATGATGGGCATAGAAATGGACTTCAGGAGGCTTTGGCTAGAAAGATGATTTAAAAGCTCGGCCTTGAAACATTCAAATGTCAAGGATTGGCCAGGTGTGGTGGCTCATGCCTGTAATCCCAACACTTTGGGAGGCCAAAGCAGGCGGGTAGTCTAACTCAGGAGTTCAAGACCAGCCTGGGCAGCATGGCAAAATGCCATCTGTACCAAAAATACAAAAAATTAGCCGGGCGTAGTGGTGCGCCCATGTGGTCCCAGCTACTTGGGAGGCTGAGGTGGGAGGATCACTTGAGCCCAGGAGATGGAGGTTGTAGTGAGCCAAGATTGGTCCACTGCACTCCAACCTGAGTGATAGAGTGAGACCCCCATGCCCCACCCCAAAAATGTTAAGGTTTGCATGTGGGATTCAGACAGTTGATTGAGCAAGTCCAGAACTGGGATCACTGTGTTTCTAGCAGCTCTCATGAAGACCTGGATGTTTGCATTCAATTATGGTGGCATCCGGTTTATTTATGGTTGCTAAATTTAATCAAGCAGTTTAAAAAATTTTCAGAAAACCTAAATCAGGATGTCAAGGAACTGGCAGATGCCTGGGTGTGTGCTGGCCCACTTGCCAGGTGATCAATGGTAGTCTTTGCTCTCAGGGTGTAAGCTTTGGCTGTGTCTACAGCATGCTTCAGACACAGTGTTTCTCCTTGGACAATTGCCCCCCAATAATTTAGGTATGCTGCCACCAGGTGGCAGTGATATTTCAGTGTTGGCAACTTGATCTCAATTCCTGTGGCTCTTTGTACCCAGTTTTGGTGATATTTGAGAAGGCATGCTCTCCTTCCTTTTAAAATGGCAAAGAAACGTAAGGTGTTTTGGAGGTACCGCCAGCTAGCCAAATTAGCTGGGAAACGTGAATTTGGATCCTGGTTCTGTGGGCAGATTCCAGAAAGTGTTCACCTAATACAGATGCAGTTACTGAGTACATGTGAGATGCCAGGGCTGGCTAGGTCATTTCTGGTTCATTGTCGTTAAGCAGGTAATAGAACCAAGGCTCAGAGAGATCAAGTGACTTGCCTACAGTTGCCCAGCAGATTTCAATCCAGATCTGTGGGGCTGTCCTACCTCCTCCTTGATCACACCGTGCTTTTCTCTGAGATTGGGACTCCACAGCCCTCCCAGGACATAACCCCTCTGCTTCTGCTGATACAGCCACTCTCTCTCCCCTCTTTATTTACAACCACCTATTTGAGGTTTTTCTTTTTCTTTTCCTTCCTTGTTTCTTTTCTCTTTTCTCTGTCTTTAACTGAAAAAAAAAAAAAATCAGTGGAACATCAAAATTGAGGACCTTTAGAAATTCCACCACCTCAGCTTGAATTTTTTAACTCTCTTTTGTTTTTATTATTATACTTTAAGTTTTAGGGTACGTGTGCACAACGTGCAGGTTTGTTACATATGTATATATGTGCCATGTTGGTGTGCTGCACCCATTAACTTGTCATTTAACGTTAGGTATATCTCCTAATGCTATCTTGTTTTTGTCATTTTCTCTCCTACACCAATATACATTTGTCTCCTGTGGCTGCGGTGCACATACTGTCAGAATACGTTCTCCTGTATGTAAAGAATGCCACTTCCAGCCTGGGCGAAAGTGCGAGACTCCGTCTCAAAAAAAAAAAAAAAAAATGCCACCTCCTAAATACTGTGTCCCCATTGCTTAGTTTTGATCAAGTTGGACTTGCATCTCTAGGCCATTCCCAACAGGGGCAGCATCACCCCTAATGGGACCAAAATTGGTTCCTTGACACTTAAACAAATCTTAATGATTACAATAGTCTGTGGCCCTCCAAAGCTCGACCCTATTCAATGAAATCTTATTCTTGAGTATTTCTTCCAAAGGGAGGACAGATGAGGGAGACACTAGGGTTCCTTATGGGGACAGTCATGATAACAGGGTCGATTGACAACCGCTGCTATGGAATTGACCTCAAATTGTTTTGTGGAAGAAGGCAAATATCCAGGTCATCTTGGTCACGCTTTTCCGTCTGGGTAACAGTGTTGTTTTTGTGGCATCAGCTCAGAACTTTGAGCTGTTCACACACGGTTGTAGCTCCCATGTTGGAGGAGTTTGCTCGGCAATGGACACTGCATTTTGTGAATTACTTCCTCTCACTGAATAGGTTCTGTTCTTATCAACATTTGCAGATGGGGAAACCTGAGTGTAGAGAGGATAAGTCAGTCGCACAAGGTTCCAAGGCCACCAAGAAGGCAAGCGGGATTAGACCCTGAACATCTTTGCCTCTTTCTCTGAGCAGCTCTGCTCTTCCTCCCAGCCCTCCCGGCCTGGCCTCTGCCATGTTGGTCTGGGAGATCTGAGGAGGCCTGGAGCCTGCAGGAGGAGGGCCAGGATCTCCCAGCCCATGGCTGCTCCACCTCCCAGCATTCGCTAGAGCAGAAGCTGCAGTCCTGAGGGCCCCTGGGGAGGCCAGCCCTGTTTGGTTTGGGTGGTTCAGCCCTTGAGGCTAATTCCCAGGGGTGTGGAAGCATTAAATAGTTATTCTGGGTTAATGAGGCTTCATTTCTGACTCAGATGTACCTCCTGGCTCATGCCCTGGCCCTCAGAGGCCAAGCCCTGTGGTGACAGGCCTGTCTGCACATGAGGCTGTGAGGGCACAGGCCTGTGTGCACACGAGGCCATGAAGGCCCAGTCTGTGGGGCAAGGCCAAGAGCGTGTTCAGGCTGTGAGGGGACCGTGTGTGTTTACAAAGCATTGAGAAGATTGGCCTGTTTCTGTGTCCAGGGTTTCAAGGTGAGAGACCCAGGTATGCACAGCTGTGAGGGACAAGTCTGTCCATGTGAACAGGCCCAGGTGACAGGTCCAGGCTACTGGGCTGTGAGGAGACACACACCAGGCTCCTAGAGGAGCCCCGAGAAGCCAGGATGCACCTGCTATGGGAGCTGGAGCTCCTGGTGCCTCTCCACCTTCTCGCTTCCTGAGAGGGGTTCCTCAGGCCGAGGCACACTAGTCCTGGAAACCAAGATGGTTTTTCCCCAGGGGAAGTGAGGTCACTCAGAACAGCCCCAGGGGCCAAGCCCCAGAGCCGGGGACCAATGAGCAGACTGTGTGTCACAAGAAGCTGGCCTGTATTCCTGTCCCAGGGCTGCCAGGGCCAGAGGAGTGCCCTTGGCTCTGGGAAAATCCCAGCCCAGCTTTGGATCCTTTCTGGCTGCCTGCCCTGGCCACGCTGCCTTCTTCTTGCTGGGCAGGTTTCCCAGCCCCCTAGGGTGGCCACAGCCCCTCGATCACCGCATCCAGGCCCAGGCCTCTGTCCCTCCTCTGTGGAGAAAGGTGGAAAAGAATGTGGGGTGTGTGAGTGTGAGAGTGAGTGTGTGTGCGCGTGAGAATGTGTGTAAGAGTGAATGTGTGAGTGTGTGTGAGAGCGAGAGTGACTGAGTGTGACTGTGTGTTGTGTGGGGTGACTATTTTATGAGTGTGGTGAGGTGACTGGTGTGTCTGTGTGTGGTGTGTGAGGTGACTGTTTTGAGTATGTGTGGTGACTATTTTATGAGTGTGTGTGGCGTGTGGGGTGACTATGAGTGTGTGTGGGGTGTGGGATGACTATCTTATGAGTGTGTGTGTGTATGTGTGGCATGTGGGGTGACTTTTATGAATGTGTGGGGTGACTGAGCATGTGTGTGTGTGGTGTGTGGGGTGACTATGGGTGTGCATGTGTGTGTGGTGTGTGGGTGGCTTATGAGTGTGTGAGTGGTGTGTGGGGTGACGGTGTGCGTGTGTGTGTGGTGTGTGGGTGGCTTATGAGTGTGTGTGTGTGGTGTGTGGGGTGACTATTTGTGTGTATATGTGGCATGTGGGGTCATTTGTATGAGGGTGTGTGGTGTGGGGAGATTATTTTATGACAGTGGGTGTGGGTGTGTGTGTGGTGTGTGGAGTGACAGAGAGAGAGAGAGTGTGTGTGTGTGTGTGTGTGTGTGTGTGGGGTGCATATGGGGTGACTATTTTATGAGTGTGTGTGTGTGTCCTGTGGGGTAACTATTTTATGTGTGTGTGTGTGGCCTGTGGGGTGACTATTTTATGTGTGTGTTTGTGTATGTGTGGTGTGTGGGGGTGACTGAGTGTGTGTGTGGCATATGGGGCGACTATTTTATGAATGTGTGTGTGTGTGGCCTGTAGGGTGACTGTTTTATGAGTATGTGTGCATGGCATGTGAGGTGACTGTTTTATGTGTGTGTTTGTGTATGTGTGGTGTGTGGGGGTGACTGTGAGAGTGTGTGTGTGGTGTGTGTGTGGCATATGGGCCAACTATTTTATGAATGTGTGTGTGTGTGGCCTGTAGGGTGACTATTTTATGAGTGTGTGTGTGTGGCATGTGGGATGACTGTTTTATGTGTGTGTGAGTGTGTGTGTGGCCTGTGGGGATACTATGAGTATGCTGGTTTGGAGTGTGTTTCTTTGGGCCTCAGTTTTCTCCTCTGTGGAATGGGGATGATCATGGCGTCTCGTCACTGGGCCGTGTGAGGATCGAAGGCTGTGTTGTTTGTGCAGCAGGCAGAAGGGATCCTGGTAGGAGCCCACGCGTGGGAGCCTCTCATGCGCCATCATCAGTGTCTCCAAGTGGGTCCGACATGGTGGGAGCAGCTGGCTCGGCCTGTCTCCCTGGCAGCCCCTTCCAGCCTCCACAGGTGGTCCCGGCTGACTCATGGCCTGGGAGGGCTAGGGTGGGTGGGAAGCCCGCCCTCGAGACTGTCTCTGCCCGGCTCTGGCCACGGAGTGTCCCCTGTGTCCAGCACTATGTGCCCCTGTGCTCCTGAGTCCGGAAACAGTTCTGTGGGGTCCACATCCCTCCCCCATCTCATAGCAGAGGGGACTGAGCGTCCAAGTGGATAAAGGATGAGGATAAAGGACCGTGCCAAAGCCAGATGCCTCCCAGCGAGGGTCACAATCTCGCTTCCACCTCATGAGTGGCTGCGGCGCCTCGGGAATGAGTCTGTTCCATGTTCTGTGTTGGGAGCTGGCGCTGGGGGACCACAACCCTCAAAGTCCCCAGCACCAAGGCAAAGTGCCTGGGGCTCAGAGAGGGGAAGCCCACCTGACGGGAAGCTGAGGGCAGGGCCTGGGTCATGTCCCCACTGGCTGCACCCTCAGGAGGGCGGGATCCATCACCCTCATCCCCATGCAGGGGAAAGGCCCAGGGGACCAGGTCAGAATGACACAGAGCCCTTGAGCTGATGCCTCCCCTGACCCCTCACTGAGGGCCATGCTAGAAGGGGGGATCCCTACAAAAGGGGAAATCCTGAGGCTCTGGACCGGGCCTCCAGTAGGGGCTGTCACCCCTGGCTCTGACCTTGCTCCCGGAGCCCACCTCCCCTGGGTCGCCTCCTGGTCATGGGAGCCTCCCTGGGGAAGAGCCACTCCTAGTGTCCTAGAGATGTGGCCCCAGGCGCTTTCTCCACCAGGCTGCAAATCCCTTCCCAAGCTCACATCCCCCAAGTCGTCATCCAGCCCAAGCCGAGCCCCCAGTTGCACCCCAAGGCCTTAGCACAAGGCTGCAGCTGGTCCTCGAGCCATGATGGACACTTAACTCCTGTCCCATGCATGTGCCAGTGCCTCACTTACTCACCTTGGTGAATCCTTACAGCCCTGAGGAGGTGCCTGTTCCTCCTCTTCTCCCTTTTTACTGATGTGGAAACTGAGGCTGAGGTTAAATCACTCACTCAAGGTCACACAGCTGTTCAATGGCTTAGATGGGATTTGAACAGAAGTCTGAGTGAGTCCAGAACCTGGGACTTCAGCCACCGGGAGTGTGGCTCCCAACTGTACATGCATGCATGTACACAGACACACGCTACCCAGACACTTCTCACACCTGATGTGCACTTGGGAGCAGTGCCCCGGCTCCCACCTGTTCTCGTGGCACATCTGGGTAGAGCCTGGGTGTTGCTGGTGCCTGAGGCTTGCGTGAGAGCTTTCCACTTTTCCCTAAGTCTCCCATCACCACTAGGGTTATGTGAATTGGCTGCGCGTGATGGCTCATACCTGTAATCCCAGCACTTTCGGAGGCCGAGGCGGGAGGATCACTTGAGGTCAGGAGTTCGAGACCAGCCTGGCCAACATGGGGAAACCCTGTCTCTACTAAAAATACAAAAATTAGCTGGGCGTGGTGGCTCAGGCCTATAGTCCCAGCTACTCAGGAGGCTGAAGCATGAGAATCGCTTGAACCCGGGAGGCGGAGGTTGCAGTGAGCCGAGATGGTGCCACTATACTCCAGCCTGGGTGACAGAGTGAAACTGTGCTTAAAAAAAAAAAAAAAAAAAAAAAAAAAAAAAAGATAATGTGAATTGACGTCTGACTAGGCAGGCCCCTGTTTCTCACGCAGAAGGGCTGATTGCCTCATCCTGTCTTGCACGTCATCAGCACAGCCGCTGTCAGACCACCTCTCCCAGGCCCGGTGTCACACTCAGGACTGACCCGCTTCCACATCTTCCCCAAACACACTGGTCGCTGTGTCCCCTGACTTTAAACTTGAGGTTTGGAAGCCCAGATCTGGCCTTGCACCTGACTCCCTCACTCTATACAGTGACCCTCCGAGGTGGCTCCTGGCTGGGCCTGTCCCCTCTAGCCCAGCTCATCCCTTGGTCTTGAGGGAAGACGTTGCCCTTGAACCCCACCCCACCTCCGTTTGCCCGTCTAACCCCGTCTTGGCCACCTTCCTCCCTCTCTGTCTCCTTTTCGACCTTTTTACGATCACTTCAAGGTCAGCACCCCCAGCTCCTGCCAGTTATGACCTTGCAGTTCTCCTCCGAGGCTGCGTCCATCTTCACGCAGCCATTTTAGCAGCTGTGGCCAGGCACATGGACAGTCCTGTGAGCCTCGCCAAGGCATGGCAGCTCAGACATCCCAGTGCCGTGCCACAGCGCCCAAGGGAGGCTTCCTAATGGCTGCAGAATCGTCCGTGAAGAGGCTGGGGCCATTTACCAAAGGCCTCTGCTGTGGTTGCCCTTCGGGTCGTTCCCAGCTTTCCTCAGTTATAGATAACGCAGCCATGACCGTCGTGTATCTCAGCTTTCGCTTTATTTGAGTTACTTGTTTAGGGCAGATTTCTAGAAGTGGTTACTGGGCCAGAGAGGAGGGGTATTTTTAGGTGGCTCTCACCACCTATTACCTATTTGCTCCCAAAATAATACTTTCTGCAGCGCTTCAGGGCCAGACTGCCCAGGTTCCAACCCTGATCCACTTCCTGCTGGCTGTGTGACCCTGGACCAGTTGCTTTCGTCTCTGGGCCTCTTGAGTCAAATGAAACCAAGCTCACCAGTTTCTTACGGGGATTAAATGGGTTCACAGCTGTTCAGTATTTAGAATAGCACCTGCCATGTGGTACCCACTCAGAACATTCATTCTTCTTCTCTGATCTACAAGGACACAGAGGAAAACAGGCTCTTGGTGTCGGAGGATGCTAGGAGACGGGGCTGCAGAAGACGGAGGCACATGTGTGGCACGCAGGCCACCGACTCATGAGCCCAGGGCGGGCATCACCCATCAGCCACCGCATGCTTTGCCCTGAGGCAGAGCTCTTCTCAACATAGCCCCTGCCTGGCCACCCAGTTGACAGAGGCAGTGACAGTGTCCCCCGTCCTGCTTGAGTGACCGCCCAGGCCTATGGGGCGAGTGCTCCTGGAGGCCGGGTCAGTGCCACTGGCTCTGGCTGTGCCTCCGTGGGGTTTTCTCACAGAAGCTTCTGTGGAACTTCCAGGCAGGCACCGTGGGTCCATTCTTGGAGGGTCCTACCCTCCGAGAAGGAAGGCAGAATGGTGGGGAGGCAAGGATGGGCGGGAGTCGGCCTTGATCCCCTTCCAGGCCCAGCCACCTGCCTGCTTCATCCAGGTTGAAAAGGCAGGAATTCTATCCAGATTAATTTCTGGCACTCAGTCAAAGAGGGCTTTGTGACCTCTTAAGAGGGGATCAAAGGGATTCAGTGGAGAACTGTGAAAGGAGGGGCTTTCCCCAGAGGCAGGGGGCCCAGCCCACTCCAAGACTGCAGGAGGGGCCCTCAGTGGGAGGTGCAGCTGGTGAGTCCAGCCTGGCAGCCTCTTTGTGCACGTGTTCAATCCAAATGGGAAACCTTTTGGGGCCAGGCTGCCAGTCCCCCGCGAGGGCCACAGTCTCCAGCATCTCCCAGCCACAGCCCAAGCCCCACAGTGGGTCATCAGGGACCCCATAACTAGTAACCAGGGCTGCTTCAGGGATTGAAACTAACAAGTGGCAGAGGGCCGGGAGCATTGGGAAAGAGAGCTCATGTCTCGCAGGCTTTCGTTACAGTAGAGGGAGAGAAAAACAATTACTAGGCACCTACTAGGGTCGGGAGCTCTGCTGGGGACTTCTCAAAATTTGGTTAGGCCTGTCTTGAAGCAGGAGCTGAGGAAGCAGAGAGGCACGTCCAGGATCACACAGCTAGAGACAGGCAGGGCTGTGAATTGAACCCAGGGGACAGGAGGAGGATGGGCCTTTTGGCCTCTTCCGTTGGAGCCCACAGAGCTGCCACTTTGCCCAGCTGGAGCTATCTTTGGAAGAGACACAGGACGTTTTCGAAATAAACTTCTCATTGAAGGATAAAATACATCTAGAAAAGGGTACAAATCAAAAAGAGTTACCATTCACCTGGGCCCCTCCTCCCCACCATGGGCAGCCACTGCTATCCTGACTTCTAGCAGCACAGGTGAGCTTTGCATATACTTGAACTTTATCTAAATGGACTCAGACACCCTGAACTCTTTTGAGACTGGCTTCTTATGATTTGTCTGTGTTGTGTGTAGCAGCAGTTTGTCTATTCACTTTGCTGGGTGGTGTTCTGTTGTCTGGTTAGACTCTGTTAACTTGTTCATTCTGTGGATAGGTCTTTCCAGTTTGGGGCTGTTACGAATAGACCATTGTAAACACTCTAGTGTACATCTTTTGGTGAATGTGTGTCCACAGTCCTGTTGCGTATATGCCTGGGAGCTGAATTATCATTCGTTGATGCTGCCCTGCAGTTTTGCAAAGTGGTTGCACCAGTGTATACTTGCACCAGCAGTGTGCAAGAGCCCTAAGACACAGAGCATTTAAAAACTGGCACTTACGAAGCTTTTTAAAATACCGAAAAGGACAAAGAGAACTAAGAAAATTCCCACTATCCCTAAATCTCTCTTAACTTCTTTTAAATTGTAAAAAAATCAAGCTATTACCTACATGTGACAAAATGTGCATGCCCTAACTGTTGAGTGTGAGGGAGTTCTGACTGCTGTACTCACCTGAGTAACCACCACCTGGATCTCCGTCACCCAGAAGATCTCCTCGCGCCCCTTTCCAGCCAGTTCCTTGTCCTGCCAGATATCCCCTGCGAACATTTAACAAAAATAAAATGCACGTACATAGGTGGTAGTCCTAAAAAGTATAGAAAGGTATAAAATGAAAAGTTGGCCTCTACTCCTTCAAGTCCATTTTCCCCTAGGCAGTCACTGTTAGCAGCTGCACGGGGCTTCTCAGAAAGTGCTTATGAATATTCCTTTGTAAACACCACGCAGACTTTATCATCCACGCGGTTCCGTTCCATGCTCCTTAATATATGTCGCAGCAGTGTCTGCAGTAGCACACAAATCCACACCATTTTCTTTTCTAGTTTCATAGTCTTCCCTTCAGGCAGAGTTTAAGGTGGATGGAACTTTAGATCCTTTAGGAAAATGCTGTCATCCACATAGGGAGACTGAGTTTCTGACAGGAAGGAGAGGTTTATTGAGCATCTACTATCCACAGGCCAGAGGCAGTACAAGGCGGTTTGCTGCCCAGGCCTCGCAGCCCCCCAACACGGAAGCCTGTAAGCACACTCCAGGGACCAGGGTGGAGTGAGCTGCCCCTGGCTACAGAGCTGGGAGGTGGAGGTCCTAGGTTTGCACCATGTGCCTGGGTCACCGAGCCTTCCCTTGCACTCCCCTGTCCCTGGCCAGGGCTTCCTCAACTCTACATAAGGGCCAGCCTTGGGCTTTGGGACATTCAAGACACCCCCACCCCCACCTTCTGGGTAAAGGTCTTTCCTGAGCCTCAGAAATGACGCATTACAGTGGCTTCCCAAACTGCGAAGGAAGAAGTGGCGTTTGTGGGTTGTCATCGTTTCTTTGGGCAAGGAAGGGGGGACCCGAGCGTTCGTGTGTCATCCAGCGCAGGCTTTGATGAGGCTGATGAGTCATGGAGCCATACAAGGAAGTTTTTCATGTAAACGGTTTGTGGGTGAACTTGTTTTTTGCCCTTTAAGGCAGAATTTTGTTTTTCTTTTTCTCGCCCTTTAAAGACAAGTTTTTAAAACGTAAATGAGAGGCAGCGTCTTGATGAGCAAGATCTTTTGTTCTGCAGGCGTCTGCAGTGTGTCTCTTTCACAGCCAGTGGTGGGCAGTGGAGGCCCCTGAGCTGGGTTGCTGATCTGCACTTGGGGCACACCTTGGCCAGGTGTCCAGCCTGGAAGAGGGAGGTGGCCTGCCATTCTTTTGTTGGCCTCCAGGGCTCCCACCTGCTGGCCTGTTGGCTCGGAGATGAGGCCAAACAGAGACTTTAAAAAGAGCAGTGCTTGTCCCCACAGAGGAATTAGGCCCTTGCTTCACCGAGGGATCATCAGAAAATACCCAGCGGGACAGCCGGCTAACTCTGGAAGGGAAGGTGTTTGGGAGAGAGGATAATTGACCGGGAGATGATGCAGAACGACTAGGGCCCTGAGGGCTGTTGCCCACATTCTGCTCGCCGGAGCACCCTGGTGCACTTTCAGAACCAACAGACTGTTTTGCAGAAAGCCTTGAGAGGGACAGAGACCCCCTTTCAGAGAAACTGAGGCCACTCCTAATGGAGCTTGCTGGCACGTGGCAGCAGAAGGCCAGGGTGGTTTGTTTCCAGCGGGGGCTGGCACATGCTTGGACCATTCCCTTTGGAAAACTGGGCTGAACCTGACCTCTGTCCAGGAGTACAAGGACCTTAGAAAGCACACCCCAGAGGTCGGGGCCAGCCTGACACCGGCTGGAGGCAGGAACAGACTCAGGCAGACCATTCATCATGTCTGTTGACTTTTGAGACTTTTGTTAAAGTCTGCAACCAATCTTCCATCCAAGAGGGTCCTTATCATCCCAGGCCTCCTGGCACTGCAGACCCAGGGATTTTGAACCGGTAGCTCAGTGGTTTTCAGAGTGAAGTCCCAAGACTAGCAGTATCTGCATCACCTGGGAACTCTCTAGAAATGCCAGTCTTCAGTTTCACAAACTCTGAGGTGGCAGGATGAGAGCAGCAAACTATTTTAACATACCCTCCGGGTGACTGTGATGCACCCCAGCGTTTGAGAACCACTGCAGTAGTGTGAAGAAAGGGGAAAGAACAATAAACATCTATTGAGTGCCTACTGTTTTCCATCTACTTTATTTTCATTATTTTCTTTAGGCTGCACAGTGTCCCTGGGTTTTATATCTCCATTGTATGAACACGAGTCTGACTCTCAGATTAACCTTCTCATGCATCCAAGCTGGAATTCAAACCCAGAGTCTGCTGCCTCCTTCTGTAACCATTTCACCTTCTTACTGGGTTTCTCATAGCCTGAGATCAAGCATGGATGACTAAACGTGTCCATAGCTTTCGGGTTACTCTGCCAGAATCCCCTCTGTTTGTGCAGGTCACTTAGAATTCACTGTGGTGAACACCATTGAACTCACTCCTAGGACGCTGAGCTTCTCTGGGTGAGTAGAGTCTGCCGCACGAGTGTCTGAGGAGCCGCCTCCCCAGGGAGGGCAGGAGTGCGCCTTCTCCTATATTCAAGCATGACAGCATTACCTGGCTTGAAACTCACATTAGAGACTTACTGAACATTAATTTATTAAAGAACAGGATCCTTCTCCAGGATTCTCATAAGTTAAAGCCCTTTGTAGTAGGCGCCGGTGACTCCCACCCAGAGGATGCAGCTGGGAAGGATGGAGGCTTCCAAACAAAGCCATGAACAGATCAGATGTCCTTTGAAGTGCTGCAAGCACTAGATAAAGTTCTTAGTGAAATAAACAACAGAGGCCCCTGTTGAGATGCTACCGTCTTGAGGCCTGGCAAGGGAAATCCTTATTTGGGATAGAGAGAGTTCCCTTTATCAGGCCCAAAGGAAACAGAGCCTGTGGTGTCCCTCACTGTATTTCGGAAGGGCTAGGAAACTCGCCTGGGGCTGCCCGCCTCCCACACCACAGAGGAAGAGCAGGCTCTGGTACAGTATTTGCATTTTTTTATTTATTTGGTGGGTTGCAATTAAGCAGCGTTGTTTCCTGAAATGCCCTGAAAATGCCACCTTATATTAATGATTAATAAGAGGTGTTCCCCACCCCCACCCCGTAGTCTTTAATGTTGAGTGCAAATTGCTTTTTCGCTCTGGGTGGCCTTGGTCAAGAGGGGAGGGCCAATTACTGAGGTTCAGAAGGCCAAGCTGGTGGCCCTGTCAGAAAGACCCTCAGGAGGGTTGGCACACAGGACAGAGTCAGGGGGAAGGATTTGGTCGGCTTCATTTTAATTTTTTAAAGGTATATCCTACCTCTGCTTAATGACCCTTGAAGTGGCTTAGAAAAGCACACAGACTGGGAAAATCGATACGAATTGATCTGGAGTGACACCCACCAGGTGTTAGGAGGGAAAAGCCAGATGCAGACATAAGTATTATGCAGTGCCATTTGTGTAAAATGAAATGAGGACCCCACAAAACCTGTCTGTATCGTGTTGGTGCAAAAGTAATTGCAGTTTTTGCCGTTGAAAGTCTGCTGCCAGACAAATATATATTTGTATTTGATTATCCGTGACCATGGAGAAAGAGATGAAATGATAGACGTCAAGCGTCTGCAAACGATCTGGCCCAGCACCTGTTTTTATAAATAAGGAGTTTTCAGGGTGGCGGGGACAGCTCTGCCCATTTGGGGGAGGGGGGGACAGCTCTGCCCATTCCTGCTGTGGCATTAAGCTGGTGACAACAGAGGTGGCATGACCCACAAAGCCTGGACTATTATTATTTGGCTCTTAGGAAAATGGTTTGTGGACCCCGATATATAACATAGTCTCAAATTTTCGGGGTTTACATGGTGAGCATGGAGTTAGCATGGATTCAGGGGGTGGCGGGAGGGAGGGCCGTGGTAAGGTTAAAAAGAAGAAAGCCAGCATGTATGATGCAGCTGAAACTTAGGTGCAGTTTTAAATTGGGCTGGTTGTGTGTTTGTGTGTGTGAGTGTGTGTGTAACTGGGTTGTGGGTGTGTGTGTGCACCATGATACAGGTGTGCGGGCCATGAGCCTTCCATGCTGGAGTTCTTGTCCTCTGTATGAATTTTTCAAAGAACATGCACTTGAAAAATCGGATTATCCATCTACTAGACCACTGAAAAGTCAAAAGTAGTAAGATCTCAGATGCCTTCCAGTTCTCTTTAAGAATATGGGATTCTGGCCCGGTGTGGTGGCTCGTGCCTGTAATCCCAGCACTTTGGGAGGCTGAGGCAGGTGGCTCACCTGAGGTCAGGAGTTCAAGACCAGCCTGGTCAATGTGGTGAAGCCCCATCTCTACTAATAATACAAATTAGCTAGGCGTGGTGGCAGGCGCCCGTAATCCCAGCTACTAGGGAGGCTGAGGCATGAGAATCGCTTGAACCCAGGGGGCAGAGGTTGCAGTGAGCCAAGATTGCGCCACTGCATTCCAGCCTGGGTTACAGAGTGAAACTTCGTCTCAAAAAAAAAAAAAAAAAAAAAGTATGGCATTCTGACTAATTTAAGAATCCTGGGGAAAGATACAATATCACCGTCATGATTCCAATTTCTGAAATCTTTGGAGAGTTTTTTCCTTTATTTCTCTTTAATTAAATGCACAATGCATGAACGGCTTCCTGCAATAATTTGAAACATTGCAGATAAAGCTGAGCCCTACCCGTTGGTCCTCCCCCGAGCCACTTCCGTCTCCAAAGAAGACAGCTGTCACCAGCCGGACTTGGTCCCCACCCCCCACCCCCTGAAGCCCCGTGAATTAGATCATATATATGTGTATGTCAACATAGATTATGCATGTATTTGCTACTGTACTTAACAGCATGTTGTGCAGGTGGAATCCACGGCAGATCTTGTAACCCTCCTTCCTTCTTTTTAACTGCTGTTTGCTGTTGCACTGTGGGGGCCACAGTGTAAGCACTTCTCTATTGATGGACATTTAGGGGGTTTCTGGTCACCTTTTTTATTTTTTTTGAGACAGAGTTTCGCTCTTGTTGCCCATGCTGGAGTGCAGTGGCACAATCTTGGCTCACTGCAACCTCTGCCTCCTGGGTTCAAGCATTTCTCCTGCCCCAGCCTCCCAAGTAGCTGGGATTACAGGTGCGTGCCACCATGCCCAGCTAATTTTTTTGTATTTTTAGTAGAGACGGGGTTTCATCATGTTGGCCAGGCTGGTCTTGAACTGCTGACCTCAGGTGATACACCTGCCTCGGCCACCTGAAGTGCTGGGATTACAGGTGTGAGCCACGGTGCCCAGCTGGTCACCTTTATTTTTTCTAAGACATTAACTGTCTTTAGTCAGTGTCCTACTGAACTCAATAGGTGTCATTTATCAAGCCTGAAATGTGACATTTAATTCTCCCAATAGCTCCAGGATGCAAATGCTACTATTATCCCCATTTTACAGATGAGGAAACTAAGGTTCAGAGAGGTGATGTAGTTTGCCTAAGGCTGCACAGCTCATAAGAAGCGGAAAAGAAATTCAAGTGTAGATCTGCCCGACTCTCCGTTTGTGATGATGCACACATCTGCGAGCAAAAACATGGCTTGCTTGAGCCTCTGAGCTCCCAGGAGTGTGCAGGCTGGTGGGGGAGGCAGCTGGCCCATAGGTCGTAGAGTGAGCAAAGAGTGATGAGGGTAGTAAGTTGGCATGCTGAGCATGGGGCTGGGACCTGCCAGCCTCCCTGGCGCAACAGAAATTCATTTCTCATGGTTCTAGAGGCCAGGAAGTCCACCATCAAGGTAGATTGGTGAGGGCTCGCTCCCTGCGTCACAGAGGGTGCCTTCTCGCTGTGTCTCACATGGGAAGGGGTGAGGGAGCTCCCCCAAGCCTCTTTTCTAAGGGCACTGATCCCATTGGTGAGGGCTCCACCCTCATGAACTAATCACCCCCACGAGGCCCCACCTCCTAACACCCCCCCCACTGGGGATTAGGTTTCAATAATGAATTTTTTGAAGATACAAACATTCAGAGCTTAGCACTTGGCTTGTGGCCCCCTCACTCCGGTGTCTGCCTCCATGGTCACATGGCCTGCGCCTCCTCTGTCTCTCCTTTGTATACTTCCTGGGGATACTCGTCACTGGATTCAGGACCCACCAGATAATCCAGCGTGATCTCCCCATCTCAAGATCCCAAACGTGGGATGTTGCATTCACAGATGGCAGGGGTTGATGTGGACATACCTTCTTTGGGGCCACCAGTCACCTCATGACCCAGGCAGGAGTTTGCCTCTCTTAGTGAATGTGTCTCCGGGCACAGCCCTCCCCCCAGAGCATCTTGACACAGGAATGAGCAGAAGAAAATCCCACAGCTCTTGGCCCACCCCCACCTGCACGGGACTCTCTGAGGGGATGGTGCCTGGGATTTGATTAAGGAACCCTGAGAAACTGGTCGTATCCTTATCAAGGCCAGAGCATAACACGCCCGAGGCGACGCTCCTTATTGTCCCTTCTGTCACCTCTCATCCCTCCCCTTGTCCCTTTCCTCTCCCCCCTCTCCCTTCTCCTTGGAGAAGAACCCGGCAGCTTCTGCCTGCACCTGAGAATGTTTTCCCCTCTTTCCCTCTTTCTATAGCCTGTTCAAAATCTTAACTTAAAACCTGCTGAACTGGGTGTTCCTGCCCCAGTTCAGCCTCCTGTGGGAATGAGGGAGGTGCCTCCTGTCCGCACAGCCTCTGGTCAGCCTGAGAGCAGGGAATCCAGGAGGACAGGAGGGGCGGGCAGGCTGTGTTGAGTTTTAGAATTCTGAAAGAGGGGCGCCTGTTCTAGTCCATGAGGAAATGCACTTCTCCAGGCCCACCCCACACCCGGCCCACCCGTGCAGGCTGTTTTTCCACTGCACTCAGTTTTCCTGGAGAAACAGCCCCCGCCGGGATTAGGACCGTGTGAAGATCAGAGAGCCTTTCCAGAATGCCGAGGGAGAGTCCAGGATTGTTCCTGTGTGTGTGGCTCAGTCCCTTCAAGGACCGGAGCTCAGGACCAGGGGGTGACCCTGAGCCAGAATCCTGGTTCCTACAGGGCCGGCTGTGACCTGGAGTGGGTTACCTTTTCCTCTGTGTGTTGTGGTCTTCAAGTCTGTAGAATGGGGGTCGCACCTGTTAACCCCGGCTGCACCACATTCAGATCACCTGGAGATCTTAAATATTCTCTTGTTTAGTTCGGTGAAATATGCATGAGGCATCATTTGAACCAGGTTTAGGTGGCAGTTCAGTGGTTCATTCACGTTGCCGTGCTGCTGTCACCACCATCCGTCTCCAGAACTTTCTCCTCTTCCCAAATGGAAACTCTGTCCCCATTACCCCCTCCCCCAGCCCCTGGCATCCACCATTCTGCTTTCGGTCTCTAAGAATTTGTCTACTCTAGGGACCTCATATGCGTGGAATCACACAAGATTTGGCCTTTTGTGGCTGCCTTATCTCAGCCTAATGTCCCCAAGGTTCATTCATAGTGTGGCCTGCGTCAGGATTTCCTTCCTTTTTAAGACAGAATAATGCTGCAGTGAATGGGTAGACCACACCTTATGTCTCTCTTTATCCATTGGTGGACCTGGGTTGCTTCTGCCTTTTGGCTGTTACGAATGACGCTGCTGTGAACATGGGTGTGCAAATGCACTTTTAAATATACCGGCGCTCAAAAAAGTCCTGATGCATAGGTTCTGCCTGCCCCCAACACCAGTCTGATGGGATTGTCCTGAGGTTGGACTCCGTTATTGGAATTCTAAGCCCCTTGGGTGGTTTTAATGTGTAGCCAGGGTCAAGAACCCTGCCTGATAGAGTCATTTGGGGCACACCTCAGCACAGGGCCCAGTACATAGGAAGCCCGGGGATGTTAGCTGGTGTGATGGTGGCTGCTGGTGTCGGCTGATGTACAGCTTTGTGTGAGAGGACAGCTTGGGGCCGGAATCCTCCCCCATGGCTCCTCTTTGCCAGGGACCCTGTGCGAGCCCCATGCTGACGTCCCTACCCGAATTCTCCTGGAAGTTCCTCCTGTAGCCTCCTGGGTCCCCAGGTGGCTCCCTCTGACCTCACTGATGATGCAGGTGCCCAGGTGTGCCGTTTCTGACGCAGGGCAGGGCCAGGGCTTATGCAATCGGGTAATGGGCTGGAGGCGGGCCTTAGGGTGGAAGTCAGTGTTTCTGTCCCCTGCTGCAGCAAGAGCAGGATAGGACATCAGGCCCCCCCCCCCCCAATTCCCCAGGGAAAGAAAACCCAACCAATTCCAAACCCAGCTCCCACTTTCTCAACCACAGTTGCAGAGGGCCCTGCTGCCTTCTGTGAAATGATGGGGCTGGACGGCTCAGCTCGAGTCACCGCAGTAAGATGGCAGACTGACTGGGACCAGGCGTCCTGGGGTCAGTCCTTGCTTGCTCCTTACAGCTGTCTGGGCTTCCAACAGCTGCTATGACAAATTTCCGTAAACTGTGTTGCTTAAAACAACAGAAATTTGTTCTCACACAATTCTGGGGCCAGATGTCCAAAATCAAGGTGTCAGCAGGGCCACATTGCTTCTGAGACTCTAGGGGAGGGCCTTTTCCTTGCCTCACCCAGCTTCTGATGGTGTCCGGCTATCCTTGATGCGCCTTGGCATCCAGGCTCTGCCTCCATACGTGGAGGTCTCTCTGGAGCATGTGTGTGTGTGTGTGTGTGTGTGTGTGTGTGTCTCTCTCTCTCTCCACATGGCCTTTTTATAACGACGCCAGTCACTGGATTTAGGGCCAACTCTAATCCAGTATGACCTCATCTTAATTATATCTGCGAAGACCCCATTTCCAAAGAAGGTCATAGTCACAGATACCGGGCTTAGGACTTGGACATATGTTTTGGGCAGACACAGTCCAACCCACAACACCAGCTGTGTGACCTGGGCAAGGTGTGAGCCCCTCCTCTCCTCTGCAGCACGTCCACCATGAAATGAGGCTTGTGGGTGAGAACCTTGCTTCTTAGAGGGCTCAGGAACATCTGTGTCACCTGGAAGCTGCTTAATGCAGATTCCCAGGCCTCGCCCAGCTCTGCTGAGCTGGAATCTGCATGGTAACCAGACCCCCAGGCAATTCCTGTGCACACGAATGAGAGTTGCAGGGTAGGTGAAAGGATTTGGTGCAGGGCCTGGCCTAAAGCAGCACCTAACGCATGTTAGCCTTCAGTGCCATTTTCATTCTCCCCACTGCCTGTTCTACCTGCAACAAACACCGAGAGCACCTTCCCTGGGTGGCTGCAGTCACCATCCAACACATCGGAGGAACAGATGAGATGTCATCCCTGCTCCCAAGCAGCTCCTAGCTCAGCGAGGAAAACAGCTACATACAATTTTTTTTTTAATGTGCTCAAACAGCATCTGCGTGATGATTGGATTTTGCCCACGGTGCAGCTGGCCTGAAGAGCCAGGTAGGATGTGGTACTCAGCTGGGAGCCTGACACCAAGGCCAGCTTATCTCCTTGCCAGCCAGGCACGTGGTTACCTAGGCAACCAGCCGATGCCGCAGAGACAGTGGAGCAGGACACCCGCCTGAGTTCCCGCTGTTTCCCTGGAAGCGGCATTGAGCACAGGAGGCCACCACCGGTGGGCATTTAGGCGTTTTCCCCTCTTGCAAACAAATTGCCCATCTCCCCAGGAGCTGGCTTTTCAGGCAGGTGTCCACTGGGCACCCAGCTGCACCAGCCTGCAACTGCCTTTGGGAAACCGAGGAGGCGAGGCTCAACTCTCCGATTTGAAGGCAGCAGAATCATTGATCAAGGCATAGAGGTGCTCAGGTTTGCCTCTCGGAGTGGCATGATGGTCAGGTGCTCAGGATCCAGAGCTAGACCTGGATCCCAATTCTGCCTAGCTCTTAGTAGCTGCATGACTTACCTCACTCAGCCTCGATGTTCTCATCTGTAAAATGGGACTTACATTATACCACTCACCTCATTTAGTGGATGGGATGATTTAAAATGTATTTATACAAAGTGCTTCGCACAGGACCTGGCCTATGGAGTGCCCTTCAGAAGCGATGGCTTTTCCGCTGTCTTGTCACTCGTCATTCATCAGAACCCAGTGTGCGTGCTTGCTGTTCTTGGAAAATGTCAGCCCTTGATATGTAGTAGCCATTATGACTGTAATGAGTAGTTTGGTTAGAATGTTCTGTGCCCTGTCTCACCCTTCAGCCAGACTGGGAGTGTGCAGGGGCTGGTTTGTCTCATCTCTGTATCATTTCCCCCACTCCCTGCCCCTCCATAGAGACAGTGCCCCACTCAGAGTAGGCGTCCCTCCACCCACCTTGAAAACATGAGTCCTGAAGGGTAAGCATTGATTAATTCATCAATGAATTAGTTGGACCAGCAGGTAACAGAGTTCAGTAATTGTGTGGGGTAAATTGGGGTCCCCTAAAAGACCCCTTACACCCTGTGCTGTCCTGTGGCAAAATTTAAACTGATTCAGTGCAGTTGAGGCACGGGGACAGGGCAAAAAGCAACAATATATGTGCATAGCAGCACTATTCATGATAGCCTACGGTGGAGACAACCCAAGAGTTCATCAGCGGATTAACAAAGAAATTGCAGTGTATCTGCCGGGCGCGGTGGCTCTCCTGAGGTCAGGAGTTCGAGACCAGCCTGGTCAACATGGCGAAACCCTGTCTCTACTAAAAATATAAAACTTAGCCAGGCGTGGTGGCGGGCGCCTGTAGTCCCAGCTACTCGGGAGGCGGAGGCAGGAGAATCGCTTGAACCCGGGAGGCGGAGTTTGCAATGAGTTGAGATCGCACCACTGCACTCCAGCCTGGGTAACAGAGTGAGACTCCATCTCGCAAAAAAAAGAAAGAAAGAAATTGCAGCGTATCCATGCAGTGGACTGTTAGTCATGGAAGGGGGTGAAGCAAAGCTGCCACAGCCGGATGAACCTTGAGGACGGTATGCTAAGTGGACAGAAGGCCACATTGTGTATGATTTATATGCAGTGGAAGACACATGTTAACCCACAACAGTTTTGGCAGACACAGTTCCACCCACAACACAAGCTATGTGACCTGCGCAAGGTATGAACCTCTCCTCTCCTCTGTAACACGTCCACCTCGTGGAGGAGAGGAAGTGAGGCATGTGGGTGAGAACCTTGCTGCTTAGAGGGCTCAAGGACATCTGTCTCACCTGGAAGCTGCTGAATGCAGATTCCCAGGCCTCACTGTGGTCACAAAAGGACACATAGTGTATGATTCCATTTATATGCAATGTTCAGAATAGGGGAATCCAGGAACAGAAAGTGGATTGGTAGTTGCCCAGGGGCTGGGGGAGAGTACAATAGGAAGTAACAGCTTAAAAGGGTTTCCTTGGAAGTGATGGAGAAGTGTTGGAAATAGTGGTGGTGGTTACACAACACTGTGCTAAACGCCGCTGAAGTGTTCACTGTAAATGGGTACATGGTGGCCGGGCGCAGTGGCTCACACCTGTAATCCTAGCACTTTAGGAGGCCAAGGCGGGCAGATCATCTGAGGTCAGGAGTTCGAGACCAGCCTGGCCAACATGGTGTGAAACCCCATCTCTACTAAAAATACAAAAATTAGCCGGGTGTGGTGGTGGGCGCCTATAATCCCAGCTGCTGGGAAGGCTGAGGCAGGAGAATCACTTGAACCCAGAAGGCAAAGGTTGCAGTGAGCCGAGGTCATGCCACTGCCTGGGTGACAGAGCGAGACTCTGTCTCAATAAGTAAGTAAATAAATAAATAAATAAGGTTAATGGTTAATTTTATGGTGTGTGGATTTTACCTCAATGAAGTAAATCTATATGTATGTGTATATAGTGATGGCAGCCCCCTGGTGCCTCAGACAGCCTAGTTTCTCAGGCCAGAGTGATGGGCTGTGACTGGTAAAGCCCCTGTGTGATTCCCGGAGGCACTAGGGTTGTCCCTACCAAGCCTGGGGCAAGAAAGGAATCCCAGTCAGAGAGAAAAAAAATAGTGTTCAGTCTAATCCCAGAAGCACCGTTGACCCTATAGCCCTGACCTGTAATGAAAACGAACGAAACATGCATTTACAATATTTCTTTAAAAATGAGATTTTGGGGGTCTCACTTTCTAGTTAAGTTGAGTGTCTTCTCGTTATTTTATACTCCACAATTAGATCACAGATGCCCTCCAGTCATGGTGGTGCTGGTGCCCATGTATTTCACTGGAAATGTGCACAGATAATCGGGACAGTGTTGCCTCCTTCCCTGGAAAATTGTAGCCAAAGCACCGAGGCTGATTTTGTGACATGGATTGTGTGGGCTAGCAGGCATGGGGAATAAGGCCAGGGGGCTGTGTTTGACCCAGGGTGTCTCTGTGGGGAGTGCACCAGCAGGGAGCTGAGAGGTTATGAGCGGGTTTTAGGTTGATGTTGAAGACTTGGCGGCCAAAAGGGCAGTTTGGGGGTAACACCCATGGGACAGTTATGAGGCCTGCATTATATATGAAGGTAATGTGACAGTCTCTGATGCTCACCGGATTGAAGGGAAGCTATTCTGGAGGACTCAAGAAGGCCAAAAATGCTGCCTCCCAAGTGTCCAGTCCTCCCGGAAGCCATGGCTTGCTGGAGATAGCAAATTATTTCCTACACACTTAGCATCTGCAGCCATAGTGAGTCTTGAATCAGGGAAGCCAGGGAAGATAACCAGCCAGCCATTGTCCCCGGGTGTGCAAGGCACAAGTGGGGACATTGCACCTTGGTAGACCTTTTAAGAAAATTCCAAGGCAGGGTCCCAGTGAGATGGGGGCTTGGAGAGGGGGGTCTCCCATGGGAGGAGGTAGGCAAGGGCCCTTTCCTCGGGCCGAACGCAGTGCCACACACATACTAGACCTCAGCATCGATGGGTAGAGGCAAACATGCATGCTCCTGGGCCCGTGGGGACGTGATGACAGGGACACCAAGACTTTCGGATAGCACTGCCCGACGGAGCATTCTGCGATGATGAAAATGTTCTCTGTCTGCACCACTATAGTCACCACTAGACACAGCTGGCTACCGAGTAACTGTAATGTTACGATGTGATCAAGATGCTGGATTTGTAGTTGTATTTCATTTTAATGAAGTTCAGTGTGCGTAGCCACCTGGGGCTGGTAGCTTCTGGACTAGGCAGCTCCGCTGTAGGACCTGCACTGGAAAAAGTTTTCAAAGCCGGGCTGGGTCCTCCCTGGCTCATATTTCCCTGTGGGGTCCTCCTCCACTCTGCAGTGCCATGGGCGCGCCCGTGCAGCGTCCTCTCTTCACGACAGGTGGTGGGGAGCATGCGTGCTTGGGTGTGTACGCGCGCGAGCCCCAGAGGCTGCGGCAGCAGCAGAGCAGCAGAGCAGCAGCCCCTGCCTGGCGCGACGTGCTTCCAGTGCATTCTGAGTCACTCCTCTCCTGGCAAGGGGCACATTCCTGCTGACGACTTGTCTCCCGTGGAGGAGCAACAGGCTCTGCTTTCCCTGGCCTGAGAACCCTGGCATATGTGCTTGCCTCTGCTGACAGTTGCCAGAGCGATGGCAAGTGTTGCCCAGGTAACGTCCCTTCCTTGACAAGCAGAGAGGGTGAGGACAGCGCTGGAGTGGCTGACTCTGCCAGACGGGAAGCAGGAGGCTCTGCCTGCTGTCTCTGCTTGCCGCTGGCTGGTGGGGCTTGGGCTCGGATGTGGGGAGCCCTCCTGAGTTCTACCTCCCTGGACTACTCCTTTACAGAACTTGGTAGGTGAAAACAATCAGAGCTGCTGTTTAGCCAGGAACTGAGCTAAGTGTTTTATATATTATCTCATGAAATAGTCACAGCAAGCCTTTGACAGTAGTTATTCTTATCCTGATTTGCAGACAAGGAAACTGGTGCAAGTAATAGACTGTAAGTTTCATGAGCACCGGGGCTTGTCTGCTTTGTTCACCATGGTTATCCTTAGTACTTAACATAGTGCTTGGCACGTCATAGTAGATCTTCATGGGATGATTGGATGGAAGGGTGAATAGATCGATGAGTGAGTGATGGAAGTATGGATGGTAGATGGGTGATGAATGGATGATGAGGTGGGTGAAGGATGGATGGGTGGGTGGGTGGATAGTTGGGTGGGTGGATAGTTGAGAGGGTAGGTGAATGGTTGGATGGATAAGTAGATGGATGAATGAATGAGTGGATGGATTAATGGATGGATGGGTGGGCGGGTGGGTGGATGGATGGATGGATGGATGGATGGATGGGTGGGTGGTTGGGCAGATGGATGGATGTGTGGGTGAATGGTAGGTGGGTGAGTAGATGATGGATGGGTGGATGGATGAAGTAGAGCTTAGATTTGATCTGGAGTCTGCTCGTGAAGCCTATACGCTTCGCCACTGAGCCATACTACCTTTGGTTTTGTCTGATGACTACCTCCCTAGGATAGCATTTTTAAAAAATAGCATTATTGAAATGGAATCCACATACCATAAAATTCACCCACTGTGAGTACACAATTCAGTGATCTTAGTAAATTTATAAAGTTGTACAGTCATCACCACAATTCAGTTTTAGAGCATTTCCACCATCTTGAAAGATGCCCTCATGCTTGTTTGCAGTCTCATTCCTGTTCTGTGCCCCAGGCAATGAATGTTCCACTTTCTGTCTCTGTGAAATTGCCTTTCTAGACATTTCACATAAGAGAAATCATACACTATGTCTTTCTTATCTGGCTTCTTTCCCTTAGTGTAGTGGTTATGAGTTGCATCCGTCTTGTAGCATGTGGGTAATTCAATCCTTTTTATTGCCAAATACTGTTTGGTTGAATGGCTATACCACATCTTGTTTATCCATTCATCAGTTGATGAATTTAAGTTGTTTCTGTGAAGAATGCTGCTATGGACATTCTTGGGCATGTCTTTGGAGTTTGTTTCTCTTTCTCTTGGGTAGATTTCTAGGAACAGAATTGCTGGGTCATATGATAAATTTATGTATAATGTTTTAAGAAACTTTCAAACAATTTTCCAAGGTGGCTGTACCAGTTTACCTTCCCACCAGCAACACACAAGATTCCCAGTTTCTCCACACCTTTGCCAACACTTGGCGTTGTCTGTCATTTTCTATTACAGCCATCCTCGTAGGACGAAGTCGTATCTCTTTATGGTTTTAGCTTGCGTTTTCCCGAGGGCTAATGACGTTGAGCATCTTCTTTGCATGCTTACTCCTAGGCTGGAATTTGACTTTTAAAGCCAGACCTTGGCAAACTGTTTTCTACAAAGGGCCAGATAGCAAATATTTGGGGCTTTGTGGGCCACATTGGATTTCTGTTGCATATTCTGTGTTTATTTTCCGTCACAACTCCTACAGTTTGTGAGACCATTCTTGGTCTCATCGAACAAAAACAGGCAGGGGGCTGGGTTTCACCGCATGCTATAGTTCACCAACCCTGCTCTAAGTCAGCCCCTTTCTGTGAAAACACCAGGTCGTGTGCCCAGCCACAGAACAGTTCCAAGGCCCCTGTGTACTCCCCACTTCAGAAGAATCCAGTGGCCTGTGGGGTCCATGCTAGACAAACCACCAGGCCACCCACCCCACCTGGCAAAGCGCACTCAGCAGGAAGACCATATTGCAAAGCTGAGGGCCAGCCTCCAGGGAGCCTGGAGCAGGGATTCCGGAGGCGTCCCTATCCCAGCTCCACCATGATTCATCACCTGATGAGCTCATCAGAGTTCCTGGGATGAGGCATGCTAATTTGTCACCTAGGGAGGAGGGACAGGGCCCTGTTGATCCTGGACAGGCCTCCCTCATCCCTGTGGCCACCCTGACCTGGGGCTCAGAGCCTCTTCTGGGAACAGGGGCCTGCCTGCAGCCCGCACCCACAACGCCGTAGCCCACCCTCCCCCCGCACCCGCAGAGCCGTAGCCCACCCTCCCCCCGCACCCGCAGAGCCGTAGCCCACCCTCCCCCCACACCCGCAGAGCCGTAGCCCACCCTCCCCCCGCACCCGCAGAGCCGTAGCCCACCCTCCCCCTGCTGCTTCCACCGCCTTCTGGTTACCTGGCCTCCACTCTCAGAGCCTTGTGGATCTTGTTTCTGGATCTTGTCCTTGTGTCACCAAGCATTCTTGACACTTCTTCAGGATCTCTTGGCAAATCTGATATCCTCTTCACCCGACCATCGTGGCCCTCACTGATGTGATGGAAAGAGCTTTGCAGTGGCCAGAGCCAGTTTTCATTCCTGAATTGTCCCTTTCTAGCTGCTTGACTCTGGGCAAGTCTCTTGACCTCTCGGGGCCATGATAGGCTTCTGTGCACAGAGAACACCAACAATCCTCTGGCAGAAGCTGCAGCTGGCCACCCCCTCAGCATCGCGTGAGGGCTGCCAGCTGTGCACCATGAACACCTGTGACCCTGCAGAGCGCATGCTTTTTTCTGGCTGTGGGATCACTTTGGCCTGGGCACACGGCAGTCAGAAGCCCTGAAGAGTTGGCCAGGCGCAGTGGCTGCCGCCTGTAATCCCAGCACTTTGGGAGGCCGAGGCGGGTGGATCACGTGAGATCAGGAGTTCAAGACCAGCCTGGCCAACATGGTGAAGCCCATCTCTACTAAAAATACAAAAATTAGCTGGGCATGGTGGTGCACACCTGTAATCCCAGCTTCTTGGGAGGCTGAGGCAGGAGAATCACTTGAACCTGGGAGGTGGAGATTATAGTGAGCTGAGATCTCACCACTACACTCCAGCTTGAGTGACAGAGCAAGACTCTGTCTCAGAAAAAAAAAAAAAAAAAAAAAAAAAAAAAAAAAAAAGCCCTGAAGAGTTTAGGGAGCTAATGGACAAATGGCCAGCTCCCTCACTCTTTAGGAACGTCAACTCTGAGTGTGATCTGCACTGTCCCCTAGAGCCCCCAGCAGGAGTGAGCCCTCATTGCCTATATCATGTGCTTGACAGTGCCCTGTTTATTGACTGTCTTCTCTTGCCCGTCTCACTTCCCCACTCTCCCCACCAGTATTTCCTGCTGTTCCCTCTCAGATCAGTAAGCCATTTGCACTCAGTCCCTTGTCTCAGGGTCCTCCCTATGACAAGCCCCCAACTCATGGGATACTGTGAGGATTGAGTGGGATAAAGCTCATAAGAGCTAGCACTGTGCTGGCACATGGTATGTCCTCATGAAATTTTAGCCCTTGGTACAAGCCCTGGGATCTTCTGGCTCTGAATACAGCCTCTGCAGACTCTCCCATGGATGCCTGTGAGGCAAGGGCTTGGGCCCTCCCGGGAAAGCTGTTGTCCTCCCCGCTCCAAGGAGGGGAGCTGTGGATGAGCTGAGGCTGGGTGTACCGACCCCGAGGGCTCGTGTCTGAAACTGCGTTGGTGCCAGCGTTGCCCACTGGGCCCTGCTATGCCTCAGACTGGTTGCCTCTGCATCTTGAGTGGCATCTGTGTGTGGAGAACAGGAGATTGTACTCATGGCCACCCACCTCAGGGCTGGTTGTATTTTGCAAGTTTAAATGAGACTTCGCTGGAATGATGTTCACCAAATATTAATGGTGGCTATTTCTGGGTTGTGGGATTTTTGAGGCCTTTTAAAACTTATCCTCTTCTTTGTGCTTTTCAGTACAGTTTAGATTTTTTGCAATGAGCATGCATCATCTTTCGCAAAAGAATGAAGTCATTAATCTTTCAAAAGTAAATAATGTGCAGCTGATCAGAAGAGTCCACTTAGAGCCCAGACTCCATGCAAATGTAAGACACGGGTGTGGATCGCTGTGGTTTGCTTTGGGGCTTGATATAGGGTGGATTTTGTGAGATCATTTCATGGTCTTTTAAAAATTAAACAATTCTCTGGGTACAAACTAAAACCACAGACTCTGAGGCTCAAAGGAGCATTCATCCTCTGGAGCGGGTAGGGTTCTTGCTTCAGACATGTTGGGTTTTGCACAGATATTTCATCGTGCTATTCAGGCAGCGTGTCCTGCTCACAGCACTAGGACAGGGCGGCTTTGGTTGACAGTAACTAGGAAGGAGGCTGGTTATGGTTCCAGAGACGCCTCAGTGGACTGGGTGCGTCTCATCGTTAATGAAGTTCAGCCAGTAGTCACTGTCACCATCGTCAACATCAACTGCATGTTTACTCTTCACTGTACACTCACCCCCGACAACTTGTCACGCGTTTCTTCCTGTCCTCGTAGGGTCTCCAATGGCTGGCAAGTGAATGTTCCTGGTCTTTCCCCTCCCGCTCCCTGGGGAATGCTGGGCTGCCCTGGCCTCCTCTGCTCTGCTGGGCCTATGAGAAGAGCTGATCTCTTTCTAATTCTTGATGTGCAATGGGTGAATGGGCAAAGAATAGTAAGACCAGGTGCTGGAAGGAGGAAAGAAAGGTGGGCAGGTGGGTAGATGAAAGAACTAGAGAGAAGGAGAAAGAAGGAGCAGAGAGAGGAGAAGGGAGAGATGACGGGAAAGACTTGGGGTGATGGGCGGGGGGAATGAAAACCGTCTTTGGTGTGAGTTCATGGGGGCGACACCAGTGGCAATGAGTATATCAGAGGCCCCAGAAAATCATGGGGTGCGGGAAAATAATGGAGAGGAGGAAGATGGGATGCCGTATTGGCCTAGGTTTTACGTTTCATCTCCTTCAGTTTTTCAAGAGACAGATTCAGTCTCAGCGTTCCTTTTTGTGACTCTTGGCTGATTTATCTGGACTTGACTTTTGAATGCGGCTCCATAGAGTGGACCACATGGGTCCAGGATGGGTCAGGGTTACAGATTGAAAGAGGTGCCGGTATTTTCCATCCTGACTTACAGAACAGGACCCTAAGGCTCAGAAGGTGAAAGTTTTCTAGGAAGAACCAGATCTTTCCGACTCAGGTCCACCTCCCGTCCCACCAGTGTGCCTCACCGACAGAAGTAACCGTTCCACTTGGCATGGAATGTGTCCCTCAGATACTTCCTTGATAGCGGTGGGTCCCTTGACCACTTGATAATTCCTAGCTCAGAAACTCAGCGGTCAGGGAGGCTCTGGCAGCTTCTAAGTTTCTGTTTGAGCCTTAGCAGTTCAGCAAGGGACCCTCCTCTCCCCCCTCCTCTTTCTGACTTTGGCTCAGAGATTGTGACATGTCACCCCAGCTGGCTGCTGGCATGGTAACACTAAAATTAGGCTCTCCCTAAGGAGCAGAGCACTTAATGAAGGAGTTCATCCAGTTAGAAAGTCTCTCAAGCAGGCCGGGTGCATGGGGCAGGCAGCTGCAAAGGCGGGAGCCCGGGCGGGGGTGGAGGGAGTGCTTGGCCCAGACCTCCGCCTTCCGAGGGCCTCCGTTTCCATGATGTCAGAGAGGCGGAACTAACTCTGCCTCAAATCCAGGGAGGCAGCAGCCCCTGTCCCAACCGCTCTCTGGCTTCGACACAGCGCCCAAGCAAAGGTGAGAGCACTCTTGTCTTCCTCACCAGGTGGATGCGGAGGGCAGCGCTGGATTTCCCGGGGGAGCATTCCAGGTTTAGTCCCTACCTGGCCGGAGTCTAATTCCTGGCCTTAATCCTGTCTGTCATGTTCCCTAGCTGACTACCTGTCTTCAAGCGACCTCTTGGGATTGACATAGGCGGAAACAGTGCCTTCAACTCAGAGAAAGCCCCTTTGTGGACTGACCATTCCCACTCTTACTGCGCTTGAATCCTTGGGAAGTGAGTTTGGCAGAAGATACGATCTAAAAGAGAAGTCTCCCCCTTTTCTTTTTGAAGTCATTGGAAACTGTGTGGAGACAGTATAGTATGGTGGTGAGGGCACTGGCTTGAGAGCCCGAGCACATGTTTCTGTCTCAGCTCTGCCAACTCTAGAGCCCTGGGCAGATTTTCTAACCTCTTGTGTACCTCGGTTTCTTCATCCTTTTAGCAAAAACAAAAACAAAAAAACAGGAAAAAAGAAAAAGGTAATCTATCAAGGATTATCATCAGGGTGAAGTGAGCCTGTGTGGGAAATGAGTCTAGTGTCAGGAGGCCTGGCTGCAAATGCACCCCGTGACTTTGGATGAGACCCTTCCTCTCTCGGGGTGTCAGTTTCCTTATAAACGGGGACTGGGCCAAGTTGTCAGTTTCTCAGGGCCCTTTACACCCTAACCCATCTGATTCTTTGATTGTCTTCCATCTTCTGCCTTCCTTACGTGAGTAACATGTTGCTGTCTCTTTATCTCTTTCAACCAGAAAAAGATTTACAAATATAAGAAAGTGCTGAGTAACCCAAGCCGCTGGGAAGTTGTCTTGAAAGAGATCCGGACCCTGGTGGACATGGCCCTGACATCCCCCCTGCAGGATGACTCCATCAACCAGGCCCCACTGGAAATCGTCTCGAAACTGCTCTCAGAGGTAAAACCCCTCCCCTGGACCCCTTTACATTGTTTGCCTTTCCCTCCACCGATCACCGGCTCCATGCCAAGCAGCAGGCGCAGGCAGAGCTCCGTGTGGGCTGTGTTGTTGCCCTGCTGCCGAAGGAGGTGAGCAGTTGCCCACCCAGCCGTGTGTGGGAGTTGGGAGAGGGAGGCTTGCCCCAGCTGCTTGCAGCTGTGCTGTCTGGGGATTGTAGGCACCGAAGAGGAGGTGTTGCCCCGTGCAGTGAGAGCCAGTAGTCCCATCCCCATCTCTGTCTTCCCCTAGCAGTGGCCCACATGAGCTCCAGGGGTCCAGGGGGATTCAGCTTTCTGCCCTCGTCACCCCACAAAGCCTGTAGATGTGCTCTGTTTAATTTAAACACCATTTTAAAAATCAGGAGATTTCACAGTACAGTGGGAATTTCCAGGTTCTCTTTAAAAACAATCAGAAAATCCAGCCGCGGTTTGCAGCTGGTGCTACCTGATGCCACCCGTCGGCTGGGCCTCCTGTGCCATCTGCTTTGCTGGCCTCCTCGCATATTGAATGTGTGCTTTGTGCCAGGCACCATCTGGGAATTCAAGCAAAGACAAGCCCCCTACCCCCCTGGAGCTTGTGTCCCGGCAGGGGAGACAGGCAGTGAACAATGAAACTCATCAGCGAGTCTGTCCCGCTGTTGGTTAGGCAGAAGGCGCTTCGGAAATGTGCTTCTTTCTGTTTTCTGTTTCAGGTGCTATTCTAGGCGCTTTACAAATATTAATACTGCTCTCGTTTATTTGCTCACCTGGCCCTCTGGGAACACTGGAGTTGATGACTCCTGATTTAAACTGTGCACAGCCACCAGACTGATGCTTCTGTCCCCCTCCCCTGACAGTGATACCCCCGGTCCTGAGTCTCCCCCGTCAAGCTCCCATGCAAGTGCCTGGCTGCCTGGAGCCCTCCCCTTTCTCTGCAGGCCCACACTGGCCGCTGCCCGTGGGACGGGGCCTGGCACCGGCCCTCCGTGTCTGTGGAGTAGAGAAGGTCCCTCACTCCAGGAGGAGGCGAGGTGGGAGGTAGAAAGTAGGTGGCAGTGACAGTCTCAGGCAGAGGGACAGAGGTCAGAGGTGTTGTCCTCAGTTGGGAGACCAGCATCGTTCCAAGAGGAGTAAAAACCCAGGCTGGGAAATGAATCACAGAGTGGCTGGAATTCTGAGCCTGGGTGCTGGATGTCCAGCTCCAGGTGCAGACTTCTCATCTGGAGAAGGGGTCCCTGCTCACCTGTAGTAAGCCAGGCAGGTGCCAGGTGCCACCCAATCTGGAGTGCAGTGGCGTGACGGCTCACTGCAACCTCCGCCTCCTGGGTTCAAGCCGTTCTCCTGCCACAGCCTCCCAAGTAGCTGAGATTACAGGCGTGCGCCACCATGCCCAGCTAATTTTTGTATTTTTAGTAGAGACAAGGTTTCACCGTGTTGGCCAGGCTGGTCTTGAACTCCTGACTTCAAATGGTCCATCTGCCTTGGCCTCCCAAAGTGAGACAGCCTCTCTTTTAAAACTCACATTCTCTCTGAAAGATGGGCCTTTCTGTCTTCACTTCACAGATGAGGAAATTGAGGCCCAGTGATACTGAGTGACCTGCCCAACTCACGTGGCAAGTTTGTAATGGAGCTAGAAGTTCCACCTTAGAGTTGCCAAGCGCTTTTGAGACCAACTTGGCCACCACTTCAGCGCCACCAGGCTCAACCACCACCACACCCTTATTAAATCAGGGCAGTGCTGAGGGCAGCAGACGTGCCCCATTGCCGGCCTCGGGCAAGATTTTTTTTCCCCTCTCAGATGTGCTTCAGGTGACCGCATGACTGTTGGCCTTCACATCCCTCCTTGGGCTTTATTATTATTATTATTATTATTAACAATGGGGTCTCACTGTGTTGCCCAGGTTGGTCTCAAACTCCTGGGCTCAAGTGATCCTCCCACCTTGGCCTCCCAAAGTGCTGGGATTATAGGCATGAGCCACCACACCTAGGACCAGACACCTGGCTGAGGGTGCTTCTTGGGCTTTAAAGTAAAAATCTCAAAGGCAGCTGACCCTTAAGTGCTAGGATGGAGGAATAAAGATATTTAAAGTAGGAAAATGGAAGAAGTTTCCATGTGCTTTGAAGCTACTGTGTCAGGCAAGGAGTCAGCATTACTCACCCTACTTTACTGAAGAGAGCTGACATTTAGGGACAGAGCTGGGACTCCAGCCCAGGCTGCCTGACCCGGCATCCACTCATGCATGCTCTGCAGTGGTCAGTTTGATGGCCCTTAGACCTCCCCAGTTTCTCCCAAGGACCCTGCAAGGTAAGTATTAAAATGTATAGAGGAGTAACCAGGGGTGCTGAGAGGTTAAGTAGCTTACACAGGGCCAGTCAGATTAAGTGTTGGGCCAGGACCCTCGCCCGGGTCTGCCCAGTGATGAAGCTTATGCCCCTGCACATAGATGTGAGATAAACCCGGGTTGGTAGAGACTTTCTGGCAAGTATGTAACTATGGAGATGAAGAGTGAGAAACCGTGTTGTAGGGTCGGAAGGACCTTGTCCTGCCCTCAGTAGCTGGGTGGCCTTGGACAAGTTGCTAGGCCTTTCTGTGCCCAGTTGTTTTCTGTAAATTGGGTCTGAGACGAGTACCTATTTCACAGAATTGAAGATGCGATCCTCTCATATGCATAAAGTGCTTGGCACTGTGCCTAACTTGCAAGGGCCTTTGATACATGGCCACATTTTCATTGTCATAGGAGATGTCTGTGGTCTGAACCCCGTAAGCACCTTCAGCCAGGGGTCTGGAGCTAGTAGCTGGAAAAACAAACATCTGCCTTCGACCTCCGTGCCCTGTTTTGGGGCTGGGTTGTTTCTCTGTTCTGTTTGCCCAAGTTGTTTGCAAGGCCTCCTCTGGAGAGGTTCCAGGCATCACCAGACCAACCAGAAGGTGGAAGGATCTGGAGGGAGCAGGCAGAGGGGCATCGTGGAGGGAGCTGCTAAGGACGCAAAACAGTTCCGAGAAAGAACTGTCCGTCCACCAGCAAAGCAAAGCTGGCTGTCCCCACCCTCCCAGGCCTTTGTTGAGTTGCGTGTAAAGTGGCCGCTTAGCTCGAGAGTCAGGTGTTCCCTCTAATGCAGTGGCTATTGGTGGACATGCTCTACCAGGGGTGGAAAATGGCCCTGGGGGAGAGAAGGCTCCCTGTAGAATGCATGGGCTGTCCTGTGACTGGGACAAAGGAAATGATGTCCGTGGTCGCCAAAGCCTTCCTGGAAAGGTGCGTGGGTGGCGGCGAGGGATGGATGTGTCGAGCTGCCCTTGGCAGCCCAAAATAAGGAACTGCTTCTTGGATGGGTGGTGGAGCACTGTAGCTCAGTGGCAGGAAATATAGACTTTAGAGTAAGGACAGACGGGTTCATATCCTCACTGCAGCCCCTATTACCCTGCGCCTGCTAGTCACTGCATCCCGTCAGTCTTAGGCAGCTGATCAGTCAATGGGATAGTAGAGAACCTGTCATAATCAAAAGAAATTGGTGGCATGAGCAAAACAAAGCTCTTACACAGTGCCTGAGGCATAGAGAGCTCAGCAGTCATAAGGAGAGACCAAGGCCAGGCTTCTCCCCGAAGCTGAAAAATGACTGATAGTTAATAATCTACCATAAACAGGCTGCTCAAACTCCACTCATATCCACTAAAGAAAAAAAGCGTGTTCAGATCCAAAAAACATCCTTTCACATGCCTGCATTCTAGGTATCTTGGGTCCAACCTCACCTAGGTCAGGACGTCTCATGGGGACCGGTAGAGACTCATGTTGTTCATTCAGATGCTGACCTGGCTTCACGGCCTCCCGCAGCCCTCGGGAGCCAGCTTATTGGGCAAAAGCAAATTCATAGCTCGCAAGCTTTTCTTTTGCCTTGGCTTCTGTAAACACATTAGATACCCCCATATGCCTTAAGCCTGTCCAGGTGGTGGGAGCCATGGGGCTCTGTCTAGAACCAGAACAATCGATCTTGCCAACACTGTTCAAATGAGAGGTCTCTTTACAAGCAGCCAATGTGGCTCTTTTAGGAAATACGAATTGGCACCACTGTGTGTCCACCAAAACAGACAAGCAAAGCAGAACACACCACGAAACTAGCAAGAAAGAAGGGCGGGCACTTCTGAGTTTTCCTGTGATTCCTTGTTTATGGCACAGCCGTCTCTTTCCTTGTTCAAGTACTCACAGATGGCGGCACAGGTCGAGCATCTCTAATCGTGAAACCTGAAATGCTCCAAAGTCCAAAACTTTCTTTTTTAGAGACAGTCTCGCTCTGTCGCCCAGGCTGGAGTGTGGTGGCACAATCTCAGCTCACTGCAGCCTCCGCCTTTTGGATTCAAATGCTTCTCCTGCCTCAGCCTCCCGAGTAGCGAGTACCATGCCCAGATAATTTTTGTATTTTTTGTAGAGACGGGGTTTCACCATGTTGGCCAGGCTGATCTTGAACCCCTGGCCTCAAGCAATCCACACTCCTCAGCCTCCCAAAGTGCTGGGATTACAGGCATGGGAGCCACCATGCCTGGCCAAAAGTCCGAAACTTTCTGAGCATCAACATGACACTCAAAGGAAACGTTCATTGGAGAGTTTCAGGTTTTGCATTCTCAGACTAGGTTGCTCAACTGGTTAAGTATAATGCAGATATTCCAAAATTTAAAAAAAAAAAATGGAAATCCAAAACACATGTTCCCAAGCATTTTCAGTAAGGGATGTTCAACCTGTAACAGTTACCAATTATTTAAGAAAAGTCCAGATTGGGAAGGAAACAGGACCCCTAAAATTTCAGCAAATGTAATCCATTCAACCTAATTATGTTTTTGCAAGTCAGTTGCTAGAATTTGAATTCAGCTAAAACATCTCGGGCCCACTCACGGAACTTCATGTTCCTTGGGAACTTAGTTTGAGAAGCACTGAAATCATATACGTGTTACTCCTAAAAGGCTGCCTGGCACAGATTAGGACTCTTGAAAGGTCTGTTTCTTTACATACTTATTATGAACCTGCCTTCTGGCTTCTAAGCAGTTTCACTTTGACGAGGGCCAGATCCTCTCCCAATAGCCTATTGAGGTTACTGGAAGCCCTGTTGACCGAAGCAGGAACTGAGTCTCCCCTAGACTCGACTCACTCAAGGTCACATAACTCAAGCCCCGAAACAGGGACAAGAACTCAGTTCTCCCTGCCCCAAAACCATACCTTCTCCCCCTTCCCGACCTTGCCCCTGAGGGTGTTCTGATCTGTTTAATTAAGAAAAAATGACAGTGACAGTTGGTCTGTGACGCTGAAGATGTTTCAAAACTGTGGATCTTGAAATCCAAATGCTCGTTTTCTTAATTTTCTTTTGTTTTGTTTTCCTCCTGCTGTCTCCATTCAATCCTTTAGAACACAAACTTGACCACCCAGGAGCATGAAAACATCATTGTGGTAAGTTCCTCTCGAACACGCTCCCTCCACCCACCTCCGCCTCCTGGAGCCTACAACCCTTTTCCTGGTTTGGGGTAATTCTGGCGCCTGCGTAATCCACCAGCATCTGGCCTTGCTCCGTTTTGTCTTTTCTAGCAAGCCGGACGCACCTCCCTCTGCCTTTGCATATTTCAGAGCCCCAGTTGATAGGAGCGGGAGTGTAATTGTCTGTCTTTGAGGTTTGTAGCAAATGTATCATAATCGCCTCCTCCTTCCTGCGTCTCTGCCTAGGGAGTTGAAGGCAGGAGATGGCAGAGCCCGTATAATTTATTCAGAGGCATCACCCCATTAGCTGAAAGGTAAACGTTCTCTTTCTTGCCCCAGGACATGTCTCCCAATTAATCCACAAATAGAACTTGGATTTAATTCCCTGTGATACATAAAGTGAGATGCTATTTTCTGGGACTCTACCATGATGTAAGCATTTTTGGGGTAAAATATCTTCCTGAATGACTTTTAGCTACGAAACCTAACTCTCACTTGAGAGAAGAAAGAAATGAAATTGCACCTGCTAGATGGTAAGCACCATGCTATGTATTTGAATTCACAGATAACCTAGTCCCTAAGGAGTTCATCATCTATTGTAGGAAGACAAAAGTGATCACCGCAAAAAATAGAGACATTGAGTGCAGAGAGTAAGTAGAGTGATAAACTCCCCTGGGAAAGGAGCCAGAAAGCTTCCTAGAGGTAGTGCTATCTGAGCTGGGTTTTGAAGGATCAATAGGAGTTTTCCAGGTGGCAAAACGGGATAAAAGCATCCCAGAGAGAAGAAACAAAATGTGCAAGAGCACAAAGATTTAAAGCAACGTAGTGTGTTCTGGAAGCTTCAGCATTGCTGGAGCATAAAGCATAAGGAAATGAGAAGCAGGCGGATGGGAGATGAAATAGAAGCAAGAGGCAGAGCCTTTTGTGCCCAGGAGGGGACCTTGGAACTAACCTGCCTGGGATGTCTCCTGGCTGCAAGGTACAGAACAAGAGCAGCATCAGTCACTAGGCCCCTCACGCTCCTCTAGCCGAATCAGGGCCTTGGGGGACCCACTCAGTCGGCCCTGGCAAGCCTAGCTGGGTACTGTATGCACAAAATGAGGTGAGCCCCAGGCCTTTGATTGTGGAGAGTCAAGGCAGCAGCTTCTGCCTTTGCTGTCAGCTCCAGTGTCTGGCACGTAGTGGGCTCTCAGTGGGTGTTTGCTAACGCTAACAGTATAGAGGTTTTCTCCATGCTTTCACCCGGACTGTCCATTGCCTTCTCTTGCCAGAACAGGAGGACAAGTCAACCTGGGCACCCCCAATCACTCACCACCACCTTTTTCTGGCATAGTATTAATTCATCAATTCATTTAACGAACTTTGCTGAGCATGTGAGTCTGACTATGTGCCAGACACAGATAGAGAGCTGGACAAGACTTGAGGCCTGCCATTGAGGACTGAATGTGTGCTGAGAGAACCTGGCAGATCAACAGATAATACAAAAATAACATGGCCAAGGGCTGAGGTTTGTTCTGGGTGTTAGAGGGGGTGCAGAGGATAGGTACTTAACCTCTGTCAGGGAGGGTCCTGGGAGGATGATGATGGAGGACTTCCAGGAGGAGGTGACCAAGGTGAATCTTAAAGGATAGATAGGAGAATGTCAGGTAAACGGAGCAAGCTGGGGAAGGCAGTTCAGGCAGGGGGACTTACATGTGCAAAGGCAAAGTGGTAAGACGGGCTGCTGCAGAACCAGGAGCAAGCATGAGAGCTGGAAGGAGGTACTGCCTTCCTCTCCCTGCCAGCAACACCTGTGGGTCCCACTGAGTGCCTGGAAGCCCTGGATGGAGGACAAGGGCTTGCATTCAGGACAAGCCTGGGAAAGAAATTTTGATCTGAGAAATCCAGGCTGCATTTATCCAGCTAATGTGGCTGAACTGAACCCTTAATTGGGTCAGGTTGAGCTTCCCGGCTCAGCAGGAATGCCTGAGAACAGGAAAGAATTTGATCTGAGGGTCTGACCCTCACCCCTGCATTTTACAGCCTCCCCTTCCAGCATTCTTTTATTACTATTGCTGTTGTCATTATTATGATGCCTTCTGGAGCCTCCTTTCATTCCAACAGTTACATCCTCTTATTTGCCCTATTGGCAATTAGTCTTCTTTGGACATGCTTGGTAGTTTTTTATGCGCTAATTTTTCTACCATAGCTTGAGTTGGTTTTATTCATTCCATTGGCCAGGCAGTAGTAACCGTTGTTGGTCATGGACCAGGAGTCCAAACCCCAGCTGTGGTCCGGCTCACTATGGAAGGCGCTCACCATGGTGGTGAAGAACATGAGCTGAATCTAGGTTCAAGTTCAGAATCGAGTTCAGACCCAGACCCCAGCCATACTAGCTGTGACAGAACTTTTAATTTTACTTAAAATCTCATTTTGCAAGTATTTCTTTTTTCTTTTTTCTTTTTTTTTTTTAAGGCAGAGTCTCACTCTGTCACCCAGGCTAGAGTGCAGTGGCAGGAACTCGGCTCACTGCAACTCCGCCTCCTAAGTTCAAGTGATTCTCCTGCCTCAGCCTCCCGAGTAGCTGGGATTACAGGGGCGCACACCACCACACCCAGTTAATTTTTGTATTTTTGGTAGAGACGGAGTTTCCCTATGTTGGCCAGGCTGGTCTCCAACTCCTGACCTCAAGTGATCTACCTGCCTTGGCCTCCCAAAGTGCTGGGATTACAGGCATGAGCCACTGCGCCCAGCCAATTTTGCAAGTATTTCATGAGTATGAGTATGTTTTCATCAGGAAAAGAGTATTTCATCCCATCCCAGTGCCCTCTTTAGAAACACCTTGTTTTCAGGTGGTGACAAACCCACACAGACAGATACGGTTGTGGATTTTTGGGGGATTTTTTCTTTTCTTTTTTTTTCTGCTTTTAATATGAATGATGTGATGCAGGATGTGTTGCTCTGCATTTATTTTTTTCACTTCACAATATGGCCTGGAGATTGTTCGAAGTCTTTCCGTGGCTATCTACCCCACGGTTCCTGATGCTTGTTTGTTGTGTTTCAGGCAATCGCTCCTTTGCTGGAAAACAACCACCCACCACCAGATCTCTGTGAATTCTTTTGCAAGGTACGGGATTGCTGAGCTGGGGCTGTGGCTGCAGGAAGTAACCTCCCTCTGTGCGCATACCAGGGATTGGGTTTGCACAGAAAGGCCAAAAACCTGGGCCCCACCGTCTTGGGTCACGGTCCCAGACACAGGCGGAGAGGGCATGCCCGGCACCCATTCTTAGGGCTACACCCACGTCTCTGCCAGACAGGTGACAAAGAGTCACAAGGGGAACATCTTGCTTTTCCTTGGAATCACTTCCCGGCTGTCTTAGGAGACAGGTTGCTGCAGATTTCCTGGGCTCATGACGTCAGAGCTGGGTTATTATTAGCCAAGGTTCCTCTGCGCAGTGGCTGGCCCACGGTGGGGTGCGGCTGTGGGGCTTTCCCTGAACACGGGAGGCAGCACGGTGCTCCAGGTTAGCTTAGAGGAGCTGTGGAGCAGGGCATCCGCTGCCGGGCACCCGGCGCCAGCCTTGCAGTGGGATTCACATAGGACATGTCCAGGGCACATCTTTGTGGCTCAGGCCGAACCATCACACAAACCTGTTTTGTTCTTTGCTGTGTGGTTTTTTTAGTGTAATAATTTTATGTCCTTGGAGAGACATGTTCTCAGCACTCCCCTGTCATACCCCTGCTGCCCCGCTCAGCTGGTCCTCATCCCTCCCCGCTCCCATTACCTGCCTCCTGCCACGGTCACCCGCTGTCCTTTGGAGAGGCGTGGGCTGTGTCCAGCAGTGGGACCAGCCTGTGGGGTGGAACAGCAGGCCCCTGGGAGGAAAGGGGGCTGTGGTGCGCTTGATTTCCCTTGCCGCCCCTTCCCGGCCCCCCACCCCTCACCCCAGGGAGTCCTCTGTGTATGTGTCAGGGGACGGGAGCTTTGAAAGGGAGACAAGATTCAGTTGTCCTCCTGGAGTCTGCCTCCCTATCAGGATTCCTTTTCTACCAATCCACACACCTTCTGGTCTGAGTGCCCAGGGTACCTGTCAGGGCCTGGAATGACCCCCACCCCCATCCTTAATGTGGGCATGTGCAATGTGTGCCCCCTGGCCCAGGGAGTGAACACCCGTGAGTGTGTGTGTGTGTATACAGGTGTGGATACACACAGGCCCCGGGCTCCTCAGGACACACAAGGGCCTTGTCTGCCTCCGGGACTCATGGGTATCATGCCCCCAGAAGAGTGGAATTAAATAACCCAGTATCCTGAGAGAACGGCCAGCTGCTCCTCTGCCTGTCACAACAGATCACCTCCTCCATCTCCTGTCCAATTTAACCCAAACCTGCCCCATGCTTGCCTCTCAAGCTTAGGATTTCACCCAGATCTCATGATTCTCAAAGTCTGGTTCTAGAACACTGGATATTTGTTGTAGAACAAGATACACTTGCCTCACTGTGTTTCCTACCTGAGGCTTCACTTGCCTCACTGTGTTTCTTACCTCAGCGTTCCTAGTAGCACAGTTTGGAAAGGGATGAGGTAGAAAAAGGTACCCTTTTTGGCATTCTTTGCTGTAATCCTGTGTGGGTGTTTCAAAGAGGGCCGTCTGCCTTTTGGAGGGAGGGGGGTCCCAGCCATGTGGGATGCTTCTTTGGCTATTTTGCCTCTGGGAGTTGGAGCCCAGAGAGGAGAGCTTGAGGGGACCAAAGCCTCCCGCGCTGCGTCCGCTCTGCCAAACTCCTGCCAAATTCCAAGATCTGAGGAAAGTTTATTCATCTTGCTTTCTCAGGGGAGCCCTGATTTCTCTTATCCCAGGTCTAGCATCCTCATCTGGGGGCCGGGTGGGTGATACATGTGTGCAGGACACGAGGGAGGGGCTGGGCCTTGTCCTCACAGCCTGTGAAGGGCTTCCTTTCCAGTATGAAAAACAAAACACCGCGCTGGTGATGAATTGGGTCTGCAGACTGCCACCCGAGTGCTAAAGCCACCAGTTGAAGAGTCACAGAATTTTCAACACCCTGGTGGTCAAATGCCAAAGCCCTCGTACTATCATACCCAATTTCCAAGGTCTTTCAGACCAAACATGCAGAATCTTAGCTTTACAGAAGTCTCATTATATATTAAATAAGGACCCTGTCAGAACGCCTATGTGTACCATCTGAAATAGTCTCAAGCTTTAAGGTCAAAACCAAACAAAAAGCAAACAAAAGCTCTCATCTCGTCTACTTTTTTAACTCCAAAAAAAAAAAAAAAATTTTAAGGCTATGGCACTCGTAGGTATTTCCCCAAATGAGTTCAACACACCTGTCCACACAAACATCTACATGCCGACGTTACAGCAGCTGTATTCATGACTACCAGAACGTGGAAGCACCCAAAATGCCTTCCAGTGGGTGAATGGATAAATAAACTGTGTAACAATGCAGTGTTATTCAGCACTAAAAAAAAAAACGAGCTAGCAGACCACGAAGAGAAAGGGGGAGCTTTAAATGCATATTAGTAAGTGAGAGGAGCCCATCTGAAAAGGCTGCACACTGCACGATTCCAACTACAGGACATTCTGAAAAAAGCAAAACTATGGAGAAAGTAAAATGATCGGTGGTTGCCAGGGGTTGGGGAGAGGGAGGGACGAATTGGCTGAGCACAGAGGATTTTTAGGGCGTGAAACGACTTCCTATGATATTACATTGGTGGCTCCAGGACATTAGACATTTGTCTAAACACCCAGAGCGCACAGCACCAAGAGTGAACCCTAAAGTCAACTGTGGACTCTGGGTAACAATGATGTGTCAGTGTGGGGTTCTCCATTGTAACAAATATCCCACAGGGTATACGTGCTACATTTGTTACACCGCACGGTCCTTTGGGGAGGCAAGGGCTGTGTCCACCAATGAGACCAGCTTGTGGGGTAGAAATGCAGGCACCTGGGAGGAAAGGGGACCGTGGTGCACTTTACCCCCTGCCCAGGGAGTCCTCTGTGTGTGCATCAGGGGACAGGAAAGGGAAACAAGATTGTGTTGTCCTCTTGGGCCCTGTCTCTCCACCAGGATTCCTTTTCCAGTGCCCCACATGCCTGCTGGCCTGCGTGCCCAGGGTACATTTCAGGGCCGCCTGGAACGCCCCCACCCCATCCTTAAAAGGAGCATGTGCAGTGATCGTTGGGGAGGCTGTGCGTGCCGGGGGCAGGGGGTATCTGGGAAAGGTCTCTACCTTCCTCTCCGTTCTGCTCTGAACCTAGAACTGGCCCCCCTCCAAAATAAACTCATTTTTAGAAAGCAGTGCAGCCGTGTTCATCAAGGGAACCCAGGCACCCACAGCTGGGCTGACTGTCCCCAGCCCTGCTAGCAGCCACGGGCTGTGTTCAGAACATTCTTAGGGCCGCAGTAACTGTACCCCACTCTGTCCCCAGCACTGCAGAGAGCGGCCCCGGTCCATGGTGGTCATCGAGGTGTTCACCCCCGTGGTGCAGCGAATCCTCAAGCATAACATGGTGAGTCACCCTGCCCCAACACCCAGACCCCAGCGCCCAGAACATGAGGCCCCGCGCGCCTCCCTGGCCTTTTGCGTTGGCACAGATTTGGGGAATGTGGTTGGCCCAGCGTGACAGCCAGGAACTGGGGTTGAGATTCTGGTTAAGGACTTTTGGGGGTTTTGTACAGCTTGTCCTCCATTACGGCAACAGGAAGAATCTTTTTGCAGTTCCTAAGAATTACAAAAATACCGCAGCTGGAGGAGAAGAGGAAAGCCTCCCGGGAAGAATAGGCCCAAATAATGTCTGTAGATGCCCTGCCCTCAAGGACCCAGAGCGCGACTTTGCACTCCTTTAGTGTGTGCTGCGCACAGCGAGGTCCTTCCAGAGAGCACTGTATGGAAGGGGGCAGGAGTAGCCTTGCAGTGGAGAAACCAGACACACTCAGCCTCAGCCAGGTGATCAAGGTCAACATCGACAACAACAAGCCAGTTAGACAGAATATTCCCTTCATAGGACGTATAAAAACGACACTTGACCTCTATGGTCTTCCTCCCAGTAACCCATCACCCCATTCCAATCATGAGAAAAACATCAGACAAATCCCAACAAGGGGACAGTCTACAAAGTACCTGGCCAGTACTCCCCACGGTCAAGGTCATCAAAAACAAGGAGATTCTAAGAAACTGTCACAGCTCAGAGGAGTCTACGGGGGCGTAACGACTAAATGTCATTTGGGGCTCTCCATGGGATCCCAGAACAGAAAAGGGACATGAAGGGAAAACTGAGGAAATCTGAATAAAGCTTGGCCTTTAATTTTTTTTTTTAAATACAAAAGCAGGATTTAATTGCACACTTAGAGCGGGTGGGGCGCTTGTAATCTGTGTGGCCCCTTGGTGTTCCCTCATCATTCCAGGGACAGCAGCAAATGCCATTATTTGCCCTGTATGTCACGAGGAAACTGAGGCTTAGCTAGGTCCACTAAGTGGCCACAGGGACCACAGGTAGGAATAAGAATAACATCTTTTTGCAGATGCTTATTGAACACTTTCTTGGAGTCAAGAGTGTGGTGCTCTTTGAGTGTATTGTGTTATTAACCCTCATGCCATTCCCATGACACCTGTGCATAGGAGGAATCTGGGACCCAGAGAGGTGGGACGGGATAGGCAGGGTCTGATGAGCAGCTGTGGGTGGTCCTGGTGGGAGCTAAGGAGCAGGCAGCCTGAGGCCAGGGCCCATTCCCAATCACATGTTGTACTGAGCCAGCCACCACGTTAGATTTTAGAGTCTCCTGGAGCACGTGAAAACAACTGAAAAAGGGTAACCACACATCATTTCACTTGTGATGTAGCTTGCCTGTCTCCACACCATGCCCCTGAAGAATAGTATATCACCTACAGCCCCTTCCCCAGTCAGGAATGGAAGTGCATGACACATGTGCTCCTCTACCCCTTCCATGCTCATGGCAGACATCATTAATCAATTATAGCACTCTTTCTGTAGAGCCAGAGACAGCATCACACTCTTTCCCCTCCTGCATTCCAGGCCACCACTACCAACTGAAATCGTGTTAGTACCATAATGAATGCTATGTACCATTCTCTACCCTAAGCGATTGCAAACTGTAAATGAATTGTTGCTGATTTCTGAGCCCCTCCTAGATTTGGGGTAAATTCATTTCTTGTTTTCAGAACACAGGGGATAGGGACACCCTGTGCAGTTCTTTCTCCAGGACAAGGAGACTCCCCACTGGGGGATGGGGCGGGGTTTCTGCCTTAATTTGGGCGCTCATAGTTTCAAGGAGGAGCTCTTTCTGGCTTTGGCCAGCTAGAAGGAAAGGTGCCCTGTTTGTTAACTTTAAAATCACTACGGGTGTAGTGTATGGAGTGGGCTGTGCCATGCTGGAGTTCAGAGCAAAGGTTCTTCAGGTTTTCTTGCGAAGGACCTTAACTTGTCAATGGCAGAGCCACACCCCCGGGACATACTTGGCAGAGGAATGCCTCTTCAGGCACATAAACATTTTTGCATACTCCATGTTAGTCAATAAACCGTTTCATAAGGGTTCTTTGAGGACATCTGACTTCAAAGGGAAAAAATTCATAATTCAGACAGGCTCTCGGGGCTTCACCATACAACGCCTTTCTTGTATTTGGTTAGTTTTATGGGCCTGGAGTGTTGACCATGTATTAATTTTCTCTATAAAAATCAGAACCGCTCTGGGCAGACCCAGAATTTATAGTATCTGTGGCAGTCTGGCAGAGAGTAGGGACCCTCAGCCATGAGTCCTCGCCTCACTTGTAACGAGTACCCCCTAAGTGATCCCAGGTGTCTGGGGATGCTTTAACGCACCCAGATCCCACCTTGCTCTTGGCGCCTCCTAATTACACACCATGAGCGGCGGCGGCAGAGGAGAACTGCTGGGAGGACCGAGGAGGATCCGCCTCTCGTGTAGAAGAACAGACTGTATTAAACAGTGATTATGGCCATGCCAGGCACAGGAAGACCTGACCTCATGGAATCCTAACAACACAGGCGGTGGGCGAGAGAGAGCTTTGACATTTACTCACTGAATGCGCCCTGATGCTTAATGAGTGGCACGGGTCAGCAGCACCGTTGTGGAGCTGGGGCTCTCAGCTGGTGTGGGGGGGGGGTCATGTCTCTGGCTAAGGAGCGTACCTAGCCTGCCTAAGCCATGAGCCTGTTGGGGTGGCATGAACAGTGACTGCTCTTCACCCCAAATGCAGTGTTTCTCCTTAAGGAGGCACTCAGACATTTAGGAAACGGGGGGAACGTAGCCACGGTGCTGTTCTGGGATTTGGGGGCTCCCCCATTCTGGGTGCATCTCTTGCAAATATGTTATGTGCTCCCTTTCACGGATGAGCAAACTGAAGCTTTGAGAGTCTCAAAGAATGTTCTTTACTAGACTGAAATAAAAACTAGAAACAAAAGGAAGCGGTTCTTTAGTATGTTCCTCTGGAGATTCAGTCCAAATAATTCGCCAAACTGCGTTCTGAAGAATGACCATGTATCTCTGTGCCCCCACGCCACTCGGAGTGTTCTTGTGGCAAAGGAGGCGAGAAGACACGGCTGTGGTCCCCAGTGGACCGTCAAGTAACCTAACCTCCAGTTTTCCAAGGGGAGCGTATTTTTCAGAGGCTGCTGGATCCCTCTGTAAATGTTTATTTCCATGGAAATGACCTTGATTATTCAAAAATCTAATAGCTAAGATGACAGTTACCTTAAGTCTCTGTTGAAGCAGTTTACAAAATCATAAAACCCTCGTGGTGGAAGGGGGCTAGAGATCACTTCTGTGGACCCTCATTCCATAGTGGGGTCAGTGAGGCCCAGAGACAGACGTGGCAGCCCAAAGCCAGATTAAATACTTGTGAGGCAGAGGCCTCATTTTCTAACCCAGGAGGGAGGGAGGGAGGGAGAGAAAGAGAGAGAGAGAGAGAGAGAGAGAGAGAGAGAGTGTGTGTGTGTGTGTGTGTGTGTGTGTGTGTGTGTGTGTGTTTGTGCTCATGCCAGTGCGTGCATTTTTCTGAACTTGCTCCGGGGGCTCTGCCTCCCTCTTTATGTAGCAGGACAGTCCTAGCAGGCAGACGAGTGAAAGCTCCCCCTGCACTGTCTCTCACAAAGGACCCCTTTGACTCCACATGAAGAAGCCCCCAGCGGCTCTAGAAACTCTCTCCTGGGAGCCTGCGGGAGGGAGTGGTAGGAACGGGTTCCACTCAGAGCTTTCATGCCAGCTTCGGGGTCAGTTAGACCTGAGGGGGGTCTCTATTTCTGTTCTACAGCTTGAAGTCCTGATGCAGGCTGCTCTCCTTAAAAAATGGGTTCCACTGAGATGGGTACGGAGGGACAGGTCTGGAGACTCCAGGCTCCCCTCCGTGGTCAGCCACATCACGTTTATGGAGGGTCGGGGGCAGGACGGTGCCGCTCCTGGGTGGCCAGACACAGCCCGAGGGGCTGGCAGTCCCAGCACCTCCGCAGCCCTGGCCACGACCCTGGGAATGAATGCGGCGGCCAGATTCACAGGCCCCTGTCCGGCCCGTGCCTCTCTCCTGCACCTCTGTTCTGCTCCTGGCAAGCCCCAAGCCCCCCACTGGGCTGGGCGCCGACTTCCTGCCTCCTGGCAGAGCTCTCTGTGCCGTGGCCCCTGTCTTCCTGACACCTGGAAGAGGCCGAGCACGGCAGCCACCACATATGGCCCTCAGCCGGCACAGGCAGTGTCCCTGTGTCCTTGACCTGGCCCCTTGACAGAGCCCCGCAGTGGACACTTTAGTTCCGGGGGCCTGGTGCAGGCGCTGCTTTCCCTAGCGTGGCACAGATGGGGCCTCCAACCAGGGTGGTGTCCCTGTCCCCTCATCATAGTGACACGTGCCAGTGCCTCCCCTGCCACTAATGCCTGGTGCCCAACTCCTCATTGCACATGTATGCCTCTGTCCACAGCAGCCTGTCACAAACACACATCCATTCACACCCACCTCACACTCACTGCCTTCCACACCCACCTCACACTCACTGCCTTCCACACCCACCTCACACTCATTGCCTTCCGTACCCACCTCACACCTTCCACACCCACCTCACACTCACGGCCTTCCACACCCACCTCACACCTTCCACACCCACCTCACACTCCTTCCACACCCACCTCACACTCTCCTCCTTCCACACCCACCTCACACTCCTCCTTCCACACCCACCACACTCTCCTCCTTCCACACCCACCTCTCACACTCACCTCCTTCCACATCCACCTCACACCTCCACACCCACCTCTCACACTCACCTCCTTCCACACCCACTTCATACCTCCTTCCACACCCCTCTCACCTCCTTCCACACCCACCTCTCACCTTCCACACCCATCTCTCACACTCACCTTCCACATCCACCTCACACCTCCACACCCACCTCTCACACTCACCTCCTTCCACATCCACCTCACACCTCCACACCCACCTCTCACACTCACCTCCTTCCACACCCACTTCATACCTCCTTCCACACCCCTCTCACCTCCTTCCACACCCACCTCACCTTCCACACCCACCTCTCACACTCACCTCCTTCCACACCCACTTCATACCTCCTTCCACACCCCTCTCACCTCCTTCCACATCCACCTCTCACCTTCCACACCCACCTCTCTCACCTCCTTCCACATCCACCTCACACCTCCACACCCACCTCTCACACTCACCTCCTTCCACACCCACTTCATACTTCCTTCCACACCCACCTCTCACCTCCTTCCACACCCACCTCTCACCTCCTTCCGCACCAACCTCTCACCTCCTTCCACACCCACCTCACACCTTCCACACCCACCTCACACTCACCTCCTTCCACACCCACCTCACATTCACCTCCTCCCATACCCACCTCACACTCACCTCCTTCCACACCCACCTCTCTTCTCCTTCCACACCCACCTCTCACACACCTCCTTCCACACTCCACATTCCCCTCGGAAGCACCCTCTCTTGTCCCCCCAGCCTTTCTGGCTCTCTTTTCTCTTTCTCGTCTCATTTGTCTCACAAGTGCCTTTTGAGGGTGGCTTTCTCTACAGCCAGAAGCACCTGCTCATCAGATGGTCCTTCAGAGTGGAAGCGCGGGTGTCGCAGTGCTATTCTTTGAAGTAGACGCCACCTGTGCTTTCCAGAGGGTTGGTGTCTCCCCATTGCCTTCCACATCAACAGCTCCAGGCAGAGCTCGGTCCCGCCCTTCTTTCTGGTGTCCTGGCTGCCCTGGGCTCCTGCCCTGCCTAGCACCGTCCCGACTCCTGTCCTCTGCTGTCTCCACAGGACTTTGGGAAGTGCCCGCGACTGAGGCTGTTTACTCAGGAGTACATCCTTGCCTTGAACGAGCTCAACGCGGGGATGGAAGTGGTGAAGAAGTTCATTCAGAGGTGGGTCTCCGGCGCGACGTCCCTCTGTGGCCTAGGAGCCACTTTCCTCTCGGATCCTGTTTACTCAGATATCCACGGGGGGCTGTCGTGTAATTAAATGAAGACTCCCTCTATGAGGAAGCCCCTAGCCTACTGCACGGTGCCCGATAGGAACTCGGACACACTGGACCTCAGCAACACTGCTGTTTCCTCAGGTCCCACGACCCCTCAGGCTGTAGGTGCCACATGTTTAGGACTCTGTCCCACCCCTGGTGGTCCCAGAGCGTCATCGTCGGGTGCTTGAACAATCACCCCATAAACATAACCAAGAGGAAGCCAAATGTTCTTGCTCTTACTCACTTTTGGTTCTTGGGGTTGGTGTTTTGGGTTTTTTTTGGGGGGGGGGGGGGTGGTTGCTTTTGCTTTGTTTAATTTTAAATTTTCTCTCGGTGCTCCAGTTTCCTCATCTGTCACACAAGAACCATAGTATCCCTCGCCCAGTTAGTGTGATGCTCCAGTGAGTAGGAGACACAACACATGGAGAATGCTGCGGAAGTCTCGTGTCAGGCCGAGGTGTCATCATTCTTGTTCTTCTCATCTCTTTTGTTTGTTTGTTTGTTTTGAGATGGAGTCTCGCTCTGTCACCCAGGCTGGAGTGCAGTGGCTCAGTCTCGGCTTACTGCAACCTCCGGCTCCCGGGTTCAAGCAATTCTCCTGCCTCAGCCTCCCAAGTAGCTGGGATTACAGGCACACGTTACGACTCCTGGCTAATTTTTGTATTTTTAGTAGAGATGGGGTTTCAACATGTTGGCCAGGCTAGTCTTGAACTCCTGACCTCAGGTGATCCACCTGCTTCGGCCTCCCAAAGTGCTGGGATTATAGGCGTGAACTGCTGCCCCCAGACTCTTCTCATGTTTTAAGAAAATCACAGTAACCCATTTAAACAAGTTCTGAAGCTACGTATTTCCTAAATATGCCCACTTGGAACTCACGAAGTCGTTTGAGGTTGGCTTTGTGACATGCCCTCATGCCAGAACCGTGGTGACACCACCCAGTTGTGGTTTGCAAAATCTTGTCAGGTTAGGGCATTCTTAGTGACAGCAGCCTCGATGACAGCTTCCCAGAAATGGTACAGGTGTTATCCTCAGGACCACCAAAATAGCCAAGACAAGTAATAATTAGTGGCACTTATTGAGGACTTAGTAACTATGTTGGTGACTCTATGCTAAGCCAAAATGACCCTCATCATTTTTCTTCCAAAGCAGGATATGTTTGAAAGTAAAATGAGGTGTTAGGAATAATTAATTATTCCTGAACCACCAGGTGTGAGCATGACTGTCCCAGGACGTATGGCCACCATTTGCTAGGTCTCTCTGTGAATTAGAAAATTTGGTCCTAACTGTACCCCAACTGAGGAGGGGGCTGCTATCCTCATTTTATCGCTGCAGAAACAGGGTGGAGAGTTTAGGAGGTTTCCAAGGCCACTCAGGGGTTTGAACCCGGGAACCCTGGATCCGGAGTCCACAGCCAGGAGCTTTGCCTTCTGCTGCCTGCACGTGGCACAGCCGGGGCCCAAATCCTGGTGCCACCAATTGCACAGTGAAGGCTCTCAGAGCCCCCCAAGTGGCGCTGGCAGAGCGGGCAGCCCCGTGCCTGAGCAACGCCCTCCCTTTCCCCCCTTACCCTGTCCATGGGCCCCACTCCTGCAGGCTTCTCACCCCAGCCCTCTGCTTTTTTCCAGCATGCACGGCCCCACAGGGCACTGCCCCCACCCCCGGGTCCTGCCCAACCTGGTGGCCGTGTGCCTGGCTGCCATCTACTCCTGCTATGAAGAGTTCATCAACAGGTCAGTTGCTGAACCACCGCCACCCAGAGGGCTTGGGAGGGGCAAACTGCCACCCCCATCATGGGCAAAGTCACCAAGAACTGACCAGGCCAGAGAGGTGGAGTGGCTGTTTACTGGGCAGACCTCATGGTGTGTTTGCCAGTTCCCCTGGGCACATTGATTCATGGGCCCAGAAGCCAGGGATGCTGCTGAAAAAGCAAGCACTGAATCAGCACCGCAACTGCAAGGCTGTTAGAGCTGCTTGGCTTTAGGGACAGATGTTTTATGCTGAAGATTTCTCACCACTGGAGAGGTATGACACACTGGTGTGTGTGTGTGAATGTGTGCACATGGGTATGCAAATGCATGTGTGCACTGTACACATACATGTGACTGTGTGTACGTGTGTGCACATGGAGGTGTGAATATGTGCCCGTGTGTTGGGGACAAGGGTTGACAGTAAGGTTTATCCTGTCTAGTCTTGGCTTTGAGAACACAGGCTTTTGCCCATGATTTGCATGGTTTTATTTTATTTTTTTGAGACAGGGTCTCACCCTGTCACTTAGGTTGTGCGGCAATACAGTGGTGCAGTCATAGCTCACTGCAGCCTCAAACTCCTGGGCTCAAGCCGTCCTCCCACCTCAGCCTCCCGAGTAGCTAGGACCACAGGCACATGCCACCACTCATGGCTAATATTTAAAATTTTTTTGTAAAGACAGGATCTTGCTGTGTTACCCAGGCTAGTCTCAAACTCCTGGGCTTAAGCAGTCTTCCCATTTGGACCTCCCAGAATGCTGAGGTTACAGGCATGAGCCATTGCATCTGTTTTTCTTGAGCGCCTGCTGTGTGCTTGACACAATTTCAGTGCTGGAGAGCGAGCAAGATCACAAATTCCCTGCTCTCTTGGGGCTTCCATTCTACCAGGAAGAGATCATGTACAAGTAAATGTGCAAGATCATGTCAGAGGGTAAGAAAAACCGTGAGAGCAATAAAACCGAGTGGTGGGGTAGCAAGTGACCGGAAGAGGTGGCAGGGCAGGGCCACGACCTGGCTTTGGAGCCTCCAAAAGGAAACTCCAAGACCAGGATTTGGGTGGAAGTGGCTTCCTAGGAAGGTGGTCCCAGGAAACACTGGGGGACAGGGAAGGGAGGACATCAGTGAAGTATGAATTAATAAGCAGGTGAGGCTGGGCGCAGTAGCTCACACCTGTAATCCCAGCAGTTTGGAAGGCCAAGGCGGGCAGATCACTTGAGGTTAGGAGTTGGAGACCAGCCTGGCCAACATAGTGAAACCCCGTCTCTACTAAAAAAATATAAAAATTAGCCGGGCATGGTGGTACATGACTGTACTCAGCTACTCAGGAGGCTGAGGCGGGAGAATAGCTTGAACCTGGGAGGCAGAGGTTGCAGTGAGCCAAGATCACACCACTGCACTCCAGCCTGTGCAACAGAGTGAGACTCCTTCTCAAAAATAAATAAATAAATAAATAAGAAAGCAAGCAAGCAGGTGACCACTTCAGGCAGCTGGCATGCACTCCCACTGTGCCCCAGGAGGCCGTGCGTAACACACTGAGAGTTGCTCTGCTGAGAGTTGCTCCGCCGAGGCTGGCGGTGCTGGGATAGTCACTCACCAGCTCCCATCCCTCGCTGGCTGAGAACTGCTCCCGGGATGCAGACTAATGCAGATGCCATTAGTTTATGGGGAACTTTCTGCAGTGACCTCTGGTGTCATTGGAGAGGATGTGACATGCAGAACACAGTGGTCTCTGCTGCAGCCACCCAGTTGTTCAGGTGGTACACTACACAACTCCAAGGAGACCAACATGAGTCCAGACCCCACCAGAGCTGGGGATACAGCAGGAGGGTATTTCAGTCTTTTCTCAAAATGAAGGCAGTAGAGCATTCTGAGTCGCTGAAAACCTGTACAGGGGGGATTTCTCAAACAAATGCCGTACTGCTGAGTTCTTCGGAGGGGCAGGAAAAGGCATTTGATAAATCAGGGGCTGTTTTCTTGCAGCAGGGCATGAGAGAGGGTGACTCTTTTAATGCCCTCAGCCTCAGGTCCCGATGTTCAAAGGGGATCATGTCCCACCTTGAATCACTTCCCTGATCAGAAGGAAGTGCAGGGACTCCAGGGGCCAGAATGTGGAGATGGGAGGCTGCTCATTCCCAAGGGCATGTTCTGGAGCTGACAGCACGGTGAGGCAAAAAGAGGAGAAAACGGAAGCCAGAGGGTAGTATCAGGCCTGCCCTTTTGTATTTTTAGTAGAAATGGGGTTTCACCATGTTAGCCAGGATGGTCTTGATCTCCTGACCTCGTGATCCACCCACCTTGGCCTCCCAAAGTGCTGGGATTACAGGCGTGAGCCACCGCGCCTGGCTTACAGTATTTAAGTTATACCCAGAGTGTGCAGGAGCCAGCTCACACGTTACATTTGGGAACACATCCCTTCCCAGTTCTGTAATGATATCATATTGATAGCTTGAAGTAGCTGTGGTGAGTATTTACACCAAAGAAATTGGTAAACACTGCAGATCAGGGCTTCTTTTTTTTTTGAGACAGCTTAGCTGTTGTCGCCCAGGCTGGAGTGCAGTGGCACAATCTTGGCTCACTACAGCCTCCACCTCCTGGGTTCAAGCGATTCTCCTGCCTCAGCTTCCTGAGTAGCTGAGATTATAGGTGTGGGCCACCACACCTGGCTAATCTTTGTATTTTTAGTAGAGATGGGGTTTTACTTTGTTGGCCAGGCTGGTCTCGAACTCCTGACCTCAGGTGATCTGCCCGCCTCGGCTTCCCAAAGTACTGGGATTACAGGCGTGAGCCACCACATCCAGCCAGATCAGGGCTTCTTTCTTTGGAGAGTTGGTTGTTAGACATTTACCAGCGTACTTTGGGTTATATGTCAATTTAAAAAAAGAAAGAAAGAAAGAAAGAAAGAAAAGGGTGCCCAGGACCCTCCCAGTGCCATTCTGATTTAATTAGGATGGCCCTGGCATCTGTTTTTGGAAGGAGCGTTGGGGAGGTGATATTTACGTTAATACCTCCTGGCTGTTCTCCAGGCAAGAAGCAGGAAGAGGGTGACCCAGGGAGAGAACCACATGGAAAGGCCTGGCAGTGATGGGTGAAGGTGCCATTCGTCACAGTGTTTTTGTTTTTGGTTTTTGGGTTTTTTTGGAAACAGTCTCACTCTGTCACCCAAGCTGGAGTGCGGTGGCGCAATCTCTGCTCACTGCAACCTCTGCCTCCTGTCTTCAAGCAATTCTCATGCCTCAGCCACCCAAGTAGCTGGGATTACAGGTGTGCACTGCCACACCTGGCTAATTTTTTTTTTTTTTTTTTTTGTATTTTTAGTAGAGATGGGGTTTCGCCATGTTGGCCAGGCTGGTCTCAAACTCCTGGCCTCAAGTGAAATGCCCCCCTTAGCCTCCAGAAGTGCTGGGATTACAGGGGTGAGCCACCATGCCCGTGTACAATGTTTTTGTATCTACGGGTCCTTGAACCACTACTTCAGAATCACCTGGACTGCTTTAAAATAGATTCCTGGCTGCAACATTTCTGGGGTATGGCCCAGGAGTCTGCATTCTAAACAAACTCCACAAGTCATTCTGCTGCACACTGAATATGGAGGTCCCTGCAGGGGAAGAGCTGAAGGAAATCCAGTGTGACTAGAGCAGAGAGAGGAAAGGGAAGCAAAAGATGGAGTTGGAGAGGAGAGAGTGCTGGGCCATGAATAGCCAGCTTCTCAAACCTCCTGGTGCCTGGGACTCTCTAGGGTTGGAGTTAAAATGCAGATTTGGATTCAGCAGGTCTGGGGCGGGGCCTGAGACTCTGCTTGTCTAACAAGCTCCCAGGCGAAGCTGCAGGCTGGGGATCACTCTGTAAGTAGCAGGGTTGTCCTGGGTTTCAGTGGCAGAACTTTTATCCTGGGAACATTGGAGAGTCCACAGTGGGTTGTAAGTGGAGAAGGGACGTGATGGGATTTCAGTTCCATTCCCCTCTGGCTGCTGCTGTGAGGAGGATGGAGTAGGGGGCAGGCGTGACCCTGGGGAACGGTTAGGTGGCTGTGGCAAGGAGATGCCAGGTTGGAGGCGTGGCGAGGGTGAGATGGTGCCTGCTGCCTCGTGCCAGCCCTGGCTCAGCTGTGTTGAGCCCCCTCGGAGCCCACAGTAGCCTGGGTTCCAGCTGATGCCATACATTTCCTGGATATCACCCAGAGAAGCACGATGCTGCCAACACGTTTCGTGGGCTCAGGTCCATGACGCCCCCCTCAGCCAGTCCCTTCAAGATAAAGTCCGTCATGTCCTCCAGGCCGTCCCCAGTGCTCTCGGTGGGCAAATGTACACAATGTACTCACACTGAAAAGAACAGACAACTTGACCCAGGTTAGCGTGGCTCTCTTGAAAATCACCAATCTGAGCCAAACAGCCTTGAAAATCCACTTTTAAAACCCAGCAACGGCAAACAAAGAGAAATGCAGTGTTGAGTACTTGGGGAGCAAATCAGATCTGGACCAGAGAATTTAGGTCTCCCCCCATCACAGACCACACACAAGTTGTTATCAACGATAGAATTCTCGGACTTTAGCCGATGGATTGTTTATTTCCCCCAGCAAAGCTGAAAGTGTATTTATTAAACACCCTTGGTGGGCTCAGCTCAGGCCTGGTTCCTGGCATGTGCTGGATACATTCAGACCCTTGCTGTGCATGGGGTTCAAGTTCTGCACACAGCCCTTGGAGGGGCTATTCACGTGCCCCCTCCCACCCCTTCCCCCAGCTGCAACAATTCCCCAAACACAATGCCAGCTGTGTGGCCCTGTCCTCAAGCCTGGGAGCCCCTTTAGAGGCACAGGACCCATGCATGTGACACATGTGGGGAAGGACTAGACAAGCAGCTGTTTTCAATCGTGCCGTTGTGCTCGAAGTCTTGGATTAGTGGATCTCAACCTTGACCACACACGAGGAGCCTTAAAAATTACTCATGTCCAGGTCGCATCCTGGAGATTCCTGTCTAACTGGGCTTTGGGATGTTTGGAAGTGTACCCAGGGGATCCTGGTGTCCCGCCAGGGGTGGAGAGCTTTGGTTTAGGAGGAGTTCGAGGGTAGGAAGGGCAAGAGTAGCAGGAAGAAATCAAGGAAGACTTCCTGGAGGAGGGGACCTGCACAGCTCTTAGGGGACCTTGGAAGCCAACCTAGTTAGGAGGATCCTGGGCTTTGGGGTCCAGGAGATCTGGCTTCAAATCCCATCTCCGTCGACTCATGGGCTGTTTAATTAGGGGTAGATCATTTAACTTCTGAGACCGTCTTTCCTCACCTGTGGCACAGAGACGGTCGGAATCACTGTTCAGTGATGTGTTTGAGCATCTGTGTGACTGCACTTAGCACCTTGCCGGCCCATGGGCACCAGCAGAGGAACCCGTTGATGGTACTACTGTCCCTTATAATGCACCTCCCAGGCAACTGGGCACGTTGGGAAGCAGTCAGAGGAGGGGCTTTAACCAGGTCAAGGCTCTGACAAGTCCTGCCATTAAGAGGCCTAATTTCATCTTGTTTGCCCAGTGTTTGCCTAACAAATGTGAGATTAATAATGCCATAGAGCCCCTTTCTGGGTTAACATGTGTTAACACCTTGTGCAGGCTTCTGTTCCTCTGGGCAGTTAAAGATGCTGTGCCTGGAGGGTTACCCAGGAGGAGTGGGGGTTCCGCAGACAGAAGGGCAGATACTGAGCTTGCTCACTTGGCTGGGTTTGGGGGCAGGAGAGCAGAGTCCTGGAGGACATTGTGGCATGAGGTCAGGGATTGGAGGGCAGTTAGACTGCAGGAAGCTACTAAAAGCAAAACAGTAGATCCCATTGGCTTATCAAGAAAGTGGCCAGTGGCATTTTGGTGGAGGAGAATGCCAAGAGCCTTATGGCTGTCACGTGAAGATCAGCATCCACTCAGTCGGTCAGCAAATATTTTTTGAGCACCTGTTATGTGCTGGGGTGATAGCATGGGCTGTAGAGACAGGCAACCTGGGTTGGGCTGCCATCCCCACCTCTTCCTGTCTAGACCTTGGGCAAGCCGTGCACCCAGGCTGAGCCTCAGTTTCCTCATTTGTAGCACAGGAATGATGATAGTATTACATTTTGGCCTCATCCTGGGATTCAGGGAGGCCTTTAGTCTGATGGGTCATGGTGCATCATGAACGGTGCCTGTACTCATGTGCCCTCTCCCGCCTCTTCCCCCAGCCGCGACAATTCCCCAAGCCTGAAGGAAATCCGGAACGGCTGCCAGCAGCCGTGCGACCGGAAGCCCACTTTACCTCTGCGCCTTCTGCACCCCAGCCCGGACCTGGTGTCTCAGGAAGCCACGCTGTCTGAGGCCCGGCTCAAGTCGGTGGTCGTGGCCTCCAGTGAGATCCACGTGGAGGTGGAACGCACCAGCACTGCCAAGCCGGCGCTGACGGCCAGCGCAGGCAACGACAGCGAGCCCAACCTCATCGACTGCCTCATGGTCAGCCCCGCCTGCAGCACCATGAGCATCGAGCTGGGCCCCCAGGCCGACCGCACGCTCGGCTGCTACGTGGAAATCCTCAAGCTGCTGTGAGTGCCCCCCCCGCGTGCCCGCCCCCGGGGCCGGTGGGAGGAGACTGGGCTTTGCTGCTGGGTGCGGCTGTGTTTGTTGGTTCGAGCTACGCAGGGCCGGGCATGGTAGAGTGGCTTGTGTGTGAGTGCACACGAGCTGGTGTGTGCAAGAGTGTGCATAAGCACAAGTGTGGCTGTGAGTACAGGCATACAGGGTGCATATGTACAAGTGGGTGAGGCACATGTGGCTCTGGTTGTGTATCTGTGAGCATATGGTGTGTGTATATACACACGTGGGGTGCATGCATGGCTTTGTACCTGTATGCTTGAGTGCCTGGGCACATGTGCAAGGTGCATGCCCAAGCATACATGTGTACATATGTCTACATGAGTTTGTGTGTGTGTGTGAGGATCTGGATACATCTGCCAGGGTGTGCAGGAGCACAGGGGTGCCCAAGTGTGTCTTTGAGTGTGTGGACATCTCTACTGTGTTGGGTGTGTGGGATCCTTAGAGCTTGTGAGTGTCTTTGTGTGCCTGAACGGCCATGGGTGGATGTGGGTGCGACAGCACACGTGGTCTGCCGAGTGTGTGTGTTTATAGGAGAGATGGGTGTGGGCATGCCTGTGGATTTCTCTGTAGGGATGTGTGTGTGTGTGTGTGTGTGTGTTAAATGCACAGCAGTGGGTGTGTCTAGGCACTTGGGCTAGTTTTGTGCACTAGTGGCTGTGGCTGCATGCATGTGGGTGTAACCATTTGTGCTGTAGGGTTAGAGAGCATGTGTGTTTCTCTGTATGTTTGCAGGTATGTGCATGAGCCCATGTATGTGTGTGTTGTGTGAGCCATGCATGCCGTGTGTCTTTGGGGTGTGAGTATCTGTGCATATGCATGTGTCTGAGTGAGTGACGGGTCATGTGCAGGAGTGTGTGAGTCTGTCTTGGGTATGTGGCTGTGCGTATTTGTGCCGTGTGCCTGGGTGTCTATGTGTGCACATTGGTGTTGTGTGTGCCTGGGTGTGGGTGTAGGAGACCCGTGGACCCGGGGCTGCTCTGGGTGGTGTGGCTTCTGAGCTGGCTCCTTCTGTGCCTGTCCCTCCCCGTCCCTGAACCTCAACTCTGTGACTCTAGGGTGGAGGGGAGTACAGTTCTTAATCCTTGACCCCTAAGGGTCTCTCCAGCCTTGCCATCCACACGCTCCACCTGACACATCTCAAACCCGTGAGCACCTGGTTCTGGGAGCCCCAGTTTGAGGGATCTCATTGACTGTTCCCTTCTGCCCCCCACAGAGCCATGTGGTTCCACAGACCAGCTCAGGTCTGCAGACACTCAGCAGACACCTCCCCCTTTCTCGCTCCACAAACTCCTTCCTTCGGAACAAGCTCTGCCCCACTCTCAGGAGTTTTGAATCCAGAGACAGGCATTTTCAGATGCAGCTGCATGTGGTTGCTGGACCTTTCGGAGGGGTTCGGGGTATGGCTGTGTTGTCATATTTAACCAATGCATGGTGCCTGTCTAGAGCCAGGGCTCCCGGGGCCCTCAGCCTGCAGGGAGGCCACTCGGAAGCCCGGTGCCTGGGGTGTTGTCTGTGTGGGTGGGTGGGGTTTCCCTGAGCCCCTGTGTCGTCACGCGCTGGGCAGCGTTTGGTCATTCTGTCATGTATGTGTTGTGTTGCTCCTGGAGCCTGCTCAGGGTTTCGAGGGACAGAGGGCAGCTTCTGAGGGCCTGGTGAGCTGGAGAAATGGCTGGGAGGCACCCTGGGGTGCCCCCTGTGCTCTGCTAGCAAGGCCTGTGGTGTCTGTGAAGGTGAACATGCGCACACACGTTCACAAGGTGGCTGCTGCTGGTTTGAAGGAGATCGTGGAGGCAGCGTCCCCACATAGCCTCCTCTGCCCTGGCTTTGGCCCCGGAGAGGAAAGGGTGGGGTGTGCCCAGGGGTTCAGGACCAGCCCCGCCTCGTGGTCCCAGCAGCAGAGGTCAGGTGAGGGCATAACCACATTCAGTGACCGCCACCCCCAGCCAAGCGGAATTCCAGATCCCACTAAGAGAGCCACTCCAAGAATACGTCACAGCCCTGAGTGTCTTCAAGGCAGAGAAGGGTGCCAGCTCTCCCAGCGGCAGCCGGGTTAGGGCGCCTCCCTGGATTTTGGAGGGGGCTCCCTGCTCTGATGGAGGTAGAAGCCTCCAGGCCAGAGAGTGGCCCCGCTGTCCACTCCAACTCCCCAGTTCCAGCTGGTTTTTGCAAACACCGTGAGCTCCTGGGCCTTCTGGTATTTGGGGCCTGACTCCTATTTCTCATTAAGCACTAAGGGTTTGAGTTTCAGCACGCAGTTGACACACATTTTTTCCTTCTTCATAAACATGCTCATGAATGGGGGCTCTGTTCTCCCCCATCTGCGTCCAGACCCCCTGCCTGCCCGCATCACCCAGCTGCCAGGGTGCAGGTGGGGGTCAGGGCCATCGCCAAGGGCCCAGGACAGTCAGGGCAAGCCAGGACGGGTTCCCGATGGGGCTACGCAGAGGAGCAGGTCACGCCTATCCCCAAGCCCTCCACAAAATGGGATTATGCTCCTGGCAGCCTCTTCCATCTTCGGGGAGCTCAACACAATTTGGGCCTGATAACTGTATTTTCCCAACAACTTTCCTCCCCACACCCAGCAGGCTGCTTAAGTTGCTGGCTCATTGGAGGCTTCAAACTGGTTGGACCCAAACAACCCCAGCCGCTCAAAGGGCTCCAAAGTGAGATACGTCAGGAAAGGCACAGACTCAGAGTCAGACCATGCTAGGTTCAAGTCTCACCCGTGCCACATACTAGTTGTGACCTTGGACGGTTGGTCATCCTCTCTGAGCCTCCGGTCCCAGGCTGGGAGGTGGCGCAAGTATGGCTGCATCTGGCATTGGCAAAGAGATGGGAGGGGCCAGCCCTGAGTGCCTGGCGCAGAGCAGACACCTCTGCGAGGTGAACACCTGGCCAATGGGAGTAGCCGCCGTTTATGATGCAGCCATGTTCCCGCCGCTTGACCATACTATTGAGGGCGAGATGCGTCATTGATTCAGTAAGAGTGCTTTGAGAGAGAAAAGCCACATGGCATTTATTGCACACCTGGATTGCAGGAAACTTGCCTCCTAGCATTGAGGAAATGCAGCCGTGGGCCTGAGCTGCTGTGGAACTGTGGCCAGTGTTCTTGGCTCCTCTGGGCCTCAGTTTTCTTGTCTGTAAAATGCATGTCTTCTCGGAGGACTGCATGAGAATTCAGGGATGTTGGAGATTTTTGGTGCTGGCCTAGCCTCTGGTTCTTGATAAGAGTAAACTGCTGTTGTCAGCCTGGTGCGGTGGCTCACGCCTGTAATCCCAGCACTTTAGGAGGCCGAGGCGGGGGAATTACTTGAGGCCTCAAGACCAGCCTGGCCAACGTGACGAAATCCTGTTTCTACTAAAAATACAAATATTAGCCGGGTGTGGTGGCGGGCGCCTGTAGTCCCAGCTACTCGGGAGGCTGAAGCACGAGAATCATTTGAACCCCGGGGGGCGGAGGTTGCAGTGATCCACGATTGCACTGCTGCACTCCAAGCTGGGTGACAGAGCAAGACTCCATCTCAATAATAAAAGCGTGAACTGCAGTTATCAGTATTGAAGTGCTGCCCAAATGGGAGTTACACATAAAGAAAAAAAGAAGCAGCCAGGCTCGGTGGCTCACACCTGTAATCCCAGCACTTTGGGAGGCCAAGGCATGCGGATCACCTGAGGTCGGGAGTTCGAGACCAGCCTTACCAACATGGAGAAACCTCGTCTCTACTAAAAATACAAAAATTAGCCTGGCGTGGTGGCACATGCCCATAATCCCAGCTACTTGGGAGGCTGAGGCAGGAGAATCACTTGAACCCGGGAGGCGGAGGTTGCAGTGAGCTGAGATCACGCCATTGCGTTCCATCCTGGGCAACAAGAGCGAGACTCCCATCTCCAAAAAAAAAAAAAAGATGACTTTATGTGGAATTGAAGGGTCTTAAAGAGGACGTTGCCAGGCGGGGCTCAGGAAGGCACGCTTAGAGCGAACCACATCCATCGGAGAGGGCAGTGCAGGTCGCAGGGTGCACAGGTCAGTGTTTCCCGCTCCACTGCCAGGGAGCAGGGGTAGTGGGGCGCAGGCCCTGATCAGTTGCTGCGTGTTCCCATAGGAAGGCCCCTGCATCATTAGAATTTGACACTTTTGAAAAGTAACCTAAGTTGCAAAAATTTCCTGGAGGTCCTTGAAAAGGAAAACTATTCCAAATGCGGGTCGAGGTTGATGGTGAAAAAAATCACCGCATGAGGCGCAGGAGGGGTGAGGTGATGAAAAGAACGTGGATTCGGGAGGCGAAGAAGAGCTTTGGGATTTGTAGTCATTTGGAGTCCAGCTCTTTTCCTGCTGGGCACCTATGTATGATTCACACCTTCATTTATCCACCTGTTGATTCATTCTTTCATCCAGCTTTTGTTGTATACCTACGCCAGGCCAGACTCTATGCCAAATGCCATACTGGTCCCTGTACTCAGTCCCTCTGAACCTGAGTATTGCCAAGTGCTAAGAGCAGTGACATCAAGCGCTCAGTGCGGCTGCTGTAAAGCTCAGATGGGGAGAGTGTGGAAGCCGTGGCCCACTGGGGCCACAGGGGTAGGACGCGCTTCTGATTGGCTCCCGTCGACCGCTTGGGACTCTTTGCAAACATTAGATTTTAAGAGGCCTTGGTGGGCTGCAGCTCAGCTGGAAGAGGCCCCTCCCTCGGGGAACTTCAGGGAAATGCAGATGAATTTGGGGTTGTCCTAATGACTGGGAGGCAGGGCCAGGGGACATCCTGTATTACCTGCAGTAGTTCCGCTCACTGCAACCTCTGCCCCCCAGGTTCAAGCCATTCTCCTGCCTCAGCCTCCCCAGTAGCTAGGATTACAGGCGCCTGCCACCAAGTCTGGCTAATTTTTGTATTTTTAGTAGAGACGGGTTTTTGCCATGTTGGCCAGGCTGGTCTCGAACTCCTGACCTCAAGTGATCTGCCCACCTCAGCCTCCCAAAGATTACAGGCATGAGCCACTGTGCCCAGCCTGTTTTGTAATTTTTAAAAAGTCTTTGATTCTTCTAGGTAGTTCTTTCTTATATGTGTTTATTTTTTCTTTTTCTTTTTTTTTTTTTTTTTTTTTTTGCGATGGAGTCACGCTCTCTCACCCAGGCTGCAGTGCAGTGACGCGATCTCAGCTCACTGCAACCTCTGCCTCGCGGGTTCAAGCCATTCTCCTGCCTCAGCCTCCCCAGTAGCTGGGATACAGGCATCTACCGCCTAGCCCGGCTAATTTTTGTATTTTTAGTAGAGATGGGGTTTCGCCATGTTGACCAGGCTGGTCTCGAACTCTTGACCTCAAGTGATCTGCCCACCTCAGCCTCCCAAAGTGCTAGGATTACAGGCGTGAGCCACCACGCCCAGCCTGTTTGGAAACTTTAAACTGCTCATTCCTGGAGCACATGATAACTCTAGAAACTCAAAGGTCCCTGGAGCATTTAAGGCCAGCAGATGTGCTGTGGGGCCTGGGAAGGTCCCTGATGGGATGACCGCACAGGTGGAGAGAAAGGGAATTTTCCTGAGGTCCTCCGGCCTCGCGGGTAACAGCCACTGTTTCTCAGCCTGGGTTCAAATCCCCGAGCTAGCTGGTTTGCCTTTCAAGGGAGCAGATGTTTCTGGATGTTGCATAGCAGGAGCAAAGTGGTCTGAATGTGCCCCCACAGGGGCCTTCTCATGCCCCGTGCCTTCCCAAGCATCAGGCCACCGTGAGGCCGCCACGTTCTGCCCGTGACTTGCAGGAGATTCTGTGAGTCAGGGAAAGCAGCGAGGCTGGCAGGAAGCGTCCTGTCCACAGGGCAGCACAGGGCTCTGGTTGAGGTGGCATCTTCTGAACTGGGTTAAAATCCCAGCTGAGCTGCGTGAGGTGGGAGACCCGGGCTTTGCACTCACAAAGCCTTGTTCAGTCCCAACATGTCCCCCATTAGCTCTGTGACCTTTGACAAGTGTCTGAACCTCTCTGGACCTCCGTTTCTCATCTGTGAAATGGGGGTTCTAAGGCCCTCTTCATGGGAGGGTTAAATGTGCAGGTGCCTAATGCCTGAGGCATGTTGGGGTCAGCAGGATGCATCAGGCACCTGCCTGCTTGTCCGTCCCCTCCGTCCAAGCTGGGAAGGGCCCAGCCTTCTTTTCTCCTTCCTAGGTGGGCAGTCAGGTCGCTCACACCCTGCCTGGTGCCTGTCCTCCCACCCCAGGCCAGCCTTGGCCAAATGGGAGACTGCCCCAGTGGCCAGAGGCATCCCATCCTAGGATAACAGGCCCGCCCAGAGCCAGGGCAGTCCCGAGGCGGGGACTCTGCTGGCCACTGGGTCCTGTGCCGAGGCCCGTCACAGAGAGGCCCATGCACAAGAGGGTTCCTCATTCCCTTCTTCGTGGGCCTGCCAGTCTGGGGACACCCAGCCTCACCTCCCCCACAACCTCTGTCCAGCGCCCCCCATTCATCCACCAACCTGGTCCGACTGGGGTCACAGACTTCCAAGCTGGTCTGGGCCGAGGCAAGGAAGTCCACTTGCCCTCTCCCTCCTTCCCATGCACCCCTCTCGGTCTTGTGGGAGCTGCCAGGAAGCGGAGCCCCAGGCTGGGAGACCGAGAGGAGGAGGCTTCTGTCCAGACCCCGCCTCAGACAGGCCACAGTCTCCCACTGGACTGAGCACCTGGGAGTACAGGCCACGCTCACGGTTCACAGAACAGGCTCAGGAGTAACAAGTGACCATGGGCCTGCTGCTGGGGCTCATAGTCCCCCGTGGGGACCCTGATTCCTCTGATTGTGGGTGATTTCAAATCTCCTTAGAGTTCTGCATTTCATGACATTTCTGCATGGAATATGCTTTATTTTTAAAGTAAAAAAAAACCTAAGTGCTCCCCTCCCTTTCATTTTTTGAGATACTCTGTCACCGAGGCTGGAGTATAGTGCCGCAGTTACAGGTCACTGCAGCCTCGAACTGCCAGGCTCAAAGAATCCTCCCACCTCAGACTCCCAAGTAGCTGGGACTACAGGTGCACACCACCTGCCTGGCTTACTTTTTTTTTTTTTTTTTAACTTTTTTTTTCTTTTTAGAGATGGGATCTCTTTATGTTGCCCAAGCCAGTCTCGAACTCCTGGCCTCAAGCAATCCTCCCGCCTCAGCCTCCCAAAGTGCTGGGATTACAGGCGTGAGCCACCATGTGCCCACCAGTGTCCTTGTGATATAGGGAGATCGTCTTCCTTCTCAGGTGTGAGCCGGGCCACCCTCCTTGTGAGACATGGTTATTGAGAGGGTGGAGCACAGACACTGGGGCCAGGCTCACAGGTTCAGATCCCAGCTCTCACCAGCTGTGTGGCCTGGGGCCAGGGCAGCCCATCACTGTGTCTCCATTTTCCTGCCTATAAAATGGGGGTGCCAAGAGCACCCGCCCAGCCAAGTTGCTGGGAGAGTTGCATGGGCTGACGCATGGGAGCCCTTGGAGAGCACCTGGCACGCAGCAGGCGCTGCAGACGAGGTTTGCTGTCAACTGCATTTCCATTTTCTGGAAACCATGAGTCAGGGACAGGTGGGAGGAAAGGAGGAAGGTGATTCTTCTGGAGGGAAGACAAGCTAGCTGCAAAAACAGATGACCCCTCAGAAGGGAGCATGTGAATACGGGGGCATAAAGGGGTCTCCATGTCCTGACATGCACACGACAGGCCTCAGGCTCCTGCAGCTCTGAGAACCCCAGGCTGCACCTGGGCCTTCCGCACTCAAGCACTGCAGTCCAGAGGACCTGCTGTCAGTCCTCATCTGCCTCCCAGGCGTGGAGTTCAGCTTCCTCACCGGCACCCTCTGCCCTCACATACCGCTCTGGAGATTAAGTGAGCAAGTCGGGTAGGCAGTGAGTAAGCGGTCGCTGGCATCACTGTCAGGACTTATCTCAGGCAACAGGCTTTCCTGGTCATTCTTTTCTCCGCGTCTGGCATCGGAGCCTTTCCTCAGAAGCTTCCAGGGTATGATTGGGGTTCTGAAGGCTGCCACTCTATCGTGGGCTTATTTGGAGGAAGGTGGGGCAGGAAAAGCCCTCACTCAGGGGTTATCTAAACCGCCTGTTGTCGATGGGAGTGAACATTTGTACTTGGTGAAAAAAACATCTCCTCCCGTTTCTATGTAAGGCACAGTTAGACACACAGCACGCAAACCGATACACAGTGTATCTGTGGTGAGTCGTATGTGGGTAGGGGTCCCGGGACCACCCCTCTGCCCAGCCCGGGTCTGAGCACCCCCTGGCCTCTCCCGTGGGTGGTGCCCAGGTGTCAGCGGGGCATCTCTCTGCAGCGCCTCCCCAACACAGACCACTGGACAAGGGTTCAGATCCCACCTCCTGCCCCAGTGCAAGCCAGGATCGAAGTCAGCATCCCACTCGATCTTGGCACCTGGTGGCACTTGCTAGTCCCCCAGATGGAGACTCAACATCCCTTCTGCTCTGAAGCCGGTCACAGGCCCCAGGCTCTGTCATTGGCCCGGTCCCAGTGTGCACTGGGCCTTGTGTTCAGCAGTCCCCTCCCAAGCACCAGCCATCCACCCAGCCCGGGGCCCAGCATGGGGGATGCAGAGATGAGACCTGGGCCCCTCCTGGGGTGGTCCGAGGCAAGATGGTCAGAAGCTGGGGAACACCAGGGACAGCTCTGTGATTCGGATGGGGACTGCTCCAGTGGCCACCCCTCACTTTATGTGTCACGGTTTTAAGCTCTGGGCCCTCAGAGGTGCCCAGGCCTGGCTTAGGCGAGAACTGACTACCTCTGGGTTTGTTTTTCCGCGGAGTCCCTATAGCCAGAGAGATCCGGAACCCAGGTGGGGGAACTGGTTATAAACACAGTGCAGGTGCTGGGGCCGAGAGGACGGGTCATGGTCTTTGAAGCACCTGAGGTCAGATCTCAGCCACTTGCTGGTGACTTGTGGGAAATCACAAACAGCTCTGAGCCTCATTTTCCTCGTCTGTAAAATGGGGGTTGTCATGACTGCAGTCTCTGGGGGCCGTGTGTGAGTGCTCTGCTGTGTGATACAAGCCCATCTGTACTCAGACTGAGACGCCGGCGAGTTCTCTGGACGCTCCCAGCTTTTGGGGGCAAGAGTTGGCCAAAAAACTCCCTCTTTATGAAGCTGTGCTGGTAGGTGGTCGGGAAGCAGCCTGTTGGGCCTCAGGAAACTCCCGAAGCTATTGCTTCCCTGCTGTGGCCTGGCTGTATCACAGCCCTGTGGTCACGGTCAGTGAATTGCCATACTGCTCCTTGTCCGTAATTTGGACTCAGCACACAGGGTCCTCTGGGTAGATCCCATGAGCGAACACAAGCAGTGCCCTTACTTCAAGCCCCGGTGCGCAGGCAGCGCAGAGCGAATTGCATCTGCGTTATCAGCAGTGCTAATACTGTTCGGTTGTGGGACAGTGGTCTTCCCAGGGTCGGATGGGGGTGACACCCTGGTGCCTGGCTTCACCACACACCATGGTGTGATAGAGCCTGAAATACCTGGTTCTGAGTCCAGCTTTACCCCTTCCTAGGCTGTGTAGATGACTCGGAGTGGGTAACTGACCTCTCCCGCTGTCTCTGCACACAGGAAGGAGGCTCTTTCATGAAAGGGTTAAGTGAAGTCAGGTGAACAGCACGGTGCTTCCCGCAGCTGCTCTCACTGAGGTTTAGCCCTCCTTCCTTACCCAGGCAGGCGTTGGCTTTTGCTAAGATCACAGCCGTGGCCTTTCAGGGCTGGTGAGAGCCAAGGCTCTGCTGTCACAGAAGCCTGGATTTGACTCCTCATATGCCACAGCTGTGTGACCTTAAACCTCTGAGCCTCCAGTTCGTCATCTGTTAAGTGGGGTTAGTCACACTGACTTTATTGTGCTCTTGTAAAGAGTAAATGAACTAAGGTATAGCCCTTAGCATCCTGCAGTGTGTGTGGAAAGTCTCCGTGACATCGGAGCTGCTGTTGTTATTGTCATTGTTATTACCGTCATTAGCATCAACTCTGTTTTTTTTTAATATACTTTAAGTTCTAGGGTACATGTGCACAATGTGCAGGTTTGTTACATATGTATACATGTACCATGTTGATGTGCTGCACCCATTAACTCATCATTTACATTAGATATATCTCCTAATGCTATCCCTCCCTCCTCCCCCAACCCCACAACAGGCCCCGGTGTGTGATGTTCCCCACCCCGTGGCCAAGTGTTCTCATTTTTCAGTTCCCACCTATGAGTGAGAACATGCGGTGTTCGTTTTCTGTCCTTGCGATAGTTTGCTCAGAATGATGGTTTCCAGCTTCATCCATGTCCCTACAGAGGACATGAACTCATCCTTTTTTATGGCTGCATAGTATTCCATGGTGTATATGTGCCACATCTTCTTAATCCAGTCTGTCATTGATGGACATTTTGGTTGGTTCCAAGTCTTTGCTATTGTGAATAGTGCTGCAATCAATATACATGTGCATGTGTCTTTATAGCAGCGTGATTTATAATCCTTTGGGTATATACCCAGTAATGGGATGGCTGGGTCAAATGGTATTTCTAGTTCTAGATCCTCAAGGCATCTCCACACTGTCTTCCACAATGGTTGAACTAGTTTACAGTCCCACCAACAGTGTAAAAGTGTTCCTATTTCTCCACATCCTCTCCAGCACCTGTTGTTTCCTGACTTTTTAATGATCGCCATTCTAACTGGTGTGAGATGGTATCTCATTGTGGTTTTCATTTGCATTTCTCTGATGGCCAGTGATGATGAGCATTTTTTCATGTGTCTGTTGGCTGCATAAATGTCTTCTTTTGAGAAGTGTCTGTTCATATCCTTCGCCCACTTTTTGATGGGGTTGATTTTTTCTTGTAAATTTGTTTAAGTTCTTTGTAGATTCTGGATATTAGCCCTTTGTCAGATGGGTAGATTGTAAAAATTTTCTCCCATTCTGTAGGTTTCCTTTTCACTCTGATGGTGGTTTCTTTTGCTGTGCAGAAGCTCTTTAGTTTAATTAGATCCCATTTGTCAATTTTGGCTTTTGTTGCCATTGCTTTTGGTATTTTAGTCATGAAGTCCTTGCCCATGTTTATGTCCTGAAAGGTATTGCCTAGGTTTTCTTCTAGGGCTATTATGGTTTTAGGTCTAACATTTAAGTCTTTAATCCATCTTGAATTAATTTTTGCATAAGGTGTAAGGAAGGGATCCAGTTTCAGCTTTCTACATATGGCTAGCCAGTTTTCCCAGCACCATTTATCAAATAGGGAATCCTTTCCCCATTTCTTGTTTTTATCAGGTTTGTCAAAGATCAGGTGGTTGTAGATGTGTGGTATTATTTCTGAGGGCCCTGTTCTGTTCCATTGGTCTGTATCTCTGTTTTGGTACCAGTACCATGCTGTTTTGGTTACTGTAGCCTTGTAGTAGAGTTTGAAGTCAGGTAGCGTGATGCCTCTAGCTTTGTTCTTTTGGCTTAGGATTGTCTTGGCAATGTGGGCTCTTTTTTGGTTCCATATGAACTTTAAAGTAGTTTTTTCCAATTCTGTGAAGAAAGTCATTGGTAGGTTGATGGGGATGGCATTGAATCTATAAATTACCTTGGGCAGTATGGCCATTTTCACGATATTGATTCTTCCTATCCATGAGCATGGAATGTTCTTCCATTTCTTTGTGTCCTCTTTTATTTCATTGAGCAGTGGTTTGTAGTTCTCCTTGAAGAGGTCCTTCACTTCCCTTGTAAGTTGGATTCCTGGGTATTTAGCATCAACTCTTAGAAAAGAAGAAAAGCTGTTGTCTGAAAGCAAAAATAGAAGTATCCACCAAGGCCAGGCATGGTGCCTCACACCTGTAATCCTAGCACTTTGAGTTATTTATTTTTTTGAGTCTGAGTCTCGCTCTGTTGTCCAGGCTAGAGTGCAGTGGGGTGATCTCAGCTCACTGCGGCCTCCGCCTCCCAGGTTCTAGCAATTATCCTGCCTCAGCCTCCTGAGCAGCTGGGATTACAGGCGTGAGCCACCACACCTGGCCTATCCCAGCACTTTGGGAGGCTGAGGCAGGCAGATCACCTGAGGCCAGGAGTTCAAGACCAGCATGGCCAACATGGCAAAACCCCATCCCTACTAGAAATACAAAAAATTAGCTGGGCATAGTGGCGCACGCCTATAATCCCAGCTGCTCGGAAGGCTGAGGCACGAGAATCACTTGAACCCAGGAGGTGGAGGTTGCAGTGAGCTGAGATCGTGCCATTGCACTCCAGCCTGGGCAACAGAGTAGGACTGTGTCTCAAATAATAATAATAAATTTTAGAAAAAGAAAAAAAAGGGATCCAACAAATCAGGAGGTTTGACCCAAACTACAAACAAACAGCTTAGAATGTTTGTTGTTTATGATTCTGTCTATAGAATTTTCCCTCAGTTCTGATCACAGAAAGGTGAGAATGGCCCCAGGGTCCCAGCCTAAGCCCCCTACATTAGTTTGCTAGGACTGCTATAAAGTACCATCAACCTCATAGCTTACTCAACAAACATGTATTTCTCTCAGTTCGGGAAGGCACAACCCTGAAATCAAGGTGTGGGCAGGGCTGGTTTCTCTGGAGGCCTCTCTCCTGGCTTGCAGATGGCTGCCTTCTCGCTGAGTCCTGGCTGGTCTTTGCTCTGCGTGTCCGTGTTTCCTCTTCTTCTAAGGACATCCGTCTACAGCCTCATTGTAACCTAATCACCTCTTTAAAGGTTGTGTCTCCCAGTACAGTCACATTCTGAAGTACTGGGGTGCAGAGCTTCAGTATATGAATGGGGGGCAAAGTTCAGCCTAAAACACCCCCTAATGGTCCCAAAGAGGGCATGAACAATGATCACGTAGCCTTGGTTCAAAGGGCATTGTGAAGTCTGGGGAATAGACAGCTCACCCCCTCGGGTGCCATGAGGAAGTCTCTGCACAGGCCCAGTTGTGAGTCCTTGAGGCCACGCTGAGAACATTGACTTGCTCATCCTGGAGGTGGAAGTGGGTGGAGAAGTCAGTGCCACTGACTACCTGCCAGGCTCTCACCCCATCTTTTGGCCCATCTGGGACCAAAAACAGTGCCATAAACCTTCCTTGTCCCAACCAAAGCTGACTGTCACCCTCTCTCATTCTAGGTCAGACTATGATGACTGGAGACCGTCTCTGGCCAGTTTGCTTCAACCCATTCCATTCCCCAAAGAGTAAGTCCCGTGTGCATCCCCGGAGCCCTCCCACCTGTGAGACAAACCTCAGTTGTCCACCAAGGCCTTAGTGGGGGGCCAGTCATGTTATGGGGAAGCGAAGTCACAGCGGGAAGACCCTGGAGACGTCGGTACCAGCTCAGCCACGTCCTCAGCTGTGGGACCCCTGGGGAGGCACATCTTCCCTCAGAAAAATGGGGAACTCAGGAGAACAGGGACATTGTAGGAGCTGCTTGACTGCATTGTCACAAGGATTCATGAGCTAAGAATGCAAACAGAGCCCTCCCCATGGCTCCTGGCAGGCCGTGCAGTTATCGTCTTTTATTATGCACCAGATGGGAACCGTAATACCTGCCGCTCCTCTTCCGAGGGCGATAGTAAGAATCAAAAGATAATGCGCGTAGCATTGCTCGCTGTGCCGTACTGAGATGCTGGAAGCGCTCTAATTACGCCCGGTACAACGCTCAGCTCAGGCTCTGCAGCAAACCTGGCCAGAAACAGACCCTCTGCCTCTCTCTTGCCGGCCCCTAGCACCATATTGAATTGATCACTGGAAACTAGAGAGAACGCTGTCTGGTGGATAATGGCCTGAAGAGAAGGCTTTGTCAAAATAACCAGGCCCTGAAATGCCTCCAGGTCTCTTTCAAGAGGTTGGAAGGAGCAAGCCTCGGGAGGCAGCTGGGGCTCTCGAAGGAGCCGATTACCAAGCGTGTTTAGGAAATGCTGCCTCTGTAAGGGCACATTACACGCAGTAATTGCCCCATGTGCTGGCCTGGCCAGTCCCCGAGGGTCCCCAGTACTTGAGGCCGGAGAAATCCACCTCCTAAGAGGCGCTCAGTCTCAGCAGAGTCGTGACGTCATTGGCCTCAGTCCCCGTCCCCATAGGCCTGGGCGCTCTTGGCTGTGGCAACTGTCTTAGAAGAATGGTCCCCCATGGCCGCTGATGTGTGCAGTAATGAGTGCCGCCCGCCTTAATCGTGGAACAATTAATGAACACACCTGGGTCTCCGGAGCCCACATGCACCCACACATGCTCAGGCAGCAGCTTAGCCCCTCTTATTCACAGGTGTGGGCACAGGGAACTTTCGGGAATGGGGGGCCCAGTGTGTTCATGTTGCTCTGATCTGCCGCCTCCTCAAAGAAGGCCTTTGTTTTGGAGCTTTGAGTGGGGACAAAATGTTGGCATTTCACTCACATTCCTCTTCATTCTTTGAATCAGACATAAAGTCTAGACGTCCCCAGAGGTTAATCTTGGGAACATTGTGCTGTTTCCGACGCTTCTGTTAACCGCCGTGTTTTCCCCTGTTTTTGTTGCAGAGCTCTCGCACATGAGAAGTTCACCAAGTGAGTGTCTGGGCACCGCCCTCATTCCATTCTGGCACGCACGGCCTCTGTCCTGAGGTCTTCCCTCCGTGGCCCATGCATTCTGGGAGGCAGTGGTGGCTCCTCTTGGCAGTTCTCTTGAGACACGTGTCCCTGATCCACCGCCTTGCCCAGCTCCCTGGCCCGTTCTTCCTTGACACCATCCCCTCCCCTTCCCACACCTCCCACTCAGTTCCAGACCCCGGCAGTAACTCCGGCCGCCTCGTCTCTTCCAGGGAACTGAAGTACGTGATTCAGAGGTTCGCCGAAGACCCCAGGCAAGAGGTGAGGCCTTTGTTTCTGCATCTCAGGCCGGCTGTCTGGGGATGGCAGGATGCACGAGGGCCCCTTAGAGGCCTTCTGAAGCTTGTCACCAACAGGCATTCAGAACAGCTTTCAGAGACCCATTGCCTGTGTATAAACACATCCCCGCCTGGTGCAGAGCCCAGCCTGTGATGTCAGTGTTTTACTGTAAACGCCGGCTCACCGGGGGTGGTTTTCCACTGGCTGGTGGTTTCTGCCCGCAGCCGAGGCCTTGATTTCGGGCTGGGCTGGCATGGCAGCTCTCAACCAGCTCTGAGGCAGCATTTTGATCCTGTCTGGTTCTGCTATTATGTGAATCACTGGGCAGAGCAAGGAATCTGAGCTGGGATTCAGAGCTGGGTTTTTATTTCCCGGTCATGGTGGCCAAGGGTTTCCCTGAAGGGCTGCTGTGTCCCTCACCAAAGCTGGGCTTCCAGGGAGAGGGCAGCCTTCCACCTTCTGCCCCTGAGCCTGTGCACATGGGCAGGGACCTAGGCAGGCAAGGAAGCCAGCCTGTAGCCCTGGGCCCGCATCATCTGATAGTAACAGCACCAGCAGCTGTCTTTTAGGAGGTGCTGTGCCCCGGGTCACACACATTCCTTTTCTCATGCCTCACAGCATCCCTGTGAGTGTCTTCTATAGTATTCCCAGTGTTGCGCGGCTGGTCCACGACTGAGGCAAGATTCGAGCCTGGTGCTGATAACCATCTCACTGCACTGTGTGCTGTGCTCTGAGATGCTCACAGCCTGCTTCTCTGTGTGCATGAGTTCTGGGTGTGGTAGCGCCCTAACTCCCAGTTGAGGACAGACCTAGACTCGTGCTCCCGGCAGAACAGGGGGAAGGATGAGCAGAGGACAGGGGGAGTTCCTCTCCATAGAGCCATCCCCAGGAGGCTTCCTGGAGAAGGTGGTACTGAACTGGCTGGACTTAGCTAAATGGGTCAAACTGGACCTTAGTCTGGAGGGTGGAGCATGGTGTTTGAGAAGGAATCTGAGGACACATGGACACCAAGGTCTTGCCATGTCCAACCATGGCAGGTCTCTCTGACTCAGAACCCACAGTTTATCAGGCTGTAATTCCAGAAGTTCTAGAGTACTTGTTCTCAAACTATATTACCTGAGGAGCTTGTTCAAAAGGCAGACCCCCCTGCCGCCGCATCCCTTCCCGGTTCCAGCTCACGGGGCCTGGGTGGAGCCAAGCATATGCGTTTTGATGCGTTTTGAACAAGCATCCCAAGTGGTTCTGAGGGGCTGGTCTCCAGGCCACACTGAAAAACCGAGTTCTGGAGGGATCTTGAAGACTCTAGTTCCAAAACACCGCAATTCTAAACACCGATTTCCCTAAGTGTTCCTCAGGCATGGAGGGAAAAAGGAGAAACGGTGGATATGGTGCTTTTAAATGTCAGGGACCAGTGAGTGTCTCCATTTTTCTTAAACTTAAGTCTTTCCTTGCCACCTGTGAAGACAGCGTCTCAGAATTCTCCTGGGAACTGAGCCTTAATTCAAACCCAGCCTTTGACGCTGGGAGAACAAAAGTGGCATCAGCTGCTTCTCAGAGTAGAGAGGCAGGGCCAGCTGCTGGGAGGGTAATTCTCAAACCAGGGAAATGTGCATGAGGCCCCGAGTGACCTGCCGGTCTGGAAGGAGCCAGCTCCCCTGGCCAAGGTCCCACACCCAGGCCCTTGTTCTCCTGTTTGCCTCTTTCTTTTCTCTGCTGATTCTCTCTCCCTTTTCCTCCTCACTCTTCTTTCTCCCTTCCCTTCTACCTTCTCCTTCCTAAATGAAGCCAAAGTTGTTTCCTTTAAAATTATTTGCTATATTTGTTGAATAGCATCTCAACACTCCTAAGTCCTTATTGCTTTGAAGTCGATAAGGGAACCCTTGATATTCTTCCAGCTCAGAGGGAAAAATAAAAGCCACTGCCTTTGTTTTCTGTGTGCTCGTGTGTGGGTTGTGATCAGTTTAATATCTGTGGGTAACAGATTCTTGGCAGCCAATCGTCCTTTCCTAAAGGAAATGATGAGGAACTTCTCTCAGCTTTCTTCGGAGGACAGGAGGAGGTGGGGAAAAGTCCTTTGTGTTTCCTGCACGCCCTTGCTCTCATGCTCTGTCTCTCTCCCTCACTCTCCCCGCTCTCCATCCTCTCCCTCCTTCCCTCTCTCTCTGTGTAATCACAGCAGGGGCCAGAGTGGATGTGGAATTCCTCCCATACACACACACACGTGTGCTCACATGCACAAACAGGCCCATCCACACAGACACACAGCTCTGGGAAGGAATGTGAGAGCTGTGCTTTTGGCACTGAAATTGCCCCCAGCCACGGACAGATCCTTCAGTGGAGGGGGACAAAGACTCAGGGAAGGAAGTGGGGATGAGACCTAACAAGAGAGGGTGGCAGAGTCCCAAAGAGGGGGAGAGAGAGAGAGAGAGAGAGATTAGCAGGGCAGATACCTGGAGGGGAGGATGGTGCCTGCACAAGTCAAGAAAGGGAGGGCAGAAGGCACACACCCAAGAGGGAGAGTCAGTGCTGGGGGCAGCAGAACCCCAGAGAGGCAGCAGGGAGAGGTTTCTAGAGAAAGAGGGCAGAGAGCACGGGAGAGGAGTTAGAAACACAGAGAGAGGAGGACAGAGAACCAAACAGAGAACGGAGACCCAGGAGATGGCCCCACCCAGAGGAAGGCATAGCAGAAGGAGAAAGGGGGCAGGAGAAAGGGAAAAGGGGCTGATTGTGGGCGGTTGCTCTGGGCATCTCTACCTGCTGCAGCCACAGGCCCGCTTCATTCAGATCAGCCAATCAAGCCGGGGCCTGCCCTCCCTCCTGTGCAGCTGACAGCCAGTAGCCAGAGTCCCCTGGGGTGTGGGGGCCACGGTATTTCCCGAAAGACCTTTCATGGCATTTGGTGGAAGGCTGGGGGTTGCTGGAGGAAACAAAGTTAAGCGGGTTTCTTGACTGCAGGACTTGCCTGAGCCTTTCCCATTCATGTGTGCAGATCATGGTCGCCCTTGTCACCGGGGCTGCATGCAGCTCACACTTGTGTCTTCCCTTGTCTGGCAGGTCCACTCATGCCTGCTGAGCGTGCGGGCCGGCAAAGATGGCTGGTTCCAGCTCTACAGCCCCGGAGGGGTGGCCTGCGACGATGACGGGGAGCTGTTCGCCAGCATGGTACGCAGTGGGACCCCAGTGGGGTGACTTCCAGGGGTCCCTGGGCTTGCCATGCCTGACTAGTAAAACAGCCGTCCCCCATCCCCTGGGGCCAGCCCCGGAGTTTCCCGGCTAACACAGTGCTGATCATGAAGGTGGTGGTGGTGGTGGTGGTGATGGTGACCGTGACTGTCACTTACTCATTTCTTATCTGAGGCTCCAAGCCAAGCACTTGGCTTTCCCAGTTGCACTCAGCTCTCACAGCACAGTGAGAAGACGACACATGTCATTGCCCCATTTTATACCCAAGGCAGCTAAAGCCTGGGCCGTTACTGCCTAAGGTCACACAGTTCATTGCCATGGTTATGTTCCTACAAGAAATTGAGTGCCCAACGGGACCAGGGATTCTGGAAGGCACTGCAGGTCCACCAGCTTGTTTAATCCTTACAAGGAGGTGTCGCGGTCAGGGGGATTGTTCCCACTATCATGAGGGGTCTGAGGTCACCAAACCAATAGCTGCATCCATGATAACTTTCTTTGTGCCCGGCACTGTATCCGGCACTTCATATGCACTATCCTTTTTTATCTGTACTGCATCCTTGTTGCTGAATTACACCTCTGTTGAAACAGAGGCCCACAGAGGTTCGGTGGCGTGCCTGGGGTCCCACAGGCCTTCTGTTTCCAAGCCCTTCCTTGGCCAGGCACACATGGCTTCTTCCAGGAGTAAAGGGCCACAGACTCTTCCTCCCCCAGGGCAGATGCTGCACCCTAGTGGCCAGCAGCCTCGCCGACTCCACTTGCTGAGAAAACCAGCTCCATTTACTGGTCACTGGTGCTCCCACACTCAAACTGGGCTTCCAGTCGCAGCTCTGCTGGGAGCTAGCTTGTTGACCTTGGGCTGGTAACTTGCCTCTGCCAGCTTCAGCCCCTCGTCCGGGAGCCTCGCATTGGCCTCTCGAGGTTACCGCAGCGATCGCATGCAACAGTAGATGCACGGCGCCCGGCGGGCCGGCACAGTCGCTGCTCGGAAATGACGCCGGTGGTGATTCTCCTCTCTGCTGGGTGGCTGGTTTGGCTGTCCACACTGAACTCAGCAGAGATGTTTGTGCAGCGATGACAAATTGAGGCGCTGCCCCTGGGAGCTTCTTGAAAAGGGCTTATTTTTAGGCCCTTTGCCTCATGCACTCCCTCGCCACTCCTCGCCGGCCACCCCAGGCCTCTCAGGGCCCTGCGCATCTAGGAACATGCCTGCCCCTGCCAGCCTGCACCACCTCTCTCGCGCTCTCGGTCACCTCTCGGGTTCTCCTCTGATGTCACAGCTTCACCATAGCAACGCTCAGCTGCGCCCCCCCGCCCCCGCCCCCACCCTACAATGTGAGGATTCGGTGCAAGAAAGCGCAGGGAGCTGGCGGCTTCCCAGCCCGAGAGATTGCATTTGTATGCCAGAGCTGTTCATGATGGAGCGGAAAAAATATACACAAGGAAGGAAGCAGGCAGCCGCTGGATGGAAGTGTGTTGTTGCCATGGAGATGCATGGCTTGGAAGCCGGCCCCTTGATGAGGCTGCTTTCTCCACCGCCAAGGGCATTTGCCATTGTGTGAAGTTGGAGGAAAGCCAATGGGGTGTCGAGGCCTCCCCCCAGCCCCGGTGACCGGGGACCCCTGCCCTTGGGCCCCCATCGCCCATGCACCAGAACAAAAGACCGCCCAACACATAACCCAAGAGGAAGCAGGATTTGCCAATTCTTGGATTCCTGGGGCGCAGGCAGTCTCCCAAAACACCCTTCCGAGCTCACAGCGGGCTTGGCAGAGGTGGCTGGGCTTCGTCACGTCCCCTACCCCATACATGTGCGAAGGCTGCCTAGAAGTTTCTACGTGGTTCCAGCGGTGCCAGGAATTCAAAGGATCAACTGTCAGCAGACTCCCGAGGGGAGCAGGGGAGGGGGCTTTTTTGTTTTTGGCAGTAAAATACACATCATATAAAAGTGTGCATCTGTAAGCACACCGTTCAGTCACACTGAAGACATTCATGTTGTAACACAACCATCACCACCGTTCATCTCCAGAACGTTCTTATCTTCCGAAACTGAAACTCAGCATCCATTACACACTGACTCCCCCTTCCTCCCGGCCTCAGTCCCTGGCAGCCACTTTTCCTTTCTGTCTCTGAATTTCCCTATCCAGGTACCTCATGTAAGTGGAGTCAGAGTCTCCTTCTGCTTAAAACTTCAACGTAATAAGTGTTTCAAACATCAGAACTTTTATAATGGCAGGAGATTACATATTTAGAGATTCTATTACAGATTCTTGAAAAAACTAGCAAGGGCCGGGCACAGTGGCTCACGCCTGTAATCCCAGCACTGTGGGAAGCCGAGTTGGGTGGACCACTTGAGTTCAGGAATTCAAGACCAGCCTGGCCAACATGGTGAACCCCATCTCTACTAAAAATAGAAATAAATTAGCCAGGTATGGTGGTGCATGCCTGTAATCCTAGCTTACTAGGGAGGCTGAGGTGGGAGGATTGCTTGAACCCAAGCGGCAGAGGTTGCAGTGAGCCAAGATCGCACCACTACACACTCCAGCCTGGACAATAGAGCGAGACTCCATCTCAAAAAAAATAAAAATAGCAAGGGCTACATTTGTTTAAATCAAGAGACCTTAAATTGCATTCTAGTCAGCTTTTATTGCATTTAGTATTATAGATTTATACAAAAGATACCCTTGCTGAGCTGGGGCTTATAGTTAAATCAGGTACTACTAAAAGGCAAAAGACAGAATGAAAAGAGGGATCATGAACGTGACTTTCGCGACTGGCTTATTCCACTCAACATAGTGTCCTCAGGGTTCATCTGGGTTAGATCGTGTGCCAGGGAGGGGTTTCTTGCATCCCCCTGGGGCCTGGTGATCCTAGAACACCTGGCTGTCTGGACAGCGTGTAGGCAGGTCTGTTCAACGGCTCTTGGGCTCACTTCCTGCCAGCACGCTGGAGGCTGGCACTGGGTGTCTCTGTCCCTTCACCTGGGCCTTCTTGCCTCACAGGTGCACATCCTCATGGGCTCCTGTTACAAGACCAAAAAATTCCTGCTCTCCCTGGCAGAAAACAAGCTGGGTCCCTGCATGCTCCTGGCACTGAGGGGGAACCAGACCATGGTGGAGGTAAGGAGCTGGTCGGGGTCCCTGGTGGGGTGGCTGGCTCCCCGTCCCTTGTCCGTGCCGATAGAGCATCTGCTGGGAGCCAGGAGCTGCTGCAGGCACGGGGGGCAGTGGGTGAGGCGTGCAGTCCCAGCCGTCCTGAGCTTAGTGGGAGCCTCGAGCCTTCATCATGCAGTGTATTTGTTTCTGTTGTGATCCAGCTGATCCATTGATCAGTGGGGTTGGGGACGCTTCTGTTCTGCTCATTTATTGCTGTGTAACAAACCACCTCTAAGTGAGGGCTTTAAAACAAGATCGTTCATTTCTTTTGCACATGGGCATTGGGGTACCTGGGCGCAGCTACGCACTTCTCACCTGGGGCCTCATCAGTCAGATGGGGCCAGGTTGGGTTAGCCCCAAGGCTTCTCGCATTGGCCTAAGAGGCCTCAGACAATGAGGGCTTTGGCGGCTGGGGCTCCCCAGCCGCACCCTTCACCTCGTGGCCTCCAGGTAGCCTGTCCACCTGCCAAGAACACACACACCCAGCCCCACAGGTCACCCCTCACCTGCTGCTGCTCCTCTCTCTCCCTGCACGCTCCAAAGTCCCCAGAAGCCTGAGACTCCCAGAGCAACTGTCCCAAAGTCCCCAGAAGCCTGAGACTCCCAGAGCAACTGTCCCAAGGGAACCAAGGCAGAAGCCATGTCACTTTTTAACTTAGCCTCCCTTGGAAGGCAGGCGGCATCACTTCTGCCACATCCTCCTGCTGGCAGTGAGTCACCGCGGCCGGCCCTCAGTCAAAGCCGTGGGAGCTAGACTTCACCCCTCAGTGGGAAGAGCATCGAAGAGTTGGCAGGCGCAGCAAAGCCATGGGAGCTCCCGTGGAAATGAGAGTTCGGGCAGATGTGAGCCCTGGGGAAGAGGCAGCGGGAAGGTGGGAGCTGAGCAGGCTGTGGGGACATCCCGGGCGGAGGCTTGCTGGAGGCCAGGGTGGCTGGAACACAGGGAGCCAAGGGGCAAGAGGTCTGGGATGTGGCTGGATGGGCATGAAGAGCCTTCTGGGTACCTAGAGGTGCTGGGAAGGAGTTTGGATTTAATCTTGGCTGTCCTGTGACAGGGATTCGGAGGCCATGGGGGAGGGCTGAGCAGGGAGACAGGAGACAGGCAAGAGGCGCTGTGAGAAGCGTGGGCTGAGTGACCTGCTCCTTGGTGAGTGAGAAGTTCTAGAACTGAGCACCATGGCATGCACCTGTAGTTCCAGCAACTTGGGATGCTGAGGTAGGAGGATCACTTGAGCCCAGGAGGTTGAAACTAGCCTGGGCAACATAGCAAGACCTCATCTCAAAAAAAAAAAAAATCGTCATTGGAAAGGGAATGTCAGAGGCAGGGCTGTCAGGCGTGTTGACCCCCAGGCCGAAGAGCCACATGTGCAGTCATGAGGCCCTCTAGGAAGCTGTGTGGTAGATGGGCCCAGGGCTCTGAGCCATTCCGTGAGTTTGAGCACCTACTTCATGACAGCCACTGGGGAAGGAACTGGGGAGAGAGAGGTGTCTTAACTTCTGGCCTTTCCACCAGTGCTCAGGGGCCTGCAAACATCCCCCGGGGGCCTGCCCCATGTCCAGACACCGCACGGTAAGCAGATGCCTGGGAGACTCCCATGTCCATTGACATTTGAACCTGGAGAACCTCAGTGCGTGGTCACTGGTGCTACCATTGTACAAGCAGGAAGTTGGGCAGGTGATTTGCCCAGGCTTACACAGCCGGGGCTGCAGAAAGGGGATAGTGGGGTTGCTGGTTTTCAAAACAAGGCCCTTGGGGTGCACAGAGTGTGCTGAGCTAGGGTGGCAGGCCGGGTCCGTAATGCACCCCTGCGGTTCTGGACAGATCCTGTGCTTGATGCTGGAATACAACATCATCGACAACAACGACACCCAACTGCAGATCATCTCAACCCTGGAGAGCACAGACGTGGGGAAGCGCATGTACGAGCAGCTGTGTGACCGGCAGCGGGAGCTGAAGGAGCTGGTGAGTCCCCGGCTGCTCCGGACCACTCCCCTGCCCAGCAGGCCAGGGGGGGCCAGGGCGGGATGCGGGGCAGCTAGTACTTGGACCTGAGTGGACCTCAATCTCGTTGAATTCTCCTCCAAACCCCAGAAATTGGTATTACCACCTGCCACTTTTCAGGTAATCAAAGAGAAGCAAAGCAATCCCCAGAGTCACACAGCTCATTGGGGCCTGGCCAGGACATTGCCCACCCTCCCTCCTCCATGTCCCTTAGACCCTTCCATTTCAGTACATGGGGGACCCAACTTCCAAATGCCAGCACCCACACCTCTTTGCTGAAGGACTTTGTATGTCCACATGCATATACTCACACATGTGTACACAGAAGGACGGAAGGGGCAGGAAATTCATGCCTTCTGATCTCCTGGAGCAGCCCTCAACCAGTCCCTTCTGGGGAGAGTGTGTAGAAATACCCCAGCTCCCTCACCCCTTCAGTGAGATATGTTTGAGACATGGCTTCTCCACCATTTCTTAGAGTCCCCCGGTGGGATTTGGTGCCAGTACCCACCCAGTGATAGCTGGATTGATAACACCCCTTCCATTATAGGTAGCCACAGTGTCACTTCCCCACTCTCCCACTGGTGTTTCTTGGGATCACCCTCCAGTAAACCACCTGTGCTCAAACCTCATCTCCGGGTTTGCCCCTGAGACCAAGACCACCGTGTTGCCTTGTACCACCAAGAAAATAACGATGGCTCCATGAGTGTTGTTAACAGAGGTGGAAGTCTAGAATGGAAACTTGGGGAAAAGAATGGTTGTAACCAGCCTGGTTTCTGTTGCAGCAAAGGAAAGGCGGGCCCACCAGGCTAACACTGCCCTCCAAGTCCACAGTGAGTTGGTTTGGTTCTCTTTGGGGCTGGATGGAGAAGGTGGGTTGGTCCTCTCTGTTGGGGAACGGCAGGTGGTGTCTGCTGCTGAGATGGGAGGTGATGGAGGGCGGGGCACAAGGACCCCCTAGTACTTAACACGCCAGCTCTTCCAGGAGGTAGCTGGGTTACAGGAAGAGAAATGAAAACCAAAAAGGAAGTTAAAATATGATACAGATTGTTGGTGATAATAGTGTTGATATCTAGTTATTAATAGTACTTGGAATAATAGCAGATATACCTTGAGCATTTGTGTGTCAGATGCTCTTCTATTAGTTTGTTTTATCCTCACAGCAACCCTTGGAAGCTTGTGTATCTTACCATTCGCATTTCACAAGGTCTTTAAGGGTCTTATTTCCTTCTATTCTGATGCCCCCATTATATTTGACACATGGCTTCTACTTCCTGGACCAAAAGGGCTGCTCAGGCTCCAGACCTCTTGTCTCCATTCCAGCCAGCAGGAAGGAGAACGTGCCCCTTCCTCTTAAGAAACTTCCTGGAAGTTCTACTTGACATGTCTACTTACATCCCATTTTCCAGATTTAGTGTGTGGGGCCACACACTAAATCAGCCTTCATTCCGGGCAGCCACAGGGCCGCTGACACTCAAGGATGGAGGGGAGTGTGGAGGTTGTCTTAGGAACCTCCCAGTCCGGTGCTCAGGCATGCGCTGGTGTCTTCAGGCATTAGAGTTGAGTGTGGCCTCAGTGTTGGCATGAGCTGCTGCCCAGGAGTGAGGCAGCCAGTCACACACCCTGATGCACAGACACAGACACACAGAGACACACCAACACACACACACACAAATATACACAGACGTGCACAGACACACACATGTACAGACACATGCATACACAAACGTGCACACAGACACACACAGATATACACACATACAGGCACACACACACAGACACACACACACACAGACGCCTGTGGGAGGATCGTGGCCTTGGAACACCCCGCTGGTGCCTCAGGGTGTGAGTCACAGCACTGGAGGCTTTCTCCTCCGCCTGGCAGCTGTCGTCCATGGGATGCGTGGCAGCCCCTCCCTCTCTGGCCACCCCCTTGGCCCATCCCACCGAGCTGTGCCCCCATCTCAGCTCCTGGGATTTACCGCCCCCCAGGAACAGCTCTCTGTAGGGCGAGGGGAGAGGAGGAGGATAGGGGATAGGAGGGCTCAGGGTCTCGGGAACTCCCAGCAGCACCCTCAGGCCTCTCCCCCGTCTGCCCGCAGGACGCTGACTTGGCTCGTTTGCTGAGCTCCGGCTCCTTCGGAAACCTGGAGAACCTCAGTTTGGCCTTCACCAATGTAACCAGTGCCTGCGCCGAGCACCTCATCAAACTGCCTTCGCTCAAGCAGCTGAACCTGTGGTCCACTCAGGTACGTCCTCCCGCCCTGCTGCAGTCCCCCACACCCTCCTCCTTCACCTCTGCACTCTCCTCCCTATTCCCCCGTACCATCTTCCTTTCCCCTCAGCCTCCTCCCTGCCCCCTCCCCCTCCTTCCTGCCCCCTCCCCCTCCTCCCTGCCCCCCTTACTCTCCTCCCTGCCCCTTCACCCTCCTCCCTGCTCCCCTCACCCTCCTCCCTGCCCCCTCACCCTCCTCCCTGTCCCCCTTACTCTCCTCCCTGCCCCCTCACCCTCCTCCCTGCCCCCCTTACTCTCCTCCCTGCCCCTTCACCCTCCTCCCTGCTCCCCTCACCCTCTTCCCTGCCCCCTCCCCCTCCTCCCTGCCCCCTCCCCCTCCCCTACCCACTTACCCTCCTCCCTGCCCCCTCACCCTCCTCCCTGCCCCCTCACCCTCCTCTCTTTCCCCTCACCCTCCTCCCTGCCCACTCACCCTCCTCCCTGCCCCCTCACCCCCCCACCCACTCACCCTCCTCCCTGCCCCCTCACCCTCCTCCCTGTCCCCCTTACTCTCCTCCCTGTCCCCTCACCCTCCTCCCTAACTCGTTCACCCTCCTCCCTACCCCTTCATCCTCCTCCCTGCCCCCGTCACCCTCCTCCCTGCCCCCTCACCCTCCTCCCTGCCCCTCACCCGCTTCCCTGCCTACACCCCAGGCATTGCTTACCACACGACCCTTCCCTCAAGCTCAGCACCCACTCCCTGAGGCTAGAGGAGGTTGAGGACCTCATGAAGCCCTGCAGCCCATTTCCCATTTGGAAATAATGTGCCCAGTTCCGAGTCCTGAGGTTCTGAGAGGTAGAGCTGAGACGTGAGCCAGGCTTCGCTGGCCTGCGGGGGGCTGCGCAGGAGGCTTCTGGGTCTTTTTGTTATAGTAACACCAGTGGCTGCTGAGTCCCAGCTCAGTGTGAACTGCACTGCTCAGTACTCTGCACAGGGCAGATGAAGGGGCCTTCACTGCACACCTGTGAAGTGCAGGTTCTACCCTCACCCTAATTTTCCAGAGGAGAAACTGGGGACAGTCCCTGCAGCCTGCCCCCGGCCCAGCCCTGTCCTTCCACTGTCCACCCAGCAGGAGAAAGCCACCTAGGCAGCATCTCGAAGCTAGGGAGAGACAAGTTCAAAGCCCTCCTTCATGGAGGCAAAACTGACTCCAAGGGGGCCCTGGCCTGGCTCCACTCCCAACAGCAGAAGCTGGATTCTAACCCGGTTCAGAGAGGCGTGGGATTGTTTAGGGGACGTGAACGCAGCCCAGACCCCAGGGCTTGGTGGGCCATGGGCCTCAGAGCCAGGCTCTGTCCCCATCCCTTTCCTCCACCTCTGCCCCAGCCTCAGAGTCACTTCCCCAGGAGTGGCCGGGAGAGGGCTGAGAGTTTCTGTGCTCTACAGTTTGGAGACGCTGGCCTTCGGCTCCTGTCGGAACACCTCACCATGCTCCAGGTGCTGAACCTGTGCGAGACCCCGGTCACAGACGCTGGCCTGCTGGCCCTGAGCTGTGAGTGCCTCCGGGGCAGCTGGGGGGTGAGGGGCCGCTTGATTCATTCCTTCCTTGCTTCAGCCAAACTGGCCAAGCACTGACTTTGCACCATGCACAGATAGAGAAATTCGTTCATTCACAAACGTGTTCACTGCACACCTGCTGTGGACCAGGCACCATTCCATGTGCCAGGAACAACACAGGGAAAAATATCCCTAACCTCAGAGAGCTTATATTCTAGAGGCAATAGAAAAAATGAGTAAGGCCAGCCCATAGCCTCTTGACACTCACAGTCCACTGAGGGGTCGAGTTCAAGGACGGGGCTGTAGTACATTGCCACTGTGGTCCCCTGACCAGTGGTGGCAGCGTCTTCTGGGGGCTGGTCAGAAATGTACATTCCCAAGCCCACTCCAGACCTCCTGACTCAGACACCGTACGGTAAGCAGATGCCTGGGAGGCTCCCGTGCCCGTTGACATTTGAGAAGCCCTGTCATAATAGAAGGAGGCACAGAATTCTCAAGGAACCTAGAAAGGCCAGTTCCTGTGTGCCAAACCCCAGGTGACTGAACTAGCCTCAGGGATATTGAGCCCGGGATTCTGTATTTGACCAGCTTTCCCTTTTCCAGGCCCACTGCTTTAGACGGGAAGACCCGTGGCTCAGTGGGAAGAGTCAGAAAAGGCTTCCCGGGGAGGTGCTGTTGAGTCTGGGTGTGAAGACAGATTTGTGGGAGTTGGCCAAGGGGGAGGCACCCTGAGCAGGGGCCATGACTCCTACCGGGCCGCTGGCAAATGCTGGGTGGCTTGGGAGGAGGTGGGAGCAGGTGACTGGGTCAGTGGAGGCAGAGCGGCAGCGCTCGGCCAGTTTGGCTGCAAATGCAGATGCGCTGCTTCCACTGGAGTCCCCCGGGGGGGCGCGGTCCTCATCAACAGCACAGATTCCTGGTCCCTGCTGCGGCCCTGCTCAGCGTCTCTGGGAGTGGGTGGAGGGGTCTGCCCCCCGTGCGACTCCAACACAAACCAGAGGTTGAGGCTTGCTTTCAAGAAGCAGCACCGAGTCAATGACGACGGGGGGACCATCCGGGGTTCCCTTAGTGGGGAGGCCTCGGGCCTGATCTGGGGTGTGGCAGGCAAGCTCTGGGGACATCAGGTCCAGGCAGTGGGGGCACACGACAGAGGGACCAGAAGGGAGGGAGGCTCAGAGGGTGGGAAGAAAACGAAGGCTCTGTTCAGACCAGCACGTGCCTGAAATAGACTTTCGGTGTCTAGTGGGCCACCTACCCTGGCTGTGTCTACGAAACCTCCCTCCCCAGCCCCATCTCCTAACAGGGGGCCTGGCACCTGCATTGAGCTCCTCCAGCTTGGCCATCCCATACCTTCATACCTTTGGGGCCTCGCTCTCCTAACAACTGTATCTGTCTCTTGTGCAGCCATGAAGAGTCTCTGCAGTTTAAACATGAACAGCACCAAGCTCTCAGCTGACACCTACGAAGATCTGAAGGTAATTCCCTCCTTCCTCCCCACTCTCCTCCCCTCCTTCTTCTAGCCAGCATCTGGATGCTGGTGCATCTCCTGCACAGAGCTCGTTCTCCAGTAAAGGATGATGACATCTACAGATCAATACATAAAATAATGGCAGATCAAAAAGAGTGACAAAGAGGAAGCAGCAGGGAAGTAATTGGAAATAGGAAGGCCTGTGTGGCCTGGGGTGATCAGGGATGGTGCCTTTGATGAAGAGGCCGCAGGAGCTGAGACCCAAAACATAAGAAGCCAGAAATACCAAGGGCGAGAGGAAAAGCAAGTGCCAAGGTCCTGAGACAGAAGAGATGGGCGAGGCCTGGCTTTGCAGCAAATGTAACCAGGAACTGAGAGAGGGAATGGGCTGGGGCCGGATGGAAAAAGCCCTCACAGGTCACAGCAGAGCAGCGAGTCATGCTTTTCAAAGCATGCTCTGGCTGTTAGGAAATAAATATTTTGAGAGGGAGCAGGAGTAGAAGCAGGGAGGGTTGAGCAGGGCTGGTGCCTCACCACTGAGGGCTGCGCTGCACCGGCACTAGGCCAGCAAGTGAAATCCGGGAAAGAAAAAGGATCGGAGGGTGGAAGGCAGGGGCGTTTTAAGAAACACACGTGCACATCTTGGGAAGGTTGGAGGAGCCAGGCCCTCAGTCGCCTCCTGTCACCCCGTCCTCCTGGGCCTGTACCAGCTGCCCCAGAAGGAGCGGGCGGGACTGGCAGAGGGCCAGCATCCTGGGAGAGAAGGGCTGGGCTCAAAGGTGAGAAGGCACAGATGGCACCCGTGAGCCACGCTGGCACCTTCGTGCTCTGGAAGCTACTTAGAGGGAATCCCCCGGCAGCCCTTGGCCGGGGCCCACCTCCTACAGCCAGGCCTCCTGCCGCCAGGGCGTGCTCACTGGGGCATCCTCCAGATGCTTCTGGAGCCTCTGCTGTGTACCAGGCCCATGTCAGGGACAGGGACACCGAGGTGTGGCTGCCACAGTCCCCTTCCGGGGGATAGTCCCTCCTGGCAGGCACAGGCAAGCTCAGCAAACCAAGGCGGGCAGAGGGCCTGGTGGGGCCAGGAGGGACAGTCGGTAGAGAGCGAGGTCCAAGAGAGGACGTATGGGACACAGAAGGTGGCAGGGGCACAGCCAGCAGATCACCCATCCCAGCGTTTAGACCTCAGCCCTCAGGGTGGCGTCTGCAGACCAGCACCCTCGGCACCACTCGGGGGCCAACAGAAATGCAGGATCCAGGCCACCCCAGGTAACCCCACCCTGGGGGATTTCTGGGCACACTCGTGTTTGAGAAATGCTGCCTGGATTATCTTGAGTTCAAAGTGCTGAAAGTCAGATGCTACTGTGAGACCAAGCTGGAAAGAGAACATGGGGAGTGCAGGAAAGGCCCCTTGGGAAGAAAAATCACTTTCAGTCGATTTTTTTATTTTCACACATTTGAGAGAGACATGGTGCCAACTTAATGCTGCCAGCCTGTGACCGGCCTCCCTGTGGAGGGGACTCGAGCAAACAGCAGCTGCCTGTCCTTTGGAGGAGGGGCCTCTGCTCAGTGCCAGGCAGGCCACGCCCCACTGTTCACTGCCCAGTCTGGCCAGACCTTCCCATTTTTCAAGAGAACCTTGAAATCTAGATTCGTCTGTGAAGTCTCCTAATTTTGAAAGGCTGGCTTAGTATGCTTTATAGCACTGCAGGTGGCTGCAGGTCCCCACCTGTAACCTCTGCCTGGGCAGTGGGGAGCCATTGAGGGTTGTTGAGCACAGGAGAGCAGCAGCGAGGAATTGCATGTGCATGTGTGTATGTGTGTGTGTTCATGCATACATACGTGTACATGTATCCAAAAAGTGTGCTGGCCAGTGTACAGGAAAGTTGGGAGGGAGGATGTAAAGGCATGAGGCCAGTTAGGAGGCAGCTACCTCTCTGTATAGTGGAGGCTTGTTAAGAAAAAAAGCCAACTGTTCATAAAGAAAAGTGGAAGTCTGGGTAGCAGAAACAGAAAGCAGAAAACAATGGAGAGACATAGCAGGTGGAATCACAGAGTCGAGTAATGCATCCAGCCTAGGGGGAGCCTCAAGTGGGAAGAATCTAAGCCAAACCCTGGGTACCTGGGATTTCCTGGGATCCACGTCACTCACCCTGTCCATTCTCTGATAACGATGAGAATATCACTAACAGTAAAAATGAGAACAATTTCCTTTCATAGGGCATATACGGTGCCCTGGGCTTTCTACATTTGGTATTTAACCCCTAGCACCATCCTTTGAGCCAGGGACTAGAGTCAGATGGGCCCACAGAGGAAGAAACTGAGGCCCCTAGAGGCTGGGTTATCTGCCCACGGTCACGCAGCAGCAAGTGGCAGGGCCTGGATTCAAACCCCAGTGCTTCCACCTGCGAAGACAGAGACCAAAGGCCATCTGAGGCGGGGGCATGGGAACCCCGCTGCCTGGTTTCTCCGGGGCCAGGGCACATCCCACCTGCTCTGTTCTCTGCCTAAGGCCACCCACCCCTCCAAGAGCCCAGGTAGCCCACAGCACCAAGGTGGGGAGAGGGTGGCAGAGACCCCCAGCCGGCAATGCGGGTGGAGCCAGGCACTGGCAGCTTCTGCAAGGGAATGGCCTACACGTGACAAGGACTCTTATTGCCACCCCCAGGCCAAGCTTCCCAATTTGAAGGAAGTGGACGTCCGCTACACCGAAGCCTGGTGAAGCTCCCAGCTCAAGGCAGGAAGACGTTTGCAACCGCGACAAAATAACTCTTGACTAACAGCCGCAGAGCAGCCGGTCCTGGGGTCCCACCCTGGTGCCCTGGCTGTGAGATAGATGGGGAGTCTTTCTGGGGGCGGAGGGGGGAGGGGGTGGGGAGGGGGCCCACAAGCACGCCCAGCCCCCGCCGAATTCTTTTAGCTTCGTAATTGGAACCTTTGACCTGATCTAAAGTGGACTTTGTAGCAACAAGAGGAGCATCAGCGGGTCGGGGAGGGGTTTGGGGGTGGGCTGGGGGGTGGGGGACCCTTTGTGGATTTTCTTTGCCTTTGTGTTTGATGCCGTCGTGTGGGAAAAGTCAACTCCGATGCCACCATTGCGGGCCGGACGAAGGATGCTTTCTTCCTAGAGGCTCCGAGCTGAGCTGCGAACTCGCCCCCCGCCCTTGGGACAAGAAGACCCAGTCACATCACTGCACCCGTCCTGTGTCCTCACCATTGCTATGCAAAGTGATTCTTGTTGTACATAAGATTTAAATAATGCACCTATTTAAGACATGTTGACAAATTGCGGGTCTGGGACCCGCCTCTTATTTATGAAGTCTTTGACCGTCCCCCCCGCCCGACCCCACCGCCCTCCCGCCCCCACCTGGCGTGTAGTACTGTATAAACCAGTCAGCTGTCGGGTTAGTGGTAGTATTATTGTTATTTTTTTAAAGGAAACAAACAGACAACAAAAAGAAGAAAAAAAAAAAGAACCTCCTTGGAAAAATTAATTGCTTTTTCGTAATGGATTCTCTATGCTAATGCTCTCTCGTCTGTCTGTCTGTCTGCCCACTCCCCCACCCACCACTGTGCGTTTCTGATTTCCAAATGTCTCCAACTCCCTCACGAGGTGGGGCTCAGGCTGGAGGAGGAGGGATTAAGATCCCCTTGCTCCACTAAGGCCCAAGCTCTTTCTCTCGGCACCTTTTAGACTTGAATGGGAGGCTGCTAACCCGCCCTCTCCAGTCCACCCCGGTAAAAGAGCTGTTCCCCACCCCCAGGGAGCTCCTGTCCCTGTCAGCCTTTGCTGTCCCCTGTCCCCAACGGAGACTCTGTCACCCCTGGGCTCCCCCTGCCATCGTGTGCTTCACGTGGCCCCATGCATGCCCGCCTCTCTGCATGGTCTCTTGGGAAAAGAGAGATGTGTCGCCTCCGCCAGTCCGACTGCCCTCCCCACCCCACCCCCGCCACCCCCCACATGTGACCACTGCAACGAAGACACTCCTTCTGTCCCCACCTGCTCCGAAGACAAACCAACCTCCGTTTCTTTTATAAACAGTCGGCTTTTTCTTAATAAGCCCTCACTGTACAGAACAGCCCGTTGATGGTTTATTTGGGGTCCCCCTCTCCCCCCAGCCCTTTTTTCTGTTGGTTTAGCACAAATACTTCCCTCCTCCGGCACCTCCAAACCTACCCCACAGTCAGTGTACTTGTTTTATATATATTTAATCTTATTCAATGGAAACCATGCTTTTGTCGTTTTATACTTTGCTAGGTAGACTTTATTACCCCCCCACTATGCCCTCATTTTTTTAAAAAAGGAAAAAAAAAAGAAACTGGGTTCCAGTCTTAATTCATTTTCCGTGCCAGGTTTTATTTCGTGTGTGTGTGAGTGTGTTCTGTTTTGTGTTTTGTTTTTTGTTGTTGTTTTTAGTTGTTTGGTTTTCTTTTCTTTCCCCCCTCCGGTCCCATACTTCACAGCACTCTGGTGCGGGAAGAAGCAGAAGCAAAAAAAATAAAAATAAAAAAATAAATAAAAATAAAAAAAATAAAAAAGGAAAAAAAAAAAAGAAGAAACAAGACATGCCACCTTTCCCCTCGCACTGTTGCTTTTCCTGATGGTTAATACTACTGTCACGTAGCTGTGTACAAAGAGATGTGAAATACTTTCAGGCAAAAATAAACTGTAAGTGACTCATCAATGTCTGGCCTTTGTGTGGTTTCTCGGCGCCCAGCGGGAGAAGGTCCAAGGAGGGGGCGAAGCCCAGGCGGGAAATCTGAGGCTCAAGACAGTGCCGGGATGCCCTCGCCACCTTCTGTGCGCACTTCCTGAGGACCAGGGCTCAGCATCCTGGCTGCTGTTGGCCACTGGGGCCGGAGCTGTCTTCGTTGCAGGGGGGCTGTTGTGTTCATTGCCAGACATTGAACAGCATCCTTGGCTTCTACCCAGCAGTAGCACCCCTTCCCCATTTATGACAACCAGAGTGTCTCCAGATGTTGCCACGTGTCCCGTGGGGGGATAGTTCGCTCCCCAGCTGAGACTCCGTGTCATAGACTGAGGTCAGTGCTGCTGTTCAGCAGGGCCTTACGAAAGCTGTAGCCCAGAGCTACTCCAAGGAATGTGCCTTCCATCCACCTAGGGGGTCTTGTGAAAACGCAGATACTGACGCCATAGCGCTAGGTGGTGCCTGGGAATCTGCATTCCTGACGAGTTTCCAGGTGATGCTGTGCTGCTGGTCAATGCCAGGTTCCTAGACCCACACTTCAGCTGCCTCCTCCCCCTAGATGTCTCCAAGAGGCAATCTTGACAAGTCCAAAAATAAATGCTTTATCTTGGCCAGGCACGGTGGCTCACTCCTGTAATCCCAATACTTTGGGAGGCCGAGGCGGGTGGATCACAAGGTCAAGAGATCGAGACCATCCTGGCCAACATGGTGAAACCCTGTCTCTACTAAAAATACAAAAATTAGCTGGGCGTGGTGGCGTGTGCCTGTAGTCCCAGCTATTCGGGAGGCTGAGGCAGGAGAATCGCTTAAACCCGGGAGGCAGAGGTTGCAGCAAGCCGAGATTGCGCCTCTGCACTCTAGCCTGGCGACAGAGCAGGACTCCGTCTCAAAAAAAAAAAAGTAAAGAAAAAATGCTTTATCTTCACCCCTCTTCCTAAACCAGTCACCCTTCAGGGTCCCCCAGCTCAGCAGGGGTATCCTTGTCCTCAGCCCAGGCATGTCCTGCCTCCACATGCTGACAGAAATCCAGGATGTCCACGAGCCAGTCCTCTGCCTCTCCACCATGGGCCCGGCCCGAAACCAGCTCTCCAGAGACTCTGTGTCTGGAGTTGCCCCCTGCCAGCCCCCACCGTCCCCACACCATCCAGCTCCCTCTGCTACCTGCCCCACCTCTCTCTATGCCCTGGTGGCCTCCTTCCAGAGGCCTCTGCCAGGTCTTTTTAAGACAGGTGAGAAGGCTGGGTGCGGTGGCTCATGCCTGTAACCCCAGCACTTTGGGAGCCCGAGGCGGGTACATCACCTGAGGTCAGGAGTTCGAGACCAGCCTGGCCAATGTAGTAAAACCCTATCTCTACTAAAAATACAAAAATTAGCCGGGTATAGTGGCCCACACCTGTAATCCCAGCTACTGAGGAGGCTGAGACATGAGAATCACTTGAACCTGGGAGGCGGAGGTTGCAGTGACCCGAGATCTCGCCATTACACTCCAGCTTGGGTGACAGAGTGAGACTTCATCTCAAAAAAAAAAAAAAAAAAATAGTGTCAGTCACTCAGCGGCGCCTTCCTCAGGTCACACGGAGAGCAGGCGCTATGGAAAAAGGACAGGAGGGCTCTTGACTGCGGGGGTGAGAGGCCTCACCAAGGACATCAAATGAACAGTCCAAAGAGCCCTTGGCTGCCTGAGCTCCCATCCTCAGGCCAGAGGACCAGCTAGTGGTATAGACGTGTGCATGCGCGAGCCAGACGCTTCAGCCTGCTCCATGTTGCCTTCTCCACCGGCGTAGGGCCTGGCTCACCACAGGTGTTCATTGCTCCAAGGGTTGGGGGAAGATGTAGCCGGGGGCCACTCTCAGCCTTCCTCCCTGCTCTGCCCCGCAGCAGCTGGGCTCCTCTGCCCACTGGGTGAAGCTGGAGAATGCAGGCTCCCCGCTGGAAGAAGTAGGGGGTGTCTTCCCTGGCATCCCAGCCGCTGTGCCCGTTGCTGGCAGGAGTTGCCTCCCTCCGTGGGCTGCTCACCAGGATTCCAGCTTTCGAGGTAACACAGCTCCCTGTCTCGCCCCTTCAGCCTTAGCCTGGGAACTGCCCCTCGCTGGTTCCTGGGTGCCTCAGCGTCCCTAACCCTGCCTGCACCTCTGCGATGCTCACACCTGGCCTGTGCCTCCTCCCAGCTGCACTGAGTTACACCACGTACTCCCCTCGCCCTTCAACCCAGGGGTGGTGATAGCTCCCCTGGTTACTGGTTACTGGTTCCTGGGTTCCCGGGTGCCTCTGCATCCCTTGCTAATTACCTAGCCTGGAGCCCCGCCCACCCTTCATAGCTAGCGCTTCTTTCCTTCTCTCCAGAATTCTCTTCTCTCTGAGGGGTCTCTGCGAGGACCTACCTCAATGACCATCCCCCACCTCCAAGTAAAACCAGCAACTGTTGGTGCCAGCCCCAAATGGGCCCAGTGAGAGTCCAACAGAGATCTAACCCCGTGCTGGGGACAGCGGTATTAATTCAGAATTTTTTTTTTTTTTTTTTTTTTTGAGACGGAGTCTCGCTCTGTCGCCCAGGCTGGAGGGCAGTGGCGCGATCTCGGCTCACTGCAAGCTCCACCTCCCGGGTTCACGCCATTCTCCCGCCTCAGCCTCCCGAGTAGCTGGGACTACAGGCGCCGCCACCACGCCCGGCTAATTTTTTGTATTTTTATTAGAGACGGGGTTTCACCGTGTTAGCCAGGATGGTCTCGATCTCCTGACCTGGTGATCCGCCTGCCTCGGCCTCCCAAAGTGCTGGGATTACAGGCATGAGCCACCGGGCCCGGCCTAATTCAGAAAATTTAAGGCAAATCCTGTCATTGGGAGCAGTGTGAAGCTCAACCAAGAGGGCAACAATTGGATTCTTACAAACAGCTCTGGGGCTGCCTGGCAATGCACATCTCCACGTTGCCCCACTTACAGCGCCTGCCTTAGAACGCGCTGTCTTCCGGTCTCTTACACTGCAGTGTGAATGGCGCTCCCCAGAGTTGTGCAGCATGAGAACCTGGTGAGCTGAGCTGTCATTTGTGACTGACAGGCTGCTCTAAAGCTAGCTAGACTTTGCTAGAAGCTCCCCCAGAGCACAATAAGAAAAAAGAGATCAGAGAATCTTGGAAAAGGGCTTGGCCTCATTCATTCATTCATCCATTCATGCATTCAGCAATTCATTATTGAGGACCTGCTTCCAACAGGTCCAGGGGGAGTGCTAGAAAACATGTGAGAAGAAGCAAAAGACCTACAGCTCAATAACAAAAAACCAAATAACCCAATTAAAAAATGGGCAAAGGTCTGTCAGAATTCGATAGAAATAAACATGGGCAAAGGGGCCAGGCGCGGTGGCTCATGCCAGTAATCCCAACACTTTGGGAGGCCGAGGCAGGCAGATCACAAGGTCAGGAGTTCAAGACAAGCCTGGCCAACATAGTGAAACACCACCTCTACTAAAAATACAAAAAATTAGCTCGGCGTAATGGTGAACGCCTGTAATACCAGCTACTCGGGAGGCTGAGCCAGGAGAATTGCTTGAACCGGGGAGGCAGAGGTTGCAGTGAGCTGAGATCGCGCCACTGCACTCCAGCCTGTGTGACAGAGCGAGATTCTGTCTAAAAAAAAAAAAAAAAAAAGTCACTAATCGTCAAGGAAATGCAAATGAAAACCACAATGAGATACCACCTGACACCTGTGAGGTGTGGCCATCATCAAAAACAAAAGAAAACAAAGGTTGGTGAGTGTGTGGAGAACAGGGGAACCCTGGTACGTTGTTGGTGAGAATGGAAATTGGTGGATAGCCACTGTGGAAAACAGCAGGGAGCTTCCTCAAAAAATGAAAAACAGAACTACCATATATGATCCAGCAATCGCACTTCTGGGAACATATCCAAAGGAATTGAAATCAGGATCTAGAGAAGAGATCTGCACTGTCATGTTCACTGCAGGACTGTCCACAACTGTCAAGATACAGAATCGGCCCAATTGTCCCTCAGCAGATGAATGGATAAAGAAAATGTGATATATACACACAATGGAACACCATTCCAAAGTGGTGTCCTTTACGCCTTTACAAAGAAGGGAATCCTGCTCTTTGCAGCATCGTGGAGGAACTGGAGGGCATGTGTGCTAAGTGAAATAAACCAGGCACAGGAGGACAGATACTGCATAATACCACTTCTATGAGGAATCTAAAATAATCAAACTCATAGAAACAGAAAGTGGAATGGTGGTTGCCAAGGGCTGAAGGGAGGGGGAAGTGGGGAGGTATTGGTCAAAGGGAACGAAGTTTCAGGTATGCAAGATGGAAAAACCCTTGAGAAGTACCATACGCATAATGACCATAGTTAACAATATTACAGTATATACTTAAGATTTGCTAAGCATGGAGATGTTATTATCACACACAATCGTAATAACAAATAACTGGGGCGGGAGGAAACTTTTGAAGGAGATGGAAAGGTTTATGGCATAGACTATGATGTTATCCCCAGGAGCAATTTGGGGAGGTTCAGACTCTTGGAGCCAGACGCTGCATGACCCCTAAACTGAAATTTCTAATCTTGTAGCTAATTTGTTAGTCCTGCAAAGGCAGTCTGGTCCCCAGGCAAGAAGGAGGTCTTTTCAGGAAAGGGCTGTTACCAATTTTGTTTCAGAGTCAAGCCATGAACTGAATTCCTTCCCAAAGTTAGTTTGACTTACGTTCAGGAATGAACAAGGACAACTTAAAGGTTAGAAGCAAGATAGAGTCGGTTAGGTCTGATTTCTTTCACTGCCATCATTTCTCCTGTTAAAATTTTGCAAAGGCAGTTTCAGTATGGTTTCACGGGTGTATGCTCATCCCCACACTCACCGAGTTGTATGTGTTAAATATGTACGGCTTCTTGTATGTAACCACCCAACAGGTTCACCACGCCCACTGCCTAGACAGGGCCAATTGATCAAGATAGGGCCAATTGATCAAGACAGGGGAAATGCAATGGAGAAAGAGTAATTTACACAGAGCCAGCTGTGCGGGAGCCCAGAGTTTCATTTTTATTCAAATCAGTCTCCCTGAATATTTGGGAATCAGAGTTTTTAAAGATAATTTGGCGAGTGGGGGCTTGGGAAGTGGGGAGGGCTGATTGGTGGGGCTGGAGATGGAATCACAGGGGGTTGAAGTGAGGTTTTCTTGCTGTTTTCTGTCCCTGGGTGGGATGGCAGAACTGGTTGAGCCAGATTACCTGTCTGGGTGGTGTCAGCTGATCCATGAGTGCAGGGTCTGCAACATATCTCAAGCACTGATCTTAGGTTTTACGATAGTGATGTTATGCCCAGGAGCAATCTGGGGAAGGTTCATACTCTTGGAGCCAGAGGCTGCATGATCCCTAAACTGAAATTTTTTTTTTTTTTTTTTTTTTGTGAGACGGAGATTTACTCTTGTTTCCCAGGCTGGAGTGCAATGGCACAATCTCGGCTCACCACATCCTCCACCTCCCAGGTTCAAGCGATTCTCCTGCCTCAGCCTCCCGAGTAGCTGGGATTAAAGGCATGTGCCACCATGCCCGGCTAATTTTGTATTTTTAGTAAAGGCGGGGTTTCACCGTGTTGCCCAGGCTGATCTCGAACTCCTGACCTTCCTGACCTCAGGTGATCCGCCCGCCTCGACCTCCCAAAGTGCTGGGATTACAGGCATGAGCCACTGTGCCTGGCCCTAAACTGTAATTTCTAACCTTGTAGCTAATTTGTTAGTCCTGCAAAGGCAGTCTGGTCCCCAGGCAAGAAGGGGGTCTTTCTGGGAAAGGGCTCTTATCAATTTTGTTTCAGAGTCAAACCATGAACTGAATTCCTTCCTAAAGTTAGTTCGGCCTACACCCAGGAATGAGCAAGGACAGCTTAAAGGTTAGAAGCAAGATTGATTTGGTTAGGTCTGATTTCTTTCACTGCCGTCATTTTTCCTGTTATAATTTTGCAAAGGCTGTTTCAGCATGGTTTCACGGCTGTATACTCATCTCCGTAATCATCAAGTTGTAAGCGTTAAATATGCATGGCTTCCTCTGTGTTAATTAGACCACAATAAAGTGGTTTAGAGAAAGAAGAAACAGCAGCAAGAGACATGGCCCTTGTCCTCCAGGGGCTCAGCACCCAAGCATGCTGGCAAGGAGTCAGTCACATACTGCATGGCAAATGCCATGACAGGACACTAAGGCAGGCACAGATGGTGGGCAGTGAACCCAGGCCTATGGGCATCACGGGAGACTTCCTGGAGGAGGTGGTATTGTTGAGAATGAAGAATGAAAATGTTTGCTGAGTCACCAGAGGGGAAAAGGGAGTGTGCAAAGACTTGGCAACAGACCAGAGCCGGATATAGGCTGGGAACGGCCAGTGGGAAGTGTGATGGGCTTGGGGGTGTACGGTTGTCAGGGTTGAATTGTATCCCCCAGAAAAGAGACATTGAAGTCCTAAACTGCAGTTCCTCAGAATGCGACTTTATTTGGGAATAGGGTTTTTACAGAGGTGATCAAATTAAAGTGAGATCATTAGGGTGAGCACAAGTTTAATATGACTGATACCCATTTGAGAAGGAGAAATTTATTTATTTATTTATTTTTATTTTTATTTTTATTTTTTTGGAGTCTTGCTCTGTCGCCCAGGCTGGAGTGCAGTGGCATGATCTCAGCTCACTGCAACCTCTGCCTCCCAGGTTCAAGTGATTCTCCTGCTTCAGTCTCCCGAGTAGCTGCAATTACATGCGTGTACCATCATGGCGGGCTAATTATTTTTTTGTATTTTTAGTAGAGACGGGGTTTCACCATGTTAGCCAGGCAGTCTCGAACTCCTGGCCTCAGGTGATCCACCTGCCTTGGCCTTCCAAAGTGCTGGGATTACAGGCGTGAGCCATCATGCACAGCTGGAAGGAGAAATTTGGACACAGAGATATGCATAGAGGGAAGTCAGAGTGAAAGGACAGAGACAGGAAGAGGCCACATGAGGATGAAGACAGAGCCTGGAGTGGTACAGCTGCAAGCCAAAGATGGCCAGTGAACACCAGAAGCCAGGAGGGAGGACGTGGCAGCTTCCCCTTCGCAGCCCTCAGAAAGACACCAAGACTGCGATTTCCAGCTGCCAGACTGTGAGAGGATGAAGGTGAATCTCTTATTTTAAGGCATCTTCTTTTGGATACTTTGTTACTAAGTACTTAGTTACAGAATATATCAGTTGTAGCAACTTATCGCAAACTGGGTGGCCTAAAACAATAGAAACTTGTTCTCTAGCAGTTTGGAGAAGCCTAAAATCAAGTTGTAGACAGAGCTGTGCTTCCTCTGAAAGCACGGGGGAGGACACATGCCCTGCCCCTGCAGCTTCCGGTGGCTCTGGGTGCTCCTTAGCTTGTGGCTACAGCGCTAGCCTCCACCTCCATCTTCGCATGGCCTCGTCACCTGTCTGTTCTCTCCCTTCTTATAAGGACACATGCCACTGGACTTAATAGCCAAAAAGTGGAAGCAAACCAGGGCTCACCTGGATGATCCGGGATGACTTTGTCTTGAGATCCTTTATCACAGCTGCAATCTTTGCAGTTCCAGTCTCGTCTCGTCTCGTCTCGTCTCGTCTCGTCCCGTCTCGTCTCGTCTCGTCCCGTCCCGTCCCGTCTCCTCCCCTCTCCTCTCCTCCCCTCCCCTCCCCTCCCCTCCCTTCCCCTCCCTTCCCCTCCCTTCCCCTCCCTTCCCCTCTCTTCCCTTCCCCTCCTCTCTTTCTGGGTCTGGCTCTGCCACCCAGGCTACAGTATAGTGGCACAGTCATGACTCACTGCAGCCTCAATCTCCCATGCTCAAGTAATCTTCCTGCCTCAATCTCACGAGTAGCTGGGACTACAGGCGTGCACTACCATGTCCAGCTAATTTTTAAAAATGTTTTGTAGAGATGGGGTCTCACTGTGTTGCCCAGTCTCATCTTGAACTCCTGGGCTCAAGTGATCCTCCCACCTCAGCCTCCTTAAGTTTTGAGATTACAGGCATGAGCCACCACACCAGGCCCCAAAGACTGTTTTTCCAAATAAGGTCACATTCACGGGTTCCGCGTGGATGTATGTCTGGGGGCCATCATGCAGCACACTGTGAGAGGAAGGTGGAGGTGAGACCAGCCAAAACCTAATGAATCATATTTAGGAGTCTGGGATTTGTCCTGAGAGGTATGTGCAATTGTAAAAAAAAAAAAGGTTGCAATTATTTTACTGATTTTTAAAACAAAACACTTATATAGCACTGTCTGTGCACCAGGCACAGTAGGAAGGGTTTTATAGGACTACACTGATGTACTATTCCTAGCATGCCTACAAGGCAGGCGCTTATATGACCCCTTATTGATGGGGAAGTGGAAGCCAGGAAAGTCTGGATCTCTTGGTCAAGGTCCCACAGTAAGCAGGGCACAGAGCCAAGGTTATAAGCCAGGCACTATAGGAAGATCCCTCCACTGTTGGTAAATGGATGGGTGTGGGTCTGGGACTTGGACCCTGTGGAGAAAATAGACAGATTCAAGGGAAGCTCAGGCTTAAAATAGCAGCACATGGTGGTTGGTACGGAGGGAGGGTGCACATGGAGTCAAGGGTGACTTTCAGTTTCCTTGGCTTATTTCCTAAGACAGGCTGCAAGGGCCTAGAATTAACACCTCTGCCCAGGCAGCAGCCCTCAACCAATGACAGATGGGAGGTGGTGTATCAATACCCCGGCTCCCTCACTCCTCATGGGAAGTGGAGAGTTCTGAGGCCCATGTTCTCCTCTGGCTCCCAGGGTCCCTCCCTGGGATTAATCTCCAGCTGCCCTCAGTGCTCACGGGCTTGTTAGGATTTCCTTCCCTTCTCCACCTCATTTTCCATTGTCCCATTGGTATTTCCTGGGACCAACTCTCAAATGAAAATCTTTATCTCAGTGTCTGCTTCTAGGGAAGTCCAGACTAAGACAGTGACTAACTATGTTAGAAGACAGAGGAATAGGTTGAAGGGGCAGCCCTTCCCAAGGCAGGCCAGGAAGACTCTACCAGGAAAACTGCACAGTCACCAGGTATACCTTCCTGGACCATCAGTGACAGAGGGGCCTCCTGGCCAACCTGGTAGGTGTCTGCCATTGGGAGCCTGAGAACCAGTTTGCATTGTTTTCAGAGATGGGGGTGGTTGCTGAAAGAAACTCTCATGCATCACTAAGGGAGGATAGATGGGTTCAACCACTTTGGAGAGCCAACCTACTAAAGTTAAACATATGCCTACCCTAGGACCCTGCAACTTCACTCCTGGATGTGCAGGAGAAGAGCTCAAGAGCACTGAGCTCATCCATCCACCAGAAGACGCAAATAAGAATGTTTATAGTGGCATTAGTTACAATAGCCAAAAAGTGGAAGCAACCCAAATGTCCACTGACAGGAGAATGAATAAACAAACTGTGGGAGAGCCAAACAGTGGAGCAATACCAATGTCTCCATTAACGGGAGAATGAAAACATAAACGGTGACATATTCATAAGATGGAATTCTACAAAACAGGAGAAAAAGAACCGACGACTGATATGCACAATGACATGAATTAATTGGGTAAGTATTATGTTGTGTGGCAGGAGCCAGAAACAAAGGATTTGCTGTATGATTCAATTTGTAGAAATTCGTGAATAGGCACAAATCACCTATGATGACAGAAGTCACAACACTGGTTATCTCTGTAAGGGGGATTATTATTGACTGGGAAGGGTGATACAATTAGGCTTTGTGTCCCCACCCAAATCGCATCTTGAATTGTAATCCCCAGGTGTTGAGGGAGAAACCTTGTGGAGGCGATTGGATCATGGGAACAGTTTTGCCCATGCTGTTCTTATGATAGTGAGTGAGTTCTCATGAGACTGATGGTTTTGTAACTGTTTGGAAGTTCCTCTTTCATTTATTCTTCTCTCTCCTGCCACCTTGTGAAGAAGGACGTGTTTGCTTCCCCTTCCGCCATGATTGTAAGTTTCCTGAGGCCTCCCCAGCCATGCAGAACTGTGAGTCAATTAAAGTTCCTTTGTTTATAAATTAGCCAATCTTGGCTAGTATCTTTATAGCAGTGTAAAAATGGACAAATACAAAGGGGAGGAGGGAACCTTCTGGGTTCCACATCTTGATCTGTGGCTACACAGACGTTTACACATTCACAAAACTCTACTCTTCAGATTTGTGTAAGTTACCATATATGTTGCACATCAAATCTTAAAAAGTGGCATCAAGTGGAAACACTCAAAATTTTGTCCATTTATGTTGCCTTTAAAAGCATAAGAAAAAATAAATAAAATTATAAAACAGGGGCCAGTCACGGTAGCTAATACCTGTAATCCCAGCACTTTGGGAGGCCGGGGCAGGTGGATCACCTGAGGTCAGGAGTTGGAGACCAGCCTGACCAACACAGAGAAACCTCGTCTCTACTAAAAATACAAAATTAGCCAGGTATGGTGGTGCATGCCTGTAATCCCAGCTACTTGGGAGGCTGAGACAGGACAATTGCTTGAATCCGTGAGGCAAAGGTTGCAGTGAGCCAAGATTGCCCCATTGCACTCCAGCCTGGGCAACAAGAGCAAAACTCTGTGTGAAAAAAAAAAAAAAAAATTAAAAGAGAAATTTTGTCCATCACAAATAAATAAATATATAAATGTGGTACACATAGACAATGGAATACTACTATTTGGTCATAAAAAGGAATGAAATACTGATACATTCTATGATTCAGATGAACTTCAAAAACCTCATGCTAGGTGAAATGAGCCAAACACAAAAGACCACATATTGTAGGATTCTGCATTTGGAATATCCAAAACGGGCAAATGTATAGGGATACAAAGCAGATTGGTGTTTGCCAGGGGTGGGAGGGAAGGAAGAATGGGCAGTGATTGCTTAGTGGTTGTGGGGTTTTCTTTTAGGATGAGGAAGATGTTTTGTAACTAGAGGTGGTGGTTGCACACATTGCGAATATTCTAAACATCACTGAAATAAAAACGTTAAATGGTTTATGTTTCATGTATTTCACCTCAATAAAAAAAGCAACATCAATAAAGATTGTTTGTTTTTGTTTTGAGATAGGGTCTTGCTCTGTTACTCAGGGTGCAGTGCAGTGGTTCGATCGTACCTCTTAGCTCACTGCAGCCTCCAGCTTCTGATCTCAAGAGATACTCCTGCCTCAGCCTCCTGAGCAGGTGGGACTCCAGGTGCACACCCCCATGCCTTGCTAATTTTTTATTTTTTATTTTTAAGAGACAAGAGCCTCACTTCATTGTCCAGGCTGGTCTCAAACTCCTGGCTTCAAGCAATCCTCCTGCCTCAGCCTCCCAAAGTACTGGGATTACAGGCGTGAGCCACTGTGCCAGGCAAGATTTTTCCTTTCAATGAAAAGATGGCTGCTCCTCCCCTCTGTTGTGTCTGGACTCAGGATGGGGAGTGGTGGCACCCTGACTTCTATCAAAGCAACACTCGTCCATCCTAGTGAAGCCTCTGGGTGAACATTGTGTCCCTTTCTTAAAACACTCTACTGCCATCTGCTGGAAAACTGTCACCATAAATATACAAACCTATGGTGTGAACAGACTCCCATAGATGTGGCACACTTGTGCAGTGCACAACCTGCACGTGTATACATGGTAGGATATTTGACTTTATTTTTTCAGTGTACTCTATCCACATGTAGACGAGGCCGTGAAAAATCTAGTGTTGCCTTTCCTTTCTGTCCCCACTCCAATGCTGATACTAACTAGAAATAGAAAATTGACTGAGTCTAGAGCTTTGCTACTCAAAATGTGATCCACGGATGCACAGCCTTCGTATGGTGGGAGAGTCTGCTAGAAATGCAGTCTCAGGATCCACCTGGACATGACGAATCAGAATCTGCATTTTAATTATTTTATTTTTTTTTTAAGATGGAGTCTCATTCTGTCACCCAGGCTGGAGTGTAGTAGTACAATGTTGGCTCACTGCAGCCTCCACCTCCCAGGTTCAAGTGATTCTCCTGCCTCAGCCTCCCAAGTAGCTGGGACTACAGGCACCTACCACCACATTCAGCTATTTTTTGTATTTTTAGTAGAGACAAGGTTTCACCGTTTTGGCCAGGCTGGTCTTGAACTCCTGGTCTCAAGCGATCTGCCTGCCTTGGCTTCCCAAAGTGCTGGGATTACAGGCGTGAGCCACTGTGCCCAGCCGAGTTTATTTTAGAGATACGATCTGACTCTATCATCCAGGCTGGAGTGCAAAGCAGTGATCATACCTCATTGCAGCCTTGAACTCCTGGGCTCATGGGCCCCATCGATCCTCCCACCTCAGACTCCTAAAGTACTGGGGTTACAGGTGTGAGCCACCACACCAGGCCTGAATCTGCATTGGTTTTTTTTGTTTTTTGTTTTTTTCTTTGAGATGGAGTTTCACTCTTGTTGCACAGGCTGGAGTGCAATGGCATGATCTCGGCTCACTGCAGTCTATGCCTCTGCCTCTCGGGTTCAAGCAATGCTCCTGCCTCAGCCTCTTGAGTAGCTGGGATTACAGGTGCCCGCCACCACACCTGGCTAATTTTTTGTATTTTTAGTAGAGACAGGGTTTCGCCATGTTGACCAGGCTGGTCTCGAACTCCTGGCCTCAGGTGATCTGCCCACTTCGGCCTCCCAAAGTGCTTGGAATACAGACATGAGCCACCACACCTTGCCAAATCTGCATTGTTAACAAGGTCTCCTGGTGATTCGCGTGCACACAGAATTTGAGAAGCGCTGCCCTAGAAGCCTTGGCTACACATTGGAATCACCTGAAGAGCTTTAAAACATGCTGACTCTGGGATGGGGCCTGGATGTGTGACTTGGAAAAGCTTCTTAACTGATTCTCATGTGCAGCCAGGGCTGAAACCGCTGGTCTAGAAGCCTTGCTGCTCAATGTGTGGCCTGTGGAGAGCTCATGATAAATGCAGAGCTTCAGGGCTCACCCCAGACCTCCTGAGTCAGAATCTATGTTTCAACAAGATCTTCAGGTGTTTCTTGTGCACTTTCAATTTGGAGCAGCCCTGGGCTCAGAGCTGGCGATGTCGATTGCAGAGCCCAGTGTAAAGTGACAATGCAAGCTCCCTGTTCAAAAAATGATTAAGAATTTTAAGAAAGCATTAGCAGAGCATTAAACCAAGCACAGGACCCTTCGAAGCTCAGTTCTGTGTGACTGCGCAGGTTGCATGTCCAAGAAGCCTGGGCTAGCTTCCCTCTGATTTGTCAGGGAGATGCCTGTCAGCAAACAAATCCATGTGCAGGATCCACTCATCACTGTACTGAAACCTGCCTTTCGGGGCCATGAAACTTTCCCTGGAGCGTTTTGGGTCATCTCTGCAGAACGACAAGGATGAGGACAGGATGGAAGAGACTCCTTCTCGCACCCGGCGACAGTTCTCTAGGCTGTTTGTTCTGTAACTGTGCCGGTAAGAGCAATGCACTGTTTCCCCGCCCCGAGAACACCAGGCATGTTCCTCCTCTTTGATTTGCCAGGGAGGAGAAGGGGCTTTCAGATCCACTGGGAAGGAGGCTCTGCAATCCCAGCTACTTGCTGGGACCAGGATTACCCTAGAAGCAGCTCCTCTCTGGGGCTCTCCCTATCCATCCACTGGCTACTGCTGGGCAGGGCAGGTGGGGGACAGTGATTCCCTTGTGGGCTGTTTTGTGAATAGCAGTAATGCATTTCACAGCCCTGGAGACGTGTCCATCACAGATAGGGGATGCTCCAGGCCACCCCTGTTCAAAAGAAATAGAAGACAAGCCACGTAGATAAATTTAAATGTTATGGTAGCCGCATTTTAAAAATTAAGAAGAAATAGGTGAAATTAATTTTGACAATACATTTTATTTTCTTTCTTTCTTTCCTTTCTTTCTTTCTTTCTTTCTTTCTTTCTTTCTTTCTTTCTTTCTTTCTTTCTTTCTTTCTTCCTTCCTTCCTTCCTTCCTTCCTTTTTTTTTTTTGATTGAGACGGAGTTTCGTTCTTGTCACCCAGGCTGGAATGCAATGGTATGTTCTCGGCTCACTGCAACCTCTGCCTCCTGGGTTCAAGCGATTCTCCTGCCTCAGCCTCCCAAGTAGCTGGGATTATAGGGGCTCACCTCCACACCTGGCTAATTTTTTTGTATTTTTAGTAGAGATGGGGTTTCACCATGTTGGCCAGGCTGGTCTCAAACTCCTGACCTCAGGTGATCCGCCTGCCTTGGCCTCCCAAAATGCTGTGACAATATATTTTATTTAACCTCACATATCCAAAATATTATCATTTCAATGTGTAGTCAATATAAAAAATGACTAATGAGATAGTTTATGTATTTTTCCCCCATACTAAGTCTCAAAATCTGGTGTGTGTCTTGCATTTAGAGCACGACTCAGTTCACACCAGCTACATTTCAAGTGCTCAGTAGCGGCCATCTATACCTGGTGGCTGCTGTGTAGACAATGCAGTTCTAGAATTTCTATAAACCAGTAGCCAAGGCAGTGGCCACATAATAAGGAGTGTGGCACTGACCGGGTGCAGTGGCTCATGCCTGTAATCCCAACACTTTGGGAGGCTGAGGCAGGCGGATCACTTGAGATCAGGAGTTTGAGATCAGGCTGGCCAACACAGTGAAACCCCATCTCTACTAAAAATAGAAAACTTAGCCGGGCATGGTGGCAGGTGCCTGTAGTCCCAGCTACTTGAGAGGCTGAGGCAGGAGAATTGCTTGAACCCCGGAGGCAGAGGTTGCAGTGAGCCAAGATCATGCCACTGCACTCCAACCTAGGCGACGGAGCAAGACTTCATCTCAAAAACAAAACAAAACAAAAAACAAACAAACACAAGAAAAGGAATTGGGGCACTGAGGGGGCAGGAATTGAGACAGCATTTACATGTTGGTAAAATCTTTCTACTTAGCATGCATGTTTACGGAGAGGCTTTCCAAGCCACCGGGGAGCACTGTCCCATCAAACCCCAAGCACTAAAGGTCTCAGGCATGACCTCCTGGAATGGGTTCTGGCAGAATGGACTTGCAGAGGTAAGATTCCCAGGTCTACCCCAAAGTCTCAATTGAGAGCCAGCATCTGTCTCTTGCAATTGATTTTTTAAAATAAGAGTATATTCATTTACAAAGGACTTGTAGATCATAACCGTGCACCCGTGGAATAAATGAATGAATGAATGAAAAATGCCAGTGTGAAGAACAGAAAGCAGCTCTTCTCATGGAATGAGGGGCGGTGGATCGGGCATCTGACCTACATCTAAACTCAGGGGTTGGGCAACGAGACTGGAATTTTGATCTTGGGCTGCAGACCATCAGAGATGTGCCTGGGGCAGGCAGTTGTAGACTCAGTCAGAGCTGCATCCTTATTAGACGTGGATCCCAAAGTGCATCCAGAGCCCCCGTTTCCACTGCCCATCATCCCATCAGGAGAGGGCCCTGCCTTTGCTTCTCACAGCCTTTCATTCATCCAGTCACCCATTCATTTATTCACTGAGCACAATGTATCAAGTAGAACCTTTAAAAAGTTGTGCTAAGTGGAAGAGGCCAGTCACAAAAGTCCACATAATGTGTGATTCCATTTATACGAACATCCAGAGTGTCTATAGAAACAGAAAGTAGGTTAGTGCTTGCTTAGGGCTGAGGGGGATGGGGGATAGGAGGGTGACTGCCCACAGGTACAGGGTATCATTTTTGGGTAATGAAAAGGTTCTAAAATCGACCATGATGATGTCTGCACAGTTCTGAATACACTAAATACCATTGCAGTGCACACTTTCTAAGGGTGAATTGAACGGTGTGTCAATTAAACCTCAATAAGGCCATCTAAAAATATGTGTTGAGCACTTACTGTGTGTTGGGCACACTGGGGACTCAGGAGTGAATGGAACTAATGCCATCCTCACCCTCAGGCCACATACAGTGTGGGGATGGAGGCAGCTGCTAAACAAATGATCATACAAATCATTTTCCTTTTTGTTTTGCATTCTATTTTGTTTTTAATGGACACTGTAAACCAAAAATAAAATTGTAAGGCCCTGCAACCTTCTGAATGGACCCCTCCTCTAGGCCAAGGACATTCTAGAATGAACCTGAAAATCTAGTTCAGGCCGTCATGGAAGAGGGGGTTGGACATTTCTTATTATACCCTCCAGCTTTAACACAGACCTTAAGTCTGATAAGAAACATTTACAATCTATTCTCTCTGAAGCCTGTTACGTGAAGGCACCATCTGCATGATAACACCTTGGTCTCTACAACCCATATGGCAACTCAGACCTTTTCTTTTCTTTTCTTTTCTTTTCTTTTCTTTCTTTCTTTCTTTCTTTCTTTCCTTCCTTCTTTCCTTCCTTCCTCCATCCCTCCCTCCCTCCCTTTCTTTCTGTCTTTCTGTCTTTCTCCTTCCTTCCTTTTTTTTTTTTTTTGAGACAGAGTCTCTCTCTGTCGCCCAGGCTGGAGTGCAGTGGCGCCATCTCGGCTCACTGCAAGCTCCGCCTCCTGGGTTCACGCCATTCTCCTGCCTCAGCCTGCCGAGTAGCTGGGACTACAGGTGCCTGCCACCATGCCTGGCTAATTTTTTTGTATTTTTAGTAGAGACGGGGTTTCACTGTGTTAGCCAAGATGGTCTTGATCTCCTGACCTCATGATCAGCCTGCCTCGGCCTCCCAAAGTGCTGGGATTACAAGCGTGAGCCACCACGCCCGGCTGTCTTTCTTTCTTTCTTCCTTCCTTCCTTTCCGTGAGCCAGCATGCCCTTCCTCCCTCCTCCCTCCCTCCCTTCCTTCCTTCCTTCCTCTCTCTCTCCTTCCTTCCTTCCTCCCTGCCTTTCTTTCCTTCCTTCCCTTCCTTCCTTCTTTTCTTCCTTTCTTTCCTTCCTTCCTTTCTTCCCTCCCTCTCTTTCCTTCTTTCCTTCCTTCCTTCCTTTCTTTCTCTTTCTTTCTTCACAGGGTCTCACTGTGTTGCCCAGGCTGGACTGCAGTGGCATGATCTTGTCTTACTGTAACCTCCACCTCCCAGGTTCAACCCACCTCAACCTGCCAAGTAGCTGCAGTTACAGGCATGTGACCCCACACCTGGCTAATTTTTGTATTTTTAGTAGAGATGGGGTTTTACCATGTTGTGCAGGCTGGTCTCGAACTCCTGACCCCAAGTGATCCACTCACCTCAGCCTCCCAAACTGCTGAGATTACAGGCGTGAGCCACGGCACCCGGCCACGACTCAGACATTTCTTACTACCGATAATAACTTTTCAACCAATTGGCAATCAGAAAAATTTACATCCATCTACAACCTGGAAGGCCCTGCACACTTTGAGTTGTCCCACGCTTCCAGATGGAACCAATGTCAGTCTTACACATATTGACGTATTACGCCTCCCTAAAATGTATAAAAACAAGCTGTACCTTGACCTCCTTCGACACATTCAGGATCTCCTGAGGCTGTGTCACCGGCACGTCCTTAAACTTGGCAAAATAAACTCTCTAAATTGATTGAGCCCTGTCTCAGATACTTTGGGGTTCACAATACTTGGCAATGGTACATATTTATGGTTTCCATACATGTATACATTGTGTAATGATCAAATCAGGGTAACCAGCAAATCCATCACCCCAAACCTTGATCATTTCTTTGTGGTGAGAACATTCAGACGTCTCTTGTCGCTGTTTGGAAACACACACCACGTTATTGTTAACTGTCCTCACCCTGGGGACAGCAAGGAGGGCCGAAAGGAAGTGCAGGCTGCTGTGAGCGCCTTCAAGAGGGGGCAGCACTGAGCTCACCTGCGAGCCTAGGCCTGGAGAGCAGCTGGAGTCTCCAGCCCGAGGGGAGGCGGAGGAGGAAACTGCCTTGCAGGCAGAGGGAAGAGCATGTGCGGAGGCCCCGAGGCAGAGCCTGGCAATTCGTCGGCGGAACAGATGCTGGAAGTGGGGAGGAGGAGGAGGAGGAACAGGAGGAGGTACGGGGGTCTGGGCCGCTGTAGAGAGCCGAGGCCTCTGAAGTCTCAGCACTAGGGCAGTGGGAAGCTGTTACAGGGTAGACGCCCGGGATGTGGGAGGGGCTATATGATAATCTGGGAGGTTTTTTGTTTTTTTTTTTTTTTTTTTTTGAGATGGAGTTTTGCTCTTGTTGCCCAAGCTGGAGTGCAATGGCGTGATCTCGGCTCACCGCAACCTCCGCCTCCCGGGTTCTAGTGATTCTTCTGCCTCAGCCTCCCGTGTAGCTGGGATTACAGGCATGCGCCACCATGCCCAGCTAATTTTTGTACTTTTAGTAGAGACGGGGGTTTCACCTTGTTGGTCAGGCTGGTCTCGAACTCCCGACCATAGATGATGCGCCCGCCTTGGCCTCCCAAAGTGCTGGGATTGCAGGCGTGAGCCACTGCGCCCGGCCTGGGAGTTGTTCTGTATTGTGGAGTAAAGGGAGGCAGAGGTGAAGCCATCGAGAGAGCAGCGAGCTCATCGCTCCCCACATTCTATTAAAATGCACATTCTCCCGGGAGGGGGTTTCCAGTTAATGAAACAGGAAGCGAGGTCTGTTGAGCTTGCAACCAGCTGAGAGCAATTTGAGGACAAAAGGGAAGGGCGGGAAGAAGCGGGATCTCGGGAAGGTGGCAGGCAGGTGAGAGCCTGGCTGGCCCGTTCACGCCTGTCTGCCCCTGGTGGCCAGGACGGGAAGGTCAGAGGACAGGGTCGGAGGCGCCAACGCTCCTGGGGTCCCAGCTGCTGCAGATCCGGGCTGGGGCTGGGCCTGGCCGCTGCTGGGGGCGGGAGGCAATTCCCAGCCCCGGGCCGGTGACGTCAACGTTGTCATGGAGACCCGGCTTCCCTGCCCAGCGTTGCAGCTGCGGGAGCCCGGGCTGGGAGGCTCTGTGAGGCTGAGGGAAGCAGAGGGCACAGACCTGGGTCCTGCAGGCGGTGGCTCCACCTAAGAGCACAACCCTGCCAGAGGCAGGATGCCCAGAATGGGCGGGGCTCCCTGCTGCACCCAGCCCGCCCCGACCCTTGCCGCCCAGACGTGGCTTCGGCCTTGCGCTGGCTCCTGGGGTAGCGGATGGGGAACCCCCTGAGATGGGGGCCCAGGCTTCCCCACCTTGGGGTCCAGGGACTGCCCTCTCAGGGGCGGACTCAGTCCCCAATCTGGAAGTTGTCTTGGCATAAGAGTGTTCTGGCATGCTCCTGTCGTCGTCCCCTTAACAGGAGTGTTTCCGGACCAAACTGAGGGTGGGGCTGCTTATTCTCGCGGCCCAATAACGAGATGCAGATGAACGGGGAAAGGAAGGAGTTGATTTCTGTAACCGGGTGCAGGGAGAAGGCCTGGAAATTATCCCCAGACCAACTCAAAATTACAAAGTTTTCCAGAGATTATGTACCTTCTAAGCTATATGTCTACGTCTGAGTGTGTATTCATCTAAAGACATAAGTGATTAACTTCTTTCTTTCTTTCTTTTTTTTTTTTGGAGACGGAGTTTCACTCTGTCACCCAGGCTGGAGTGCAGTGCACTGCAGTTCACTGCAACCTGTGCCTCCTGTGTTCAAGCAATTCTCCTGCCTCAGCCTCCTGAGTAGCTGGGATTACAGGCATGCACCACCCCGCCCAGGCTAATTTTTCTATTTTTAGTAGAGACAGGGTTTCACCATGTTGGTCAGGCTGGTCTCGACCTTCTGATCTTGTGATCCAACCACCTGGGCCTCCCAAAGTGCTGGGATTACAGGCTTGAGCCACCATGCCTAGCCGTGATTAACTTCTATAACTAAGGTCTGAGTCCTGAAGCTCTTCCTCTGGAGCCTCAGTAAATTTATTTAATCTAAATGGGTCCAGGTGCTGCGGTGATTACCCTTATCTTGTCTCCTGCTAAATCATGGGGGTTTGGGGAGTTCCTTCAGACCCCCAATAAACTTGCCTGTGGAGGCCTGGGGAGTTATTTCAGACCCCCAGTAAAACTTGTTTAATCCTAAACAGGTCCTGTTAAGAATTCCTTCGTTATCCTGTCATGCTTCAAGGCCCAGGAAAGGCCCAGGCAAAACTCTTGGTGGGCTTTTGTGACATTCCAGCCTTTGTAGAAGGGCACTGGCTCTCTCAGCTATTAATGTTTCACTGAACTACTCGGTCAGTGCCGAAGCCGTTGTGATGAAGCCTGCGTTAGTGAGACCCGGCCTGCACAGGAGCACATGAAGAGGGAACCAGAAGCCTCTTACTGACCTCCTTCCACTCCCCCCGTTCTGTTTCCAATGCCTATTCACTAAGGAACATTGACCGAGCCCCTCCTTGTGCCAAGCAGTGTCCTGAATGCTTTATGAGGTCACGGAATCCTCCCTGTGGCCCCAGGACCTACAAGGGACATTTTGGAAGCCGCTGGTTTATTTATTGTTGAGCACATATGTGTTCACACATGTGTTCCCTGGAGCACATGTGTGAAATGGTGTTCTTCTTGGCGCTATGGACTGCTCTGTCAAATCTTTCCAGTTTGTTTTTTTAATAGATGTATTTTTTGTTTTTGGAGACAGGGTCTCACTCTGTCACCCAGGCTGAGGTGCACTGGCACCATCATAGCTCACCGCACCCTCCACCTCCTGGGCTCAAGTGATCCTCCCACATCAGCCTCCTGAGTAGCTGGGACTACAGGCCAGTGCTACCATGCCTATTTTTAAATTTTTTATAGAGACGGGGTCTCACCACGTTGCCCAGGCTGGTTTCAAACTCCTGGCCTTCAGTGATCCTCCTGCCTTGGCTTCTTAAAGCACTGGGATTACAGGTGTGAGCCGCCATGCCTGGGCTTTTCCAGTTTCTTAAAATACCTTTAGTAGCACAAAGTCAGTCTAAGCTAGTTAAGACTTTGGCCTCAAAACTCAGTTCACGTTTCCTTCAGCCCCTCCCTTTTCTGAGCACCTGCCTCATTTTGCTGGGGTTGCCCTTGTCCTCCGTAGGCCATTGCTGCTTCTCTGGCTGACAACAGGGATGTTCAAATGGTGGTCCAGGTGTGAGCTTTGGGAGAGACCCCATGAGGCAGGGGTGGAGGTGATGGTCCCCAGGCCATATTCCCCCCAGCCCCTTCCCCCTGTGGGCCACCTCCCGCTGCCCCCTGCTGGGTCTCTTCTTCCTTTCTGGGTGGCATAACAGGAAGCTATCTCAGGCTTACTGCCTCCTGGTGTCCACTTGACTCCCAGAAAGTCACACTGCCCTGACCTGTAGACTGGAGGACATTGCTGTGGTCACCTCTCCCCACCCAGGCACCTCTTGCTAGCTGCCTTTCTCTAGTCCAGGCAGGCAGCATGAAGATCAAGCATCACCTGCCTTGGGCTGGGGGTGGCTGGAGGACAGGAGTGAACCCGGAACCTGGGAAGGAGATTTCCCTCTTTTTCTCTCCCTGCTCATGGACCTCAAGTCTTCTGTTGGAGGTGGGATGACATATGGAGAGAGTGGAACATTTTGCACCACTTTTTAATAAGCCCTGAAGTCGTCTTTTAGTTTTCTACCTTTAGAACATGGGGAACTCATGCCTAGATGGTGATTTCTAGACTGCTAGAGAAGGCTCACTCAGTCTCCTCTTATTTTGACCATCCATCTACCCAATGATCCATCCACCCACCCTCTATCCATCTATTCTCCATCCATCCAGCCATCTACTTATTCATCCATCTGTCCATCCTCTCTCCATCCACCCTTCCACCTACCCATCCACCCACTCACCCATCCATCCATCCATCCATCCATCCATCCGTCCATCCACCCACCCATTCATTTATCTATCTACCCATCCATCTATCCATCCATTCACCATCATCCACCCACCCATCCATCTATCCATCCACCCACCTATCCATCTATTCATCTATCCAGCCACCCATCCATCTATCCATTCACTCATTCATTCATCTATCCATACATACATTCACCATCCATCCATTCATCCATTCACCCTCCATTCATCGACGTTGACTGTACACCTACTATGTGCCAGTCACTCTGGTAGATGCTGAGGATCTAGCAATGAACAAGCAAGACCAAAATTCCCATGCTTATAAAGCTTATGTTCTGGGAGGAGTCAGGCAATAACAAAATCAACAATGAAAAGATATAGTGGGCCAGGCGTGGTGGCTGGTGCCTGTAATCCCAGCACTTTGGGAGGCTGAGGCGGTAGATCACTTGAGGTCAGGAGTTGGAGACCTACCTGGCCAACATGGTGAAACCCCATCTCTACTAAAAATACAAAAATTAGCCAGGTTTGGTGGGACCTAGCTACTCGGGAGGCTGAGGCACAAGAATCGCTTGAACCCGGGAGGCAGAGTTTGCAGGGAGCTGAGATGGTGCCATTGCACTCCAGTCTGGGTGACAGAGCGAGACTCCATCTCAAAAAAAAAAAAAAAGAGAGAGATGGAAAAGATGTAGTACCTTAAAAGGATAAATACGGTAGAGAAAAATTAATCCAAACAGGGGACTGGTGAGAGTTGAGGAGGGGTATCCAGGTGGGGCTCACTGAGAAGGTGACATTTGAGCAAAAACCTGAGGGAAGGGAGAAGGGAGCTGAGTGGGTATTTGGGGAAAGAGTATTCTAGGCAGAGGGAACAGCCAGTGCAGAAGCCCAGAGGTGGGAGTGGGCACAGAGTGTGAGGAGCAGGAGGAGGGGATGCAGCCAGGGCAGAGTGGGCACAGGGGAGGAGAGGGGAGGGCCGGGTCAGCGGCTGCTTGCGGGCCTCTGGGTGTCATTGGTTTCACTGTCCATCCGCTCGGTCCACAGTAGCTCCACATGCACTGCAGCACTTGCTGCTCACCGGGCCCCTTGCTGAGGGTTCCCCTGTGCACGTGTCATCTCATCTCCAAAATAGTCTCATCATTCTCATTTTATAGATGAGAAAACTGAGGCCTGAGCCTGTAAGGTGAACCATGAGGGATGAGAAGGGAATAGGCTGGAAGTGGGTATTTGGGGTGGGTCGGGCAGAGCCCAGGCCTACATGACATTCTCTGGGAAGAGGCAGCCAGGCCTTTGCCAAAAACCTCCCTATGGCTGCCCCAGTTGGCCCAGGTTCTTGAACCTAGAAGAACCCAAATCTTCTTGTCACAAACTCTCTTGGGGAGGCAAGAAGCTTCTCTGTTCCCAGCCTTCCAGGATGACCAGCCCCAGCGGGCGTGTGTGTGGTGGGGTGGGGGAGAGGGAGGGACAGAGCCAGGTTTTTCCTACCAGGCAGGCCCATGCAGCTTGCGCGTGGGTGGGTGAGAGAAGGGTGGGTGGTTCTTAGCAGAAGGAGATGATGCCAAATGGGCCCAGGAGGTGGCCAATAGCATCCAGAGGCCAGAGCTGCTCTGGCAGAACCAGGCACTGGCTCCATCTCACAGTGGTCCAGGGGCCACATTTGAGCCTCCCTTGGCCTGTCTTGGCAAGAAATAGAGAGCAGACATTTACAAAATGTTTGGTTATTCATTTGACAAATATTTACATGCGTCTACTGTGTGCTAGGCCCTGGGTTCTGTACTGAGTAGATGATGAGTGAGTGGGTGGATGGGTGGGTAAATGAATGAGTGGATGACTGGGTGGATGGGTAGCTGGATCAATGGATAGATAGATGGATGATGGATGAATAGATTGGTGGGTGAGTGGATGGGTGAATAAATGGGTGGGTGTATAGATGGATGTGTGGATTGTTGAGTGACTCATGGATGGATATATATTAGTTGTTTATTGCTATTTAACAAATCATTTTAAAATTTGTGGCTTAAAGCAGAAAATATTTATTATCTCACTATGTCTCTGGCTCAGGAATTTGGGATTGCCTAGCTGGGTTGTTCTGGCTCAGGGCCTCTCACACGGCTGCTGCAGGATGGTGGCTTGGTCTGCAGTTTCATATGACAGCTCGCCTGGGGCTGGAGGATCCACTTAATGATGGATCCCTTGCACAGCTATTAACAGGAGGCCTTGGTTTCTCATTACACTGGCCTCTCTGTAGGCTATGTGAGTGCCCTCATGATGGCAGCTGGCTGTATTCAAGGTCAGTGATTCTAGAGAGAAAGAGAAAGACCAAGATGGAAGCCAAAGTGCCTCTGATGACCTTGTCTCCGGGTCTTACACCATTACTTCTGGTTTTTCCTTTTTTTTTTTTTTACCTGTTAGAAGCAAGTCACAAAGTTCCACCCAAACTCAAGGGGAAAGGAAGTAATTTCCACCTCTTTGTGTTTTTTTTTTAAGACAGGGTCTCACTCTGTTGCTCAGGCTGAAGTGCGGTGGCGCAGTCATAGCTCACTGCAGCCTTGACCTCCTGGGCTTAAGCGATCCTGCTGCCTCAGCCTCCCAAGAAGCTGGGACTACAGGAACATACCACCATGTCCAACTAATTTTTGGTATTTTTAGTAGAGAGAGAGAGAGAGGTCTCAAACTCTTGAGCTCAAGGGATCCTCCTGCCTCGACCTCCCAAAGTGTTGGATTACAGCCGTGAGCCAATATGCCCGATTAGTTTCTACCTCTTGAAGGAGGAGTATGAAAGAATGTGTGGGCACAGTTTAATACCATCACAAGAGATAAATGGCTAGAGCAGCAATAATTCTTCCAGGGTGCTGAAATCTTAGAATGATTTTAAACCAGGGATTCTCAACAGTAACTTCATGTTAAATTCCTCTGGGACACTAAGAAAATATCAGTTTTGGGGAATCAACCTTGACATTCTTATTAGTCTGGGGAGTGACTTGGACATTGGCATCTGTGCTTTTGTTTTGTGGAATGATTTTAAGCTTTAATTGTGAAACCCAGCATATATGTTCTGCTTTTTAAAATTATAATAAAAATATAACATAAAAGTTACCATTTTAACTATTTATTTATTTATTTATTTTCAAGACAGGGTCTCACTCTGTCACCCAGGTTGGAGTGCAGTGGCGCAATTTCAGCTCACTGCAACCTTCGCCTCCCAGGCTTAAGCAATCCTCCTACTTCACCCTCCCGAGTAGCTGGGACCACAGGTGCCCGCCACCACACCTGGCTAATTTTTTTGTATTTTTGGTAGAGATGAGGTTTCTCCATGTTGCGCAGGCTGGTCTGGAACTCCTGAGCTCAGGTGATCCATCCACCTCAGTCTCCCAAAGTGCTGGGATCATAGGTGTGAGCCACTGTGCCTGGCCCATTTTAACAATTTTTGAGTGTCCCATTCAGTGGCACTCTGTACATTCACACTGCCATGCAACCATCCCCCTCAGTACACTTTCATCTTCCCAAAGGGAAACTCTGGGCCCATTAAACACAAGTTCCCCATTTCCGCCTCCTCCTGCAGCCCCTGGCAGCCACCGTCCTGCTTTCTGCCTCTATGAATCCGACTACTCTAGGAGTCTCCTGTTTGCAGAAACTACAGTATTTGTCCTTCTGTGTCTGGTTTACTTCACTTAGCACAATATCTCTGAGGTTTATCCATATTGTACCGTGTGTCAATTTTTTTTGTTTTGTTTTTTGTTTGTTTGTTTCTTTGAGATGGAGTCTTGCTCTGTTGCCCACGGGAGTGCAGTGGCGCAATCTCGGCTCACTACAACCTCCGCCTCCCAGGTTCAAGTGATTCTCCTGCCTCAGCCTCCTGAGTAGCTGGAATTACAGGTGTGCACCACGACGCCCAGCTAATTTTTGTATTTTTACTAGAGACGGGGTTTCACCATGTTGGCCAGGTTGGTCTCCAACTCCTGACTTCAGGTGATCCGCCTGCGTTGGCCTCCCAAAGTGCTGGGATTACAGGCATGAGCCACCGCGCCTGGCCATGTGTCAGAGTTTTATTTCTTTTACAGTTGACTAATATTCTGTTGTCTGTCTAGACCACATTTCTTTATCCATGCACCTGTGGATAGACTTTAAAAATCCACAGCGGTGGGTTTTTAAAGTGTCCTGGTGGTGCTGCTGTGCAATCAGTGATGAAAACCAAAGCCTGGATGGCACGGTGGCTCATGCCTGTAATCCCAGCACTTTGGGAGGCCAAAGCGGGTGGATCACTTTGAGGTCAGGAGTTGGAGACCAGCTTGGCCAACATGGCGAAACCCCGTCTCTACTAAAAATACAAAAAATTAGCCAGGTGTAGTGGTGGGCACCTGTAATCCCAGCTACTCAGGAGGCTGAGGCACAAGAATTGCTTGAACCCAGGAGGCAGAGGTTGCGGTGAGCCGAGATCGCGTCACTGCACTCCAGTCTGGGCGACAGAGTGAGACTCTGTTACATAAAAAAGAAAAGAAAGAAAAAACCAAGGCATAAGTCCAGCATTTCGCAAATCCTCTCTGCACAATAGAATCACCTGAGAGCTGTTTTAAACAATGCGGATGGCTGGCGCCTGTCCTAGAGCAGCTGCATCAGATTCTGGGCTGGGGGAGAGGTGGGGCTAGCCAGGAATTGAGTTCCTTGCAGCGCGGGGGAGGGCAAGGTGTGCAGAATTATTTCCCAGTCTCTGCTGCCTCCTGGTGGCACAATTGACAACAGTCGGGTAGTGACGCCTGTCAGCATGGTTCCTCTTCCTCTCCAGGGCTGGCTTACCCAGCCCCAAAGGACCCCACTCCCGGGGGTCTGGGGACCCTGAAGGCTCTTGTCTGACCCCTCTCCCCACCTGTATTTCCTGGCTGGCCTTGCGTGCCTCTGTGTTTAGAAGAACCGACGAGTTTATTAGAGAAGGAAAGACTGCACTGTGTGACCTTGAATAAGACAGTTCGCCCGTGCCTCAGTTTCCCTGACTTTCACGCAAGGATCACCACGGTTTCCTCTGTCAAGTTCCTGAGATGGCAGGCAAGCATGCGTGTTAGGGCTGGGGAGGCCACCGCGGGGAGGTTTCGTACCCTCAGCATAATTGCCATTAGGGGCCAGATCACTTGGTGGGGACCGTCCGTGCACTGTAGGGTGCTGAACAGCTTCCCTGGCCTTGACCTCCTAGATGCCAGTAGCATCCCTGAGCTGGGATAATCAAAAACTGTCTCCAGATAGGGGCAATGTCCCCTGAGTGCAGGATTGCCAAATAAAATAGTTAAATTTGAATTTAACTTTGAAAATTTGAATTTCAGATAAGCACATAATGTTTTTGTATAATTATGTCCAAAGACTGCATTTTTATTTCCTAAATCTGGAAACCCTTCCTGAGGGACAAAATCACTCCAGCTGGCACTAGCCAGTGCCCTTGTGAGTTTTTGACACCTGTTTCAAGAACTCACACCAGGCTGGGGGCTAAGGCGGCAGATGGGGAAGTTGTGGCAGGGGCGGAACTTGCCCCAGCCTGGCAGGGGGAGGGGTGCCGTCTTGCGGGAGTGGGACAGGCAGGCCCAGGAGTGATAAGCGTGAACTAGAGAGTGCTGTGCAGGAGGAAGCTGGGGCCGCCGTCGGGCCTTCTCCCTCCAGGGGCCCAAGAGCCACTGGTACTCAGTGTCTGGGTGGGGGCAGGGGGGATTTTTGTTCTCCCAGCACCTGCGGCTGTTGAGACCAGAGAAGCTGGTGGTCGACCACAGCCTGGGGTATTAGTTCACCCCTAGCTTCTCCCCAGCGAGACCCCAGGGCCCTTGGGCACAGGGGATTAAGCCTCTATCTGCTTACGTGCAAGCGGAAGAAATAGGCCCAGAGAGCAACAGTGGCGGGTCTGCAGTCACACAGCCAACTTGCGCTTGTGGCAGTGGCAAGGTTGGTGAGTATCTGAGTCTTCAGGCCACGGCATTTTCCGCTCGAGTGGAGCCTGGTAAGTGGCCTCTATTTCTGGTACATTCTCTGGGAGCCCCCAGTATTTTCCAGACAGAGGGCACTGAAGACAGGCTTTGTGCTGAGGATGGGTCACCTGAGGTCCAGCTGCTCCCCCGTACTCCTCCAGGGAAGGGCTGGGACCCCTTCTCCTGCGGCTGCCCCTAAAAGGACAGATTGTTGCTTTTGTGGGATGAGGAGAGACAATGTGGCATGGTGGTTAAGCACGTGGACTTGGAGCCAGACGGCCTGGGGCTGAATCCTGGCTCCGCCTCTCACCAACTGTGACCTTGGGCAAGGTACTTAAACACCCTGTGCCTCCATTCTTAATCCATGAAATGGGCATGATGAAATGACACCTACTCCGTAGGGTTGTTAGAAGAATGAAATGAATTAGTAAGTGCTCAGAACAGTGTGTGGGGCCGGGCACAGTGGCACATGCCTGTAATCCCAGCGCTTTGGGAGGCCAAGGCAGGTGGATCACTTGAGGTCAGGAATTTGAAACCAGCCTGGCCAAGATAGTGAAACCCTGTCTCTACTAAAAGTACAAAAATTAGCTGTGTGTGGTGGCCCATGCCTGCAATCACAGTTACTCGGGAGGCTGAGGCAGGAGAATCACTTGAGCCTGGGAGGTGGGGGTTGCAGTGAGCTGAGACAGCGCCAGTGCATACCAGCCTGGGTAACAAAGCAAGACTCTGTCTCCAAAAAAAAAAAAAAAAAAAAGAAAGAAAAGAAACAAAAAGAAAAGAAGAAAACCAGTGTGTGGCAGGTACGCAGGTAGTAAGGTTTACTTTTCTTCTAGTGACATTTACTGTCTTCCTTAGGAAGCTGGTTCAGTGGGGCTGTCGACCACAGGTACCAACCCTGCCCTCCCCTACAGAGTATGTGACGTAGGCACAGCCAATGACTGCATCCCAGTGCTTCGACCAGTCACAGGGTCAAGGGTGAGCACGTGACCCCAGCAAATGAGCACATCCCTGGGGCTGGCGTGCAGAGGCTCTGGGAGTAAAGCTTCCTTTTCCCTGGCCAGGTGCAGTGGCTCACACCTGTAATCCCAGCACTTTGGAGTCCCAAGCAGGCAGATCGCCTGAAGTCGGGAGTTTGAGACCAGCCTGGGTGAAACCCCATCTCTAATAAAAGTACAAAAAATTAGCCGGGTGTGGTGGTATGTGCCTGCAATCCCAGCTACCCAGGAGGCTGAGGCAGGAGAACTTGGGAGGCATAGGTTGCACTGAGTTGAGATAGTGCCAGTGCACTCCAGCTTAGGCAACAGAGCCAGACTCCATCTCAAAAAAAAAAAAAAAAAAAAAAAAAAAAAAAAAAAACCGAAACCAAACCAAAACACAACCAAAGCTTCCTCTTCCCACTGTGGGTGCAGAGGCCTGGGGCTGTGGTCAGCATCCCTAGCACATGGGGCTTAAAAAGAATGAAACCAACCCATTGAGGGTTCTCTTGAGTCCCTGGATTCACCTTGCCTGCCAGGCAGAATCCTCCCTGGAATTCCCACAGATGTGAGACAGTGAATCTCCCAGTTTGCTTAAGCAAGTTTGAATAGAGTTCTAATCCATGCACCCTCTGTGCCCCATAGAGCAAGAGGGGTTCCCCCAAGGCAGTCCCCTTCCTCCATAGACCAGCGCTCTTGGCCTTTGTTTTGATCCACCTGCTGCCCCGACATCCAGGCCCAGCCTCACACCGAGACACTGGCCCACTCTCAGGGAGGTGGGTCCTCCAGGTCTGATGTGATTAGAGCTCGCTTATAAGAGGAAACAAACAAACTTGTATTAAATACCTGCTGTGTGCCAGGTATTGTGCTGGGGCTTTGAGGTTATTTTAGTTGTATTTTACAGATGAGGAAACTATAGCTCAGAGAGGTAAAGTGACTTGTTCAAGCTCACACAGCCAGGAAGTAGAATCGCTTCTATTTGAACCCAGTCTGGTTCCAAAGCATCCACTATATCATATGGCTTATTACTTGCAGGAGGAAGATTTTTTTTCCGTCAAAAATTTTTGCCCTTTGGATTTTCCCCAATTTGTACATATTTATGGGTTACAGAGTGACATTTTGATACACATATAAAATATGTAATGATCAGGCCAGACGTGGTGGCTCACACCTTTGATCCCAGCCCTTTGGGAGGCCAAGGCGGGCAGATCAGTTGAGGCCAGGAGTTCAAGACCAGCCTGGCCAACATGGTGAAACCCTGTCTCTACGAAAAATACAAAAATGAACTTGGTGTGGTGGTGCAAGCCTGTAGTCCCCAGCTCCTTGGGAGGCTGAGGCAAGAGAATCGCTTGAACCCGGGAGGCAGAGGTTGCAGTGAGCTGAGATTGTGCCACTGAACTCTAGCCTGGGCGAAGAGAGACTGTCTCAAAAAAAAAATGTATAATGATCAAATCAGAGTCATTATCATATCCATCACTTCAAACGTTTGTCATTTCTTTGTGTTGTGAACATTGAAAATCTCTTCTAGCTTTTTGAAAATATACAATAAGCCATAGTTAACCATATTCACCCTACAGTGATGCAGAACGCCAGAGCGCGTTCCTCCTACCTAGCTGAAATTTGTGTGCATTCACCAACTTCTCCCTATCCTCCCCTCCCTCCTCCCCTTCCCAGCCTCCAGTATTCAAAATTCTACTCGCTTCCTCCATGTGCTCAACATTTAAACACAGATTTTAATTGTGGTACAAAGCACACAAAAGTTACCATTGTGGGGGCGGGGGGGGGGGCGGTGTTGGCTAAAATTGAAAAGGTAGCAGAGTACCTCTCAGTCAAAAGATGACCTAGAGAGTCCATTACTCCGAGTACATAGTACCCCTGGAAAATAGGGGTTAGGTCTCATTCATGCATTCAACCTGCTAGGTGCCAGGCAGTGCTCAAGGAAGGGCCTGACTGGGATGAGACCAATGAGGGCTCCAGGTGCAGAGTTGAGGATGGTGCTGCTTCACAGGTGATGACCCTGCCTGTGTATGACTCTAAGAGTGACTGCCATCTTCCATCCTACTCCTGGGGCCCAGCCTATCTCCCTGGAGCCCCAGCCCCCATGCAGGGTGAAGGAGGGTTTAGATGACTTGGCAGAGTCTTAGTCCAGCCAGGAAAGGAACGTCCCATGCACTACCCCTGAGAAATGACTCCATCAACAGTGGTTTCAGGAGCGCTTAGTATGTGCTGGGAACTGGGGTGGACAGGAGTGACCACAGGCATCCCACTGCTTTCAGGGAGCTGGTGGGGAGAACTCAAGACAGATGATAGCACATATAATCATTTGTTACCCCACGGTGGGTGCTATGAAGGAAAGAGCCAGGTGCTACGAGACGGGAGTGAACAGGGGCCGGGAGCCTCACTTCCCATCTGGCCAGACTTCCTCAGGTTCTGGGACCCAGCTTCACAGGGCCCCTCGTCCTCCCAGCTTTGAAGTTCTTATCATTGGTCCCGCTCCTCTTGTTCTTCCAGACGTGTGAAGAGGGCCTGCTCTGTGTCATTATCAACTTGCAATAACTTAGTGTCCCATTTCATCTTTTTGGTTCTCGATACCTGCTTCACAGTTCACCTATTATGTTTTATCGACAGAAGAACCAGTCTAGCTGGGTTCGGTGGCTCATGCCTGTAGTCCCAGCACTTTGGGATGCTGAAGTGGGGGGATCACTTTAGCCCAGGAGTTTGAGACCAGCCTGGGCAACATAGTGAGTCTCTGTCTCTACTAAAAAAAGAAAAGACAGAAAAGGAAAGGAAAGAAGGAAGGAAGGAAAGGAAAGGAAGAAAAAGATAGCTGGGCATGGTGGTGCACACCTGTAGTCACAGCTACTAGCGAGGCTAAGGTGGGAGGTTCACACGAGCATGGGAGGTTGAGGCTGCAGTGAGCCACAGTAGCACCACGGCCTTCCAGTCTGGATGACAGAGACAGACCCTATCTCAAAAACAAAAACAAAACAAAAGAACCGGTGTGCTCTGTCTCTTGACTGGACCGACTGGCACAGACTTGCTGGAACACTGGTCACCCAGGCAAAGAGCCCAGGTAGAGCGACCTGCGTGGTCAAAAGCCAGGAGGCTGGAAGGAGTGAGGGACATTTCCGGAGCCAGAGGCCACAGTGGCCAGAGGGGAGTGAAAGGGGTGAGGTTGGGCTCAGGAATGGGCACCTCATGCACCCTGAGCTGATGAGAACCAGACTTAGGGCTTTTATTGGAACTGGTGGGTTAGGAGATCCTCTCTCTTGTGGATGTGAAGCCAGGAGAAAGGAAAGCTGCAGCTATGCAGGGCTCCTGTGGGAGACAGCCTGCCTGGAGGTGAGGCCCATCCCAAGGGAGGGAGAGTGGCGAGATGAAGAAAGACTAAGTCCCAATGACATTGTTGGAGCCCCTTGATCCAGCTGTGACTGTGGCCCTTGGTTTTCAGTTACATGAGGGGATAACCTCCTTTTTTTTCTTTTTCTTTTTTTTTTTAAGACAGAGTCTTGCACTGTTATCCAGGCTGGAGTGCAGTGGTACGATCTTGGCTCACTGCAACCTCCACCTCCTGGGTTCAAGCAATTCTCCTGCCTCGGCCTCCCAAGTAGCTGAGATTACAGGCATCCGCCACTGCACCCAGCTAATTTTTTGTATTTTTAGTAAAGACAGGGTTTCACTGTGTTGGCCAGGATGGTCTCAAACTCCTGACCTCGTAATCCACCCGCCTCGGCCTCCCAAAGTGCTGGGATTACAGGTGTGAGCCACCGTGCCCAGCCAACTTCCCTTTTTTTTTTTTTTTTTGTTTGAGATGGAGTCTCACTCTGTCACCAGGCTGGTGTGCAGTGGAGTGATTTTGGCTCACTGTCAGCTCCGGCTCCTGGGTTCACGCCATTCTGCCTCAGCCTCCCAAGTAGCTGGGATTACAGGTGCCCGCCACCAAGCCTGGCTAATTTTTGTATTTTTAGTAGAGACGGGGTTTCACCATATTAGCCAGGATGGTCTCAATCTCCTGACCTCTTGATCTGCCCGCCTTGCCCTCCCAAAGTGTTGGGATTACAGGCGTGAGCCACCGCACCCAGTCCCCCAACTTCCCTTTTTGATTAAAACAGATTGAGGTGACTTTTCTTCTCACTTGTAACCAAAAAAATTCCAAATCTTTTGGCACTCCATAAATAGCAGTCATGATGGTGAAGCTGGTGGGGATGATAAGGAGGCAAGTTTGTTTTTTTTAAGATAGTCGTGCTCTGTCACCCAGACCATGGCTCTCTGCAGCCTTGACCTCCTGGGCTCAAGTGATCTCCTACCTCAGCCTCTTGAGTAGCTGGGTCTACAGGCATGGGTCACCATACCCAGCTAATTTTTTTTTTACAGGCAAAGTCTCACTATGTTGCCCAGGCTGATCTTGAACTCCTGGACTCAAACAATTCTTCCGCCTCAGCCTCCCAAAGTGCTGGGATTACAGACATGAGCTACTGCTCCCAGCCCAGGAATTGGAATTTTTTAGGGCATCTGGAGAGGTGAAAAAGGGGGCCAACAGGCTGGATGCTGCAGGAAGGAAGGGGAAAGGAAGAAGGGTTGGTTTTTCTGGATTCAAAGTGTCTCATCTTAACTCCAACCCTGGACTTTAAAAATAATGTTATGCAGTGGAACCTTTTTCCTGTTGATTCCATAAACATTCAGCAAAGAATATAAGATGATTAAGTGCTGGTTGTAAATGACCTCCAGCAACGGGGCTGGGTTTTGCATCCAGGTCACTGCAGGGCTGAACTAGAAAAGGTTGTGTTGGGTAACCCAGCCCAAGATTCAATCTTAATCGGTCTAAGCCAGTGGTGGCATTCCTAGCCTCCCTCCCACTGATTGGCCGGGAAGGGCATATGACCTAGTGCTGACCCATGAGAGGTAAGGAGAGTTGCCGGAAGCCTTCTTGGATGACCTGTGGCCACAGGAACCTCTCTTTTCTGTAAGTTGCAATATCCCTTAGGGTAGTCACTGAAAATCTTCATGTTTGACCATCCTCTGCCTTTCCCAAGTTGAATTTTGCTCAGTTTCATCCAAACAACGACTATAACTCAGGGTTGCATTCAACATATTTAACAACCGAGATAACATGGACCCTGACTAACTAATAGCCACTGGCCACAGACTGCAGGCCATATGGTAATTACCAGCTGGATGTCAACCCCAAGTCTGCTCCCTATTATGGGCTGCATGTAGTTGGCTCCTGGGGATACAGAGATAAATTATGTGGATTTACTGTTCTCAAGGTGGGCAGTCTGGTAGCTTCTGTAAGAAAAAGTAGGTTAGGTCTAGAATGCCAATGTTTCGCATTTTCCCTGTAAATCTCAGGTTCTGACCTTGGCTGACATTAGGGTCAGGGGGGAGCTTGGCCCAGGCTGATTCAGCAGATCTGGAGGGGCATGGGCATGTATGTTTAAACAAAGTCCCAGTTGGGAACCTCTGCTTTCAGCTATCCATTCAGAGGCCGAGTTCAGCGGCCAGACGTTATTCCTGAGCCTCCTGGCTGTCATACAGCGAACGACCTGACTCTCTGTAGGGGCGAGACTAGCCCATTCAGAGGTGCGTCCTTCCTTTTTCTTTAGAAGGGAGCAAGTGTGTAAAGGAGGAAGAACAAGGGTGCACTTCTGGGGACAACATAATGTCACAGAACCAGGGAAGGAATTTCATGGCCCCTAGAAAACTCAATAGGCAAGAGGATGCCATAGTCGAATGGAACCTCTATTAACCCCAAAGTCAGACAGGACCAGCCCATGGGTGCTCAGGGCACTGTGGCACAAACAAGGCCGGCCTGCTGGATAAAGGGAGGTAGAAACGCTTTCAGCCCTCCCCGGTGCTTCCCGGTTTATAACTTCATCTACTCGTGACACGTGGGGGTCCGCCGCCGCCACTGGCAGGGTGCCTTGAGTGCTTGAGTTTTCGCCCCCAGCACAGGTGGAGAACCCAACTCCCAGAAAACATCTGGGGCGGAAACGGAAGCATGGCCGCAGCGGTGAACGCACTGCATTCTGGGAAATGTAGTCGAAACGGCCGCTGGGGCAGAGTGAGCACCCACAGTGGTGCCTTCTGGGGAGGGTCGTTTTCACGTAGTCCAAGAGCCAGGGGTGGGAACCGCGGGGCTCTCACCCCAGCGCCGGGAGGGGATGAACAACTTTTGGATTTTGAATTTAAGTGTAGGATTTCGTTTTGTCAATCTCCAACCCTAACACCCAAGGAGGCAGAGAATAAGAGCAATATACACTTCTGTGATGCCATTCATGTCTGCATTGATTATTTCTCCGTCGAACTTGAGTAAACAGGCAGTTTAACCTCCCAAGCATCTGTAAAGTGGGCATATTAATAATTCCCACTTCTCAGGCTTGATAACGTCAATCAGGTAACTGGTACAGTGCCTGACACACCTTCATTGCCCTCTTCTCTTGGAACCAGTGGAGCCTACAAAGCAAACAGATGTGCTTTGTAACCAGGAGTATGAATTCTGCTCCAGGAGAGCACGGGGGACTTTGTCATATTTTGGGAGTTGTAATTTCATTAAATTCCAGCCAAAATTCATAGGCAAAAACTTAAGGAAATCTTGTCACATAAAGGGATTCAGCAAAGGTACACCAACCACCTTGCTAGCCAGGACACAGTGAGATGAAAGTTAAAAGCATATGACAAGCTTCTGGGTCAAGCATTCTCAAACAGTACTAGCGATAGTATTAATGGGTTTATCCTCTATAAAGAGTAATTTGGCAATAGCTTTCAAAATTACAAAGGCATATATGTGCAGCTTCAGTGATTCCCCCTCTAGGAATTTCTCCTGCAGACATACTCCAAGATTTTCAAAATGACAAAAGTTTAAGAATATTAATGGGACTGGGCGCGGTGGCTCACACCTGTAAGCCCAGCACTTTGGGAGGCTGAGGCGGGCAGATCACTTGAGGTTAGGTGTTTGAGACCAGCCTGGCCAACATGTTGAAACCCCATCTTTACTAAAAATACAGAAACTAGCCTGGCGTGATGGTGGGTGCCTGTAGTCCCAGCTACACGGGACACTGAGGCACAAGAATTCCTTGAACCCGGGAGGTGGAGGTTGCAGTGAGGTGAGATTGTGCCCCTGCACTCCAGCCTGGGCGACAGAGGAAGACTCTGTCTGAAATAATAATAATATTATTAATGGTAGTATTGTTTTTTAAATAAATGATTGGAAGTCATCTACACATCTGTGGATAGAGGATGAGTTACATCAATTGTGATGTATCCATATACTGGAATACCATGCAGCCATTTAAAATAATAAGGTGCAACATCATCTATATAATATTCTTGCAAAAAAATGTTTAACCTAAATCTATTATGAGGAAAGAAACAGAAATTCAAGTTAAGAGAGATTTGCAAAATGCCTGGACACTCAAAAATGTCAGTGTCATAAAAGACAATATGGACTGGCGGACTGTTTTAGATTACAGTAGACTAGAGACATGACTGTTAAATGAATGACTTTTTTTCTTTCCATTTTTTTTTGAGATGGAATCACCCAGGCTGGAGTGCAGTAGCGTGATCTTGGGTCACTGCAACCTCTGCGTCCCAGGTTCAAGTGATTCTCCTGCCTCGGCCTCCCAAGTAGCTGGGATTACAGGCACCTGCAAGCACACTCAGCTAATTTTTGTATTTTTAGTAGAAACAGGGTGGCCCCATATTGGCCAGGCTGGTCTTGAACTCCTGACCTCAGATGATCCGCCCACCTCGACCTCCCAAAGTGCTGGGATTGCAAGCCTGCGCCACCGCACCCGGCCAAGGCCCTTAGTTTGAGATAGCCTGGCCAACATGGTGAAACTCCATCTCTACTAAAAATACAAAATTTAGCTGGGCTTGGTGGCACATGCGTATAATCCCAGCTACTCAGGAGGCTGAGGCATGAGAATTGCTTGAACCTGGAAGGTGGAAGTTGCAGTAAGTCGAGATGGTGCCACTGTACTCTAGCCTGGGTGACAGAGTGAGACTTTGTCTCAAACTTAAAAAATTAAAAAAAAAAAAATGAAAAAAGAAAGGTGCAGAGCAGAGTATGCAGAATGCTGCATTTTTGTGGAAATGCTCAAAGACTGAGTCTGAAAGGAGACACAAGAAAGAGGTGACTAAGGATGTCTCGGAGAGGAGAACTGGTTTGGGGGAGGGGACATTAGGGGTAAACAGGGGACTTCTTGCACTTACCCCTTGAGACCTTTTGAATGGCATGCCATGTGCCTGTATAAACTATTCAAATTGCAAAAAAATAACTTCAAAGAAGACTGTTTCTGGGAAAGCACTTGTGGTCAGAAAACCCCAGACTCGGATCTCCTATTCCCCATTTGTAGACTTGATGGTAAACCCAAACAGAAGGAAGGAAAGCCAGTGACTTTCATATCTGTTTCCACATCTTATCCTCATTACAACCCTGTGAACCAGTTAGGTTTTATCGGGCACATTTGACAGATTAGGAAAATTGAGGCTCAGAGAGGCTCGGTGAGATGCTGGCAGAGCTGGGATTGAAACAGTCTTGACTATGACTGTACCTGGCTCCTTCCCTCCTGCAGGGGACCTCTCCAGGCACTGAGGCCTGTGGCGGGGGGTGGCAGGAGAGAGCTCAGGGTGGAAGATGTGGGTGAGGTTTACTTCCAGGCTGTGGTGCTCACTAAAGCTCCTTTCCACTGCGACTTTCACAAGGGGGCCCCTCAGTCAGGAAACAGCAGTCTAGGATGCCGGGCAGCCAAACCAGGGTTTGATTTACATGTTCTCACACTACTGGTTGGGTGGTTTATTTGGGAAGGTAGGAGCTAACTCAGCCAAAGATCCTGTTCTCTGAACCCATCTGGGTTGCTTTTTAACATCTCTATAATCCCTGAAGATGTAGATTTTAAAAAATCACTTGATTGATTTTTGTCAAATTATATGCCTTAAACAAACTAAACTTTTTCATTAAATAAATTATATTTTATTTTTTATTTTTTTGCGATGGAGTCTCATTCACTCTGTCATCCAGGCCGGAGTGCAGTGGTGTGATCTTGGCTCCTGGCAACCTCTGCCTCCTGGGTTCAAGCAATTCTCCTGCCTCAGCCTCCTGAGTAGCTGGGATTACAGGCGCCTGCCACCAAGCCCAGCTAATTATGTGTATTTTTAGTAGAGACGAGGTTTTACCATGTTGGCCAGGCTTGTCTCAAACTCCTGACCTCAAGTGATCCATCCGCCTTGGCCTCCCAAACTGCTGGAATGACAGGCGTGAGCCACTGTGCCTGGCCTTCATTAAATAAATTTAAAGAAATAGATGAGTGTTACCAATTCAAGCAATGAAGTATTTGGAGGGCAATTTGGTGTTTCTGTCAAAATTGTTTTGGTATGTGTCCAGCATTTACACAGCAAATGATTTATCTTTCCCTGTGGATATACTCACCCCACTGTTCAAGGATACATGTCCAAAGATGCATTGCTTATGAAGCAAAGACACAAACCTAGAAAGAGCTGAGATGTCCCTCAATGGACAGCTGCTTCACTTAAGTGTAATCCATCTACGCGGCGGAATGCAAGGTACCATGGTTGAGAAAAAGAAAGCTGGCTGGATTTGCTGACCTAGAAAGAGATCTGCAATATACCGTTAAGTAAAAACAACAGTAGAATAATATGATCCCATTGTGAAAAAAAAAAAGTTAAAAACACATAGAGGTATCTATGTTTTAGCAAACATAGAAAACAATGTATAAGATCCAGCAATTTGGCTGGGTGTGGTGGCTCATGCCTGTAATCCCAGCACTTTGGGAGAACAAGGCGGACAGATCACCTCAGGCCAGGAGTTCAAGACCAGCTTGGCCAACATGGTGAAATTCCATCTCTGCTAAAAATACAACAACAACAACAAAAATTAGCTGGACATGGTGGCGGGCATCCGTAATCCTAGCTACTCAGGAGGTTGAGACAGAAGAATCCCTTGAACCTGGGAGGGGAAGATTGCAGTGAGCTGAGATCTCACCACTGCACTCCAGCCTGGGTGGTGATAGAGTGAGACTCTGTCTCAAAAAAAAAAAAAAAAAAAATCCAGCACAGCAATCCCACTTCTGGATATTTACCCAAAAGATTTGAAATCAGTTTGTTGAAAGATGTCTGCACTGTCAGGTTCATTGCAGCATCATTCATAATAGCTGAGTTATGGAATCAACCTAAATGTCCATCAACAGATTAATGCATAAAGAAAACGTGCCACATATTTACAATGGACTACTATTCAGCATTTAAAAAGCAGAATGGGGACTGGAGATTTTTTTTTTTTTTTTTTTTTTGAGATAGAGTCTCCCTCTTTTGCCCAGGCTGGAGTGCAGTGGCGCGATCTCGGCTCACTGCAAGCTCCGCCTCCCGGGTTCATGCCATTCTCCTGCCTCAGCCTCCCGAGTACTTGGGACTACAGGCGCCTGCCACCACACCTGCACCTGGCTAATTTTTTGTATTTTTAGTAGAGATGGGGTTTCAACATGTTAGCCAGGTTGGTCTCGATCTCCTGACCTCAAGATCCACCCACCTCAGCCTCCCAAAGTGCTGGGATTACAGGCGTGAGCCACCGCACCCAGCTTTTTTTTTTTTTTTTTTTTTTTTTTCAAACAGAGTTTCACTCTTGTTGTCCAGACTGGAGTACGGTAGTGCAATCTTGGCTCACTACAACCTCCACCTCCAGGGTTTAAGTGATTCTCCTGCCTCAGCCTCCTCAGTAGCTGGTATTACAGGTGCATTCCACCATGCCCAGCTAATTTTAGTATGTTTAGTAGAGATGGGGTTTCACTATGTTGGCCAGGCTGGTCTCAAACTCCTGACCTCAGGTGATCCACCTGCCTCAGCCTCCCATAGTGCTGGGATTACAGGCATGAGCCACTGCCTCCAGCCTGGAACTAGAGATTGATGGCCAGGGAAATTCTGTCATTTGCGACAACATGGATAAAGATGGAGAACATTATGCTAAGTGAAATAAGCCAGGCCCAGAAAGACAAGTGTCACATGTTCTCACTTATATGTGGAATCTAAAACAGTCAAACTCATAGAAGCAGAGAGTAGAATGGTGGTTACAGAGGCTCGAGGACGGGAAATGGGGAGATGGTGGTCAAAGCATACAAAATCTCAGATAGGAGGAATATGGGTTTTTTTTGAGACCTATTGTATGGCGTGGTAAATGTCATTAATAATAGAGTATGGTACATTTCAAAATTGCTAAGAGAGTAAATTCAAACAGTCTCATCACAAAAAAGTTAAGTGTTTGAGGTGATGGATATGTTAACTAGCTTTAATTATTCCACGTTGTATTCATAGATCATAATGTCACTTTTTACCCTATAAATATGTAAAAGAGTCCGGGTGCAGTGGCTCACAGCTGTAATCCTAGCCCTTTGGGAAGTCACGGTGGGTGGATCACCTGAGGTCAGGAGTTCAAGAGCAGCCTGGCCACCATGGTGAAATCTTGTCTCTACTAAAAATATAAACATTAGGTGGATATGGTGGCAGGCGTCTGTAATCTTAGCTACTCGGGAGGCTGAGGTGGGAGATTTGCTTGAGCCTGGGAGGCGGAGGTTGCAGTGAGCCGAGATTGTGCCACTGCACTCCAGCCTGGCCAACAAAGCAAGAGTCTATCTCAAAAAATAAATATAAAAAAAATATAATATATGTATATAATATATATAAAAGAGCTAGGATTTGAACCTGCAACTCTTCACTGTGATGTAGGCCCCGTCTATCACGTATGAACTATGAGCCTGCTGAGTGCTGGGTGCTGAGCTGGGAGCTCCCACTGTTCCCCAACACTGCGTCTCAGAGTTCCCTGATGCTGGAAGCCTGGAGGCCCTCACAATTCTAGGGTGTTTTTAGAATATCATTGTGGGGTGAAAGCAGGTTCCAGCTTCCCCAGGTGGAAGGTTCCAAGAAGCACCCGGCCAGCTCTGAGAAGTACCCGGCCAGCTCCTCCACTCTGCCTGACAGGGAGGGGACTGTGAGGGTTGGGACACGTCCTCTTTTAAGGCTCTCTCTTGCTGGCTTCTGACCACTTCCTCTTTTTCCTGGGGTGGAGGCGGCTGGCCGTGGCAGCACTAATAGCAGCTGGGGGCGGAGCAGGCCTCCAAAAACCCTCCCGGAGTGGCTCAGCCCCTCGGCTGAGGGCAGGAGAGCAAGAGTCCACTTCAGCTTCCATCTGAGGTCTCTGTGAGCCCCCAAAGGAGGGGCTGGGAGAGGTGGTCCCCTTAGCTCCCCCTCCCCAGCCAGAACAGAATCACTGACCCTGAGGCTTGGCCTGGGCTGCATCTGCTTCCAGCAACTTCCATGAAGGACGTGACTGTAGACGAGGCCCACTCCTTGCACGGCCAGGGCCCTCAGGGTGCCCAGGGAAGTGAGGGCCAGTGCTGGAAGCTCCAGCCTAGCACTGGGCACCTCCCCGGTGAGTGGCTGTTGGGGGCAGAGCTGCCAGCAGGGAGAGGACAGCTATGAAAGACGTGGCTCCAGGCCTTGCACTGCCACCTGTCAACTCGGGGCTTTGGGCAGGCTGCTTTTCTCCTTTGGGCCTCAGTTTCCTCATCTGTGTAGTGGAGACCAACCACGGTACTTCGAAGGTCTGTAGAAATTCCTGGTACACAGCAAGTGCTTAATAATGGTATGAGCTACTATTAGCTAGTGCCTGTGGCTCAGTCTGAGCTGTCCAGGGTGCCCCACCAGCTTCTGCTGAGGATGGCCAGTGGCAGCTCAGCTCTGCTCCCGGCCTCGCACCCTTCCACACCCCCTCGGCCCTGCCTCTCCCCGCCACCTCAGCCTGGCTTCCCACCTGTGGCAGGTGCAACCAAGCTCAGGTCCACACAGCACGAGCTTTAGTTTTCCCACTCACAGCCCCATTGAGCCAATTTGGTAAAACATCCACATTGGTCATTGGTGGGTTATGCCAAGTTCAGCATTGTGTTAAAGTCCTGGCAGGTTTTTTTTTTTTTTTTTTTTTTTTGTATTCTGGTTAAATATGTATAATATAAAATTTACCATTTTGACCATTTAATTTAATTTTTTTTTTTTTTGAGATGGAGTCTCACTCTGTTGCCCAAGCTGGAGTGCAGTAGTTGTATCTTGGCTCACTGATGCCTCCACCTCCCAGGTTCAAGCGATTCTCCTGTATCAGCCTCATTAGTAGCTGGGATTATAGGCGCACATTACCACGCCCAGCTAATTTTTGTATTTTCAGTAGAGAAGGGTTTCACCATGTTGGCCAGGCTGACCTGGCCTCAAGTGATCTCCCTGCCTTGGCCTCCCAAAGTACTGGGATTACAGGCATGAGCCACTGCACCCAGCAGTGCTGACTTTTGGGAGGGGATGAGGGAACCAGGAGGTGACAGATGCCACAGCCACTAATGCAGATGCCACAGCCATGACTGTAGGATGGGGAAAATATGAAGGGAGCTCAGCCGTTTTATCTCCAGGAGAAGCAGCTGGAGGGCTGGGAGAGGGCCTGGGGAGTGGGAAGTGGCTGCGGAGGTGAGACTCCCCCATCCCTGGGCCAACAGCCAGGGCTCCATGGTTGGGCTAGATGGTCCCACCTTGGGTGGAGGCTGAGCCTGTGTGAGGCGCTGCCCTGTGTCTTCTCTTGCCTGGCCTGGCCGCCATCACAGGCCCACCCCCGGGGAGAAGATTCTAGGAGGAAAGTCCAGGCCAGGCCTGAAAGGACTTCGCTCCTTGGTAACTATCCCTCAGGGTTGACCCAGTGACACAGGTTCTAGGGACCCACTTCTAGGTTTGCCGCCTCCATCTCCATCTCCGTCTCCACCTCCACCTGAGTTGAGAGGGGATGGAGAAGCTTCCTGGGGAAACTCTGCCCTTCTCCACCCATCCCCACCTCCTTCCCTTCCCTCCCCATCTCATTCCCTCCCCTCCCCACCTCCTTCCCTCGCCTCCCCCACCTCCTTCCCCTGTCACCTCCTTCCCGCCCATCCCCACCTCCTCCCCTCCCCTCCCCACCTCCTCCCCACCCCTCCCCACCTCCTCCCCTCCCCTCCCCACCTCCTCCCCACCCCTCCCCACCTCCTCCCCACCTCCTCCCCACCACCTCATTTCCACCCCTCCTCACCTCATTCCCCTCCTTTCCCATCTCCTTTCCATTTCCTTTTGCCTATACCTTGTACCAAGCTGGGTGGTGATCCACTTGGAAATTCACAAAGCAGTGCACAGCACTTCACAGTTTGTCAAGGACCTGGTAAGGTGTAGGTGCTCAATACTTGCTTTAGTGAATGAATGACTGTGGGGCCCCATGGCAGAGCTCACTAGTGGGAACCTCACGTGTCTCCCTAGCAATGTCAAAGGCCTGTCTGAAGTATGTGTGGGAGGGATCCCCAAAAGGGACACCAATAACTGCTCTGGGATATTTAATAAAATATGCTATGAAGATTGAATGGAATAATGTGTAGGAAATGCCTGCTACATTGTAGGTATTCAAACTTTAGTTATCATTATTATCTTTTATTTTAAAGAATAATCTGATTCTGGATCAGAAGCAGTGACTCCCACAAAGGTCATCAAAAAGGGAATGGTGCAAAGTGAGAGAACATTGGCAGAGGAAGAACCAGCTGTGTGTCCTTAGGCAAATTGCTTACCCTCTCTGAGCCCCCATTGCCTGATCTGTCAAATGGGTCTGGAAATCCTCACTTCCTCTGCTATTGTGGTAGGCATCAGATGAGATAAAAGATGAGTTCAGTCTTAGCAAGCAGGGAAGAGAAGCCCAGCTGAGCTGAGAGGTGGCTGACAATGGGAAACCACCCCAAGCCTGTTCCTTTATTTTTTATTTTTATTTATATATATATTTTTTGAGACAAGGCCTCACTCTGTCACCCAGGCTGGAGTACGGTGCCGTCATCGTGGCTCACTGCAGCCTTGACCTCCTGGGCTCAAGTGATCCTCCCGCCTCAGTCTCCCAAGTAGCTGGGGCTACAGGCATGCACCACCATGCCTGGCTAATTTTGTATTTTTTTTTTTTTTTGGTAGAGATGAGGTGTCACTATGTTGCCCAGGCTGGTCTCAAACTTCTGAGCTCTAGTGATCTGCCCACCTCGGCCTCCCAAAGTGCTGGGATTACAAGCGTGAGCCACCAAACCTGGCTTCAGCCTGTTTCTTTAACGTCAGCTTCTCTTATTTTTTGAGACAGAGTTTCACTCTGTCGCCCAAGCTGGAGTGGGGTGGTGTGATCTTGGCTCACTGTAACCTCTGCCTCCTGGGTTCAAGTGATTCTCGTCCCTCAGCGTCCCGAGTAGCTGGGATTACAGGCACCCGCCACCACATGCAGTTAATTTTTGTATTTTTAGTAGAGATGGGGTTTTACCATGTTGGCCAGGCTAGTCTCCAATTCCTGACCTCAAGTGATCCGCCTGCCTCGGCCTCCCAAAGTGCTGGGACTACAGGTGTGAGCCACTGCACCCAGCCTCAGCCTGTTCCTTTAACATCAGCTTCTGAAACTATCTCTGCAGAAGTTCTGAGGGTACCCCTCACTCAAGCTCCAGGCGTCAGGAAAAGAACATTCCACGAAGTCCATCTGGAAGACGGTCCTTTCCCTGCTGCCCCCAGGTAAGCACATGGCCTCCAATCTGTCCTCGACCAAACCCTGACTCCAGGCCAGTCAGCAGCACCGAGCCTGGCCTGTTTCCATGGAGAACAGGAAAGGCACCAGTGTGTCTGGGAGGAAAGACGGCTTCCTGTTCAAAGCCACAGATAGGATGGCCATAAAGCAGGGTAGTAGAATTGTCATTATTCCGCAAGATCAAATAGGGCTGCTAAGCCCAGGAACCGTCGGGGAGGCCCAATGGATGGGCCACATTTCCCCTGCAAGGCCAACTGGCAAGTGGCCACTGCCCCCTACCGCCTTTCAGATAGGGCTTCCTGTAGGAGTATGCTGCTATGCCGGGCTATTATTGTCAGTATTCACTGAGTGCATAGTATATGCCAGTCACTGACCTCAGCGATCTGTAAGATTTATCTCCTTTAATCCTCAGAACAAACTGCTATCTTATACGGCAGCTATTATTATTAACCCCATTTTACAGATGAGGGAACGGAGGCAGAGAGAGGTTAAGTATGTTGCCCAAGGTCACACAGTGGAGGAGCCAAGCCTGTACTCAATCCAGGTCATCTGAAACCAGAGCTTATGAAGGTGACCACACCATACAGTGTCTCAGGACAGGGGAGGCCAGGCACAGAGGTGGTGGGGGAAAGAAGGAAGCTAAGTGAGAGGTACCAGGTCCCAAGTGAACCCCTCATTAATACTGGTGTTGAAGAGGCGTGGACTTCGTGAGGCGGGTGTTATTGGCACTGTTTTACAGATAAGGAGCTGAGAGCCCAGAGAGACAGTGAGTTGCCCAAACAACAAAGCTGCGTTTGAGCCTAGATGTGTCTACTGCACAGCCTGGCTCTTCAGTGAGCTTGCTGCCTTATCCTGCTTCTTCAGCAGTTTGTTCCGAGTCTGATCTGTCTTGAGAGCCCCACAGCCTGGGGCACAGGCCTGGAACACACACACCGCGCCTCTACGCCTGTTTTTAGAAATTGTGTATGGGATTCCAGTGGTTCCTACTTGCTGCTACTTTGGGCAAAGGAGAGGAAATGTGGTAGGAAGTGTAGTGACTCTGTATCTTGGTGAGTGGTTGTTTGCCTGAGCTCAGATGCTGCTGGAATGAAGAGTTTTGAAAAGACAATCATTTTGGAATAGTTGCATCTCTTTTACTTTTGGGTGAGTCAAAGGAAAAAGGGAGCTCTAGGAGGGACCACATTGGAAATTCCATCCACCCACTCATCCACCCATCCGATCATTCAATCATCTCTTTATCCAATCATTCATCCATTCATCCATCCACCCACCCATTTTCTGGGCTCCAATTTTCTGCTAGGCCCTGGAAACAAAACACACAAAACCCCCAAACAAACAAAAAAACAAAAGAGTAAAAGCCTCATAGAAAAAAAAGCTGTTTAGTGACCAGCCTGGCCAAGATGGTGAAACCCCGTCTCTACTAAAAATATAAACATTAGCCGGGCGCGGTGGCAGGTGGCTGTAATCCCAGCTACTTGGGAGGCTGAGGCAAGAGAATCGCTTGAATCCAGGAGACAGAGGTGCAGAAGAGCCGAGAAAGCGCCACTGTACTCCAGCCTGGGTGACAGAGTGAGACTCTGTCTCAAAAAAGAAAAAAGACAAGAAAAAAGAAAAAAAGCTGTTGTTTCACATTTTCCTCCAGCACTTCCTATTTTTTACATTTGGAAAAGAGCTTTATTGAGATATAATTCATGTATCACGCAATTCACCCATTTAAAGTGTGATTCGATGGCTTATAGTGTATTCACAGAGCACTGACATCATCACCACAATCAATTTTTGAAACTTTTCATCACCCCCAAACAGAAACCCAGTACCCCTTAGGCCGTCACTCCCTATACCCCCTTCCCCCACCCCTTCAATTACTCATCTACTTTCTTTCTCTGTGGATTTGCCTATTCCGGACATTTCATGTACATAGAATCATATAATATGTGGCCTTTTGTGTCAGGCTTCTTTCACTTAGCATCATGTGCTGTCGTTATTGTTGCTGTTTTGTTTTGTTTTGTTTTTTGAGGCACTGTCTCGATCTGTCACCCAGGCTGGAGCGCAGTGGTGTGATCTCAGCTCTCTGCAGCTTCCACCTCACGGGCTCAAGCGATCCTCCCACCTCAGCCTCCTGAGTAACTGGGACCACAGGCGCTCGCCACCAGGCCTGGCTAGATTTTTGTATTATTTTGCAGAGATGGGGTTTCGCGGTGTTCCTCAGGCTGATTTCAAAGTCCTGGGCTCAAGCGATCTGCCTGCCTGGGCCTCCCAAAGTGCTGGGATTAGAGGTGTGAACCCTCGTGCCCAGGCTCACTTAGCATTGCATTTTCAACGTTTATTCATTTTGTAGCGTGGATCAGCAAATCGTTTCTTTTTATTGCTGAGTAATATTCCATTTTATGGATAGATCACATCTGGTTCATTTGTTCATCAGTTGACGGACATTTGGGTTGCCTCTCCTTTTGGCTATTATAAATAATGCTGCTGTTAACATTTATGTGTAAGTGTTTGTGTGGATGAGCTTTCATTTCTTTTTGGTATTTACCTAGGAGTGGCCTTGCTGAGTCATACAGTAGCTCTGCGTTTGACCTTTTGAGGAACTGCTAAACTATTTTCCACAGCAGCTGCAACATTTACTACTCCCACCAGCAGTGTAGGAAGCTTCCAATTTCTCCATATCCTCACCAATACTTGTTATTGTCCATCTCTCTTTTTTTTTTTTTTTCCTGAGACAGAGTCTCACTCTGTTGCCCAGGCTAGAGTGCAGTGGCACAATCTCAGCTCACTGCAACCTTTGCCTCCCAGGTTCAAGCGATTCTCCTGCCTCAGCCTCCCGAGTAGCTGGGATTACAGGTGCACACCACCATGCCCAGCTAATTTTTATATTTTTAGTAGAGACGGGGTTTCACCATGTTGGCCAGGCTGGTCTCGAACTCCTGACCTCAGGTGATCCACCTGCCTCGGCCTCCCAAAGTGCTGAGATTACAGGCGTGAGCCACCGCACCCGGCTATCGTCCATCTTTTTAAATTTAGCCTTTCTAGCAGGTGTGAAGTGAAACCTCATTATGGTTTTAATTTACATTTCCCAGGAAGTATCTTTACGTGTTATTATCAGTCATTTGTATATTTTCTTTGAAGAAATGTCCATTTGGATTCTTTACCCACTGTTAATTGGGTTGTCTTTTCATTATTGAGTTGTAAGAGTTCTTTATAGATTCTAGATACTAGTCCTTTATCAGATACATGATTTGCAAATATTCTTTCCTATTCTGTAGGCTCCAGTTCCTTCTCATTGTTTTGTTTTGTTTTTGGTTTTTAAAGCACACATCCTCATGCTAAGATATTTGAAAAAGCCAAAAATGTATAAAGAGATGGAAAAAGAACCTCCCACAGACCACTATGATTAATATTTAATCTTTTTTATTTCCCTTTTAAATATATTTACTTATGTTATTTATTCTTTGATAGGTAATATCTGCACTGCTGCAGAATTCTAAAGGTCTAAAATCACAGATTCAATGAGTCTCCCAAGCAGGAAAGCTGCATTTTCAACCTGAATAGATCTACTGCAAAGCCTGGCTCTTTCAGTGCCTCTGCCACCGTATCCTACTTCCTCCAAAGTTTCTTTCTAGTCTGATCTGTCTTGAGACCCCCAGTGCCTGGAGCCCCTGTCATCCAAACTCCTCCTAGGGACCGCTACTGTTGCCGCTTTCTAGATGATCTTCCAAGGATAGCTTATAGCTTGTATATATGGACATATACTTGTCAAATTTCCCTTAAATTGTACGTTACCCATTGCACTGAGCACTTGTCCGTAGCTCCTTTCCAGTCTTGTAGCTCTGCTGAGTTTTCTTTCTATAGTTAAGAATACAATGTAGGCCGGGCGTGGTGGCTCACGCCTGTAATCCCAGCACTTTGGGAGGCCGAGGCGGGCAGATCACAAGGTCAGGAGATCGAGACCATCCTGGCTAACACGGTGAAACCCCGTCTCTACTAAAAATACGAAAAATTAGCCGGGAGTGGTGGCGGGCGCCTGTAGTCCCAGCTGCTGGGGAGGCTGAGGCAGGAGAATGGCGTGAACCTGGAAGGCGGAGCTTGCAGTGAGCCGAGATCGCGCCACTGCTCATCTATCAGTTGTAGGAGGCACAGCAGGAATTCATTCTAGTGTTAGGAAGAATGAGGAATTTATTAAAGGACATTAGGTGGCTTGGAGAGTCTCCAGGAGGGCAGAGATCCAGGTCTGGAGTCTACATAGCCAGAAACAAAGCACAACCACAGGTGGGATTGCTCGAGTAGAGCAGTGCCCACTGCCAGGACTGGGCACAGAGCATGGCTGGTTCTGCTGGGCTCAGGGTGCTGCACCCTCTGGTTCTCTCCCTCCAGATACCAGGTGTTTCTGCCACTACCTTTGCCAGATATGTACCCTCTGACACCTGCTTCTCTTGTTGGTGGCTTTTGGACACAAGCCTGATGCTGGTACGTCTGACTATGGGGCAGAGCTGAGCGTCCCTACCCAAGCTGCAAGGGAGTGTGGGAAAACAAGATCTGGCTTTTTCTTTGGCTAGGTGTGGCCTTATATGGGGAGGCAGTCAAACATAGGAGGTCAAATTTTGCTGGGCACCCAAAAAGAATGGCAGAGCCCACTACATAATACTTATATGGGCTGAGCACAATGGCACATGCCTATAATCCCAACCCTTTGGGAGGTCAAGGTGGGAGGATCACTTGAGGGCAGGAGTTCAAGAGCAGCCTGGGCAACATAGTGAGACCCCGTCTCTATTAAAAAAAAAAATAATAATAATAATAATAATAATTAGCTGAGCATGGTGGCAAGTACCTATAATCCCAGCACTTTGGTAGGCTAAGGCAGGAGGCTCATCTCTGGCTAGGAGCTCAAGGCCAGCCTGTGCAATATAGTGAGATCCCTGGCTTAAAATTTTTGTTTGTTTGTTTGAGGACAGAGTTTCACTCTGTCACCCAGGCTAGAATGCAGTGGCGTGATCTCAGCTCACGGCAACAGCGACCTCCTGGGCTCAGGTGATTCTCCTACTTCTCAGTAGCTGGGACTATAAGTGCGCACCACCACACTTGGCTAATTTTTGTATTTTTTGTAGTAACAAGGTTTCACTATGTTGCCCAGGCTGGTCTCAAACTTCTGGGCTCAAGTGATCCTCCCACCTTAGCCTCCCAAACTGCTGGCCTTACAGGTATGAGCCACTTGCGCCCAGCTACAAAAATGTTTTTAAAGTTAGCTGGGTGTGGTTGTGCATACTTGTAGTCCTAGCTACTCAGAAGGCTGAGGCAGGAGGATCTCTTAAACCCAGGAGTTCAAGGATGCAGTGAGCTATGGTCAAGCCGCTACACTCCAGCCTGGGCAACAGGGCCAGACCTTGTCTTTAAAGTAATAATAATAGTAATGATAATACTTAAATGTAAGTGTATTGTAATTATGAAAGTGTAATTCTTCTGATTATAACACAGTACATGGGTGAGAGGTGACGCGTTGTAATGGTTAAGCTTGGGCAGCAGCCTGGGAGCTGACTGCCTAGGTTAGAGTCATATGTCTTTCCCTCGGCTAGCCTTTCAAACTTGACCATGGCTCGAACTTCATTATGCCCCAGTTTCCTCCTTTGTAAAATGGGGATCAAAATAGAACACCCCTCATGGGTTGGGCTGAGGATGGGATGAGTTAACAGACATAAGGCTTAGAACCATATCTAGCTCATTGTATTTGCTATGTAGTTGTTTGCTCTTCTCATTTTTCCAATCTTTTATTATAAAAATTTTAAAACATACAGAAAAGTAAAAAGGGTTGTATAGCAAGCATCCATCTAGTCACTACCTATGATTTCACCCTGCACATTTTTTTTTTTTTTTTTTTGCGCATGGAGTCTTGTTCTGTCACCCAGGCTGGAGTGCAGTGGTGTGATCTCGGCTCACTCTAACCTCTGCCTCCTAGGTTCAAGTGATTCTCCTGCCTCAGTTTCCCAAGTAGTTGGGACTACAGGCATGCACCACCACGCCCAGCTACTTTTTGTATTTTTTAGTAGAGATGGGGTTTCCCTATGTGGTGGCTAGGGTTGTCTGGAACTCCTGACCTCAGGTGACCTGTGTACCTCGTCCTCCCAAAGTGCTCAGATTACAGGCATGAGCCACCACGCATGGCCCCTGAACATTTACTCTGTTTGCTTTGTCACATCTGTCTATGCCTCTTTCCAATTATTAATGCATGTTAATTTTAATGCATTTCAAAGTAATGGCAAATGCATACATATGTTGCTATTATTTTTTTAAAAAGAAACTGTCAACTGTTAAAATGGTCTGGGCATGGTGGCTCACGCCTGTAATCCCAGCACTTTGGGAGGTCAAGGTAGGCGGATCACCTGAGGTCAGGAGTTCAAGACCAGCCTGGCCAACATGGGAATATCCTGTCTCTACTAAAAACACAAAAATTAGCCTGGTGTGATGGCATGCTCCTATAGTCCCAGGTACTCGGGAGGCTGAGGCATGAGAATCGCTTGATCCTGGTAGGTGGAGGTTACAGTGAGCCAAGATTGCATCACTGCATTCCAGCCTGGGCAATAGAGTGAGACTCCGTCTCAAAAAAAAAAAAAGTGTATAAAATTGTCTGTATTTTCCTTTAACATAAGGAACAGAGTCCTATAGATGAAACAGAATCATTAGGTTGAGGGGAGAGTGAAAAGGCAGGCCAAGGGACTTCCTGACAATGGGAAAAGCCTGAGCAAAAGAATACACCACTGCAATATCCCCCCAAGTCCCCAAGGCTGGCTGATCAGGCAGAGCCCCTTCAAATGGGCATTAAAAATACTTGCTAATCCCAAGGTTTTGGGTGGCCAAGGCAGGAGGATCACTTGAGGCCAGGAGTTTAAGATCAGCCTCAGCAACATAGTGAAACCTCACCTCTACAAACAAATTTTTAATTAGCGGGAATGGTAGCACATGCCTGTAGTCCCAGCTACTCAGGAGACTGAGGCAGGAGGATCCCTTAAGCCCAGGAGTTAAAGGCTGCAGTGAGATATGATCATGCCACTGTATTCTAGCCTGGGCAACAGAGTGAGACCCTGTCTCTTAAAAATAATTAAATCAACAAAAAATAAGATAAAATACAAAAGATAAAAATACTTGCTTGCTCAGATTTGATTTAGAGGAGACTGAAGAAGAGGCCTTACAGAAGGCAAAGAAGGAAAGTTCCAGATGGGAGAACCCAGCCTCTCCTCCACTGCCGCAGATGATTCTGCTGTAGCCCAGATTTGCAAGCTCCACTCAGCAAAATAATCTCCCTGTATCAGTCATCCATTGCTGCATAACAGATGACTCCAAAATGCAGTGGCCTAAAGCAACAATAACTCAGATTTTCTCATGGTTTCTGTGGGTCGGGTATTTGGGAGTGGCTGGGAAGTTCCAGCTCTCTGCAAGGTCTCTTGTCCAGCTGCAGGTGGATGCCAACTTGGGCTGGGGCCATCTCCAAGGTGTCCTCCCTCTCACGGCCTGTGCCTGGGCTGGGAAGATGTGAGCAGAGGTGAACTTTACAGGTGAGGCTCCCCGGGCACCTCTCCAGCATGGTGAGGTCAGGGTAGCTGGTCTTCTAACGTCATCTTGGGGCTCCTAAGTTGTGTGCCTCAAGCCAGGCAGAAGCTGTCACACATTGTCCCTTTTACTACATTCTATTGAGGCAGCTATAAAAAGTTACAAAGGGGGCCGGGTGTGGTGGCTCATGCCTGTAATCCCAGCACTTTGGGAGGCTGAGGTGGGTGGATCACCTGAGGTCTGGAGTTCGAGACCAGCCTGGCCAACATGGTGAAACCCCATCTCTACTAAAAATAGAAAAATTAGCTGGGCGTGGTGGCAGGCACTTGTAATCTCAGCTACTCGGGAGGCTGAGGCATGAGAGTCGCTTGAACCCAGGAGTCGGAGGTTTCAGTGAGCCAAGATTTTGCCACTGCACTCCAGCCTGGGCGACAGAGAGACTCTGTCTCAAAAAACAAAAACAAAAACAAACAAAAAATAGTTACGAAGTTCTGAGGCTGGGTGCAGTGGTTCAAGCCTGTAATCCCAGCACTTTGGGAGGCTGAGGCAGGAGGATTGCTTAAGCCCAGGAGTTCGAGACCAGCCTGGGTAACATGGTGAGACCCCATTTCTATAAAAAATTTAAAAAATTAGCCAGGTGTGATGGTGTGAGCCTGTATCCCTAGCTACTCCGGAGGCTGAGTGGGAGGATTGCTGGAGCCCAGGAGGTCGAGGCTGGAGTAAGCTGTGATTGATTGAGCCACTGTACTGCACCCTGGGGGACAGAGTGAGATCCTGTCTCAAAATAAATAAATAAATAAGTAATAAAAAGTGAAAAGTTACAAAGATCTGGCAGATTCAAGGAAAGGAAACCTGGACCCCATCTCTCCATGGACGAATGTCAATGTGACAGTGTAGAAGAGCATGTGGGATGGAGGAAGAATCAGGGGATGTGTCTTTGGAAAGTGCAATTGCCCACAGCTGGCATCTGAATAGATTCACTCTCCTCAAAGACACTTTTGCGACACTGATCACTGGCCAAGCGTGCCCCGTGCAGGTCTCACCCTCCAGCCCATGCAGTTGTCTTTCAGCCACAGGCTGAACACTGGCCATCCCAGCTGTGTCAGAGGACTTTGGCAAGCCTAATTTTCTCCATCTTTTTTATTACCTTGTGGACCAGGTTGAACAGTGTCCCCCAAATTTATGTCCAGCTGGAACCTCAGAACATAGCTGTATTTGGAAAGAGGGTCTTTGCAGATGTAATCAAGTTAATATGTGGTCATACTGCATTAGGGTACATCCTAAATTGATGAGGCTGGGTGTGGTGGTTCAATCCCGTAATCCCAGTACTTTGGGAGGCCTAAGTGGGCAGATCACTTGAGCTCAGGAGTTCGAGACCAGCCTGGACAAAACTGAGACCCTGTCTCTACAAAAAATATAAAAAATTAGCCGGGCATAGTAGTGTGCACCTGTGGTCCCAGCTACTCGGGAGGCTGAGGTGGGAGCATTGGTTTAGCCTAGAGGTGAAGGCCGCAGTGAACCGTGATCACCCCATTGCACTCCAGCCTGGGTGACAGAGTGAGATGAGACACTGTCCCCCCACAAAAAAAATAAATCAATGACTGGTGTGTCATAAGAAGAGGGACATTTGGACACAGAGACATGCACAGAGGGAAGATGATATGAAGGCAACACAGCGACACACAGGGAGAGCACCATGTGACAACTGAGGCAGAGGATGGGGAGAGGCATCTGCAAACCAGAACACACAAAAGATTCCCAGCAACCACCCAAAGCTTGGAGAGAGGCATGGGACAATCTCCCGCAGAGCCTCCGGAAGAAAGCAACCATGCCGGCCAGGTGTGGAGGCTCATGCCTGTAATTCCAGCACTTTGGGAGGCCCAGGAGGGCAGATCACTTGAGGTCAGGAGTTCAAGACCAGCCTGGGCTACATGATGAAACCCTGTTTCTACATAAAATACAAAAATTAGCTGGGCGTCATGATGGGCACCTGTAATCCCAGCTACCCGGGAGGCTGAGGCAGGAGAATTGCTTGGACCCGAGAAGCAGAGGTTGCTGTGAGCTGAGGTGGTGCTAGTGCCCTCCAGCCTGGATGACAGAGTGAGACTCGGTCTCAATAAATAAATAAATAATAAAGAAGAAACCAACCCTTTTGACCCCGGGGTCTCAGACTTTTAGCCACCACATCAGCGAGTTATGGTGTTTGTTATAGCAGCTCTGGGAAACTAATGCATGTTTTCAGTGACATTTTAGCCCCTTCTGAATGGTCTGGATGGCTGGTTGACAGCTAAGTTCAGACCCGATGCAAAAGCCCAGTCTATGTAGGAATGTCCCCTGTGGACAGCTGCTGTGTAGCCAAGGTGGGTTACATACTAGGAAAGGGCCCTGGGGGCCCCCACAGGGAGCTAACTCTATTGACGGGGGACCCAGGTAACAGATGCAGGCATTTGCTGTGAGTCACAAGACACTGATGTGTGTTTGCTTGCTTGGGTATTTTTTTACTTTTTGTTTTTTAACTTTGTAAATGAGGCTTAGCCTTCCCAGGTGTGTCCTACCTCTTCTGTCTCCTGTCTCCCATCTCTGTGTCCTGTCTCCTGGAGCTGGTTTGATTTTGTCAACATGGGCACTGTTTATGATGGCAACAGCTGTGACCTTTAGAGTCAAGAGGAAATCCACCTACAGGGACTCAGGCCTTTCTCTCCAAGTGGGGCCATAAACTGTTATTCACCAAAACATGGGGGAGGCATAGGAGGGAAACACAGCCTCTCCTAGGGGAAGCCACTCTGTTTCTCCTCTGCAGGGCTGGAGACACAGGTGGACACCTGGCTGTGCCCCCAACCCTGCCCTCAAGCTCTGCACCATTTTGTAACCCTCAAAAGCAATCAGGCCTCTGTACTTGCTGAGCCCACTGCCTGAGAAGTCCATTTTCCAGGCCCTCACTTAGCCAGCGCCTCCTCCTCCTCCTCTTCCTCCTCCTCCTCCTCTTCCTCCTCCTCCTCAGGTCACCCTCCTCCAAGAAGCCTTTGTGACCACCACACAAAAACCCAGCCCTTCCTCCCCCATTATATTCATCTGCTCTGCTAAAGTGCTCACCCCACTGGAAATGATCTTGTTTATGTGTTTCCTTGTTTACTGTCTGTCTTCAGTAGAATGGAAGAGCCATCGGTATTTTGTCTTTTTTTCCCCTTGTCCATTCTTATATCCTCAGCTTCTAGAACATTCCCTGGAACACAGCAAGTGTTCAGTATTGTTCATGGAGTGACAGATGTCTCAGCCAAGAAGGTACAATCACAGGGAAGAATGACTTCAACTGGTCTTGACTTCAACCTGCTTCCAGCCTGGTTCCCTTCTCCCACCTCCCTACAGCCCACAGAAGATCTTTTCCAAACTGGAAGTCTGTCCAGGTCATTCTTCTGCTCTAAGGCTTTCAGTAGCTCCCCCTTATCCCCAGGAGGAAGTCCAAATGCCTTAACAAGTGTCAAGGAACACTTGGTGAGCCCTGCTTTCCTTGCTAGTCACTCGTGCACAGCTGAGTCTTTCCCCAGAGTGGATGTCATTCATGCTGTTCCCATTGCCTGGATTCCTGCTCCTCTCCACCCCATTCAACTGATAAACTCGTGGTTTTTTTTTTTTTTTTTTTTTTTTTTGAGACTGAGTCTCGATCTATCACCCACGCTGGAGTGCAGTGGTGCAATCTCGGCTCACTGCAACTTCTGCTTCCTGGGTTCAAGAGATTCTTGTGCCTCAGCCTCCCGAATAGCTGGGGTTACGGGCGTCTGCCAACATGCCTGGCTAATTTTTGTATTTTTAATAGAGATGGGGTTTCACCATGTTGGCCAGGCTCTTCTCAAACTCCTGACCTAAAGGGATCCCCCCGCCTTGGCCTACCAAAGTGCTGGAATTACAGGCGTGAACCACTGTGCCTGGCCTCAACTGATACACTCTTGTCCTTTTACTAGGCTCAGCTTAGGGACCGTCACCTCCAGGAAGCCTTCCCAACCTGCACTGATCACTTCTTCTTCTTCTCTTTGGGATTATCACTTGTATTGTAATAAAATCTTGTTTTTTTTCTTTAAAAAATATTATTTGCATTCAGCAAAATTCACCCTTTTTGATATACAGTTCTGAGGTTTTTTTTAGTTCTATAAGTTTTGTCAAATATGTAAAGTTGTAATCTCCAACACAATCAAAATATAAAACAATTTCCTCACCCCTCCCCAATTCCCTTATGCTCTTTTGTATCCAACACTTCTTCCCACTCCAGCCCCTGGCAACCACGGATTTGCTTTCTGTCTGTACAACACTGCCTCTTCCAGAATGTCATATATAAAATCACGCTGTTTATAACCTTTAATGCTGGTGTCTTTTTTGGGGGGAGTCGGTGAGGGAGTGGGACGAAGTTTTGCTCTTGTTGCCTAGGCTGGAGCTCAATGGCACAATCTCAGCTCACTGCAACCTCTACCTCCAGGGTTCAAGCGATTCTCCTTCCTCAGCCTCCTGAGTAGCTGGGATTACAGGCACCCGCCACCATGCCCACCTAGTTTTTGTATATTTAGTACAGATGGGGTTTCACCATGTTGACCAGGCTGGTCTTGAACTTCTGACCCACCTCGGCCTCCAAAAGTGCTGGGATTATAGGCGTGAGCCACCATGCCCGGCCTAATGCTGGTGTCTTTCACTCAGCTTAGTCATGCATTTGAGATTCAGCCTTGGTCTTGTGTGTATCAATAATTACTTTTTATAGCCGAGTGCTACTTCACTGTATGAATGTTTGTTTATCCAGTCACAAATGAAGGACATTTGGGTTGTTTCCAGTTTGCAGTGATTATGAATGAAACTACTGTAAACATTAGTGTTTTTCTGTGGACATATGTTTTCATATCTCTTAGGTAAATACAGGTGAGTTTGCTGGGTCATATGGTAAGTGAATGTTTAACTTTTTAAAGAAACTGCCCAGCTGTTTTCCAACGAGGCTGCACTGTTTTGCATTTCCACCAGTGGATCCACATCCTCACCAGCACTCGGTGTTATCCTCAGTTTTTTTTTTTTTTTTTTTTTTTTTTTCCCGAGATGGAGTTTCGCTCTTGTTGCCCAGGCTGGAGTGCAATGGTGCGATCTCAGCTCACTGCAACCTCCGCCTCCCGGGTTCAAGCGACCCTCCTGCCTCAGCCTTCCGAGTAGCTGGGATTACAGGTTTCCCCCACCATACCTGGGAAATTTTTTGTATTTTTAGTAGAGATGGGGTTTCACCATGTTGGCCACGCTGGTCTCCAGCTCCTGACCTCAGGTGATTCATGCACCTCGGCCTCCCAAAGTACTGGGATTACAGGTGTGAGCCACCGTGCCCAGCCTATTGTCAGTGGTTTTTTATTTTAACCATTTTAATAGGTGCGTATTTTTTGTTCAACCAGTTGGTCTTCCCCAGCAGCCTGGGACTCCTGACAGAGAATAAATCTTTCATCTCCTTATCCTCAGAGCCTGTAGTAGTAACTGACATGTGGTAGGTGCTCAAGAAATGCTGTGGGCTGATTGAATGAGTCCATTCATGGAATGAATGAATTTCTTGACTGCATGAATGAGGGTTCTATTGAAACAGTGCTTAAGGTAAGTTTGTCTCAGATGCCATGTGAGTTTCTCTGCTCCCCCACAAAGGAACTCACCATGAGTGATGAGCTGGTCTTTCTGAAATGGTTGCCGCAGGTAAAACCCCCTTACCATTACGTCTAATATCTTCCTGTATCTGCCCAAAGTGCCCAGACTGCTTCTACCTCTGAACAGGCTTGCCTGGGTTTCTTCCCTGTTGTTTCAGTGAAAGGCACTGGTGCCCATACTAGAGGGTGCAAGAGAATGATAGCGGCGGGCGGCAGTTAAATGCGGATCCCTAGGCCCTGCCCCTACGTTCTGATTCAGTAAGGCCAATAACTCCCGGCGCATCTCAGACTTTTCTAAGGCCCCCCAGGAGAGGTGAGAGTCCTCTGTAGAAGTGTAAATAATTCTAGGTCTTGAAAAAGACATGGGGCCGGGCGCGGTGGCTCACGCCTGTAATCCCAGCACTTTGGGAGGCCGAGGCGGGCGGATCACGAGGTCAGGAGATCGAGACCATCCCGGCTAAAAAAACGGTGAAACCCCGTCTCTACTAAAAATACAAAAAAAAATTAGCCGGGCGTAGTGGCGGGCGCCTGTAGTCCCAGCTACTTGGGAGGCTGAGGCAGGAGAATGGCGTGAACCCGGGAGGCGGAGCTTGCAGTGAGCCGAGATCCCGCCACTGCACTCCAGCCTGGGCGACAGAGCGAGACTCCGTCTCAAAAAAAAAAAAAAAAAAAAAAAAAAAGAAAAAGACATGGGCCTTCAGATTCTAGTTCTGCCACCACTGGTGTTTCACACCTGCCGGTCGCTTAATGCCTCTGAGCCTCGGTTTTCTTATCTGTAAAGCTGTCCTGAAAGTAATGGAGCTTCCCAGTTCCACTGTGAGGATGAAATACATTGACTGCACGAAGGGCCCTGATGCAAGGTAGATATTCAATAAATGTTGTGGATTTTGGTAAGCCAAAAAGATTCCAAATGCTTTCTCTCCACCCCCTTCGCTAACTGCCTTATATTTTAATTTTTATTGATGCATAACAACGCAGAGAAGTGTACAGTTCACTGGATCTTCACACACTGAACACACCCACGCCCACATCACCCACACCCCAACCGAGAAACCAGCACCCCTCAGGACTCGCCTGGGTGCTGCTCATCACCACCTTCCCAAGGGCAACCGTTCTGACTACTAGCAGCCTTGTTTTTGAAACAGTTTTAGTTTTCTATAACAACTAAGACATGCATAGTAAAGAATATTTAGAAAACAATGACAAGAGAAAAGTCAGAGACATGTGAACATATTGAACAGCCTTTAAAAAATATTAATTTTTTGGCCTGGTGTGGTAGCACATGCCTGTAATCCCAGCCCTTTGGGAGGCTTAGGTGGGAGAGTCGTTTGAGCTCAGGAGTTCAGGACCAGCCTGGGTAACACGATGAAACCTTGTCTCTATAAATAAATACAAACATCTAGCCAGGCTTGGTGATGTGTGCATGTAGTCCCAACTACTTGGGAGGCTGAGGTGGGAGGATTGTATGAGCCCGGCGGAGAGGGCAGAGGTTGCAGTGAGCTGAGATTGCGCCACTGCCCTCCTGCTTGGGCTACAGAGTGAGACCCTGTATCAAAATAATAATACTAACTTTCTGTTGAGGTATAACGTGCATAAAATGGCCCAGATCAGGCCGGGCGCGGTGGCTCACGCCTGTTATCCCAGCACTTTGCGGGGCCGAGGCGGGCGGATCGTGAGGTCAGGAGATCGAGACCATCCTGGCTAACACGGTGAAATCCCATCTCTACTAAAAAAACAAAAAATTAGCTGGGCGTGGTTGCAGGTGCCTGTGGTCCCAGCTACTCGGGAGGCTGAGGCAGGAGAATGGTGTGAACCCGGGAGGTGGAGCTTGCCGTGAGCCGAGATTATGCCCCTGCACTCCAGCCTTGGTGACAGAGCGAGACTCCATCTCAAAAAAAAAAAAAAATAAATAAATAAATAAAAGGCCCAGATCATAAGTACAGAGCTCAGTACATTTTCATAAAGTGACTAACCCATGTGACCACAAGATCAAAACCTAGAACATCGCAGCCCTCAAGGTCCTTCCTTCTGCTGCCTCCAAGGCAGTGAGATTCTCTATTCTGACTTCTTTTTGTGTGTGAGAAAAAGTCTCTTTCTGTTGCTCAGGCTGGAGTACACTGGTGTTGTCACAGCTCACTGCAGCCTTAAACGCCTGTGCTCAAGGGATCCTCCCATCTCAGCCTCCCAAGTAGCCAGGACTATTCTGACTTCTAAAAGCACTGATGAGTTTTGTGAAACACAGCCTTGTTTTAGACAAAGCTTCCCTCTCTCTGGTGCTGTTGGAGAACTCTTGCTCATCCCTCAGGACCCAGTTCTGAGGTTACCTCCTCTGAGAAGTCTTCGCAGCTCCATGAGGCAGAGGATTAGCCCTTGCCTGATTTGTCCCTCTAATTCAGCTCTTGCCATTCTGTGATAGTAAATGCCTCTTCCTGCTGTCTCCCCATTGAGAGGTAAATAGGTCTAATCTATTTGCCTAATATAGGGTACAGTGGGTTGAATTGTGACCCCCCCCAACCCCCCACCCAAAAAAAACAACAACAAAAAAACTAAGTCCTAAACCCTGCACCTGTGAATGTAACCTTACTTGGAAATAAGGTTTGTTTTTGTTTTTGTTTGCTTGTTTGTTTGTTTTTTTGAGTTGGAGTCTCTCTCTCTTGCCCAAGCTGGAGTGCCAGGGCAGGATCTCCGCTCACTGCAACCTCCACCTCCTGGGCTCAAATGATTCTCCTGCCTCAGCTTCCCAACTAGCTGGGACTACAGGCTGTGCCTCTACGCCTGGCTACTTTTTGTATTTTTAGTAGAGACGGGGTTTCACCATGTTGGCCAGGCTGGTCTTAAACTCCTGGCCTTAAGTGATCTGCCCACTTCGGCTTCCCAAAGTGCTGGGATTACAGGTGTGAGCCACTGGTGCAAGGCTGGAAATAGGGTCTTTATGGAGGTAATTAAGTTAAGGATCTCAAGATGAGAACATCCTGGATTCAGGGTGGACACTCAATCAGAGGACTGGTGTTCTTACCAGAGAAAGGAGAGGGGTATTTGAGACAGAGAGCAGAGGGCCATGAGAAGACAGAGGCAGAGTTAGAGTGATGCAGCTCCAAGCCAAGGAGCGCATGATCACCACCAACCACAGAACCCGGGAGAAAGGCGTGGGGCAGATTCTCACCTAGGGCCTAAGGAGGGAACCAGTGCTGCTGCTGGCACCTTGCATTCAGACTTCTGGCCTCCAGAACTGTGAGATGATATATCTCTATTTTTTTTTAAGTCACCAAGTTCATGGTAATTTGTTACGGCAGCCTTTGGAAGGTAAGACACGGGGCCTGGTATTAAATAAGGGCTCAGTGTTTGTCCAATGAATGAAAGGGGCCAGGCACGGTGGCTCACGCCTATAATCCCAGCACTTTGGGAGGCCGAGGTGGGTGGATCACCTGAGGTCAGGAGTTCAAGACCAGCCTGGCCAACATGGTGAAACCCTGTTTCTACTAAAAATACAAAAAAAAAAAAAAAAGCTGGGTGTGGTGGTGCATGCCTGTAATCCCAGCTACTCGGGAGGCTGAGGCAGGATAACCAGGGAGGTGGAGGTTGCAGTGAGCCAAGATCATGCCACTGTGCTCCAGCCTGGGCAATAGAGTGAGACTCCATCTCCAAAAAAAAGAATGACTGAAAAGGCTAAGAAAGGAAGCTTGGCTTGCTGGTCTGTGGTGGGAACAAAAGGGAGACCTTCGGATGCCTTCTTGCTCTGTGCCAGCTGCCTGGTGCAGCCTATGACCACTGCAGGACCCTGCAGACTGCCTGCCTGACACCATCTCCCCTTGCCCCTGCCGACAGCTGCCCTGTTTGGCCACATACTCTTGGGCATCCTCTCATGATGTGGGGGAAGCTGATCCATCCTAAATATACTGCCAAATGTGGAAAATCCCATTTTCTTGGAGAGTGACTGAGGCAGAGCAGGCTTTGTGACCCATTTCTGGCCAATGAGACAGAGGGAAAGCATGCTGGGTGTGGGGGGGCGTTGGGAAAAGGTGTACTCTTTTCAGTCTCTTCCCTTTCAGGTCTGGTTGCCAGGAGTGGCAGATGTGGAAATAATCGGTGTCCCTGTTGACACACTTGAACTTCTCAGTGTACCTTGTCTGCACCCCAACCACTCCTGGGCTTCCAGCAATGTGAGATCATTGATAGCCTTTTTGTGGAAGCTGAATACGTCCTAGTGGAGACTCCAGACATGAGAACGAGGGGCTTTTGTCTTCAGCAGTGCAGATTGGGAAACTGAGGCTCAGAGACTATTACATTGTTGGAGACACAGGGGGGTAAGAGGCAGAGCTGGGATTCACACTGAGGCCCACCTGTCTCTGTGTCCCATGTTTTCAGCTGCTCTTGTACACTATTGCTCTTGGCTTTCAACTGGCTGTCTTGATTTTACATGAGGTTTGGGGCCTGGCAAATGCCTGGTTGCAGTCTGGTTCTTAGCATAACAGGGTCCGCATGTTGAGAGTTCATTGCAATGTAGTGACTACTGAGTCAGCTCCAGGGGTCCCATCTAACCAGGATCCATGCCCAGGACTTGGATATGCGTTCGCAGACTCACTCCTCCACAGCAGCCCTATTTACCAAAGAAGAAAGTGAAGCTTACAGCGGCTGCAAATGCTGTGCAGAGCTACAGAGAGTGAGCGACTGGGACTGGAACCAGCTCTGTCTCACTCCAAAGCCCCCTTTTTGTGTTCCTCCAACTACACTCTGTGCCCATCATGCAGGACTTTGATGGTTGCTGCTATATCCCTGGAGCCTGGGAGTGCCTGGCCCCTTGCAGGCACTCCGCAAATGTTTGTTGAATGAATAAATGAGCTCCACCAGGACTCCAGGTTAGAGGTGCTCAAAGCAAAACCATGGGTCGGGCACAGTGACTTATGCCTGTAATCCTAGCACTTTGGGAAGCTGAGGTGGGTGGACTGCCAGAGCTCAGGAGTTTGAGATCAGCCTGGGTAACACGGTGAAATCCCGTCTCTACTAAAAATACAAAAAAAAAAAAAAAAAAAAAAAAAAGCCAGGCGTGGTGATGCACGCCTGTAGTCCCAACTACTCAGGAGGCTAAGGCACAAGAATCACTTGAGCCCAGGAGGCAGAGGTTGCAGTGAGCTGAGATCCAACCACTGCACTCCAGCCTGGGCAGTAAAAAAAACAAAACAAAACAAAACCCACAAAACCATTAAACCGGGGGCTCCACCAAGCTGGCCACAATTTAAATAGCAGAGGGGTCTGCCCTCCCCTACCTCCAGAAGCAGTGAGGCCTAACCCCATTGAAAGCCCATTCTGGGTGGTACTTCCTCTCACAGAGGCCTGCCAGCCAGCAGCTGGGACTCGGCTCGTCGCCACGGATGTGTGCTTCTCTGAACAATGTTGGGAAAGGAAACTAGACTCAAGGGCTCCAGGGGGTTTTCTGGTCATTTTGGCTGTGGGGGTAGAGGGGTAGGGTTGGCGAGGTTCCCTGGGGCAGGGCGGTGGACCTCAGCCTGGTCACTGCCTTTGGAGGTGGTGGTGGAGGAGGGGAAAGGAGGTCTGGGTTTGAAATAACCCTCTAAGGGTGTTTTTTTTTTTTTGGTCAGGGTCTTACTCTGTTGCCCAGGCTGGAATGCAGTGGCACATGATCTCGGCTCACTGCCTGCAACCTCTGCCTCCTGGGCTTAAGTGATCCTCTTGCCTCAGCTTCCCGAGTAGCTGTGACTCAGGCTCACTCCACCAGGCCTGGCTAATTTTTAAAGTTTTTTGTAGAGATGGAGGTCTCATCATGTTGTCCAGGCTAGTCTTGAACTCCTGGGCTCAAGTGGTCCACCCTCCTTAGCCTCCCAAATAGCTGAGATTACAGGTATGAGCCAATGTGCCCAGTCCACAGATATTTTTCAAAACAGCTTTCTTGAGATATAATTCACATCCCATGCAACTCATGCATGTAAAGTGTACAGTACAGAGGCTTCAGCACATTCACAGAGCTGAGCAGCCATCGTCACAATCCATTTTAGAACATTCTTATCATCCCAAAGAGCAGCCCTGTACCCCTTATCTTTTACCTTCCGATAGGCCCGCTCTCTGCTTTCCTGGTCCTTGGCAACCACTGATCTACGTTCTGTCTCTGTAGATTTGCTAATTCTGCATATGCTATAGGTGGGTCTTATGATGGGGAAATTAAGTCCAAAGAGGGTGGCTGAGCAGCCCACAGCCATAAAACTAAGGAAGGGGCAGACTTGGAACTGGAGCCCAGATTCCTTGTTTCCAAGTTCATGCTTTCACAGGAGGTCTTCTTCTTCCCAGTAACAATTCCTAAAATAGTCAGCCTTGGTTTTGCCCCATGGGGATGAGGGCTTTACCTCCCTCATCTCACAGTCCCCCTCAGATGTAGGTACATTTCTGATACCCATAGGTATAATAATGAGGAAACTGATACCCAGAGAGGCTAATGGTCCAATGCACCATGGCTGCCAGCAAAGAGAAGAGGGTAATAGGGAAAAGCATTTGTATGCCCAAGGACTGGTGAGCAACACAGAATACAAAGAGTCAAGATGATTCAGCTTAAAATGTAATTTTCTTTCAGGTTATTCTTTCTTACCTATCCACTTCCCTTTTTCTTTCTTTTGTAGGAAAAGGAAAAGAAAGATCCCTCTACCCTTTGAGGTCACTTCCTGACCCATTTGTGCATCTATGTAGAGTGGTTACAAACTCACATCTCCCTGCCTGAATGCCTCTTATTAATCTGGGGATGGGTGGCAGGTCAGCATGCCCATGGGCTCTGACACCAGACAGGCTGAGGTTCAAATCCAGCCCCCACCACCCACTGACTTAACCCACTCTAGCCCTCTGACAGCTAACCTGTGACAGGGCCTTTCTACCTCATATGTCTGAACCCACAGAGTGGTTTCTTTCTCTCTCTCTCTCTCTTTCTTTCTTTTTTTCCTTCTTTCTTTTTTGTTTTTTTTGACGGAGTCTCACTCTGTTGCCCAGGCTAGAGTGCAGTGGTACAATCTCGGCTCACTGCAAGCTCCACCTCCTGGGTTCAGGCCATTCTCCTGCCTCAGCCTCCTGAGTAGGTGGGATTATAGGCACCCACCACCAGGCCAGGCTAATGTTTTTGTATTTTCAGTAGAGACGGGTTTTCACCATGTTAAGCAGGATGGTCTTGATCTTCCAACCTCGTGATCCGCCCGCCTCAGCCTCCCAGGGTGCTGGGATTACAGGCGTGAGCCACCGCGCCCGGCTCAGAGTGGTTTCTTTCCCTACCTATTTTATTCCATGGAAAAGAAAGAATACACAGAATGGTTCCTTCCCCACCTATTATCCTTGGGAAAAGAAGTGTCATTTTACATTAGAGTCCTCCCAGAACAGCGCCTGCCGCCTTGATGATGACGACGATTGTTAATTCTGAGATGGAGTCTTGATCTATCACCTATGCTGGAGTGCAGTGGCACCATCTTGGCTCACTGCAACCTCTGCCTTCTGGGTTCAAACGATTCTGCTACCTCAGACTCGTGAGTAGCTGACACTACAGGTGTGTGCCACCATGCCTGGGTAATTTTTGTATTTTTAGTAGAGAGGGTGTTTTACCATGTTGGCCAGGATAGTCGTGAACTCCTGATCTCAGGTAAGCCGCCTGCCTTGGCCTCCCAAAGTGCTGGGATTACAGGTATGAGCCACTGCACCTGGCAGATTATTTTTATTTTGAACAACCAAGTTAGAGTTTGAGAAAGAGATGAAGGGCCTCCAGTACTCTCTTTCAATCCACTGATTCCTTCAGTCGTTCACCTGGGGGGTGGGGTTGGGCTAGGGGTTGGTTAGCAAAAAATGAGCCAAAGAAGAAAATGAATTAAAAACATGAAAGAAAAAAAAGCAAACTGCCATTTACGATGACCATTATCTCACACACAGTGGACATTTTAACTCAAAAATACTATAGGCTCACAGGCATAGATTAAACAGAGAAACCTGTTCTTCATGTTCTTATTTTTTTGCTTGCTTCCCACAGATGAGAGAAAAATCCAGCCAGAATTGGCATCTGTCAAGATAGGCTTTTAGGAGCCACGGCTCCCTAGAGTGGTCTCCACACATTCTGATTATATGCAATCTCATTTTGCCATCAAGAGACTTAACCCACTCCCCTATCCATGTAGACTTTGTAATAATAAATTATACATATATATGACTGAACTAATATATTATGTACTTTATATAACACATACTAAAACAAAAGTGTGAAAAAGATTGGTTGAAATAAATACAAGCTGAAGTTCTAAAAAAAAAAAAAAAAAAAAAGTGAGGCAAAGGAATTGCCCCTAGATGTAGTCATTTTTCCTGGGGAATTGGCCCAATGACTTCAAGTGGTTGATGTCATAATGAGTCCTTCCAAGATCTCTTTAAAAAATTGATGTGTTAAGTGATCTGTGGTGATGAGCACAGCTATACACGCCAGTTGGGAGTGCTGAAAGAAATGAATCCACAGATCTTGTGAAGTCACAAACGAGTCCTATGGCTTGGGATACAACATTGACAGTGAGAGTGATATTCCTCAATTAAAAAACGCTATAACAGGCCGGGTGCAGTGGCTCATGCCTGTAATCCCAGCACTTTGGGAGGCCAAGGTGGGTGGATCACTTGAGGTCAGGAGTTTGAGACCAATCTGGCCAACATAGTGAAACCGCGTCTCTAGTAAAAATACAAAAAATTAGCCAAGCATGATGGCATACACCTATAATCCCAGCTACTCAGGAGGCTGAGGCAGGAGAATCGCTTAAACCTGGGAGGTGGAGGTTGCAGTGAGCCGAGATCGTGCCACTGCACTCCAGCCTGGGCAAGAGAGCAAGACTTTGTCTCAAAAAAAAAAAAAAACAAAAAAAAAACAAAAAAAAAAACAAAAAAAACCAAAAACACACACACACAAAAAAAACGCTATAACAGACCAGTGGCACATGCCTGTGATCCCAGTGCTTTGGGAGGTAGAGGCAGGAGGATTGCTTGAGGTCAGGAGTTCAAGAACAGCCTGGGACACATAGTGAGACCTCATGTCGAAAAAAGAGAAAATTAGCCAAGTGTGGTGTGCCTCTATAGTCCCAGCTCTTCAGGAGGCAGAAGCAGGAGGATCGCTTGAGTCCCGGAGTTCGAGGATGTGGTGAGCTATGATGGCACCACTGCACTCCAGCCTGGGTGACAGAGTGAGACCCTGCCTCTTAGAAAACAGAAGCTATAACTCAAGCAACTTGGAAGTGAAATTCAAGTGCCTGACAGCTGTCTAGGTGCCCCTGAAACTGCCTCTAGTCACAACAAAGATACCTCCATCAAAGAGCATAGGAAGGGTTTGAATCAGATAGCTTCATGCAACACACGAACGGAAAAATAAATTTCTTAAAGAACATATTAGCTTCTTCCCATGAGATCAGGAAAACGGGACATCAATTGTCTGGGGTTCTTTGCTCCTGACTCCCTTTGGGGCTGGCACTATGTTGATCACGTTTTACAGATGGGGAAACTGAGGCTGTCGGTTTTTAAGTGGTCTGCCTAAGGTAGCAGTAAGGGTTGGTCTGACTCCAGCGCAGCCTCAACGAGGGCTTCAAATTAGGGCCATGAATTGGCAATTCCTGGCGGGTAATTGTGAAGAGTATATTTATTTTTAATTTTTATTTATTTATTTTTGAGACGGAGTGTCTCTCGGCCACACCCATCCTAGCTCATTGCTGTCTCGAACTCTCGAGCTCAGACGATCCTCCCGTCTAGGCTTCCCAAAGAGCTGGGATGACAGGCGTGAGCCCGGGCGCCCGGCCGGGAGTGTGTTAAGTATACGGCAAACACCTGGACTGCGGCCGGCTCTCCAGGAATGCCATGATATTGGGGAATTCCCTTTGCACCTGGCCAAGTGGCCTCGGGCAGGTAGCCTCCCCTCGGGTTGCCTCAGTTTCTTCTTTGGCACGCAGAGGCGGGGCTCCAGGCCTGGGCCGCTCCATGGCGGGGAGGGCGCGGGGACGCTGCACTCGGGGTGCGCTCCGAGAGGCGGACCCGGCTGGGCGCGCCTGGGGCGGGGCGAGGCGGGGCGAGGCTGGGCGGTGCGGGGGGCGGCCCCCGAGGATCACGTGGCGCGGCGCCGCGGCCGAAGCAGAAGTAGCGAGCGCCGGCGGCGGAGGGCGTGAGCGGCGCTGAGTGACCCGAGTCGGGACGCGGGCTGCGCGCGCGGGACCCCGGAGCCCAAACCCGGGGCAGGCGGGCAGCTGTGCCCGGGCGGCACGGCCAGGTGAGCTGCCCGGCCGGGAGCGAGGCAGGCAGGGCGCCCAGGGACCTGCGCCCCGCGGGGACCGGCTCCCAGGGCGCTGCGTCCGAGGGGGTCTGCGTCCTGGCTCAGCCGGAGCGGGCAGGGACGGGGCGCACCCTCGGGGACCCCGGCCCGCCGTGCCCGGGGTCCGTTTGGTGACGGCAGGGATCCTGGCCCAGCCGCTGGCCACTTCCTCACCCCGGGCCGGCGCCACCTCTCCGGTCCGTGCGGTGGGGCGGCCCCAGCTTTGAATGGGGACCGGGAGGAAGGTCAGGGGTCGTGTGGGGGCTGGCGTTCAAAACTCCTCTTTTCGAGCGGCTCTGCGTGGGGTGGCGCCGTCTCTCTTGACGGCCCTTGTGCCCAGAGCTCGCGGACGCTCGGAGCCACACTTCCCTGTCTCACTTCGGTGGTTGCGGGTGGCGGGTGGGAGCGATACCGCGGGAGGCGCAGTCCTTCCCGGAGACTTTTGGAGAGCTTGCAGGACACTCGCGATGCCCGCTCCGCAGCTGTCTGCGTAATTATGCGTGTGTCTGTGCGTGTTGTGTTTTGTTGTGTTTTGGAATCCCAAAGAGGGCATTACCCGCACAGCGCAAGAGTTCAGGTTAAAGACGTGCCCCGTTTGGACGGGGAGCTCCTGGATTCCAGCAGGACGGTGGGGCGGGGCTCTCTTGGTACCCTAATCTTGAACTAGGGTGAGAAACTATGGGGGGCGGGGTGGTAAAGGGGTGACATGGCGCGAGGGAAACAGGTGGCCTTGCCCGTCGGAACTTAATTTGAATTTCAGTTCCATCAGTGGGACCCTGGGCAAGTTGAAGAACCTTTTTGAGTCTGTTTCCCCCTCTGGATACTGGAGCCACCCAATTTTCCAGGGCTGTGTCGAGAATTGGGGCTTATTGCTGTTCCACGAGGTTCGCTGAGAATCGGGGCGCATCCATGGAGAGTCCTTGGGCAGTTCCTGACTCTCTGGTTCAAGGGCATTCTCTGGGGCATGGGCCCTCGTCCTTGACTACAGTTCTGCGGGGAAGTTTTACAGAATTTTGAAGTCTATGCCAGCCTCAAGCAGTTTCTCTTGCAAAGGTGTGTGTGCAGTCACGTGTATACCAGCTCAGGGACAATCGTCATTGTGAGCCTCACTGATGTTTAAGTCACCTAATGATGCAGCTGCCTTCCCCCACCAGCGACTGGAGTATGGGCAGTTCCTCTGGAAGTGGAAAAGCACAGACCCCATGAATAGCCCTTTTGCACTCATTGGGTAGAGTCAATGAAAAGCTGCTGGTGAGAAAACTTTTGAAAACATTTCTTGGTCAGGCACGGTGGCTCACACCTGTAATCCCAGCACTTTGGGAGGCCGAGCTGGGCTGATCACTTGAGGTCAAGCGTTCCAGACCAGCCTCACCAACATGGTGAAACCCCATCTCTACTAAAACTACAAAAATTACCTGGGCGTGGTGGTGGCCGCCTGTAATCCCAGCTACCCAGGAGGCTGAGGCAGGAGAATCACTTGAACCCAGGAGGTGGAGGTTGCAGTGAACCCAGATCATGCCACTGCACTCCAGCCTGGGTGACAAGAGAGACTCCATCTCAAGACAAACAAACAAACAAACAAACACACACAAACACTTCTTAATTTAGAAAACAGCAAGAACACAAAGAGAAAAATTTGCCCGTTACATCATCAGTTAATATAAATAAAGTCAAGTTGTATCCTCTACCCTCTCCCAGCCTCCGATAAATAGTAACCACTCTCCTGGATTTACCAGAAGATCACCTTTATAAAAAGGGAATTGTATTATACTCATACAGTTGCAACTATTGTCTGAAGCTATTTTTTTATTGACCTCACAAATCTTTCCAGATCAAATTGCTTATCTATCATCCTCATTCTTTCTGATGGCTACTGAGCGTTCTTCAGTGCATGTGCACCATTATTTATCCAGGAGGCCCCCCACATTGATGAGCAGTTGTTTTCTGTTTTTTTTTCTTTTTTTGTATTTCTATTGCAACTATTGCTTCCGTGATTTTCTGTCGTACATATTGCATCTTTGTGCATGTCTTTCTTTACATGTACAATTGCAGGATCGAAGCATATGCGTGTTTTGCTTTTTAGTAGCTGCTCACAGGTTGCCCTAAAGGAGCAGGGGTGGAATTTACACTCTCACTTGCAGTGGCTGACACCATTCCTTTGAAAATAGTGTATTCCCTCTAATGCTGCAGGGTGGGTGTAAGGTGCAGCAGTAATGTCCCTTGAACTGTTGGAGGGGCCCTTACCACTCAAGTATTTGCCTGTGCTCCATTTTAACACAATTGTCTTGTGGGATTTTTGGATGAAATCCTGTACTGGCTTACCATGCACAGAGCACTGAAGAGACAAAAACTTCCTTGATTTCTGGTTTTGGGTCCTCGCATCTCATTTCATGTCCTTTCCCCCCCCCCCCCCGCCCGCCCCCGAGACGGAGTCTTGCTCTGTCGCCCAGGCTGGAGTGCAGTGGCGCGATCTCGGCTCACTGCAAGCTCCGCCTCCCGGGTTCACGCCTTTCTCCTGCCTCAGCCTCACGAGTAGCTGGGATTACAGGCATGTGCCACCACACCCGGCTAATTGTTTTGTATTTTTTTTTAGTAGAGACGGGGTTTCATCGTGTTAGCCAGGATGGTCTTGATCTCCTGACCTCATGATCCGCCCACCTCGGCCTCCCAAAGTGCTGGAATTACAGTCATAAGCCACCGTGCCTGGCCCATTTTATGCCTTTCTAAATAAGCTTATGAGATACAAGAACATGAATGAGCTTATGAGATACAAGAAAAACCTTTAGAAGGACATGAAATGTAAAAATGGCAAAAATCAGTTATTCAAACTCAGCCATATTTGTATTTACAAAATAAGTCATTTTATAGAATTACCCATTAAGAATGGGAAACAGGAACAAAAAAGGGATTTCAAGGCTTTTTTTTTTCTTTTTTTGAAAAAACCAAAAAAAGCAGAAGCAAAATGGAAGTTGCTGTGGTGGCTGGTGCTCTCTCCTGGGCTCAAGGTCTTGGAGACCTCCCTGCCATAGTTGATAAAGCGTGGAACGCTGGAGACCTGAGCTGGGTGCTGGCAGGATTTGAATGGTGGACTCCAGGGATCTTTTGGCCGTGAAGATCTGTTTCCAATTGCATCTCATAAGCTCATTCATGTTCTTGTATCTCACAAGCTTATTTAGAAGGGCATTTCGTGAGATACAAGAACCCCAAACCAGAAATCAAGGAAGTTTTTCTCTTCAGTGCTCTGTGCATGTTAAGCCAGTACAGGATTTCATCCAAAATCCCACAAAACGATTCTGTTAAAATGGGGCACAGGCAAATACTTGAGTGGTAAGGGCCCCTCCAACAGTTGAATGGACATTACTGCTGCACCTTACACCCACCCTGCAGCATCAGAGGGGATACAGTGTTTTCAAAGGAACGGTGTCAGCCACTGCAGGTGAGAGTGTAAATTCCACCCCTGCTCCTTTAGGGCAACCTGTGAGCAGCTATTACAAAGCAATTGGTGAGACGCAGCATGGAAGTCTGGTGTTTATGGCTGAGTTGATCCACTGGGCTTCGAAGCTGGAAGTAACTGGGACCCTGGGGAAGGTTAAGTCCAAGGCCCTCCCAGAGTGAGGGCTGGAAAGAACTGAGGAGCCTGGTCCCTTGTCCTGGTTTCTGTCTAATTGAAGGTGTTATAATGGGGCTTGTGTTTCCTACTTATGTTCCAGTGGACTATGGCCTAGAGACCTGGGAGTGGGGAACTCCAGGATGCATGGCTGGGAACAGTCAACATAGTGAAGAGCTCTGTGGTTGGCAGCTGGGTCAAATCCAGTTTCAGCTACTTTTTTAAAATTTTATTATTATATTATTATTATGCTTTAAGTTTTAGGGTACATGTGCACAACGTGCAGGTTTGTTACATATATATACACGTGCCATGTTGGTGTGCTGCACCCATTAACTCGTTTTGCTACTTTCTATCTGTGTGACCTCGGATAAGTCCCTTAACCTCTTTTGAGAGTGGCAAGTACTGGCAAATCAGTTAATATCTGGCCAGATGCTGCCACAGGATTCTGGACTAGGGGCTTGGGACTCAGGTGAGGGTTTTGATCTTTGTGCTGCTGCTGGTCTACATGACTTTGATCAAGTAATGTGACCTCTTGGGATTTCAGTTTTCCGCTGCCGTATTTCCCATTGAGATAAATGAGACGAACCAGACACAACAGGTGCTTGGCACCTGGGGAAGGGCCCAATAAATGGCTGCTTAACAAGGATGAAATGGACCATGGGGGCACCTTGTTCATCCCTTTGTCCTGGCTAATGATCAGGAGGTCATTTTGGGTTTCTCCTGATAAGGTAAGATGCACATTAACTCTCAGCAGGGTTTTTTTTTAGCATACTCTGTTCTGCCTCCTAGCCTTTGCTTAAACTTAAAGCCAGTTCCTCCTGCTTCATCTTTTTTGAAAGATTGAGTTCAGATGCCTGCTTTTTTCCCCTGAAAGCTTTTTCTGAGCCCTTTAAGTGCCTAGCCACACTCCAGATTAAATTTAGGATTCCTTCTTGCTGCTCTCTGCCCGCCGTGCCCCCAGTGCATGCTTCTGCTGCTGCACTTGTAACTACATTAGAATTCTCAGTTGATTAGTCTGTTTCCCCATGGGCAGAGAGCAGGTGTAATTATCTCCTGCTGCTGGCATGGCTGACCGAGGAGGTCCCTTTGGTATGGGTGTGCAGTAGAGGGAGGTGGGGGCAAAGGGCAAATCCTGGGCCCCTCCCCATTCCCCTCATTTGCATCCTAGTCCCCACCTCAGTGCCTGGCATAGAGTTGACATTTGATTAATGCCTTCCCCAATGGCTGATTAATGCTAACTGAGACCCTGGTAAATGCTGCAGGCTGTGCATACATTGTAGCTTTTTGTCTTCCCAGCTGCCCCTTGTGGGCATTTAACCTCCATTTTACAGATGAGGGAACCGAGCCACAGATTTAGAGCAGCTTGGCAGAAGGCTGAGCCCGGCTGGAAGCACAGACAGCCCTGGCTGAACACCAGCCTCTCACTCCTCCTTCTTTGGATCCTGGGAGGGTCTCTCTAGTGCTACTCTGTAACCTTGAGAGCTACAGAGTAACAACTCCAGGCACCTCCAGGGACTTGGAGGGAAAGGAGGAGATAAGAAACAGAACAAATAATGGTAATTTTAACAATAGCTTAATCTAAGGAGTGCTGACTTTGTATCATTGTTTTAAGGGCCTGAGATACATTATCTTGTTTAAGCCTTACAAAAACATTTAGATGGTGGATACTGTTACCTTCTTTTATGGGACTGGAAATGAGCCCAGAGGATCTAAGTGACTTCTTGCAGCCTAGCTGGCAAGGGGGTCCCTGGTGGTTCAGCTCCAGGGCCTGGGGAGCGCCTTCACTCTAAGTCCTATTTTGGGGGCAGGCAATGTGTTTCTGGGGATTTGGGAGGCAGAATGAGGGAATGGTACAGAGTGAGGGCTCAGGGAGGGACTAAGGGATTTTGAGCAGAGGAGTGACATGATTTGATTCATGTTCTAAAAGGATCCTTCTGGCTCTGCATCTGAGAATTGACCCTAGCAGGTCAGGGAAGAAGTGGGGAGAGCAGGATTAGAATAGTTCAAGTATGAGATCCTAGGAGGAGCCGGTGAAAGGGTGAGATGCGTTGGAAGTGGTCGTGAGAGAGTCCACGCAAGGATTCCTCCAAGGTTTTGGGCCCAAGCACCTCTCTGACACTGACCACCCACAAGCATAAACAGCAATCAAGGACACCTCCTAGGTGCTGGCCGTCACCCCAGGTGCTTTGCTGGGGCATTTCTGAACACTCCCATTTTAAAAAGGCTAAAACTGAGGCACAGAGAGGTCAAGCAGTCTACCCAGAGCTACACAGTCAGCAGGAACCTTCTCTAGGGTTTGAACGTGAAGCTGCCAAGACCTGACATTTCCTGCCTTTCATCCTCATTTCTATGCAGAGGAACCATTTGCCAAAGTCTCCATGGATGATTCTGAAGGTTTAGTTTGTTTTTCGTTTATTTCATTTTTTTTTTTTTTTTGTTCTTAATTTTGCTCAGGAATAAAGAGATGGTTAGAAATCTCTAGACAGGATAGAGAAGGATGTTGGAGATTAGGGGTGAGAGGTGGGAGCCAGGCTGGGCTGCTTTGGCTATTCAAATATTCTTTAGGATAAGAGTGGGTGGGGAGAGAGGGGACTCACTGCCAGGTCAGGGTGATTTGGTTATTCAAAGCCCACGTAACGGTTGGGTCCTTGAGGTCAGGGGCTCTTCTCACACTTCAGTTTCCATTTAAACCTTTGTGTCCTGCCTTAGCTCTCTGAGTGGCCAGCGATGCCTTGCCACTAGAACCTTCTCCTAAAACTCATCCTGATTGACATGAGACAGGATTTTGGTTCCTGAAGTTCATGCCCTGTTAACTAAACCCCTTTCAGTACTAAAATCAGTTCACTCTTTAATTCTGCCCTTTCAGCTTCCTGATTTCTCCCGATTCCTTCCTTCTCCCTGGAGCGGCCGACAATGTCCACCACGGTCAATGTAGATTCCCTTGCGGAATATGAGAAGAGCCAGATCAAGAGAGCCCTGGAGCTGGGGACGGTGATGACTGTGTTCAGCTTCCGCAAGTCCACCCCCGAGCGGAGAACCGTCCAGGTGATCATGGAGACGCGGCAGGTGGCCTGGAGCAAGACCGCTGACAAGATCGAGGGCTTCTGTGAGTACTCGCTGGGTGGGGCAGTGTGGCCCGTCCTCTGGGGCCCTGGCCTGAGCACCTGTCCACCTTCCTGTCTTGTCATTACTGTGATTGTTGTTGGTTTGATGTGTTCTTTTATTCGTCTTAAAATGAAAGCATTGCCAGTTTGTGTGGATCTCTGATGAGGTTTACACCAGGTGGAGGAAGTTCAGCTGGGAAAACTCTGGTGAAAGAACTGAAGCTGAGGTCAGCCAACATGGAAATGGCATTCAGGCAGCTCTCCTTGCCTGGTGGTTCTGTGCCCTGTCTGACAGCATCAGGGATCGTCTGGTTCCCACAACTGGTCGAGTCATCTTTCCTCTTAAGGGCGAATTAGCCCAAGCCTGCAGAAACTCATAGCTTGGTCGCCAAATGCTACCTTGTTTTACTGCATACCATAGCAGTGAGGGGCCTTTGCTTTAGTCTCCAAGCAGGGAGAGTGAGTTGTTGAACGTTTTGTAGCTTTCAAATGCAGGTCTGGTCTTGGTAGAGGTGTCCCTCCTCCCCTACCTCCGTTTGATTGGGCAGCTGGTTCAGATCCTAAAGTTTCTAAGACTGTTTTTAACAAATAGAGTAAAGGCACTTAAGCAATTTTCAGTTGCAAATATTTGCTCTAATTTGTGTTTTTAAATTAACTAGTTTTTAATTGAAATATATATTCCTGGGGGTTAAGGAGTCAACTCAAATATTTCTCCTCCCTAAACCATCCTACTGAGGCAAGCTCATTACCAGTTACTTTTATCTTCCAAAATAGTCTATGCTTGCATAATGTGTGGGTTTAAAAAGAAAACAATTGGGAACTCTTGTACACTTCTGCACCTTGACTTCTTTTTGTTAATTAATAATGATGTTGGCGGTGGTTTCTTATCAGCACACATTGATCTCATTCTTTCTTGGACACATGACATGTAATGGCACAGGCCTCAATGTAACAGTTTAACTCCAGAGAAGGGCATTTCATGCTATTTCCAGGCTTTTGTTATTATTCGAAGTGACTATCATTGTACTCTTTTTTTTTTAAAACAAAATTAATTTTTTTGAGACAAGGTCTCTTTCTTTTACCCAGGCTGGAGTGCAATGGCATGATCATGGCTCACTGCAGCCTCAGCCCCCTGGGCTCAAGTGATCTTCCTGCCTCAGTCTCCCAAGTAGCTGGGACCATGGGAATGCACCGCCATGCCTGGATAATTTAATTTTTTTTTTTTTTTTTTGTAGAGATGGGATCTCACTATGTCCAGGCTTGTCTCCAATTCCTGTGCTCAAGTGATCCTCCCTCCTTGGCCTCCCAAAGCATTGGGATTACAGGCATGAGCCACCTCACCCAGCCTTGCACTCTTTTTTTTTTTTTTTATAATAGATTGATTGAGACATAATTCACATAGTATACATAGAATTCACCCATTGTATGCAGCATGTATAGTGTGGTGGTTTTAGTATATTTATATAAATGTGCAAGCACCACTCCAATCAAAAGTAGAACCTTTATATCACCTCAAGATGAAACCCCATACCTTTCACCATCACCCCATCCCCTCATCCCCCCTACCAGACGTAAGCAACCGTTAAATTTAATTCTGTTTCTATAAACCTCTCTATTCTGGACATTTCATAGAAATGGATCCTATGTATGTGGGCTTTTGTGACTGGCTTCTTTGACTCAGCATTTTTCAAGGTTCATCCACTTTGTTGCGTGGATCAGAAATTTTCCTTTTTGTGGCAGAATCACGATACGTTGTATGGGTATTCCACAGTTTATTCAGTCATCTGTTGACGGACCCTTGGGTTGTTGCCACCTTTTGGCTAATATAAATAGTGCTGCTAAGAATGTTTCTCTACAAGTTTTTGTGTGGATGTCTGTTTTTATTTGTTTTGGGTATATACCTAGGAGTGGAATTGCTGGGTCATACACTAACTCAGTTTCATCATTTTAGGAACTGTCAGACTGTTTTCTAAAGTGGCTGCACCATTTATATTCCTTCCAGTGGTAGAAAAGGGTGATCGTTGCATTATTCTTCATTTGTATATATGGGTATATCTGAAGGACAGCTTCCTGAAGGTTTATTTCTGAGCTGAAGGATATGGCATATATATATTTTAATAGACAGAGTCTCGCTCTGTTGCCCAGGCTGGAGTGCAGTAGTACAATGTCAGCTCACTGCAAGCTCCGCCTCCCGGATTCATGCCATTCTCCTGCCTCAGCCTCCCGAGTAGCTGGGACTACAGGCGCCCGCCACCACGCCCGGCTAATTTTTTGTATTTTTAGTAGAGACGGGGTCTCACTGTGTTAGGCAGGATGGGGGTATGGCATATTTTAACTTTAAAGGGAAGTTTGGCAGCACCCCACAAAAGAGGTTGCCCCCACTGTCTGTTTCAGCCACAGGATGTAAAAGTACCTGTTGCCTGAACCCTCATCTATGCTGCGTGGCTGCTGAACTTGGCCATCCACAGGTAGACTTTGGTAGCTTGGTGTCATCCTTAATTTGATGTATCCTATCATGAGTGTGATCAAACTGCTTTCTGAAAGGCTTTTCCTGGTTTTGGAGCCCAGTGGGTCTCTTGTGGCACAGAGCCAGAGCCCTGCTTTGGAACTGCCCATGTGGAGGTGGCCATCTTCCCTCTTGACTGTTTGCATTGGCCGGCTCCACCCCCAGGTGGCCCAGAAACCTGTTGCAGCTGGGGTGGCCACCCTCCCTTCCCCCACAAGGGGTGAGAGGGTTGGCACTGATGGTAAATACAGATGGGCCACGTTGAGACTGGACTGCAGGTTGTTCCTTTCTCTTCTCAACCTGCCCATCCCAAACCTAGCTGCCCATCAGAAACACCCAGGGGGGATCTTGTAAGTATAGGGTATTAACCATGGCATGTGTATACACCTGTGTAACAAACCTGCATGCTCTTCACATGTATCCCGGAACTTAAAGTAAAATAAAATAAAATAAATATATACAAAAAAGAAATTACAGGGTATTAGAACCTTCTTCTGAAGCTCATTGTGATGGGCATGAGACAGGATTTTGGCTTGAAATCTATGCCCTGTCATTCTCCCCTTCTGCTGAGTAATACCATTTCACTCGCTTACGCGGATGCGCTCTCTCGCTCTCTGTTTTAGAGACAGGGTCTTGCTCTGTTGCCCAGGCTAGAGAGCAATGGCCTGATCATGGTTCACTATAGTTGTGAACTCCTGGGCTCAAGTGATCCTCCTGCCCAGTCTCCCAAGTAGCTGAGACTACAGGTGAGTGCCACCATGCCTGGCTGATTTTTTAACTTTTGTGTAGATAGGGTCTTGCTATGTTGCCGAGGCTGGTCTCCAACTCCTGGCCTCAAGTGATCCTCCCACCTTGGTCTCCGAAAGTGCTGGGATTACAGACAGGAACTACCATGCCCGGCCTCAATTCATTCTTTTATTTATCTGTTCAGCCTCTTTATTTCCTTCTTCTTTCTCCCTGGAGAGACCAAGAATGATGATATTTCACCACTTTGGCTGGGGCGTATTATTATAATAAGTCCCCCGGATGGTCTGGTAACTAGGCAGGTTTCACACATATGCCACTGGAGAGACACTGCCCTTCCTCCACCTTCCCCCTCCTCTCCCTCCTCTTCTCCCTCCCACTTTCCCTTTCTTTCTCCTTCCCTTCCCACCTTTGCCCCCCCTCCATTGCCTCCCCTCTGTCATTTGGATGCCCACTGTAGGCGCCGCCCTAGGCGCTAGAGATACAGCAGTTATTAAATTGGATTCAAATCTCCGTGGAGCCTATATTGCTTTATTAGGTATGAGCAGTCTGGGGCTTGACTTCCAGTGCCCTTGGATGAGCTTTGCTGTGTGATCTTGGGCAAGTTACCTCCACTCTCTGAACTTTAATTCCCTTATCTGTGGACTGGAAATAACATTGGTGTCTACCCCACAGGCTCATGGTTGGGAAGAAGCAAATGAGAAGATGCATTGGAGAGGCTCGGCTGAATTCATAGTGTGTGACAGGCACTCAGTTGTTGGGAACCACCACTTTCAGGATGTTTGCTGTTGTTGCTAACTAGTGGAGTCCAGCCTATGTAGTCTTCCTTAGGGGTTTGGACTGGAGGGGAGTAGGGTCCATTCTCAGGTTTTCAGAAGAGGGATGACGTGATTGGATTTGCATCTTTGAGCATGCAGTGGAGGTCCTGTTTGCAATGATGGTGTTGGTAAAGTGACAGGGAAAGCCAATTATGTGTGAAGAGCTTAGAAATGGTGCTTCTCCCTCACACCTTGAGAGAGCAGGCCTTCAGGCCCTGGGTGGGGACTGTCAGTGTCACCGCTCAGTCTCCTGCTGAGAAGGGTGACGTTTTATCTCAAGAAGAACTCCCAGCTCTGGCAATTTCCTCACGGGGTTCTGGTTAGCAGGAACTTGCTGGTTACTGTGGGGTCTGCAGGGGCAGGTGCACATGAGAGGAGCACCGGCACCTGGTTTTGGAATAGTTGGCAAATGGTGTGTGACTTTTGGACAGGTGTTACAATCCCTGTGCAGACCTGGGTAAAATACCTAGGTCCTACTGTCTAAAGCAGCGTGTGGTTCTCAACCAGGGTGATTTTTGCCTCTCCCTCCCTACTCCAGGGTAGGGGGCATTTGGCAAAGTCTGGAGACGTGTTGATTTTCTCACCTGGGATACAGGGTGCTACTGGCATCTAGTGTGTAGAGGCCAGAGAGGCTGTTAAATGTTCTGTAGTGCACAGGACAGTCCGCACCACAGAGAGTGATCCAGCAAACGTGTCAGTGGTGCAGGGGTTGAGAAACTGCTCTAGAGTCATGTGTTTGCTTTGCTCACAGCAATAAAATGTCACTGGGTAAAATAGGGTTTTGCTCTGAACCCTGTTTGGATGGAATTTTCTCATTTGTTCAGCACATGTTTGCCATCATATTGAGTGCTAAACTCTGCAGAGAGAGGGAGGAGGAGGATGGAGTCCCAGCTTGCAAGAGGGGGAGACAGACTCAAACTTGCCCTTGCAAGATTGTGTGCTTAGTACCATAGCAGGAGTTTTCACTGGATGTGGTGTGAGGAGGGAAGGTTTTTGTCCATTTGGATGTGGGGGAGGTGGTGAGGAATGGGGAGGGCTCATTGTGGAGGAGCTGCTTGGGTGGAGTTTAGAGAGATTTGCTAGATGGTTAGCAGGGATGGCTGCCCTGATCCTGTGGGATTAATGGGTGTCATGTAATATAAACAAGCAGATTTGTGGGTCATAGATCTGGGCAGAGCTCAGCTGGGCAATTCTTCTACTCTTTGTAGCCTGGACTGAGGTCATTTGGTGTCACCTCGCCTGGAAGGTTCCAGAATCTTCACTCACACATCTGATACCTTAGTGGTGATGGCTGGAAGACTGAGCTTAGCTGGGATTATTTTTTGTTTGTTTGTTTTTCAGACGGAATCTCTGTCACCCAGGCTGGAGTGCAATGGTGCAGCCTCGGCTCACTGCAACCTTTGCCTCCTGGGTTCAAGCTATTCTCCCACCTCAGCCCCCCGAGTAGCTGGGATTACAGGTGGGTACCATCACATGCAGCTAATTTTTGTATTTTTAGTAGAGATGGGCTTTCACCATGTTGGCCAGGCTGGTCTTGAGCTCCTGACCTCTCGTGATCTGCCCACCCTGGCCTCCCAAAGTGCTGGGATTACAGGCATGAACCACTGCACCCAGCCTTAGCTGGGACTGTTGACCAAACATCTACCATGTGGTGGTCTCAGGCAGAAGAGTCCCAGGCAGAAGCTACAGGCTTCTTACGACAGCCTCATAAATCCGAGGACATCACTTGCACCAACTCAGATCAGCAAGCCCAGCTCAGCTTCAAGGAAAGGAAATTTCTCTCTTAGAGAAGGAATGGCATGCATATCGATGGTAGGCAGGAACTGATGGTGGCCACCAGCAGCCAAGCTCCCACATGAGCATGTCGACTCTGAATCCCAATTTATGATGCAAATCCCTGCTCTGCCACTGTATTAGTCCATTCTTATGGTGCTAATAAAGACATACTCCAGCCTGGGCACAGTGGCTCACACCTGTAATCCCAGGACTTTGGGAGGCCAAGGCAAATGGACCACCTGGGGTCAGGAGTTCGAGACCAGCCTAGCCAACATGGCGAAGCCCCATCTCTACTAAAAATATTAAAATTGGCTGGGTGTAGTGGCACATGCCTGTAGTCCCAGCTACTTGGGAGGCTGAGGCACAGAATTGCTTGAATGTGCAAGGCGGAGGCTGCAGTGAGCCGAGATCACTCCACTGCACTCCAGCCTGGGTGACAGAGCAAGGCTCTGTCTCAAAAAAAAAAAAAAAAAAAAAAAAAAAAAAAGACAAAACAAAACAAAAACAAGCAAACAAAACCCAAGACTGAGTAATTTATAAAGGAAAGAGGTTTAATTGACTCACACACAATATGGCTGGGGAGGCCTCAGGAAACTTACAATCATGGTGGAAGGAGAAGCCTTCTTCACATGGTGGCAGCAAGGAGAAGGAGAGCTGAGTGAAGGGGGAAGCCTCTTGTAAAACTATCAGCCCTCATGAGAATTTACTCACTATCACGAGAACAGCATGGAGGTAACCGGCCCTATGATTCAATTACCTCCCACTGGGTCCCTCCTATGACACATGAGGATTATGGGAACGACAATTTAAGATGAGATTTGGGTGGGGAGAGAGCCAGACCATATCAGCCACTTACTAGAAGTGTGACTGGAAGCTAATTCTTTTGTTATATTTCTGTGCCTCAGTTTCCATATCTGTCAAGTGAGATAATAGTAGTTTCTATCTTATTGGGTGAGAATTAAATGGATTTTATTTTATGTTCTTTTTAAGATGTGGGAAATATTGCATAATCGAAACTTAATACAATAAGACCAGAAAGAAAAAAGGCCCCCTGGTGAGGACCCCCAAGGCCTGGCCTCTGGCAGAGAAGACTGAGTCTGAAGCACAACACCTCACTTCCTGGCCTCCAGGTTCCCTATTGCTTTCCAGGGGTGTTGGATAAGATGGTGCTGGGATTCCTTCCATCCCCAGCCTTCTGCATAGAGTTAAGGAGCTGGTTGTCTGTGAATGTCGGGAGGGAGCTTGTGGTACTGTTGGGCATGTTGGTTTTCTTTCCTTTCTGAGGGACCTAGTTGAGCAGTCTTCAGGTGGGAAGGGGTCTGCTCTGGGGCCTTTCTGAGTTGAGCCTTAGGTGTCCTCTTGCATCTTGTGCATTTGAAAGGCTTGGATTTTGTCTCAGGAGCCGATGTGGTGCCACCTGTTTGTGGGTCTGGAATTTTAGGGTCGGCTGTGGTGATGGGCCCTTTTGAGGGCCTGGATGCGTCCATCTCAACTGTGTAGGCTTTTTATCCTGACATTTTCACTTTTGCTTAGGCATATCTTCTCTGTCTGCTTATTTGTGGCAAGTGGTGGCTGCCCATGAGTGACGGATTCTCAAACATATGAGCTGTCTGTTTCCTTGGTATTAGGTTCTTGGGGTTCCCACTTAATAATGATAATAGTGATACCGTTGATGAGAGCCTCTTCTAATGAATGCTCACTGTGTCCTAGTCTCTGTGAAGGCACATCAAAGATAACTCCTTAATCCCCGCAGTGGTCCAGTGAAGGGGGAGCTATCCCTGCTTTATTCATAAAGAGATTGAGTCTTGGGGAGATGAGATGACATGCCCAAGTTAAGGAAAGGGCAGAGCTACAATTTGAACTTGTTCTTCCCAGTTTCAGTCTCAAGTCTTCTTCCTGCTCTGTGTTGTTTTCTTCTCCTAAATGATCTCAAAGACGTATCAGATCTGTGTGTCATAAACACCCTGCCTGAGACCAAAGAATGGCAGCTTCATTTAGAGTTTCTTTGTGACAGCAGGACAGAAACACATGAATTCCTTACGTGTGCAGAGGACTTGCTCTGCCAGGTGCTGGAGGTACCAAGAGAAAGGAGACTCAGTGCTCATCCTAGAGGCGCCGGATTTGTGGGGAGATGCTAGGAAAAGACCACAAACACAGCCTGGAAAAGGGCTGTTGGGGACAAGGGTGCCGAAGTGAGAGTTTACTGTATTTTGGCTCATCCTGAAATCCACTCTTGGACTTCTTTTCATGGAAAAAATGAATATTTTTGAAAGTTATTATTTTATCAAAATGTTTTTGAAATAAATGTGAAATTACTATTAATAATAATAATAAATGAATTATTTTCTCGCTGGCATCTCCTAAGAAGAAATCCATTGTCTGAGGGTGGTCCCCAAGCCCCTGCAATGAAGCGTCTCATCAGAAATAAGACGCAACCAATGCCTGAAGTGTCCATAAATGTATTTGCCTTTCAGTTACTGGTATGCGGTGATGGTATAAAGAAGGGCTGTCAAATCCTGGTCCTGCACTTGGTAGGGGTGTGACCTTGGGTCTCTCATGTCACCTCTTTGGGCCTCCATTTCCTTATCTATAAAATGAGAATAGTTGAAGAACACACCCCATAAGACTCTTGTGATAAGTAAATGACGTGATATATGTAAAATCCTTCAATAGTATCTGGCACAGAGGATGTGCTTAAGTATTTTTTGCTCTTGCTGTCGTTGATGTCATCATTATCATCATCCAGCATAAAGGCAAGATGGCATTGTAGAAAGGATGGGATAAATACTACATTTTCCATTTATATGAGGATTTTCCTTCCTGCACCCGATGGATTGTCCTGCTCCCCCTGGAGTATGTGTCCTCCACTTTGGAGCATGCCAGTGTGAAAAGTAGAGTTGACATTTTTATTCTTGATGGTGCTATAGCCCTTCTCTTATGCTGAATAGCTGAGGAATTGCTTGTCTTGTTTTCAAGAGTTGTCTTCTATCCTGGATGACAACCTTAGAATGTTCTTAGAATTTGTTCCTTTGTTGATTTAGCAAATACTCAAAGAGGACCTGATGTGTGTTGGGCAATGTGCTTGTCACTGGGGATAAAGTAGTGAACAGGACCCTGAAGATCTCTAGAGGATCTTACAATCTTGTAGGAAAAGCAGAAAAAGTCAGACTAACACATTCAATCATGTTGGATCGTGATAGACGCTAGGAAGGAAAGGAACAGGGTACTGTAATAAGGAGTCATTAGTCAGGAGCACTAGCCTAGCTGGGGAAGGCCTCAGGGTGGCCTCTCTGTAGAGGTGATGTTTGAGCTGAGACTTGAAGGGTGAGAAGGAGGGAGCCATGGGAAGCTCTGTGGGGAGAGCATTCTGGCATAGGGCATAGCAACAAAGCTTTCCTATTAGTGAAGGTAGCCTAATTGCAGTAACAAGTTATTTCTTCCTGTAAGTTTATCTCTCACTCACTCAAATCATGATCCAGTGGGATTGGGGGTGGGACTCTGCTGTCTGATCACAATGGGACTCTGTGCTATCATCTCCAAAGGTGTTGGAGGCTACCGCAGGATCCTTTGTGTGACCACTGCATGGAGGAAGAGGAAGAGCAGAGGATGGCTCAGGAGGTTGGAGGTTTCTATGGGCCATACCTGAAGTGGATGTACCTGTTTCCTCCCACCTGCTTTTTTTTTTTCTCCCCAAGAGATGGGGTCTTGCTTATTGCCCAGGCTGGAGTACAGTGGTGTGATCACAGCTCACTGCAGCCTTGAACTCCTCGGATCAAGTGATCCTCCTGCTTTGGCCTCCCAAAGAGCTGGGATCACAGGCATGGGCCACTGTGCCCGGCCCCCTCCCACCTTCTATTGAACAGAATTTGGCATGTGACCAAGTGCAAGGGATGCTGGGAAACATGCCCTAGCCGCATGCTAGAAGAACAGGGCCTAAGTTGGGGGGCATCCTTCCAGGCTTTTCTGTAACCCCTAATTTTGGAGGGTACAGAGGCAGCTCTAGGTGCCCCAGTGAAGGCTGATAAGCAGGTTGATGGTAAGGGTTTGGGAGTCTTGTAGGAATCCAGGAGAATGAACAGTCTCATCGCTGGGCTGCATGGAAAGGGAAGTGGTGAGCCACTGGCACTGAGGACTTTCCTGTCTGTAACTAGAGCTGCTGATGGTGATGTCTCTTAGACAGCCTCATCTGCCCTCTTGGGTTTCTCTCACAGATGTGGCCCTCCCCTCCCCAGCACAGACTGTCTCCAAACCTTGGCTTTTTCTGTTGCTGCCACATCAGTGACAGCTTTGGTTTTGCAACCTCCCAAGGATGGACCCCTGAGAGAGAGGCCTCCTATGGGCCATGCCTTTTAAAGCCAGCACACATGAGCAGGCTGCTTTGGAGATCAGTATCCTTTGGCACGGCCAGCCTTTCCTGGGCATAGGGGTGGATTGGAGGTGGTCTCCTGTAAGAGGACATCGTCTGGCTCCCGGGCTGTGGGCAGTGGTGGGTGCCTGTTACGGATTGAATTGTCCTTACCAATTTCATATGTCAAGGTCCTAATCCCCATACTCAGAATGTGATCTTATTTGGAAAGAGGGTCTTTGCAGATGTAATTAGTTGAGATGAAATCATAATGGAATAGAGTGGGCCCTAATCCAATATGACTGGTTTCCTTATGAGAAGAGGAGAGAGAGACACAGGGAGAGAAGGCCATGTGAAGACAGATACAGAAATCTGAGTCATGCATCTGCAAGCTAAGGAACACCAGGGGTGCTCCCTCAGGAGGAACCAGCCTCGCCAACACTTTGATTTTGGACTTCTGGTCTCCAGAACTGTGAGACAAACTTCTGTTGTTTCGGCCATCCAATTTTTGGTATTTCATGAGTGGCAGGCCTAACACACAAATACACTCTCATGTAACAGGGGCCTGAGGGCAACGGGGTGAGTACAGGGATTGACCTACCCATTCAGCCACTGATACTATGGATGGGTTGTGGTTTGTCATAACGGAATTTAAGAGGCGTTGCTTTCTTCCACGTGTCATGTTATTTTCTAGCTGCGTTGGTTCTGGCCTGGGCCCTGAGGGTGTAAGAGGGAATACAGTGTAGTGGGTAAACGAGGGAGGCAGCATTTGTCCCTCAAAATAGCACCAAGTTCTGGGAATGCAGGTATATTTGGAGTTCCTGACAAGTCAGTGCAGGTCCAACGTCTTAGGGATTGTGCTGAGTTGGGGGAGGGATCTAGTTAAAGATGTCCCTTGGTGAATCATTTTTGAAAAAAAAAAAATTATCTCCACTACCTGTCCCCTAGTCTGTCTTAGATATAAATGCGGGTTTTTGTATATCAGGCTCGCAAAATTATGTGTCTTGATTTGTCTTGGGAGAGATTTAGGTGCTGTGCAGTTTGGGGTTGAAATCAGAAATCCTGGGGTTGACTTTTCCTGCTTTCATGCAAGGCCCGATCTTGGGGCCAGGCCTTCGGTAGTCCTGACCCACAGACTAAGAGTGCTGGGAGGCCAGGGACCCTGTCTGTTCTGTTCATAAGGGGGACTTCCCAGCACCTGGCCCATATCTGGCCTGTGGCTGGTGCTCCTCAGATACCTGGTTAACAGATGAATCAGGAAAAGGCCCTGGCTGCCCCTTTCAGCCTCGGACTTCCGGTTTCTTCCTAACCATGGCAGCAGTATCTGGGGTTGAGATAGGGCACCTCTGTGACAACTTCCTCTTTAACCATACACCGTGGTTCCACTCGTGGTCCTGGCACTTAGTGACTGTGTGACCTTAGGCAATCTACTTGGCCTCTTTGAGTCTCAGTTTTCTTTTTTCTTGTCTTTTTTTTTTTTGAGATGGAGTCTCACTCTGTCCCCAGGCTGAAGTGCAGCGGCACAATTTCAGTTCACTGCAACCTCTGCCTCCCGGGTTCAAGCAATTATTCTGCCTCAGCCTCCTGAGTAGCTGGGATTACAGGTACCCTCCACCTCACCTGGCTAATTTTTGTATTTTTAGTAGAGATGGGGTTCCACCATGTTGACCAGGCTGGCCTTGAACTTCTGACCTCAAGTGATCTGCCTGCATTGGCCTCCCAAAGTGTTGGGATTACAGGTGTGAGTCACCGCGCCTGGCCTGAGTCTCAGTTTTCTTATCTATAAGATGGGGTAATAGTGGAGCTTACCCCATCAGATCACTGGGAGGATTCAGTTTGTAAGTGATTGTCACAAGTCCAGTATGTACTTAACACAGGGTGCCTCCCAGCCATGCTGCCATATGTCTCCTCAGGCAGCAGGTGCCTGCATTTGTGTTTGCGTGGGGGACATGGGACAGGCTGAGACATAGCTCGCATGTGTAGGGGGTGTCCTCCTCCTGCTCTTCTGTAGCACACAGCTAGGGGTCCTCTGGGGTTAAGTGCTCTTGGACCTGAGCCTGGATATAAAAGCAGCCCAGTGCTTCTGGGAGGCTGGGGAGGCCTGGGCTTGGAGAAGGAGCGTCGACAGGGTGAAGGTGAAGTTCTGGAAATAGAAACAGTGATGATACCACATCACAGCCTGGGGGCCACTCCACTGTCACAGGGCTGTTGGGAAGAAGCTGTAAGGTGCTGCTTTCATCTATACAAGTTGTGCTGGAGGCCAGGGGTAGGCGTGAGTTTTGGGAGGTGAAGTATCTGTGTGTGTGAAGGATTCTGTTTTGAGAAAGAAGGAAATGGGAACTTACTAATTTGTAGAATGGAAACTAGCAAAATTAGGCAAGGCATGGTGAGAGCATGTGCAGCAGGAAGAGGAGACCCCGCAGAGCTCAGAAGAGGTGGAGGAGGGGCTGGCCTCCCCGGCCTCAGGACTTCAGGGATCCCACTGCGTCTTCTCTGCTCCTGCTTCGGCTGGATTTCACCGGCCAGGTGTCTCTCTCCCCAGCACTACCAGCCACTCCAGGATGTCCCTGGCCTGCCACCAGCCTCCACCAGTGGGAAAAGCCCCTACACCAGGTAGTAGCATGACTGAAGGAGGGCCCGTGTCCCTGGGGAGGCAAGAAGGGCCCAAGCCCAGCGTGGCGCAGAGTGAACGTTACGCCAGTTTCCTGTTTAGACAGCTCTGAGCTGCTTCCCTCTGGCCTTGCATATTTCTCCTAATTAAAACAACTGCTTTTTCCCCCTCATTATAGAAGTACTATGTGTTCATTGGTAGACACATTTTAACCTACTTCTGGGTGAGAAAAACAACCCCTTAGCCCCCGCCACCCCCCTACCCAGAGAGATGGTGTTAACACCTGGTGTACCACCTTCCAAATCTTTTTGTCCAACAAAACTTTATTCACAAGACATTTTCACAACATGCGACCCTTTTGTAATGTACTTTAGTAATCTGCCTTTTTCATTTTGTACTACTTTGTGACCATGTTAGTATTATTAACTAATTTATTTTAGTTAATGAATTAATTAATTTTTTGAGGCAGGGTCTTGCTCTGTCACCCAGGTTGGTGTGCAGTGGTGTGACCATAGGTCACTGTAGCCTTGAACTCCTGGCCTCAAGAGATCCTCCCATCTTGGCCTCCCAAAGTGCTGGGATTACAGGTGCAAGCCACTGAGCCTGGCCTGTTATTAATTTTTTTTTTTTTTTTTTGAGACAGAGTCTCGCTCTATTGCCCAGGTGCAATGGCACCATCTTGGCTCACTGCAAGCTCCGCCTCCCAGGTTCACACCATTCTCCTGCCTCAACCTCCCGAGTAGCTGGGACTACAGGCGCCCGCCACCACACTTGGCTAATTTTTTTGTATTTTTAGTGGAGATGGGGTTTCACCGTGTTAGCCAGGATGGTCTCGATCTCCTGACCTCGTGATCCTCCCACCTTGGCCTCCTAAAGTGCTGGGATTACAGGTGTGAACCACTGAGCCCAGCCTGTTATTAACTATTTTAAATGTCGATGTTGGTTTAAAAAATAATATGACAGACCCCACATACTCAAGAGCAAGGGATCCAGGGTCTGACTGCCTGGGTTCAGATCTTGGCTATGCCACTTATCCCATTTGTGGCCATGGACAAGTTACTTAACTTTTCATTGCACTCATCTGTAAAATAGGATAATAATGGTACCTATTACACTGGACTCTCATGAGGATTAGGGGAGTTAATTATGTATCATACTTTGGGTATCATAGTACCTGGCAAATATCCCAAGCACTCTATAAGAGCTACTATTGCTATTATTATTGTTTAAATTTACTTTTATTGTAAGTTCTGGGATACATGTGCAGAATGTGTGGGATACATAGGTAAGCGTTTGCCATCGTGGCTTGCTGCACCTATCAGCTCATCACCTAGATATTAAGCCCTGCATGTATTAGCTATTTATTCTGATGCTCTCCTCCATCCTTACCCTGCTCCCCAACAGGCCCTGGTGTGTGTTGTTCTCCTCCCTGTGTCCATGTGTTCTCATTGATCAGCTCCCACTTATGATTGAGAACATGCAGTGTTTGGTTTTCTGTTCCCGTGTTAGTTTGCTGAGGATGATGGCTTCCAGCTTCATCTATGTCCCTGCGAAGGACACGATCTCGTTCCGTTTTATGGCTGCATAGTATTCCATGGTGTATATGTACCATATTTTCTTTATCCAGTCTATTGTTGATGGGCATTTGGGTTGATTCCCTATCTTCGCTATTGTGATACTATTGCTATTATTATTATTATTATTATTATTGTTATTTCCAACCCTCTATGATAGGCAGAATAAACGCTCTCTGCTCCCAAGATGCCCTTGTCTTAATCCCTGGAGCCTGTGAATATATTACTCTATACGGCAAAATGCTCCTTGCAGATTGAACAGATCTTGAGATGGGGAGATGATCCTGGATTATCTGGGTGGATATGATGAAATCACAAAGGTCCTTGCAGGAGGGAGGCAGGAGGGTCAGAGTCAGAGTGAGACTGGAAGATGGCACCAGCTGGCTCTGAAGATGGAGGAAGGGGCCATGAATCAAGGAATGCAGGTGGCTTGTGCAAGCTGGAAAAGGCAAAGGAACTCATTCTCCCCTAGAGGGTCTGGAGAAAGCTTGTCCCAGTGATGCCTTGATTTTAGCCCCATGAGACTCATGACTTTTGCTCGTCTCCAGAGCTGCAAGATAATCAATTTGAGTAAAGCTATTATGCATGTGGGAATTCAGTAGCGTAGCGATTGAGAATAAATAACCCCCAACCCCGCAACCAACTTAGATGAGTTGTGATGTTTGCTTTGGATCTTTTTTGTTTTTAAGAAATAAAATATAGTTAAGTTCTCATAAGTACCCTTCCCTCCCTAGAGAAATCAGTATCATGATTTAATAATTATAATTCCCATTTCAAAAATTTTCATCCATGATTAACATATAATATGTTTTGCAGGTCTTTACATAAAAGACACTGCGTGGTGTGTATCCCTCAAGCAACTTGCATGTTTTTGCTTGACCTTGTGAAGATTTTCCATGTTGATGTAGCTTTATTTTAACATCCATGAGCAATTTCACTCAACAGTACAGCACGATAGATTGATCTGTCCTGTCAATGCTGGACATTTAGGTTGTTTCCAATCATGATACTCCCGATTCCAGCAAACACGTCTTCGCTATTGTTTGAAATTACTATAGGATTCTACCTTATTTTTTAAAAACCTATCTCCCATTTTTTCGATATTAGATAGTTGTTTTTTATTTTCTTTAATTTTTTTTTTCTTGAGGTGGTGTCTTGCTTTGTCACCCAGGCTGGAGTGCAGTGGCACAATCTCAGCTCACTGCAACCTCCGCCTCCAGGGTTCAAGCGATTCTCTTGCTTCAGCTTCCCCAGTAGCTGGGATTACAGTTGTACACCACCACGCCTGGTTAATTTTTGTACTTTTAGTAGAGACGGGGTTTCACTATGTTGGTCAGGCTGGTCTCGAACTCCTGACCACAAGTGATCCACCCACCTCAGCCTCCCAAAGTGTTGGGATTACAGGCATCAGCCATCACACCTGGCCAACATTTCATTTTGAAATGGCTTCCAAAAAATCTGTGGCTGTGCAGAGGTGCCCACCAACATTCTGTCTGGAATGAAAAAACTAGAAGTTAGCTCCTTCAGGTGAGTACAGTCTTTTTTTTTTTTTTTTTTTTTTTTTTTTTTTTTTTTTTGAGACGGATCTCGCTCTTTCGCCCAGGCCAGAGTGCAGTGGCGCTATCTTGGCTCACTGCAAGCTCCGCCTCCCGGGTTCACACCATTCTCTTGCCTCAGCCTCCACAGTAGTTGGGATTACAGGCGCCCGCCACCGCGCCCAGCTAATTTTTTGTATTTTTAGTAGAGATGGGGTTTCACCGTGTTAGCCAGGATGGTCTCGATCTCCTGACCTCGTGATCCACCCGCCTCGGCCTCCCAAAGTGCTGGGATTACAGGCGTGAGCCACCGCGCCCGGCCTCAGGTGGGTACAGTCTTATTCATGTCTGTACTTCCAGCTTTTGCTACCAAGTGTTCCCAGTAGATGCTTAGTAGATATGTGATATTGAATGTGTAACTGCTACCTTGACCTACCACCTTCTCTTGATGAGGAACCTATAGATTTGTTTTCTTTCTTTTTTTGTTTTTGTTTTGAGACTGAGTGGAGTTTCACTCTTGTCGCCGGGCTGGAGTGCAGTGGCGCAATCTCAGCTCACTACAACCTCTGCCTCCCAGGTTCAAGCAATTCTCATGCCTCAGCCTCCCAAGTAGCTGGGATTACAGGCATGCGCCACCACGCCCAGCTGATTTTGTATTTTTAGTAGGGACGGCATTTCATCATTTTGATCAGGCTGGTCTCGAACTCCTGACCTCAGGTGATCCACCCACCTCAGCCTCCCAAAGTGCAAAAGAAATTAATACTTTTATTGAGATAAAAACATTGTATACCCTATAATGTACCCCTTAATGTATACTGTTAAGTGGTTTTTAGTATATTCAGAGTTGTACCAACATTATCATAATCAGTTTTAGAATGTTTCATAATTTCCCCCAAATCCTATACATTAGCAGTCACCTCTACTTTACTTTCCCCCATCCCTGGCAATGACAAATCTACTTTTTGCCTTTACAGAGTTTCCTATTCTGGACATTTCTCACAATACATGGCTTTTTGCATTTCACTTTTTTTTTTTTTTTTTTTTTGTGAGACGGAATCTCACTCTGTCGCCCAGGCTGGAGTGCAGTGGCATGATCTCGGCTCACTGCAAGCTCTGCCTCATGGGTTCATGCCATTCTCCTGCCTCAGCCTCCTGAGTAGCTGGGACTACAGGTGCCCACCACCACGCCTGTCTAATTTTTTTTGTATTTTTAGTAGAGATGGGGTTTTGCTGTGTTAGCCAGGATGCATCTCACTTCTTTAGCCTAACATAAGGTTCGTTCATATTGTAGCATATTATCAACACTTCATTCCTTTTTAAGACTAATATTCCATTGCATGGATAGACCATATTTTGTTTATCCATTCATCACTTGATGGACATTTAGGTAGTTCTCTCTTTTTGGTTACTGTTTTCATTTTCTTTGTTCTTTCTTTCCTTTCTTTCTTTTCTTTCTTTCCTTTCTTTCCTTCCTTTCCTTTCCTTTCCTTTCCTTTCTTTTCTTTTCTCCTTTTCTTTTCTTTTCTTTTCCTTTCTTTTCTTCTTCCCTCCCTCCCTCCCTCCCTCCCTCCCTCCCTTCCTTCCTTCCTTCCTTTTCTTTCTTTCTTTACTCTCTACAGTCTCACTGTGTCGGTCAGGCCGGAGGGCAGTGGTGCGATTTTGGTTCACTGCATCCTCTACCTCCTGGATTCAAGTGATTCTCGTGCCTCAGCCTCCTGAGTGGCTGGGATTACAGGCGTGTACCACCACACCTGGCTAAGTTTTGTATTTTTAATACAGACAGGGTTTCACTATGTTGGCCAAGCTAGTCTTGAACTCCTGGCCTCAAGTGATCCACCTGCCTTGCCTCCCAGAGTGCTGGGATTACAGGTATGAGCCACCGTGCCTGGACTCTTTTTGGTTATTGTGAATAATACTGCGGTGGACATTCATGTACAAGTTTTTGTGTGAACACATGTTTCCATTTCTCTTGGCTCTTTGCCTAAGAGTGGAATTCTAGGTTATCTGTAACTGTTTAATCACTTAAGGAATTGCCAAGACTGTTTGCCAAAGCAGTTGCACCATTTACTTTCCCACCAGCAATGTATGAGGGCTCCAACTTCCCCATGTCCTCGCCAACACATGTTAGTATCTGTCTTTTTGGTTATCACCATCCTAGTGGAGGTGAAGTGTTATGTCATTGTGGTTCTGATTTGCATTTTCCTGATTGCTCATTGCTCTATCTTAAATAGTTGATGTAATAATTTCCTTCTAAACATTGGCTTTCTGTAGACAGTGTCCTATTTTCAACTTTTCTGGGCCCCAGCATTGTCTTCTGGCATGGGGTTGGTGCTGACTAGGGCGTAAATGAATGAGGCAACTCTGGATATGTTAGCTTGCAGCACATGGGCATGGACACTGATTGGCAAGGATGTGCTTCTTGGCTTGAGTCAAGAATCATACATTTTAACCATCACTTCTGCTTTTTTTGTGGCACAAAAGGACCATTTTTTGAAGTTAGTAACCTGTCTTAGTTCCCTCAGTAGATGTTTGTCCAAATGTTGCGGTGAAGCATAGCACAGACTTTTCATCATTTCAAGGTTTAACGCCTCAGCCCAGGGAGTGTATATTTGGTGACCGTTTTCCCAGAGCCCTGGAAATGCTTCTTCCTAACTGTCCACTTTGAGCTCCTCTGCCTCCTCTTTGGCAATCAGTTACCTCCTAAGAGGAACCTGGAGAAATGTCATTGGGAAGTGCTGCTGGCACCAGGATGAGAGAGTGTTCTTGAAAGCTTGGGAGCAGTATTGAGCATCTGCCATGTGTCAGTATTGTGCTGGGCACTACAAGCTCACATGTATCCATGTGATCATGTGTATGGGTATTTATTTGTAGTGTCTAGTCATTACAATCTGTCTGTGAGTTTTGCCTGGTTTACTCCTAAGTACAGTGAGCTTCAGTGATTTGCCCAAGGTTACCAAAGTTTTCAGAGGAACAACATCAGACACTTTTCCCCAATCACCATGTGCCAGAAAACCTTTAGGTTAAGAGGTTAACAAGACAAGCCACAGATAGGGGAAAATATTTATGAAACAAGAGCTGATAAAGGACCCATATCCAAAATAGGCAACTCTTAAAACTCAACAATAAAAGGCCAGGCTCGGTAGCTCATGCCTGTAATCCCAGCACTTTGGGAGGCCAAGGTGGATGGATCACAAGGTCAGGAGATCGAGACCATCCTGACTAACACGGTGAAACTCTGTCTCTACTAAAAATATAAAAAATTAGCCGGGTGTGGTGTCGGGTGCCTATAGTCCCAGCTACTCAGGAGGCTGAGGCAGGAGAATGGCGTTAACCCAGGAGGTGGAGCTTGCAGTGAGCAGAGATTGCACCACTGCACTTCAGCCTGGGTAACAGAGCGAGACTCCATCTCAGAAAAAAAAAAAAAAAAAACAAAACGCAAGAAAACAACAAAAAAAACCAAAAACAAAAGCTCAACAATAAGAAAACAACCCAATTAAAAAGTGGGCGAAAGATCTGAACAGATGCCTCACACCCCCTTCCCCCACCCCACTCACAATGCTTTGCCATCCATGTCTCCATCCTGCAGTAGCCAAAGCTGGCTGCTTCTGGACCACTGCTGTGCAATGGAAATACAGTGTGAGTCACCAATACCAGCCATGAGAGTAGTGTTTTGTTTTGTTTTTTTTTTTTTTTGTTTTTTTTTTTTTTTGCTGTTATTGTTGTTTTGTTTTTTAAATAGAGATGGGATTTTGTTCTGGGTGAAGTGAATCAAACTCCTGGGCTCAAGTGATCCTCCCAGCTCAGCCTCCTGAGTAGCTGGGATTACAGGTGTGAGCCACTGTACGCAGTCATGTGTGTAGTTTAAAGTTTTCTAGTTGCCACATTCATAAAGGTAAAAAGAGGTGAAACTAACTTTATTAATAAATTTTATTTAACTCAGTATATCCAAAGCATTATTATTTCAACATGTATGCAATATAATTATTAACGAGATATTTGATTCTGGTTTTTGGTCTGTGTCTTCAAAATCCAGTGTGTGTTTTATACCTATAACACATCTTGATTCAGACAGATTCAATTCTGAGTGTTCAAAAGCCACATGTGGCTAGTGGCTACCATATTGGATAGCACAGATCTAGATTATACCTCTTTTGTCCTTTTGCATTACCTGCTTCCGTGGTCCCCAAGCAGCAAAGGCATTCTCCATGTGGCAGGTACTATGATCATCATAGTGGTGCTCCCTGTGTGTGTGATCAGGTAGCTTTAATTTCCCACAGAGACTGAAAATGTGGAAGTGTGTCTACCAGCTTTGCCATCTGTCCTAGATTTAGGTGTGACATCTGATTGCTGGGCCCGAGCATCCAGTGCCAGCTGTACTTCTGCAGATTACTGGGTAATCACAGTAGAACCTTTCTTGGGGGTTGCTTTTGACCCAGGCAGCACTGCTCAGCTTGTGGCCAGGGAGCTTCATGACCATTGAGAGTAGGAGTCTGCACCATTACATGATCATAGGATAGCCTGCAGACATGTGATTCGTGTCTTGTAAGTTGTAACTGAGTAAATTTTTATATATGGAAAGAAATAGAATGCTGAAAGGGGGATCATGAGGGTCCAGGTGTGGGGCTGGGGACATGGAAGGCCTCACTGAGAAGCTGGCATTTGAGCAAAGGCTTGGAAAAGTTGAAGGAGTGGGCTGTGTAGATAAGTGTTTTGAGGGCTTCAGGAATGGCCAGGACAAAGCCTTCGAGGTGGGGCATGTTCTGGGGATAGCCAGCCAAGCAGGGTGATGGGGGCAGAGTTATGGGGAGGAAGCAGGGGTCACATGACCCAGGGCTGTGGAGGCCTCCATAGCACTCAAGCTTTTCCTCCAGGGAGCCGGGAGCCATGGGAGAGTTTGCAGTGGATGACGGATGACTGATATGGCCCCTCGGGCTGCTCTGGTTGGCTTTCTCCTGAGTCGTCCATTCTACCTTCTCGCCAAGGCTTCCTAGGTCATGTTTCAAGTCTGTTCAATGCATTTCCTTCTCCAGGTGGTCAGTGGAGACCTCACAGCAGAGGCTTATCTTGTTGAACGTGGTGATTCATGTGGTGATTTCACAGGGTCAGCTCCCCATGTCTTGTCCCAGCGGTGTCCTCCTCCTACATCAGGAGAGGGAGGTCAGCTCTGGGACCCAAGAAAGGGCAGGGTGCCTTGGTAACCCTTCTGCAGGCTTGAGGGATTGGGGCAGTGTGCATCTCTGCGAGGAGGGCACTGAGGAGGATGGGCTTCTCAGATCCTGGGCTCTGCCTTCTGGATCTGAGATCCAAGTTGCAAAGGAAGAGCTGGTTTCAGGCTGAAGCATTTTTTCAGCTTCATACAAGGCAGGAAGCCCATCAAGCCCCCACATCGTCATCATTGTCATCACTGTCACTAACGCCACCATAAGAGCTGACATTTATGTAGTATATGTTTATGTACCTGTTACAGCTCTAAGAGCTTTCCCTGTATTATTGCTTACTTAATTCCACAACTGTATGTGTTCAATACGCATTATTTCCATTTTACAGATGAGAACATTGAGGCATAGCCCAGGGTCACTGTATTAGTCTGTTCTCACGGCTATAAAGAGCTACCAAAGACTGGGTAATATAAAAAGGAAAGAGGTTTAATTGACTCACAGTTCAGCATGGCTGGAGGGGCCCCAGGAAGCTTACAATCATGGTGGAAGGTGAAGGCGGGGCTGGCATGTGACATGGAGAAAGCAGGAGCAAGAGAGAGAGGGAGGGAGGTGCCACATACTTTTCAACAGCCAGATCTCTCAAGAACTCACTGAATATTGCAAGGACAGCACCAAGAGATGGTGCAAAACCGTTAATGAGCAATTCATCCCCATGATCCAGTCACCTTCCACCAGACCCCACCTCCAGTACTGAGGGTTACAATTCAACATGAGACTGCTGCGGAGACAGATATGCAAACAATATTAGGTTGTTTCTACCTTTTGGCTATTATGAATAGTGCTGCTGTGAACATTCATATGCAGGATTTTGTGTAGATGTGTTTTCCTTTCTCTTGGGTGTACACCTAGGAGTGGAATTGCTGGGCCATGCAGTAACCATTCATTTAAGCATTTGTGACTACATTTAACCTTTTGAGGCACCACCAGCCTGTTTTCCAACGGGGCTACACTGTTTTGCATTTGCCAAGGCCTGTTGGCTGTTTTGGAGGCAAACCCCTCCCCTTAAGTTCCAAAGAAGTGAATCCCCAGTGTCCTGAGGTCAGAATGTCCAGGGCACCCTTTTAGAGAGAGAGGGAGGAGGGTCCTGAGAGACTGTACTGGAGAGGCTGTGTGGCCCCAAGCCCACAGCACTGAGTTTGAGTCTCAGCTCTGCCACCTACCACTGTGCAATCTTTTTATTTTATTTTATTTTATTTTATTTTTGAGATGGAGTCTCCCTCTGTCGCCCAGGCTGGAGTGCGGTGGCATGATCTCGGCTCGCTACAACCTCCGCCTCCCAGATTCAAGCCATTCTCCTGTCTCAGCCTCCTGAGTAGCTGGGACTACAGGTGCCCGCCACCACGCCTGGCTAATTTTTTCTATTTTTAGTAGAGATGGGGTTTCACTGTGTTAGCCAGGATGGTCTCGATCTCCTGACCTTGTGATCCACCTGCCTCTGCCTCCCAAAGTGCTGGGATTACAGGCGTGAGCCACCTCACCTGGCCACCACTGTGCAATCTTGAGCAAGCTCCATAGCCTCTGTGGGCCTGGCCTCTGTTTCCCCCTATGCAAAATGGGGCTTATCAGAGCATGCTGGAGGGGCTCCCATGAGATCAGGGGAGACATGAGCTTGGTGTAGTTTGTGGCCTATTGGACCTGCCTGATGAAGGTTGCTGCCTGTGAGGTTGGTGGTGTCTACCAGGCATTGTCCTCTAAAATATAATACTCCTATTCTAGGGGTGAGGAAGGAGTGTGGGTGTGTGTTCTGAGTAGCTCATGAGAGAGTGGGAACCTGTGCTAAGCCAGGCCTGGTCTCTCTGAGCATGGTGACTTGGACTTGTTGCTTTTGTGGCAGGGAACTGAAACTGTTGCAGACACTCTTGGCCTGACCTTATCCCCTCAGCACACACCTCTGCACACCACAAGCCACTTGCTGGAAACACCTGTGACTATGCCTGAGGGCTTCTGCTAGCCTGTGGTGCAGGATAGGCTGGGAGTGCTGGGGTGTTAGTGCCTCCAGGGGTGGCATGGCTGGGTGGGGAATCGGCAGATCAATACCCCAGCTCCCTCACCCTCAGTCAGGACACTCCTGGCTTGTTCTGCACTGACTCCCAGGCTTCCCCAATGGACTTCGGCTCTATTTACTCACAGGAATAATAAGCTTGATGACACAGCCTTTATTTGCTGCGCTTCCTTCCCTGTCCACCACCCCATTCCCCTTGCAGTGATTCCTGGGATAGCCCCCAAATAAACTCCTTGTATGTACATCCTTGCCTCAGAGTCTGTTTCTGGGGGAACCCAGATGAAGACAGAGACCCACTTAGACCCTGTGTCAGGAAACACATGGACCAGACTTGGGCCACCCTGGGACTTGCTGTTTTCTCTGTTCCCTGCGGTGTGTGAGCCTGTGTGTGCCTATGCATGTGTCTTTCTCCTCTTGCCCCTGATTGGCTAGCCTTGTCACTTCTGTCCTGATTCTAGAGGGAGTGTCTGATGTCCCAGTTATTGCTGCCCTCAGCAGAGTCAGGATTTTTTGGCCGGGGCGGGGGGTGGGGTCAGAAACCAGCTCAAGCAAAAAAAGAGAATTTACTGGAACGTGTGGCTGAGATGCATACTGTGTAGCTCACAGCATCCAAGATGCAATGCCTTTCCCATGCTCTCTTCATCTTTCTGCCAGTCTTTGTCTGCCACCATGGTTCTCTCCTTTTTTTTTTCTTTTTTTTGAGATGGAGCCTACCTGTGTCACCAGGCTGGAGTTCAGTGGCGTGATCTCAGCTCACTGCAACCTCCTCCTCCTGGGTTCAAGTGATTCTCCTGCCTCAGCCTCCTGAGTAGGTGGGACTACAGGCACTCACCACCACGCCCAGCTAATTTTGTATTTTTAGTAGAGATGGGGTTTCACCATCTTGGCCAGGATGGTTTCTATCTCTTGATTCTCGTGGCATGCCTCAGCCTTCCGAAGTGCTGGGATTACGGTGTGAGCCACCGTGCCCAGCCCATGCTTCTCTCCTATCCCAGACGACTCTAGTCTATAGAACACGTAACGTGGCCATGAGCAGCCTCATAAGAGACCGTTTTTCTCTCAGCATCTATGCTTGGCCTTCGTTATTTGCAGCATCAGTATTGGTGAATTTGCCTTTCTGCTCCAACTTATTTGCAACCTGCAAACCAGTAGTTCTGGCCCTTCTGTGGTCATTCTTGGTGATGCAGACTGGTGAAAAATTTGGGTCACCCATTCACACATGCCCTGCTGAGGTCAAACAAGATGACACTCTGCCTTCCTGTTTTAGCTTTCTTTTTGCAAACAGGTGTCCTTTCTGCCGTCCACTTAGTGCCTTATTTTCTGCAATTTCTTTCTTTTTATTTTTTGCTGGTGATGTTGCTCTTTAAAATGGCCCTGAGCAAAGTGCATTTATTTCTCATTAATTCATTCTTCCTGTTATTGATTTATTCAGTGACTATCTATGGATCATTTGCTCAGGGCAAAGCACTGTATTGAGTTCTGATAGAAGGAGACAGGGTCTTTAATTTCATCGACCTTATTGTTTAGTGGGAGAGGCAAGCACAACATTGATCAAATAATTTTGTACATGACTATATTTATAACGAAAATGAAGGTAACTTTTGCTTCCCTCTCTAAGAGGCACCAAGGGAGGTTATGCACCTGAGAAGCAGCCCAGGGAACAGCAGCGAAACTGATCTAACAGTGGCCTTCCTGGCCCTAGTGGCTGTGCTTTGTGGTCTAAGGCCACATTTAACCTGTGTACCAGAGGGACATGAGTGTGCACTTCCTGGAATGACCCTGAGGTGTTCAGTGTGCTGGGGAAGGTCATATGGCACCACGTATGACAGCAGTGTTGGGGTTGAACAAGCCTGGGCTTGCCTCCTGAGTCTCCCATTCTGTCTGTGTGACTCCCTCCTTGGGTCTCAGTGTCTGCATCTGTCAAATGGGCACACCGGTGGTACCTTCCTCGTGTGTGGGTGTAAAGACTAGAGATCGGGTATGTAAAACCTTTAGGTTAGTGCTCAGTTATGAGCACTTTGGTTGGCAGTATCATCGATAAGGGATGGTTTTGCACGTCGGGGTTCAGGACTCAAAAGGGAAGGCCATTCCCAGTGTTAGTCACCTGAGAAGATGATGGATTCCCTAGGCTGGGAACTGGTTTCAGGATGATGTTTCCGTTTTCTTTTTTCTTTTTTTAGGTATTTCTCCTAGTGCTATCCCTCCTCTAGTCCCCCAACCCCTAACAGGCCCCAGTGTGTGGTGTTCCCCTCCCTGTGTGCATGGGTTCTCATTGTTCAACTCGCACTTAAGAGTAAGAAAATGTGGTGTTTGGTTTCCTGTTCTTGTGTTAGTTTGCTGAGAATGATGGTTTCCAGCTTCATCCATGTCCCTGCAAAGGACATGAGCTCATCCTTTTTTATGGTTGCATAGTATTCCATGGTGTATATGTGCCACATTTTCTTTATCCAGTCTATCATCGATGGGCATTTGGATTGGTTCCATGTCTTTGCTCTTGTGAATAGTGCCGCAATAAACATATGTGTGCATGTGTCTTTATAGTAGAATGATTTACAATCCTTTCGGTTTATACCCAGTAATAGGATTGCTGGATCAAATGGTATTTCTGGTGCTAGATCCTCGAGGAATTGCAACGCTGTCTTCCACAATGGTTGAACTGATTTACACTCCTACCAACAGTGTAAAAGCATTCCTATTTCTCTACATCCTCTCCAGCATCTGTTGTTTCCTGACTTTTTTTTTTTTTTTTTTTTTTTTGAGACGGAGTCTTGCTCTTTTGCCCAGGCTGGACTGCAGTGGCGCTATCTCAGCTCACTGCAAGCTCCGCCTCCTGGGTTCACGCCATTCTCCTGTCTCAGCCTCCTGAGTAGCTGGGACTACAGGCACCTGCCACCGCGCCTGGCTAATTTTTTGTATTTTTAGTAGAGACGAAGTTTCACCGTGTTAGCCAGGATGGTCTTGATCTCCTGACCTCGTGATCCACACGCCTCAGCCTCCCACAGTGCTGAGATTACAGGCGTGAGCCACCGCACCCGGCCTGTTGTTTACTGACTTTTTAATGATCGTCATTCTAACTGGCATGAGATGGTATCTCATTGTAGTTTTGATTTGCATTTCTCTAATGACCAGTGATGATGAGCTTTTTTCCTACGTTTCTTGGCTGCATAAATGTCTTCTTTTGAGAAGTGTCTGTTCATATCCTTTGTCCACTTTTTGATGGGGTTGTTTTTTCTTGTAAATTTGTTTAAGTTCTTTGTAGATTCTGGATATTAGCCATTTGTCAGATGGATAGATTGCAAAATTTTTCTTCCATTCTGTATGTTGCCTGCTCACTCTGATGATAGTTTCTTTTGCTGTGCAGAAGCTCTTTAGCTGAATTAGATCCCATTTGTTAATTTTGCCATTGCTTTTGGTGTTTTAGTCATGAAGTCTTTGCCCATGCCTATGTCCTGAATGGTATTGCCTAGGTTTTTTTCTAGGGTTTTTTATGGTTTTAGGTCTTATGTTTAAGTCTTTTATCCATCTTGAGTTAATTTTTGTATAAGGTGTAAGGAAGGGGTCCAGTTTCAGTTTTCTGCATATGGCTAGCTGGTTTTCCCAACACCATTTATTAAGTAGGGAATCCTTTCCCCGTTGCTTGTTTTTGTCAAGTTTGTCAAAGATCAGATGGTGGTAGATGTGTGATGTTATTTCTGAGGTCTGTGTTCTGTTGCAATGGTCTGTATATCTATTTTGGTACCAGTACCATGCTGTTTTGTTGACCATAGCCTTGTAGTATAGTTTGAAGTCAGGTAGCATGATGCCTGCAGCTTGTTCTTTCTGCTTAGGGTTGTCTTGGTTATGTGGTCTCTTTTTTGGTTCCATATGAAATTTAAAGTAGTTTCTAATTCTGTGAAGAAAGTCAATGATAGCTTGATGGGAATAGCATTGAATCTATAAATTACTTTGGGCAGTATGGCCATTTTCACCATATTGATGCTTCCTGTCCATGAGCATGGAATCTTTTTTCATTTATTTGTGTCCTCTCTTATTTCCTTGAGCAGTTGTTTGTAGTTCTCTTTGAAGAGGTCCTTCACATCCCTTGTAAGTTGTATTCCTAGGTATTTTATTCTCTTAGTAGCAATTGTGAATGGGAGTTCACTCATGATTTAGCTCTGTGTTTGTCTGTCATGGTGTAGAAATGGTTGTGATTTTTGCACATTGATTTTGTATCCTGAGACTCTGCTGAAATTGCTTATCAGCTGAAGGAGATTTTTCTATAACAGTGTAAAAACACAGGAGCTTAAAACAACAATTCTGTGGGTCAGGAATTTGGGCAGAGCTCAGTCAGTGGATTTGCTGTTCTGTCTCACTTGGTGTTGCCTGGAGTCCCTTACCTGAATATATTCATTGGATGGCCAGGCTGGAAGTTCCCAGGCAGCTTTCTGGGCCACCAGTGTTCCTTTGTGCAGCGTCTCTCCCTGTTCTGTGGCTAGTTTGGGCTTCCTTACAGCATGGTGGTCTCATAGTAGCTAGTCTTCTCTGTGATGGCTTCCAAGGGACAGAAAGCAGAAGCCTGAAGCTTTTGCTGTGTTAAAAGGAAGTCACAAGGCCAGCCCTGACACAGGGAAGGGAAATAGATTCTACCTGTTGATGGGAAGAAGTTTGTGGCTATCGTGAATCCACCAGAGATGGAGACCATGGTATTCAGGGGCATCTCTCTGAGCCTTGACCTTGGGTGTGTTGAGTGATCTAGAAGGCAGGTCTGGTACTTGGATATTAGAAGGCTGCCCTCCATAAGGAGAGAGGATAAGGGGCTGGGAACCCAGGCTGGGGTCTGTGTGTTAGTGCCAAACTTTGGGGCTAGGATATAAATGTCTTAAGATACAGCGGAGGGGAATGGTACCGGGTCTGAAGGATAGGCTGTCTTTTTGCTTGTTTTCTGGTTATTTCACTGTTCTCCTCAATAGGTAATAAGGTCTTCTCAGGGGACCTGCCTGTTTTAGCAGTGCTTCAGGAGCTGAGACAGGGGCAGAGATATAGTCTGGGGTCAGAATGTTTAGGAGTGGAGGATCTGCGAGGTGGGGTGTAGCCGGGATTGGATTGAAAGGTACCCATGGGGACTGAGTGCAGTGGCTCATGCCTGTAATCCCAGCACTTGTGGAGATTGAGGCGGGCAGATCACATGAGGTCAGGAGTTCGAGACCAGCCTGGCCAAAATGGTGAAATCCCATCTCTACTAAAACAATACGAAAATTAGCCAGGCATGGTGGCATGTGCCTGTAATCCTAGCTACTCGGGAGGCTGAGGCAGGAGAATCACTTGAACCCGGGAGGTGGAGGTTGCAGTGAACCAAGATCATGCCACTGCACTCCAGCCTGGGCAACAGTACGAGACTCTGTCTCAAAAGAAAAAAAAAAGACACCCTGGGGGACATGAAGCACAGGCAGAATGGAGAGCAAGGACCCAAGGCTTTTGTCCTGTCTCACTGTTCCCTTGCTGTGTGACCACAGGGAGTTAACCTCTCTGAACCTTAGTTTCTTTGTCTCTGCAGTGGGGATTATGATGATCCTCTCCCCATAGAGTTGGGATAAAGATTAAATGAGCCAATACACATTAGGTTTGTAGCACAGGGTTTGTCTAGAGTAAGTGCTGACTAAACGTCAGCTGCTGGAGATGGTGGCGATAAGAAGTTACTTTTATTATTATCAGGACTGCTTGTTCCAGTGGCTGTTCCAGCCTGACAAATCTTCCAAGGCAAAACCAGAGTTGCTGAAGTTAACTTTTAAACATTTCCTTTTTTTCCTGAGTTATGGAAGGAATGATAATTGGGGAATTTAGGCTTAAAATGAAGCACCTGTGATATGACGCTCTGGAACGCCTCTTCATGCAGAGGGTGGTTATGCGAAGGGAGGAGGTTTTATTGCATATGGGGCCTTACTGGACAGTGAAGGGAGGGGGTTCCCAGCTCTCCCTGGTGGGCCCAGGCTAGAGCATGGGTCTCCCAGTCCTCACCAAGGGGTCTCAGCCTCAGCAGGTTGGCAGCCACACAACACAGTGAGATCCTTCTGTGTAGCTGAGCCTCTGATTCCCAGAGGTGAAGATACAGTCTTAGAGTGTATCCCAGGGACCCTGTCTTTCCAGCGGGAAACTGCAGGGGCTGAGAGACCACCCCCTAGAGGCTTCCTCATTTGCATCTTTAACACTGCCATGGTTGGGGGCTGTTTTCTTCTTCAGCCTGCCCTGCCTGGGCTCTGTTGACTACTCAGCCTGTTGTTCTGAAGTTCTCCTGGCCCTTTCAGAGGCCATGGGGGCTCAAAAGCCACTCAGAACACAAGTCCCTCTTCAGCTGCTGGGAGTCTGAGCATGGGAAAATCCTGCCTGATTTTTTCCAGTTCCCATGCAGGTGGTGGCTTCTTCGATTCTCGCGGTCTTCTTGGTGGAAACCTTTGTAGGTCTTAAGTGCGCTATAATTGAGCAGTCTTAAATGACCAGACACAGTGGCTCACGCCTGTAATCCCAGCACTTTGGGAGGCCAAGGTGGGCGGATCACTTGAGGTCAGGAGTTCGAGACCAGCCCGGCCAACATTGTGAAACCCCGTTTTTTACTAAAAATACAAAAATTAGCCAGGCATGGTGACTTGCGCCTGTAATCCTGGCTACTCAGGAGGCTGAGGCAAGAGAATTGCTTGAACCCGGGAGGTGGAGGTTGCGGTGAGCCGAGATTGTGCCACTGCACTTCAGCCTGGGTGACAGAGCATGACTTCATCTTTAAAAAAAAAAAAAAATGTGCCTTCACGGACAGGCACGATGGCTTATGCCGGTAATCCCAGCACTTTGGGAGGCTGAGGCAGGAGGATCACTTGAGGTCAGGAGTTCGAGACCAGCCTGGCCAATATGGTGAAACTCTGCCTCTACTAAAAATATAAAAATTAGCTGGGTGTGGCAGCACATGCCTGTAATCCCAGCTACTTGGGAGGCAGAGGTGGGAGAATTGCTTGAACCTGGGAGATGGAAGTTACAGTGAGTCCAAATCGTGCCACTACACTCCAGCCTGGGCAACAGAGTAAGGCCCTGTCTCAAAAAACAAATAAATTAGGCTTCAGATACTGAACTATCTGGCATATCCTATTTTGGGACCATGAAAAGGGTGACCTGGCAAGTCTGAGAAGGAGACCTTTTCCCTCATTATAATTTTTTTTTTTTGAGACACGGTCTCATTCTGTTGCCCAGGTTGGAGTGCCATGGTGCAATCACAGCTCAACTACTGCCTTGACCTCCTGGGCTCAAATGATCCTCCTCCCTCAGCCTCACAAGTAGCTGGGACTACAGGCATGCACCACCATGCCCAGCTAATTTTAATTTTTTTTTTTTTTTTTTTTTTTTTTTTTTAGTAGAGGTGGGATCTCACTATGTTGTCTAGGCTGGTCTTAAACTCCTGGGCTAAAGCAGTCCTCGCATTTCAGCCTCCCAAAATGCTGGGATTACAGGCATTAGCCACGGTGCCCAGCCAGAAATTATGACTTACTCCCAAGGTCCTGATGTCCAGAAGCAAGAACTGAAAGTGCGGTTGCGCTGTTATCATTAGTGGGAAAACACTCAGGCACCTGGGGCCACATCCGGTTCTGCCTCTTTCTAGCTGGTCTAGAGTCTTCTCTGAGCTGGGCTTTTTTTCCTATGCCCATTGCACAGTTACCCATTTATTGCCCAGAAGGTGACGGGCACTGGATGCGTTAGATGCTGGGGAAATAGAGGCACAACCATCACAGTGTCCTTCTTGTGAGTTTTGAAGGCTGGTGGGGAGAGACGGATGGTAAACAGGGAGGTGAAGACAAAGCCCTCTCTTTACAAGCGAAGTCAGCACAAGGGACAGGAAGAGCGCACATGATGGGTGGTCAGAAAAGGCCTCTCTGAGGAGCTGATATTTAGGCCGAGATCCGATGGGAAGAATCCTCTAGGTGGAGAAGGACTATGCATCCATCCCCCATGTATAAAATGGGAATAATATTAGTACCTGTGCCGTGAGGCAGTTGTGAAGGTAAAATGAATTAGTGCGTGTGAAGCACCTATCTTCCACTAAAAACAGAAAGCTGTTTTAGATGTTGATATTACTATTATTATTTTTGAGAAGGAGTTTCGCTTTTGTTGCGCACGCTGGAGTGCATCGTCTTGAGGGGTGCTGCGCAAGGCACTAGGGTGGTTTTAAACGCCTTTTGTCAGCTGTGTTTGGTGTTGCTACAGCTTCAGTAAACACAAGTGATAAAACAAGAGCCCTCAAACTGCACCTGGCCTTCCAGAAGATGACAAAGATGTATGTAGAACATCAGAGGGTACCTTGTGATTATTTTATTTTATCTATTTATTTTTAAAATTTCAAGTAGAGATAGGGTCTCACTGTGTTGCCCAGGCTGGTCTAAAACTCCCAGACTCAAGCGACCCCCATGCCCTTGGCCTCTCAGAGAGCTGGGGTTACAGGCATAAGCCCCTGCACTCGGTTGTGATTCTTTCACTTAACACATTTATTGATAAGTTATTACATGTCAGGCCCAGGCCAGGGTAGGCAAAAATGAGACAAGCTCCCTGTGCTTATGAACATGTTCTCACGTTCCTTACTGTTTCGGGGAGAAGGGGGTTAAGTGAACACTTGGGGTTGAGAGCAAAGACCCAAAGGAGAAGACAGATTCTGGGAGGGAAGGGGCAAGATTAGAGAGACCTGGTTGTCATCTACTCTCTGTTCCTTCCTTTCATGTGGCCTGGGCTCGGTCACTTCCTCTCTGTCGGCTCGTGTCCCCTGATCTGTGAAGTGAGAATTACAACACCTACTTTACAGGGCTCTCGTGAGTATTCAGCCAGCTAGTGTGTTAAGCTCTTACTCCCGTTAGGATTGCTTCGGCCCTCTGTGCCTCAGTTTCCTCACTGGTGAGGTCCTTTCTGCCTGATCAAGTCTGTGGCTCAGTCAGCTCCTCACTTCCTGCCCCTCTGGAGGACATCCCATTAGTCTCTCATTCCATCGTGCTCTTCTCTTTGGGAGCATTGTCATATGGTGGTTATTTATATTTATGTGGGCATTTAATGTCTCTCTTTCTCAGACTGTCAGCTCTTTGAAAGGGGGCTGTTTGTTCCATTCATTGTTCCTGTGTCATGCATGATGACTAGCACATACCAGGTAGACCATAGATGCTGTCTGCATGGGTGAATGCCATTCTTCCTCTGCTTGCATCTTGGGGATACTCATCGGCTGCACGGAAATGGAGCTCCGAAGGCCTGAGCTTCAGGAATTATCTGCTTGGTGGGGGCTGTGTTTCTGGAGGCTTCAGTGGCCTGAACAATAGCCAGGACAGAGCCAACTAGCCGGGCATACCTTTTCTCTGCAGCAGCAAGCCTTGTTGGCACTGTGGGCAGCAGGAAATGGCTGAAATAACTTCCATCATGATGCCCCTTGTCATGAGTTTCCATGGAAACTGAGGGCTGCTGAGCCTGTCACTCTGGCATAAGGGAGGAGTGTGGAGGGCAGCCTCATGAGAACTGGTATTTAGGTAGAATATGAATAGGGGGATTTGATTCCTTTTCCATAAGCTAGTGTGGGCTCATGGATTTTTTTTTTTTTTTTTTTTTTTTACTGTGGTGGGGCTCTTTGAATCACAAAAATAAATACAGCTTTTTAGTGAGAACTTAGGGTATTTCCAACACTGTCATCTTATTTCATCCTTCTAGGCCCACCATGAGGCAGGTGTAACTCCTTCAATTTGCAGAGGAAGCTGAGGCTCAGAGAGGTCCAGTGACTTGCTCAAGTCTACACAGCGGGGCATGGCAGAGTTCAGATCCACATTCTGGTCGGCCTGACTGTGGGGTTCAGTGGAGGTTGGCGGTGCTTGAGCATGGAAGACAAAGACCTTGTTGGGTGCCGGGCTGCTTCTAGAGATGGATGTGGTGGGTGGAGGATGGTTTGTGTTCTTTCCAGAGTCAGATGGCTGGGCAGAGTCAGGACATCCTGGGGGTGTTGGATTCCCAGGTGTGGAGTGACAACACTGCCTCATATCCATTTTCAGAGCTCATTTCTGAGGCTTCATCTGGTACCAACCCTGTGAGGCGAGGGAGCTCCTGCGAATCCCCTTGTGCAGCCAGGCTTGGAGAAGTCAAGGATTTGGCTTGGGGCACCCAGGAAGCCTGAGGCTTAGCTGGGTGGACCTCCTGGCTCCTCGCCCACTGCTTTTCACCCTGCCCTGAGGTGTGAGATCTTCCCAGCCACCTCTGGAAGGCTGGACTCTATCCCAGCTCAGTTATTTATGTATTTATTATTATTATTATTTTTTGAGACCAAGCTTCGCTCTTTCGCCCAGGCTGTAGTGCGGTGGCGCTATCTCGGCTCACTGCAACCTCCGCCTTCTGGTTTCAAGCGAATATCCTGCCTCAGCCTCCTGAGCAGCTGGGATTACAGGTACCCACCACCATGCCTGGCTAATTTTTGTATTTTTAGCAGAGATGGGGGTTTCACCATGTTGGCCAGGCTGGTCTCGAACTCCTGACCTTGTGATCTGCCCGCCTCAGCCTCCCAAAGTGCTGGGATTACAGCTGTGAGCCACTGTGCCTAGCCCTAGCTCAGTTTTAAAAATTACATTTAGTAGGTCTTATTTTCCATTATCAGAGAAATGCAGATTCATTCTAGAACCTTTGGAAAAGATAGACAAACACAAAAGAAAAATATCTCCCATTGACTACCCTCCAGGGAGCACTGGACCCAAACTAGGATCTGGTTGCTTTTCTGTGAAGATGTCCTATTTCATCTTTAAGGATTATGATCTTTTAGGTAATGGAAGTTGTGCTTCATATTTTAAGAACTTTTTAAAATGAACTTTATTTCATATTTAATTTATATACAATAAAAGGCACTCATTTTAAGTACACAGTTTGATGCATTTTGACACATGTGTAGACATGTGTAACCACCACCCTAATTGAGACACAGAACACCTTCCATCGCAGGAGAGAGGGTTCCCTCACTTCCCTCTGCAGTCTGCAGCCCCCCACCCTCCCCAGCATGCACACTCCCTGCCCCAGGCCACCCCAACCTACTTTGAGTCATCCAGGATTTTTCCTTGGTTTTAGAATTTCATAAACATGGAATGAAACAGTAGACTGTGTTTTGCATTCGACTTCTTTTGTGTGATGTTCTCAAGGTTCACCCATGTTGTTGCTAGTGTCAGTAGTTTTTCCTTTTCTGTTGCTGAGCAGCATTCCAGTGACCGAATATACCACTGCCTACTCCCCCATTCTCCTCATGGGAGATCTTGGGCATATCAGTTTTCCCCTCTGTATAATGGGGAAACATTACCCAATTTTTTTTTTTTTGAGACAGAGTCTCACTCTATTACCCAGGCTGGAGTGCAGTGGCGCAATCTTGGCCCACTGCAGCTTCCGCCTCCCAGGTTCAAGCAATCCTCCCACCTCAGCCTCCTGAGTAGCTGGGATTACAGGTGCACACCATCATGCCTGGCTAATTTTTGTATTTTTAGTAGAGGCAGGGTCTCATCATGTTGGCTAGGCTAGTCTAGAACTCCTGACGTCAAATGATCCGCCCACCTCAGCCTCCTGAGTAGGTGGGATTACAGGTGCACACCATCATGCCTGGCTAATTTTTGTGTTTTTAGTAGAGATGGGGGCCTCATCATGTTGGCTAGGCTGGTCTAGAACTCCTGACGTCAAATGATCCGCCCACCTCAGCCTCCTGAGTAGCTGGGATTACAGGTGCACACCATCATGCCTGGCTAATTTTTGTATTTTTAGTAGAGACAGGGTCTCATCATGTTGGCTAGGCTGGTCTAGAACTCCTGATGTCAAATGATCTGCCCGCCTCGGCCTCCCAAAGTGCTGGGATTACAGGCGTGCGTGAGCCGCCGTGCCTGGCCACATTACCCGCTTTATCAGATTGTTGTGGGGATTCAGTGAGTTAACATGTGAGTGATTAGAATAATGCCTGGCACATAGCAGATGCTAAATATCATAGTAATAATAATGGATTGTTGTCTCTTGCTGTGTAACAAACCACCCCAAGGCATAGTGGTGAATACTGGAGGTATTTCCAGTTTGGGGCTCTTGAATAATATGAGTGAATGAATGAAATAATACAAATGTACATGTGTAGTTGGGCAGCCTCGGTGGCTGTTGCCTTCCTCGAGGGCTCGAATGCTGTGTGTCTTGGTGATCGGCTGACAGGCAGCCGTTGCCTCTTCTAAGATGGGTGGTTTTCCTTTTGAGGTGGGTCCTGGGGGCTCCTGGCTGCTCAGTGCTGGCCCTACTTGTTGCCTTGTGTGCTGCTCTGAGCCAGGCTTGGTCTTGCTGGGCTGACCAACCCATTTAAGCCTCAGGAAGTGGCCTCTGTAGAAAAAAATGTATAAGCAGCGGGTGGTGAACAGATCAGTGGAGCGCAGAGCCCCAAAATAGATCTTTCTCCGCTAACTTGCCAAGCAACTGGGGGCAGTGGCAAATGCTTTGCATAACTTCCTACCCAAAAGAAAAGGTTTTACTGCAAACAACTTTTGGGGACCCCTCCCCTCTCAAATAATCTCAGACAGATCCAAGATGTTTTTTTTTTTTTCCAGAGCAGCACAAAGAGAGAGCCAGACAGGCCTGGGGTTCCATCCCAGATCCACCATTTGCAGGCTGTGTGATTTTGGGCAAATTCCTTAACTTCGCTGAGCCTTCTCTTTTCCTGTGTTAACTAGGGAAGATGAGACTAGACTCTCCAGTGTGTATGCAAAGCACCCTTACGCTGCAGAGATGCTGCAAATAGGGAGTGTCTTTTTTTTCTTCCTTTTTCAATTTTATCCTCTGTGCTTGCCCTAGAGCTTGTTATCAATTTCTCTTAGCTTTGTCAATTGTGGTGGGGTGTGGGGGATTGAGATTTGGCTTTCCTGGGAAGATGTTCCAAAACTGTCTTTGAAATAATACTCTCCTCCTCTGCAGATCAGTGGACAGGGTGTTGAAGGGTCGGCATAGGTGGTAAGCATGATTGATGGCCCCCAGAGATGTCCATGTCCTGCTCCCCGGAACCTGTGGGTATGTCATGTTACTTGGTAAAGAGGACCTTGCAGATGAAATTAAGTGAAGAAGGTTGAGATGGGAGAGTATTCTGGGTTACCCAGGTGGATCCAGTGTGTTCACAGGGTCCTTTTAAGAAAAAGGCGGGGCTGGGGGCAGTGGCTCATGCCTGTAATCCCAGCACTTTGGGAGGCCGAGGCGGGTGGATCACCTGAGGTCAGCAGTTCGAGACCAGCCTGGCCAATATGGCGAAACCCCGTCTCCACTAAAAGTGCAAAAATTAACTGGGCATGGTGGCGTGTACCTGTAATCCCAGCTACTCAGAAGGCTGAGGCAGGAGAATCGCTTGAACCCGGGAGGTGAAGGTTGTAGTGAGTGAACCGAGTTCATGCCGCTGCACTCCAGCCTGGGAGACAAGAGCGAGACTCCATCTCAAAAAAAAAAAAAAAAAAAAGAAAAAGGCAGGAGATCAGAGTGAGTAGAAGACAATGGCAAGATGATGGCAACAGAGGTTGGAATGATGTGCTTCAAAGGCAGAGGAAGAGGCCACACGGCCACGATTGCAGGCGGCCACTGCAAGGTGAAAATGGCCAGGAAGCAGGTTTTCCCTCGGAGCCTCCAGAAGGAGCCAGTGCTGCCGACACCTTGGTTTTAGCCCAGTGAGACTGGTTTTGACCTAGGAGCTGAAAGCTGATAAATGTGTGTTGCTTTAAGCCACTGAGTTTGCAGTAATTGGTGCAGCAGCCGTAGGGCACTTATAAAGCAGGCGAGGCCTATGTTGGCTGTGGTTTCACAGGAAAGTGGCCTCTTGGATGATGGCGCCTTATGGTCATTTTTATGTTTCTTCCCTTCTGATCTGGATGGATTGTTTTCAGTTCAGCCTAGGGGAGGTCTGGCTTCCCCGGGGCTTTACCTCGAGACTGGATCTCTGCAGTCAGGCCTCTGGTGAGCCCCTGTGGCCGGGGCAGCTGCAGCAGAGAGGCTTCCTCTCTCGACAGAAACGCAGAAGTGAGCTGCTTGCTCGCAGAGGCCAGGCTTCCTGTCTGGCCAGTCCCTGAAATGCTGCTCCCCACCCCTCGCCCCATGAGAGTCCAGGTGAAGATTGAGTGGGGGTAGGGGCTGCACTGTCTGATCTCTGAAGTGAGCCCCTTCCTGTCTAGCTTGGATTTGTGTTGAAGGCTTTAAGATGACTGTTTTCTTGTTTATTTACTTTTAAGAGACAGGATCTGGCTCTGTCGCCCAGGCTGGAGGGCAGTAGTGTGATCATAGCTCACTGTAGCCTCAAACTCCTGGGCTCAAGCGATCTTCCCGCCTCAGTCTCTCAAGTAGCTGAGACTACAGATGTGCACCACCATGCCCAGCTAATTTTTTTTTTTTTTCCCTGTAGAGACAGGGTCTCTCTATGTTGCCCAGGCTGGCCTTGAATTCCTGGCCTCAAGCAATCCCCTGACCTCGGTGTCCCAAAGTGCTGGGATTCCAGGCATGAACCACTGCACCCAGACAATTCTTTTCTTTTCTTTTTTTTCCTTCCTTCTTTTCTTTTCTTTTTTCTTCCTTCTTTTCTTTCCTCCCTTCCTTCCTTTCCTTCCATCCTTTCTTCCTTCCTTCCTCCCTTCCTCCTTTCCCTTTCCCTTTCCTTCCTTCCTTCTTTTCCTTCTTTTTCTGTTTCTTTTTCTTTTTCCTTTCCTTTCCTTTCCTTTCCTTTCCTTTCCTTTCCTTTCCTGTCCTGTCCTGTCCTGTCCTGTCCTGTCCTGTCCTGTCCTGTCCTTTCCTTTCTTTCCCTCCTTCCCTCCCTCCCTCCCTCTCTTTCTCTCTTTCTTTCTTTCATGGAGTTTCACTCTTGTCACCCAGGCTGGAGTGCAATGGCGTGATCTCAGCTCACCGCAACCTCCACCTCCCGGCTTCAAGCAATTCTCCTCCCTCAGCCTCCCAAGTAACTAGGATTATAGGCATGCGTCACCACACCTGGCTAATTTGTGTATTTTTAGTAGAGACAAGGTTTCACCACGTTGGCCAGGCTGGTCTTGAACTCCTGATCTTAAGTAATCCACCCACCTCAACCTCCCAAAGTGCTGGGATTACAAGCGTGAGCCACTGCACATGGCCCCAGCCACTTATTTTCTTGTGATTTGTCAGCAAACAGCCTCTGGGGTTGTGACTGCTGGAAAGCACCTCCAGCTTTTGTGGAGCCAGGTGTGGCTGGCACTTTTCGTTGGGATCATGTTTGGATCTCCCTCAGGCCTTCTCACCATGTTCCTCGTGTGCCACACTGGTGAGATAACGGGGTGTGGGAGAGACTGGGCATTCAGATTCAGCGGTTATAATTAAAGGGCAACACTGAGGCCAGGATGGCTGGGATCCTCTCGTAGCTGCCATGTGACCTCTGGCCTTTTTGTCCTTCCCCATGATGTCACCTTTCATTGGATGGTGACTCCCTGCACATACCCCCAAAGGTGTCCATGTCCTAATCTTTGGAACCTGTGGATATGTTACATTATGTGGCAAAGGAGATTTTTGCATGTGTGATTAAGGGAAAGATCTTGAGATGGGGAGATTCTCCTGCATGACCCAGGTAGGCCCAATGTAATTACAAGGATCTTTAAAAGAGGAAGGTAGGAGGTCACAGTCAGGGAGAGAGAGCAGGATTCTGGCTTTGAAGGTGGAGGAAGGGGCCACAAGCCAAGAAATGCAGGTGGCCTCTAGAGCTGGGAAAGGCAATGGGTGGATTCCCCCTTGGAGCCTCCAGAAGGAACACAGCCCTGCTGACTCCTTGGTCTTAGCCCAGCGAGACCCGTTTTGGAAATCAGACCTGCATAATTGCAAGATGGTAAATTTGTGTTGTTGTAAGCCACTAGGTTTGTGGGGCCATCCTGGCCTCAGTGATGCTTATTTGGGAGTGTGTTTTTTTCCTATTACTGCTCTAATCTTTTAAATTAGATCTGAAGAGATGCTCTAATTTTTTTTTTTTTTTTTTTTTTTGAGACAGAGTCTCACTCTGTCACCCAGGCTGGAGTGCAATGGCATGATCACAGCTCACTGCAACCTCTGTCTCCTGGATTCAAGCCATTCTCTTGCTTCAGCTTCCCAAGTAGCTGGGACTACAGGCATGGCATGCGCCAGCACACCTGGCTAGTTTTTTGTATTTTTAGTAGAGACAGGGTTTCACCATGTTGGCCAGGCTGGTCTCCAACTCCTGACCTCAGGTGTTCCACCTGCCTCGGTCTCCCAAAGTGCTGGGATTATAGGCGTGAGCCACCGCGCCCAGCCCGAGATGCTCTAATCTTTTAGAGCAGTAATAGTAGGTTGGTGCAAATGTAATTGCAGTTTAATTGTAACTTTAATGGCAAAAATTGTGACAACTTTTGCACTCATCTAATAGGAAACACACTCCCACGTAACCATCTCCTGAGATCCCTTTCCTTGACCCATTCGGTAAATATTTACTGAGCCCCTCCACATGCTGGAGACTCTGCTTGTCACCAGATTGACCAAAGCAAGGTCTTGTCCTTCAGGGGTTCAAGTCTTAGGAAGACAGAGACAAGATGACAAGGCTAAGATTGTCACATAGGGTGTTAGGTGGATCGTAGAGAAAGAAGACATAGAAATCAGATGGCATTGGACCAGAGAAATTTTCTCAGATGTCAGTGAAAGGAGCTTTGAACTTGGAGCGAGCTCTGGAAATGTTGTCTGGTCGCACTGGGTATCTAGTAAATATTTCAAACTCAACGTGTCCAAAATGGAATTTGTCACCAAAACAACGGAGATCTCTGCCTTTAAAACCTATTCCTCCAGTTTTCCCCATTGTGGTAAGAGATACCACCATCCAGCCAGGTCCCCATGCCAGAAAGCTAGAGTCCTCCTCGGCCCCTTTGCCACCTTCATTTCTGGCATCATGTCCACCTCCTGGTTCTTGGGGTTCATCACTGTTTGGAGATGTGCTTCCCTCTGCCACGGCAAGGCTCCAGGATCCTAGGCTCAGAGATGGGGGAACCGAGAAAAGCATCAAGTATGATCTGTGTCCTCACCTAGGTGCAGTAGGAGGTCAGTGTAGGGGTCCATGGGCAGGTTCCCTGGGCTCCAGTTTCAGCTCTGCACTTACCAGTGTGACCTTGAGGTCAAAGTGCTCGACCTCGTGTGCCTCAGTCTCCTCACTGATAAAATCGCAATAATAGTAGGACCTATCTCACAGCAGTGTTTTAGAATTCAATGTAACAAGCACTTAGAATAACACATGTTCAGTCAGTGATAGTGGTGGTTGTTGGAGGAAGCTTCTCTACAATACTCAGTGCTTCAAATGGTGATAGCAGCAGCCACTCATTAACCACGTCCTCTCAGTGGTCTTATTAACCTCTGTCCTTGGCGCTTTAAAAATCCTCCTCATGCTTTTTGACGAGTCTACCCATTTTATAGATGGGGAAACTGAGTTTCATAAAGTAGCAAGAACCTTCCCAAAGCCACTTAGCTGGAACAGCTTTACCGTGATTTTCTAGTATGACTCTCAAGGCTGCCGGAGACAATTTTGAGTAATTGCTGGGTTTTTAAAAAGTTCTTCTTCTGTATCCATTTGAGGTCTTGGTTTATCCCTGCTGGAGATCCGCAGAACCAGCCTCCTGCCTCCTGTGGATCCGATGAGATGACTGAAGATAGGACACTTGATCCTGGACTTGTTTCTACTTCCAGCCTCCCTGTTCCCCTAGGGAATTTCCTCATGTTTTGCAGATTCCTAAGCCCCATGATTGTGCTGTGGCCTAGGGCTGCATGTCCTTGTTGACCTTGCGCTGAAATAAGACTCAGGGGATGCCCCTCAACGGGATGTGTGGTAAGGTGCATGGTTAATCTCATACATTATAGAGGATTGCTGGGTTTTTTTTTTTTTGGGGACAGGGTCTCACTCTGCCACTGAGGCTGGAGTGCAGTGGTGCCACTATCGCTCACTGCAGCCTCAGCTTCCCAGGATCAAGTGATCTTATCTCAGTCTCCCAAGTACCTGGGACCACAGGTGTATGCTCCCATGCGCAGCTATTTTTTGTATTTTTTTTTTGGTAGAGCTGGGGTTTTGCCATGTTTCCCAGGCTGATCTCGAACTCCTAGGCTCAAGGAGTTCACCTGTCTTGGCTTCCCAAAGGGCTGGGATTACAGGCATGAGTCACTGTACCCGGCCTGCATTTATTTCTTTAAAATCCTACTTCCTCTGTTTCAGATGAGGGATCAGAAACATAAATACCTGCAGGCAGCTGGATAGGTGACCTAAATAAGAGAAGCAGGTTGTATCTAGGGGACAAATGACAATAAACACAGGCTGCACACTGGGAAAGTTCTAAGGGTGGTGGGAACCGTGGTTAACGGGGAGTCAGTGCATGTGTGCCTGGTGTAAAGTGGACAGATCCTACGTCATGCTGCAGGCTCAGGGTCCACAGATCTGCAGTTGGAAATGTAGGTTGTTACTGTGAAATCTCCTCATTTAAAAAAAAGCGTTGACGCCGCCAGGCACGGTGGTTCATGCCTGTAATCCCAGCACTTTGGGAGGCCAAGGTGGGTGGATCACCTGAGGTCGGGAGTTCAAGTCCAACCTGATCAACATGGAGAAACCCCGTCTCTACTAAAAATACAAAAGTAGCCAGGCATGGTGGCGGATGCCTGTAATCCCAGCTCTTTGAGAGGCTGAGGAAGGAGAATTGCTTGCACCTGGGAGGCGGAGCTTGCACTGAGCCGAGATCATGCCATTGCACTCCAGCCTGCGCAACAAGAGCAAAACTCCGTCTCAAAAAAAAAAAAAAAAAAAAAAGTTGACTCATTGAAACACACAAATAAGCAAAATGATCTTCACCTGACAAAACACTCCTGTACCCTGATGCAGTTCCCAGGCCAACAACTTGTGAAGTCTGTTCCAGACTGTTGAGAAATGTCATTTTTTTTTTTTTTTTTTTTTTTTTTTTGAGACAGAATCTTGCTCTGTCACCCAGGCTGGAATGCAGTGGTGTGATCTCGGCTCACTGCAAGCTCCGCCTCCCAAGTACACGCCATTCTCCTGCCTCAGCCTCCTGGGACTACAGGTGCCTGCCACCACGCCCGGCTAATTTTTTTGTATTTTTAGTAGAGACTGGGTTTCACCATGTTAGCCAGGATGGTCTCGATCTCCTGACCTCGTGATCCACCCATCTCGGCCTCCCAAAGTGGTGGGATTACAGGCGTGAGCCACCGCACCCGGCCGAGAAGCGTCATTTTTATTCTGTGCTGTGGTGTGGTGCCTCTTCCTTTGCTTTTATGAGCTGCAGTTTTGATCAGCGAGTCCTTGCGGGTCAGCAGAGGGTCTTGAGAAAAGGTTGCTTTTACAACCTTAAGCAAGTTATAAAAGTCGTCTGAGACTCAGTTTCCTCATATAGAAGCCAGCCGTCACAGCCTCAGCCTTCCGAAGCTGCTGTGATGATTGAACAATGTGGCATTTTCCTGAGTGCCTGGTGAAGTCGGGTACATAGAAGGTTTCAACAAATGTGAATTTATTTCCCCTTAACTTGCATTCCTTTTTCTTTTCTGAATGCCGAGGTGGGTGGATCATGAGTTCAGGAGATAAGAGGCTGTATCTTACCAACTGCATTCTGATTTTACAGGAGATCACAGAATGAATTTCCTGTGTGGGCCATTCTCTCAAACATTGCTAGTCTCAGGAATAGTCAGAAAAGCACAGGACCTGGCTTTTAATGATGACAAGGACTGCCCCCTCTGCCCTGTCTTTTTTGTATCTGTGATTTTCATTCATTAATGGGGTAGTTAGTAGTTTTTATTTTATTTTATTTTTTTTGAGACGGAGTCTGGCTCTGTCACCCAGGCTGGAGTGCAGTGGCACGATCTCGGCTCACTGCAACCTCTGTCTTCCGGGTTCAAGCGATTCTCCTGCCTCAGCCTCCTGAGTAGCTGGGATTACATGCACACACCAACGTGCCCGGCTAATTTTTGTATTTTTAGTAGAGATGGGATTTCACCCTGTTGGTCAGGCTGGCCTTGAACTCCTGACTTCAGGTGATCTGCCCGCCTCGGCCTCCCAAAGTGCTGGGATTACAGGCGTGAGCCACCGTGCCTAGCCAGTTTCACCATGTTGACCAGGCTAGTCTCGAACTCCTAAGCTCAGGTGATCCACCCTCCTTGGCCTCCCGAAGTGTTGGGATTACAGGTGTGAGCCACCACACCCGGCCCATTTCTCTGTTTTATATTGCCATGATACCTTTGCCAAAAGTGAGAAATTAACATTACCACATCGCTATCAAAGTTCCAGAATTTATTTGGACTTTAACAGTTTCTCCTCGTATGTTCTCCTTCTGTTCCAGGATTCATCCAGGACACCACATTGCACCTAGTTTTTGTTTATTTCCATCGATATGTAGAGGTGTTTCTTTCTTTTGAATTGCTGTAGAGCATTCCATTGGTGACAAGAGCCATTTTGTCCACTCTCTCCTGCTGGGCATTTGTGCTGAGTCCCTTTCTCCTTTGAAATTGCAGAGGGTGCTGTGGTAGCTGTGGATGGGGAAGGAACCTCTGAGTGGGGGGGCGTGTGTATTTCCAGCCTCAGTAGTGAGTGCCAAATCGCTCTCTAGGGGGCTTATTCTACCTCTCGGTGGCATCCCCACTAGGTGCCAGGCACTTTCCTGCTGTGGACCCATGAACGGGCAGTGCTGTCTTGCCTTCAAGGAGTGGAGAGATTAAATATATAATAGTGGCCGGGTGCAGTGGCTCATGCCTATAATCTCAGCACTTTGGGAGGCTGAGGCAGGGGGATCACTTGAGCCCAGGGATTTGAGAATAGCCTGGGTAACATGATGAAACCCTGTCTCTACAAAAAGTACAAAAATTAGCCAGGCATGTTGGCACGCATCTGTGGTCCCAGCTACTTAGGAGTCTGAGGTGGGAAGATCACCTAAGCCCAGGAGGTTGAGGCTGTAGTGAGCTGTGATCATGCCACTCACTCCAGCAGTGTCTTGTCTTTTTCTTCTTCTTTTTTCTTGAGACAGAGTCTTGCTCTGTGGCCCAGGCTGGAGGGCAGTGGTGCTACTTTTGGCTCACTGCAACCTCCACTTCTTGGGTTCAAGCGTTTCTTGTGCCTCAGCCTTCCAAGTAGCTGGGATTATAGGCGCATGCCACCACCACTGGCTAATTTTTGTATTTTTATTAGAGACAGGATTTCACCACGTTGGCCATGCTGGTCTTGGAACTCCTGACCTCAAGTGATCCATAGGCCTCAGCCTCCCAAAGTGCTGGGATTACAGGCATAAGCCCCCATGCCTGGTAAGACTGTGTCTTAAAAAACAACAACAAAAAAATGTGTGGGGTGTGTGTGTGTGTGTGTGTATATATATATATACACACATATATTTTATATATGTATATATATGAATGAAATGGCAAAATCATCTGCCAAGGGCTGCAGCTGACTCCAGAGGACCCTGGAGGAGACTGACAGACACAGTGTGTGATAGTGGAGGGGGATGGGAAGGGTGAGGGGGGCATCGGGCTTCTGGATGACTGAGGGTATATGCAAGTGCAGAGACAGCGTGACTAGAATGTCCAGGCAGGAGAGGGGAGATGGACAGGCACTGCGGGTCATGAGGGTTTCAGAGAGCATACGCAGTGTGTCCCAGCTGGTGACAACCTTGCTCTTCCTACAACCAACCATACACATTTCCATCTTGGGGCCTTTGCATTTACTATTTGCTCTGCCTGAAATATTCTATCTCAGACATCAGCCCAGATGTCACCACCTCTGGGGAGGCCTCCCTGATAACACCTTCTATGAGAGCCCCTCCCTCCTGGTCACACACCATGCTTTGCTCTTCTTTGGTTTAGTTTTTGTAGCACTTGTGATTGCCAAGTGTAATAAATATTGACTTGTCTCTGTCTCCTCCTATTAGAATGTAATTCTTCGAGGCCAGGAATTTGGTCTGTTTTATTCATAGCTGTATCCCCAGCTCCCAGAACAGTGCCTGGCACGCTGGCTTTTACCTACTCTTTGTTGACCTAATGGCTGAATGAACGGACGTGACCATCATCGTGAGAATCTGTGGATAATAGCAGCAAACATTTAAACACAGGCTGTGTGCCAGGCACTGCACTAAGCACTTGGCCATGAACTTGGTCTCCTTAAATCCTCATGTCAATGCCACGAAACTGGCCCTCTCTATTTGTCTCAGTTTTACACCTGGGGACATGGTGGGGTTAGTATTTGAACCTCATCCAACCCCATACTCCAGTTGGGACCCCTGGCTGGGTCTCTGACCAGTGCTGGGAAAGAGGGAGGCAGGTAGATTTCAGCCCCAAGCTGTGGAGTCCAGCAGGCATTTGTACCCCGAGTGGGACTCAGATCCTTGTGTTAGGGGGAACTTAGGCCAGAAGTGCCTGGGCTAGAGGGTAATGGGGACCCCAGGAGGCTCCCCGCTCTTGCCCCAATCCTGCCTTGTCTGAAAGGGAAGGAAGGCTCTTACCTTCTAGCTGTCTGCAACAGGAACTGCCGGGAGGCCACGCTAGCCATCCCCCAACTTTGGTTTGCAAAACTCTGAGCCTGGTGGGGAAATGAAGGGCTGGCTTGCTAACCACAAATGAAGACTCATTTGCACAGGCAAAGCGGGGGCAGGGGTGACTCCTCTTGCCCTAGCGGAAGGGACTGACTTCTGCAGGCTGCTGTCTTGCTGGAGCCAGTCATGCCCCACCATTGAGCCTGGGCACTCGGACACAGTTACCAGCAGTGGGCTTTGTCGTCCTCCGGCCTCAGTCTTCTCCTTTGATAAATGGAGGGGGGGAATAGTGATATTGTGGCGATTCTGTGGCACTCAAATGAGGAAATGCACATAAAGCCTTTGCTCAGTGCCTGACTCATGGTGAATACTTGGGGGGATATTCACCATCATTGTTAACAGTGGTAGTGGTCAGAGGTGGCAGTCACCATCAGAGCCTCTCTCCTGGGCTCCGCTCCACATGGCAGCCACATTTTAGGAATAATCCTCAGATTAAGCAAAAGAGGTTAAGTGAATATTCCCTAATGCATGCTCTTCTTTTCCTTTTTGAGTAGAATCTGTCCCCACCCTGCCTTTTTTTGAGACACGATCTCACTCTATCACCCAGGTGGGAGCGCAGTGGCATGATCACGGCTCACTGCAACCTCTGTCTCCTGGGTTCAAGCTATCTTCCCACCTCAGCCTCCCAGGTAGCTGGGACTACTGATGTGCACTACCATGCCCAGCTAATTTGTGTGTGTGTGTGTATGTATTTTTTGTGGAGATGGGATTTTGCCGTGTTGCCCAGGCTGGTCTTAAACTGCAGAGCTGAAGCCATTCTCCTGCCTCAGCCTCCCTTAGTGCTGGGATTACAGGCATGAGCCATTGCGCCCAGGCAGAATCTACCATTTTAATTACACTTCTGTGAGTGGTATGATATCCAGTTGACTGCGTGAGGATCAGATCCCATTCTTGCAAAGCTAGAGAATGAGGCAGAGGCCTGCCATCCTTGCAGCTAGTGGGAGACCCTGTGGGTGACCCATTAGCCATAAGAGAGCAGGCTAAGTGCCCAGATAGGAAGGTGTCAGCGTGTGAGGCCCAGGCAGCCAGTGGTCAGCCGATACTTGAAGGCCTCCTGTGTGCCCAGCTTGCTGCTGGGGCCATGACAGTAACTGAGGGAAACAAGTCACGCTTGTGAGATGTGATGAGGACCTGGAAAGGGAAGTCCAGAAGCGGAAGGCAACCTCTCAGAGAGGGGGTGTCTTGTGGGGACTTACAGCCAAGGTGAGGGTGCTTTCCTGCTGGCACCCACCTCGCAGAACCCATTCCTTCCCTGAGTCTGGTCTGTGAGAAGAGCCCACAGCATGAGGATACCACGTTTGGGGTTCAGCAACCCCAGAATGAAAATCACCCTTTAAAGAAGGAGTGCTTTACCTTTCTGTGGGGGCCACAGCCTGGTTGTGTGTTAGAGTCACTGGGCTCTGGAGAAGCTTCTGGAGGACTGGGGCCTTCTTTCGCAATCTGTCCACACCCCCAGGGTCCTTTTTCCTGGACTGTGGCTCCGGTCGGTACACGGGTCCTGAGCCAGTATTCTGGCCCGGGGTGGCCGTTCCCTGTGGGTGAGGAGGAGGCACCTGGAAGCCCCTGGCCTCTCCTGTTAATCACTGACAAGGTAAAAGGATACTCCTGCCTGTTTTTTTTTTTTTCAATTTCAAAATTTAAAAAAATCTTTTTTTTTTTTGAGTCAGGATTTCACTCTGTCACCCAGGCTGGAGTGCGGTGGTGTGATCACAGCTCACTGTACCTTCCACCTCCTAGGATCAAGAAATGCTCCTACCTCATCCTCCTGAGTAGCTGGGACCACAGGCATGCACCACTACTCCTGGCTAATTATTATATATATTTTTTTGTAGAGGTGGGAACTTACAGCCAAGGTGAGGGTGTTGCCTAGGCTGGTCTCGGAATTCCTGGGCTCGAGCTGTCCTCCTGCCTTGGCCTCCCAAAGTGGTGGGGTTACAAGCATGAGCCACGGCGCCCGGCCTCCTGTGTGTCTTGCCTAACGATTGCCTTTGGCGATGGGAGTGCTGAATGCTTCTGGCATCTCTCTGTCTGCAGAGGCTTACCTGACTTCAAAGGAAGCATTCATCTTTAGCCAGAAGCTAGCAGGTTCACCCCAAGGTTTTCTGAGAGGTCATTCAGGGAGCAGCTGCTGGAACGTGGGAATGGGGACAGGAGGTAACTGGACTTACCTTGTCTCCGGGCCTTCCACTGTGGGCCACCCGCACAGACTACCCTGGTGTCTTTGGCATCAAAACCCAGCCAGGTGGCCTTGAATGGGTGACTTCATCTTCCTGGGCTGTCTCTGGAAAATGGGGCTTTCTTCCCAAGATTGGTGGGAGGATTAAAGAGATGTTGAGGTCAACTCTGACACCTATTAAATGTTCAGTAAGGGGGACCTGGTTTGTTCTCTGTCCCAGTAGGTGTTTCTGCCCTGAACTTGACCTCGGAGGGCTCGGTGTTCTGCTGGCTGCTGGCAGAATTGTGAGGGCGGTCTGTGTGAGAGTCTTAGCCCAGGAGCCGGCGCGGGTGGTGTTGGAGAACTCTGGGCCTGCAGCTAGACTGGCAGGACTCAGACCCCAGCTTGCCCAACCTGCCTGAGCCTCAGTTTCCCCTTCTGCAAAATGGAGTTGATGATAATGGTAGTTACTTAGGGCTTTGGGAGAGACCGCTGAGATGATGGACAGAGAGCACTCGTCACGTGGTTGATAGACCCTGGATCTGCAGAGCTGCTGCTGCTGCTGCTGCTGTTGGGAGTTTCAGAGCTGGGGCTCCTTGAGGGATGTTCCTGAGAGGAAGATTCTGGTAGGACCCACCTGGGACAGGGTGAGATCTGAGCAGGGTGGGGAGGAGAACCCACTGGACCAAGGCATGGCTGCCCTTTACAAGGGCTCCCAGGACGAGGACAATCTCCTTTAACAAAACCTCCTGCCAGTCCCCAGAGCTTCTTGGCCATGAGCTGAGGAGTTTTTATTTGTTCCTTTGGTCTTTTATGGCTAACTCTGGATTCCTCTTGGGTGGATGGGGAGGCAGCCTTGGTCCATTGTAGAACTGGGTACTACTGCAAAAGTGCCAAGTCCTTGCTGTAATCTGCTCTCTGGAGAACAGACCCTGTGGGCAGGGGAAAGGCCCATTGCCCACCTCCTGGTGTCATGAACACTGTTTTTCTCAGTGGGAGGAGGTGGAGGTACCCAAAGAGGAGGAAGTGGCCTTCCAGGTGCCACTTACTTGGTTTGGTGTCAGCTCTGTTATTGATTCACTGTGTGACCTTGGACAAGCTCCTTGTCTGCTTTGAGCCTTAGAATTTTATGTCTGCAAAATGGGTATAATAATGACTCCTCTGTCGTAGGGTGGCTGGCACGAAATGGGATAATTTAGGTGAAGCAGTTAATATACTACCTTACGTACAGCTAACACTTAGTAAGTAGCTGTTATAATAATAATGAAGATGGCCGGGTGTGGTGGCTCACACCTGTAATCCCAGCACTTTGGGAGGCCAAAGCGGGCAGATCACCTGAGGTCAGGAGTTTGAAAGCAGCCTGGCCAACATGGCGAAACCCCATCTCTACCAAAAATACAAAAATTCGCCGGGTGTGGTGACACTACTTGGGAGGCTGAGGTATGAGAATCGCTTAAACCTGGGAGGTGGAGGTTGCTGTGAGCTGAGATTGTGCCATTGCTCTCTAGCCTGGGCGACAGAGCAAGACTCGGTCTCAAATATAATAATAATAATAATCATAATAATAATGATAATAATTGAAGATAATAGGAAAACCATGTTATTACCTATATTAGTGTCCTGTGGTTGCCATAACACAAGTGCCACAAAATGAGGGACTTAAAACAGAAATGTACTTATTCCCTTGCAGTGTGGAGCTTAGAAGTCTGAAATCAAGGTGTTGGTAGGGCAGTGCTCCCGCTGGAGGCTCTAGGGGAGGATCCTTCCTCTCCTCTTCCTGGCCTCTGGTAGCTGCTGGTGACCCTGGGTGTCCCTTGGCTGGTGGATATTGGCACTCCCATCTCTCCCTCTGAGTGTGTCTCTGTCCAAATTTCCCTCTTACAAGGACAGTAGTCTTGGGTTAGGACCCACCCTAATCCAGCATGAGCTCATCTTGACTACATCTGCAAAGACCCTATTTCCAAAGAAGGCCACATTCACACATACCAGGGACTGGACTTCTATGTATGTTTTTGGGGGATGCAGTTCAACCCCCAACATTACCCGTTTATACTTTCTTTCCAGGGCCACCAAGGACAAGACCAGAGTCATTTTCATCCTGAATTGGTGTCAACTAGTGTTTTCATACCCTAGAGACTATCCAAATGACACAGCTGACCCAATCCCTGCATTTCTCAGAGGGGGAAACTGAGGCCCAGGGAGGTAAAATGACTCTCCCAAGGTCACACAGTAAGGTAGTGGCAGTGGGACTGGATCGTGGATCTCCTGGTGCCCTGTATTGGCCCACGTGTCAGCCATGGACTCGTATTCCCACTGGTGGAGCCAAGAGGTTTTTGCTGTCTGCAGGGGAGAGCACTTTGGATCTTGGCTTCTCGTTTCATCCTTCCCTTGGTAGTGGTTAAGAGTGCAAGCTTTGGGCCGGGCAAGGTGACTCATGCCTGTAATTCCAGCACTTTGGGAGGGTGAGGTGGGTGGATCACCTGAGGTGAGGAGTTTGAGACCAGCCTGGTTAACATGGTGAAACGCCATCTCCAACAAAAATACAAAAGTTAGCCGGGCATGATGGCACACTCCTTTGGTCCCAGCTCCTTAGGAGACTGAGGCAGGAGAATCGCTTGAACTCAGGAGGCTGAGGTGCAGTGAGCTGAGATTGTGCCACTGCACTCCAACCTCAGCAACAGAGCAACACTATGTCTCAAAAACGAGTGCAAACTTTGGAGCCTGGCCATTCAGGTTCAAGTTCTGGCTCAACCATTGTGACCTTGAATGAGTCAGTGACTCTCTCTGCTTCAGCCTCCCCACCTGTGGAAGGAAGACAGTCATCTCAGCCTTACATGAGTGCACAGGTGTCAGGACCCCTGCTGTGCACACGGGCATGTACTCAGTGTTTCTGTGCATGTGGTTTCCCTTCCCTTTCCTCCTGTTTGGTTTTCTCTGAAGCCGAAAGGTCCTTAGTAGGAAGTTGAGGACCAGCGTTCTCCATGGGAAGACTCAACATCAGTTACAACTCTAGAATTTATTCCAGGCCATCCAAGTTAAGGTAGTTGTCTGTATTTTGAGAACCTTTCTCTTGCTGTAAAAAGCAAACAAAAACAAAAAAAGACAAACTAGCAAACTCAAAGAACGAGAATACATATACATGCAGTGCTGCTTCAGATGGAAGTCAGAAAAGTGTGTGATCAAATGAAAGGCTGTTGTTGAAAGGGAAGTCTGCATTTACTCTTCTGCCAGTTCTCAGACTACCTCAACTCCTTGCTGACATTCCTAGGAATTGTGGTCCCAGCTGGCTTCTATAGCTGTGTGACCTTTGCCTTTTCCAAACGAGTGGGCACCCTGCAGGCCACTTCCTCTGGGTTTCAGTGCCCAGCTTATCAGGAGGCTGCATGAACATCTATTTCTAGCTGGGCGGGAAATAGGACGGGTCCTGGCAGAAGGCGGAGCCCAGAGGTGGCTGGTAGAATCCCCTGGGAGGAGTAAGGGATGCTCTCCGCAGGGACCCCCGTGTCGTGGGTGCCATGGCAAAGCGTTAACAACAGGCAGTGCCTAGGGAGCCTGAACCAAGGTTGGGAGTGTGGTTTCCTTCTCAGTTCCCTTTCCGTCTTCCTGATTATGACAAGAACATCTGTTTGGTACCAACATGTGTTTTTTTTTTTTTTTTTTCTCCTTGATGCTGTGCATTTTTTTCCATTGGAATTTTTGTTGAGATAATTGAAGAATCACATAAAGATGTAAGAAATGATACAGAGAGATCTCATGTGAACGTTACCCAATTATCCCCAATGGTAATATCTTGCAAACCTGTAGTGCAGTATCACAGCCAGGATATTAACATTCACAACATTCATAGAACCCACTACCAGTCTTATTCAGATTTTCCCCCATTTTCCTTGTACTTGTGTGTATTTAGTTATGTACAATTTGGTCACATGCATAGCATCCTATATCTGCCATCATAGTCAAGAGACTAAAGCAATGTAATGATTTCTTACACCAATTCCATTTCCAAAATTTTAACATGTCTGTCTTTGAAAGATACTAATTTTCTTTTTTTTTTGAGGCGGAGTCTGGCTCTGTTGCCCAGGCTAGAGTGCACTGGCTTGATCTTGGCTCACTGCAACCTCTGCCTCCTGGGTTCAAGTGATTCTCTTGCCTCAACCTCCCAGCTTCCCAAGCACCTGGGACTGTAGGCACCTGCCACCATGCCTGGCTAATGTTTATATTTTTAGTAGAGATGGGGTTTCACCATGTTTCCCAGGCAGGTTTTGAGCTCCTGGCCTCATGTGATCTGCCTGCCTTGGCCTCCCAAAGTGCTGGGATTACAGGCATGAGCCGCCGTTGCCAGCCTGAAAGATATGAAATGTCTTTATTAAAATATAACTTGCAGACATAAAAAAGAATGAGTTCATGTCCTTTGCAGGGACATGGATGAAGCTGGAAGCCATCATTCTCAGCAAACTAACACAGGAACAGAAAACCAAACGCCGCATGTTCTCACTCATCAGTGGGAGTTGAACAATGAGAACACATGGACAGAGGGAGGGGAACATCACACACCAGGGCCTGTCAGGGGGTGGGGGCAAGGGGAGGGAGAGCGTTAGGACAAATACCTAATGCCTGCAGGGTTTAAAACCTAGATGATGGGTTGATAGGTGCAGCAAGCCACCATGGCACAGGTATGCCTATGTAACAAACCTGCACGTTCCGCACATGTATCCCAGAACTTAAAGTAAAATTAAATATATATATATATATATATATATATATATGTAAATAACATAGATGTGGTAAAATGCACACATGGTGCATGTAAGGCTCAAGGCTTTAAGCATGGGTCCACCTCTGTGGCCATTCCTCGGGTCCCGGTGACCCAGTCCTCTCTTTAGGTGACACCACTCTGACCCCATCAGTGAGTCTTGCATGGCTAATTGGCTTTGTGCCTCTCTTAAAGGCTTCTCATTTCCCTTTATGACTCACAGAACCAAGCCGAGGGTTTTGCTTCCAGCAGACAACTATTTCTAGGTAGAATTTAATCATATTGTCACGTTTCCACTGATTTTATTATTTTGCAGTTCCTATTGTATATGGTGAGTGTTACTGGTTTTCTTTTTGCCAAAAACATAAAATCACTCTTAACATACATCAGTTCAGGTGAAAACGGTGAGTTGATTTAAAGAAAACTATCACATAAATAGTATCAGCAGTAGGCAGATACAACAAACCTTATAAGGTTGATAAACAAATGTTTGCAGTTTGAGAAATAATGTCATATGGCTCCAAACCACCCCCCAAAACTGGTCAATCCATGTGTGAGGAAAAAAAAAAATCTCTATATAGTCTTTGTATAATGAGAGTTTTCTGTGTAATTTTGATACACAGTACTGGTTTAAAGAAAAGCAGAATTAGCCTATTAAAATATTAATAGGCTGTATATAAAGTAATGAGCCCTTCCTTTATTGCCTTAATAATTTTTGTTATATTTGCATACCATGAGTACTATTTTATATCTAATACTTATTTTAATATTGATTCACTATTTTTAAACTTAATTTTATATAGAAAAGAAACTTGATTTCATAGTTTAGAGGTGCCAGGTATGTATTTTTTCAATATATTTTAAAATATACTACAGTTAAGACATAACAAAGGGTGGGCACCATTTAAATTTAATTACCAGCAGGAGGGTGAAAAACACCAAGTTTAAATGGCACCAAAATGATGAACATTTAGGCTGGGCATGGTGGCTCATGCCTGTAATCCCAACACTTGGGGAAACCAAAATGGGAGGATCACTTGAGGCCAGGGATTTGAGACCAGCCTAGGCAACATAGTGAGACCTTGTCTCTACTAAAAAGAGAAAACTTAGGTAGGTGTGATGGTGCATGCCTGTAGTCCCAGTCACCTGGCTTTGGGAGGCTGAGGCAGGAGGGTCCCTTGAGCCTACGAGTTCAAGGATGCAGTGAGCTGTGATTGTGCCACTGCACTCCAGCCTGGGTGACAGGGCATGACCTTGTCTCCAAAAAAACTTAAAGAATTATTTGATGGCCCATGCTGGGGGTGTTAGTGGTGAGCACATAAAGCTCCTCATTTTCTCATTGTCTCCTGAGTTTGGAAATGATTGAGAAATGAAACATCGGCAATCAACGAAGGGCGATGAGATGGCTGCCTGGAGAGCATGCTTAGAATTGAGCCCTGACAGCTGGCCCCTGAGCTGCCCACCCTGTCATGGCCTGGGTGGATGCCCATAGGTGTCTCAGAGCAGCAGTCCCAGACTTTTTTGGCACCAGGGGCCGGTTTTGTGGAAGATAACTTTTCCATGGGCCAGATTGGCCTGGGGGGATAGTGTGAGGATGATTCAAGGGCATTACATTGATTGTGTACTTCATTTATATTATGATTACATTGTAATATATAATGAAATAATTATACAACTCACCGTAATATAGAATCAGTGGGAGACCTGAGCTTGTTTTCCTGCAACTAGACAGTTCTATCTGGGAGTGATGGGAGACAGTGACAGATCATCAGGCATTAGATTCTCATAAAGAGTGTACAACCTGGGTCCCTCACATGTGCAGTTCTCAATAAGGTTTGTGCTGCCATGAGAATCTAACGCCGCTGATGATCTGACAGGAGGTGGAGCTCAGGCAGTAATGTTCGCTAGACCCCTGCTCACCTCCTGCTGTGCGGCTCGATTCCTAACGGGCCACAGACAGGTGCCAGTTCATGGCCTGGGGATTGGGGACCCCTGTCTTGGAGGCAGCTCCCTTCCGAGTGGCAAGGAACAGGGCAGGGCACGTGGTCCCTTGGGGGTGGATCCAGCTAGAACAAGATGAAGAGGCTGAGTATCCTCAGTTCCTTTTTCCAGGGAGTGGTCCCTTCCTCCCTTGGGGATGGGGAGTCCCAGAGGGGAGAGAAGCACCAGTTTCCCCAGTATCACTTAAAACTCTTATCTATTGAATAGTTCTGCATGAATATGAAGCATTAGAATCACAGACCTAATTATTTGAGCATAATGATCTGGGAAGAATCTCTTCACATGGAAGCAGGACACTGATTTTCGCCTCTGCTGTCAGCGCAGTGGCAACAACTCTGTTGTTTATTATCTTTTTAACAAAGAAGATAAGGGCAGGCCCACCCCCTATCTGCAGGCCAAAAAGTAAACTTTATTTATTTATTTATTTATTTATTTATTTATTTATTTATTTATTTATTGAGATAGAGTCTCACTGAGTCGCCTAGGCTGGAGTGCAGTGGCATGATCTTGGCTCACTTCAACCTCCGTCTCCTGGGCTCAAGCCGTTCTTCTCAGCCTCCTGAGTAGCTGGGATTACAGGCACCCAGGCGCTTACTACCATGCCCAGCTAATTTTTGTATTTTTAGTAGAGACAGCATTTCACTATGTTGGCCAGGCTGGTTTCAAACTCCTGACCTCAAGTGATCTGCCCACTTCGGCCTCCCAAGGTGCTGGGATTACAGGCATGAACCACTGCGCCCGGCTGTAAACTTTACTTTTTGCAAAGTTTTTTTTCAGATATATCTCTATAGGGTGTATGTTCTTTTTCCATTTCATAGATGAGAAAATAGACAGTAAGCCAGAATAGAGGCTTCTTCATACAGCCAGGAGAGAAAGAGCTGGATTTAACTCATGCCTGCTAGATCCTTCTAGAGCTGGGCTCTTTCTGCTCTACCGTGTGTGCCTCGGAAGCCCCTTTTGTCATTACATGTTCTTCTGCTGTGTATCTCACCTATTCCCCCAGCTGCCATGTCAGACGCTGCTACATGTGTGAAGTAACCTAACACCTTTGGTTTTTCTTAAAGCAGGGTCCTTGGCTGAGATCAGTAAGCAACGCTGGGGCTTTTTACTTAAAGTGAAACCACCAGCAGCTGGGAAGCTGGTGTTGCAAGGTGGTACAGAAAACCATTCAGCCTAGTAGCTAAACTCACCTTGGTGGAGCCCTCCTGGGGCCACGTGATTTTTATTTCATGTTATTTCATTTGGTTTGCATGACAACTCAATGATAAGCATCACTGCTTGTACAGCGGAGGAAACAGCAAAGAGAAGGGATGCAACGTGCCTGGTTCCTGTGCACCCCTGGGGAGCATAAGCCAGGATTTGAACCAAGGTCTTTGTACTCCAGAACTCCCTACAAAGGGAGGCTTTCTCCTCTTCTTCCCAGGTGAGCTCCAGTCTGCAGAACTCAGCCAGGATGCATGTGCTCAGAGAAGCCTTTCTTCCCCTTGCTGGGGAGGAGCCCCAGTGTGGACTCTGTTGCACTCCTGATGTGGATGGAGATGTGGATATTCACATATCATATGCCGGCCTGGACAGGGCCTGTCCTCCCTCCCAGACTCGGAGCCGTCTGAGGGCAGGACTGTGTCTGTCTCTGCAGTGTGGCATCCCTAGCGCTCAGCGTGGGGTTCTGTGACTGCCTGGTTGACTGAATAACTGAAAGTCGGAAAAGAGGTTGGGGTATGTGTGGGAAGGTGCCCAAGCCTTCTGTCTGTCTGTTTGCTCGCTTGAATATGTCTTGAGCTTCCAGAGAGAAATTTTTGTTAAGCTCATTGTCAGGTGTGGTGCCCCTTGAGGTCATGTATGGGAATTGGGGAAAAAGCCATGTTCCTGGTGTCAGGGGTGGGAGGACGTTCCGTGGGTGCAGGGAGCCTGAGAGAGACAGAGAATCAGTAGCGGGAGGAGGAAGGAAATGGGAGCTTGAAGAACAGGGTCATGGCCCGGCCAGCAAAGGGGTCGGTGGTGTAAAGCGGGGAGTGAGAGGAAGCTATGAGACGTACGGAGGGGCCAAAAGTCCGCAAGGCTGTGCCAGAAGGTGATGGGTAGGCAGGGAGGGCTGAGGGAGGGTGGCTGGAGTGGGGTGCCGGCCTTTGAGGCTGACTCTAGGAGACTCAGTGTGTGGGGGTTTGTTTGCAGGGGGTGGGAGTGGAGGGATGGGTGGTGGGGGTGGGGTGGACCTGGGAAGACCCGAGGTGATGCTGGGAAGGGGGTGGGGTTGTGCAAAGATGAAGCCTCATTTCTGTGGCTGGGTTATCTCACTTTCTTCAAGCAGGAAACTCGGCCACTGAGCCCCACCATGCAAGAGTGCATGGCCTGAGGTCTGCTGACCACAGCCTACTTTGAGAATAAAGTGTTGTTTCAGTCACTATGAGCCCTTGGCAAAAATTTGAACCCATGCAGACAAAGCCCTCCTTGACCATCATTTGCCCATCTCCTTCTCACTAGTAGTGCCTGTTGTCAGCAAGTTGGTGGAAATCTTTTGGTACCCTTTCTCACACCTTTACACTCATACGTGCACACTTACAAATAGGCACATTCCTTCTTAGCTGAATCCAGTACATTCCTGAAAACACACTGGAGAGGAACATTTTTGGATTGCAATATATTACATCATATTACACAGAGACAAGCGCTGATGCATTACCAACTGATTGAAACACCCCAGCCAATTTCCTTAGTATCACTTAACAACCTTAAGTACCTAAAATCAGCCTACCAATATTTTTCGCGTGAATACAAAGCATCTACAGCAACAAATGCCCAATTTTTGGGTGCTTTGATGAACCCATTGCTAAGCATGTTTGCAAAAAGTACATAGGATACTATACAGTAATGTTTCTGAATTAGGATATTCTTCTATCCTCCAACTACCTTGTACTGTAATGGAAAAAACAATGAAATGATCTGCTTAAAATACTAAAGATTCATTTAAATTGGACCCTGGTTGGTAGTTTGCTTGTCAGAAGCAAATGCTGGGATGAAAGAAGAACTCAATAGAATGGGCAGGATGCCGGGTTTGATGTGCCGTTGGTTGTGTGTCTAACTGCTTCTCTTCCATTGCAGACAGACACGCCTTTCCTTTCCTTTTCTGTTTCTGTTTCCTTTTCCTTTTTCCTTTTCGTTTTTCTTTTGTTTTCTTTTTCTTTCTTTCTTTTTTTTTTTGAGAAGGCGTCTTGCTCTGTGGCCCAGGCTGGAGTGCAGTGGTGTGACGTCGGCTCACTACAAGCTCTGCCTCCCGGGTTTATGCCATTCTCCTGCCTCAGCCTCCCGAGTAGCTGGGACTACAGGTGCCCGCCACCACACCCGGCTGATTTTTTTTTTTTTTTTTTTTTTTGGTATTTTTAGTAGAGACGAGGTTTCACGTGTTAGCCAGGATGGTCTCTATCTCCTGACCTCGTGATCCACCCGCCTCGGCCTCCCAAAGTGCTGGGATTACAGGCGTGAGCCACCGCGCCCGGGCACCTTTTCATTTTTCTTTTCCTTTCTTTTCTTTCTTCTTTCGGATGGAGTTTCACTCTTGTTGCCCAGGCCGGAGTGCAGTGGTGTGATCTTGGCTCACTGCAACCTCTGCACCCCCACAATGGGTTCAAGTGATTCTCCTGCCTCAGACTTCCTAGTAACTGCGATTACAGGTGCATGCCCCCATGCCCGGCTAATTTTTGTATTTTTGGTAGAGACAGGGTTTTGCCATGGTGGCCAGGCTGGTCTCAAACTCCCAACTTCAAGTGATCTGCTTGCCTAGGCCTCCCAAATCGCTGGGATTACCGGCGTGAGCCACTGTGCCTGGCCCACACCTTCACTGTTTTCATTGGCACCTAGGTGCTCGTGAACCTCGTACAGCAGGTCTATGATCTGGATTGTGCATTTTGCATAAAAAAAGAGTTAATAAGTTATAGTAGACATTCAGATAGTGAGAATTTGCATAGTGATGGACACTTGTATATAATATGTACATGTACACATGGCCATGTATGTGTGTACACACATGGATGCATACATCTAGTCTCCTATTTACACAGGTCATCGAGGAGTTTTTGTCATGTCGGTACATAAGGATCTGCCTCCTTAATGTTCACAGCAAATAAATTGAGACACCATGTTCTTTCTTTTTTTCTGAGACAGGGTCTTGCTCTCTTGCCAGGCTGGTGTGCAGAGTTGTGATTACAGCTCATTGCAGCCTCAAACTCCTGAGCTCAAGCAATTCTCCTCCCTCAACTTCTTGAGTAGCTGAGACTACCAGTGTGCACCAGCACACTTGGCTAACTGCGTTTATTTTTTGTATTTTTTTTTAGAGATGGGGTATTGCTTTGTTGCCCAGGTTGGTCTTGAACTCTCTGGTTTCAAATGATCCTCCTACTTCAACCTCCCAAAGTGCTGGAATTATAGGCATGAGCCATTGTTCCCTGTCCCGTGTTATTTCTTATGCCTTATATGTGTCCAGCTTGATTCAGTTGCTAACAAGTACAGAGAAGCTTCTACATCTTTGTTTTTTTTCCCCTACATTTTTGTTTTGCCAGGTACTATTTTAATTGACAAACACACATGTACAGTCGCACACTCATTTAATCCCCACAAGAGCACTGTGTGGTAAGTATCACTATCACTCCTGTTGTTCACATGAAGAAGCAGAGGCACAGAGAATTGAAGTTACTGTCCAAAGCTATCTGCTATAAGCTGGGGAGCTGGGACTCCAGGTTCCAGAGTCTGTCCACCTCATCAGTAGCGACACTGCTCCTCATGACTTGGATAGCTCCTGGGAACATGAATTTGCAGCCCCTGCACTAGAATCTTGTTCCCAGCCTCGGGTCAGAAAGGTGGCTTGAATGCACTGCGTTGAGCGCAGTGGGCCTGACCGCTCTCTGTGCAGCTCTGCACCCCTGTGGGTAGTGGGATCATCATTCACCAAGATGCCCCTGCCTGATGTAAGATCAAGGGGTGGAGATGTCAACAAAAATGCCCACCGACCCCCTCAGACTTTGCTGAATACCAGATAGAAAACCCTGGAGAGAGCTGCATATTCTTATGTGGCTTCTTAGAGTCACTTGCTTGACTATGAGTCAAAGTTCAAATGCTGGCTCTTGCACTTGTGGCTGGTGACCCTGGCCAAGGTACTTCACTTCTCCACATCTCAGTTTCCTCATTTGTAAAATAGGGGCAGTCATGGTACCTGCCTCATAGTGTTCTTGTGAGGAACGATGAGTTAATACAGAGGATGCTGTTGTGCCCCACTCAGCTCCCATTACCAGGCTTGTGCTCCATTTCCCAGCTGCTAGGAGTGTTGGGTGTCGTGGCTCACAGGTGCCCCTTCTTCAGGGCACTGCTCTCACTAGAAGAAATCTGCATCACCTAGGAGGTTGTAGTGGCTGTAAGCCAAGCCAATGACTGACTGGCAGGGAGGACAAGAGGACTGGCCTCCCTTCCTTCAGGAGGACCTACTTTTCCGGTGTGATTCATGCTCCAGACATCCCCCCGCCACTCCCTATACAGTCAGGGTGAAGCCCATCCCTAAGTGGGACCACAGCCTTGTTTAGCTTTATTCTGCTCGCCATCCCACTCCTGCACTCTCCCAGTAAACACTTGAGCAAGAATTCCTGACTCAGGCTCAACTTCCAGGGAACCAACCTATGATAACATGCAAAACATTAGCACTCTGCCTAACACAGAGTAGGTGCTCTGTAAGAGTTTTGCTATATAGCATTTATTTTTATCCTCAAGGATGAGGCTACTGTATCTGTAAGACCCTTGAGGGCCAGGATCAAGTACATCCAGCAGAACATCGGGCTTATGGCTAATGCTTAAAAAGATCATGAGTAGATAGTCCATGTTCATGGATAGGAAGACTCAATATTTTCAAGATATCAGTTCTTCCTGGCTTCATCTATAGATTCAACACAATCCCAACCAAAATCTAATAGAGATACAAGAAAAGGTTTTTTTCAATTCACATTCAATACAGCACGAAACACTTCACCTCAGAGAAAGGAAAAATCAAGGTGTGTTTTTTTTCTCTTTCTCTTTCCTCTTCCCTCTGTACTCAACACTTTTGACACCAGATGTGTATGGTTTTCCCCCCACGCATCAAGCAAACAATTCTCCATTGGACACCAGTTTGGTGTCCTCTAGTTCAGTTCAATTCTGATACTATCTACTTGGAGCTAGAATCAGATTCCACAGGTTGAGAGCTCAGTCCCTCAAGACTCTGTCCCATTTCAGGTGCCAGTCACAAGCCCAAGTTGTGGCCTATGCTTTTGACTGACTGGCTATAAATTGGGGTTCCAATAACCCACTCCTTGGATTTGATTAATTTGCTAGAATGGCTGACACAACTAAGGGAAACATGTATACCAGTTTATTAAAATGATATTACAAAAGATAAAGATGATCAGCCTGATAGAAGAGATGCATAGGGCATAGGGTTCCCATGTTCTCTCTGGGCATGCCACCCGCCAGAAACTTCCATGTGTTTAGCAACCAAGAAGCTCTCTAAGCCCTGTCATCCTGGGTTTTTATGAGAGCCTAATTACAAAGGCATGATTGATTAAATCATTGGCCATTGGTGACCAACTCAGTCTTTAGCCCCTCTCTCCTTCCTGGACGTTGGGGGTAGGGCTGAAAGTTCCAACCCTCTAATCACATCGTTGGTTCCCCTGGCAGCCAACCTTCATCCTGAGGTATCTAGGAGCCCCCAGCCCTACAAAAAGATACTTATCACTGCAGATTCCAAGGGTGTTAGGGGTTGTGTGCCAGAAAATGGGGTTGGAGACCAAATATATGCAGTCAGTCCTCTGTATTTGTGGATTCTGCGTCTGCGGATTTAAGCTATGGTCGATTGAAAATATTTGAGAAAATTGCATCTTACTGAACATGGACAAACTTTTTTGTTGTCATTATTCCCTGAGCAATACAGTATAATTATTTACATAACATTTACATTGTATTAGGTATTAAAAGTAATCTAGGGATTTAAGGTATATGGAGGGATGTGCATAGGCTGTATGCAAATTCTCTGCCATTTTTTATCAGAGGCTTGAGCATCTATTTGGATTTTGGTATCTGTGGAAGATCCTGGAACCGATCCCCAACAGTCACTGAGGGATGACTGTATATCTTATTAAAAGTCACAATATTACAGAATCCCAGCAAGTTATTCTGTGGGTAGTGACAAAGTGATTCCAAAGGTTATATGGAAAGGTGGAAGACATAGACTAGCAAACACAGCATTGTAGAACGAAATCAGAGGACTGCAAGACTTACTCTAACGTTCCAGTAATCAGTACAGGTGATGTTGGCAGAAGAATAGAAAGATTAGTAGAACAGGATCAAGAGCGCAGAAATAGACCCACACAAATATCATCAACTGATCTTTGACAAAGGGGCAGAGGCCACTCAGTGGAGAAAGGATAATCATTTCAGAAGTATGATGAATAAGCTAATACTTGTCTTGGGAAGAAGCAAGAGAGGGGTGTTCAGGATGATAAAGTCCTGGTTGATGAAGGCAGATGCCTGCAGCTCTTTCCTGGGGCAGGGCTGGCTTCCAAAGGGTGCTTGTTTGGGCCCTTTGGAAGGGGGTGTGCGGATGTGCAGGGCTGCTTGTATCATTAGAATGGCTGTTAGAATTTCATTCTTTCTTTCTTACCATGCTCTGTCTCTCTGCCTTTGTACATGTGCGTTTGCATTTCTCTCCCTCCTTGTCTGGGTAACCTGTGCTTTTCTGTACCTGGTCTCTCTGTCCCTCTCTGTCTCCCTTGGTCTCCCTTGTCTCCTCCTCTGTCCTTCTTCCTCTCTGTCCCCTGCTCTGCTCAGTCATCAGTAATTTGATCCCTCTTGAGGTCCCCATTTCTCTCTGTCCCTTTCCTCTTTCCAAGAACTACTTATTGGGCCCCGCTGTGTGCCAGCTACTCTGATAGGGGTGGAGCTCAGTGGTGAAGAAGGGTGTACAATCCCTGCGTGTATGGAGCTTACAGTCTAGGAAAGGAGGGCTGTGGATCCACAGATTCCATCTAATACATATTTGCCTCTGTTGAGTGCTGTGGAAGAGAGGTGCTTGGTATAGATCATAGCAGGCATTGGGAGGTTTTCTGAGTTTGGTTTGATTGAGCTGAGACTGGAAGGGAGAGCTTGGCACTAACCAGACTAAGAACATTTTCAGTGGTGCCAACAACACCACTAATGTCCTATGGTAGGAATGAGTGTGACCTATAAGAGATGCTTGGAGGGGCCTGTGTGGGTGGTGCAAGGGCTGGGAGGCAGATGCTTAGGCCACGTGGGGTTGGAGGGGTCATCACAGGGCTGTGGTTCTTAGTCCTTACAGCAATGGGACGTCACGGGAAGGCTTGATCCCAAGGAGTGGCATGAGCCTGTTTGTATTTCGTAAGGTGACTGTGGGGATAACGTACTGCTTTAAGGAGACAAGTCAGGAAGCTGCCTCCATAGACAAGAGATAATGGTGGCTTGGATTGTGGTGTTGGCCATGGAAATGGATAGACGTTGACAGATTCCAGAGCAATTTCAGAAGTAGAATTGTTAAAATCTGGCTATTGCTGGAAGACAATGTTACCTTGTCTAAAAAAGTTTTTCTTTAGTTATGTATAATTTTTCTGTAAGGACAGATGCTCACCATAGGCCAGTTCAAAGATCCCCTCTTGGCTGGGCGTGGTAGCTTATGCGTGTAATCTCTGTACTTTGGAAGGCCGAGACAGGCGGATCACCTGAGGTCAGGAGTTCGAGACAAGCCTGACCTATATGGTGAAACCCTGTCTCTACTAGAAATACACATACACACACACAAATTTTCCAGGTCTGGTGGCGGATGCCTGTAATCCCAGCTACTCGGGAGGCTGAGGCAGGAGAATCACTTGAACCCAGGAGGCGGAGGTTGCACTGAGCCAAGATTGTGCCACTGCACTCCAGCCTGGGCAACAAGAGCAAAACTCTGTCTCAAAAAAAAAAAAAAAAAAAAAAAAAACCAAAAAAATTCCCTCTTGAAGACATTTTACTGGGAAAGAGAATTGTTAGACTAGACAGAAAGAGAAAAGAATGTTTGCTTAAAGTCACTAGACTTTCACTGGCAGTCAACTGGGTGGGTGAATAACTAACTTTGGAAAACAAACCTTAATACCTTTCAAGTTTTTAGATAATTGCTAAAGCAGTTATATCAGCCATGTTGATTTCCTCTAAAAATGAATTCCAGTGCCTAGTGTCTTTAAAAAGTCAAAGGCACAAGAGAAAACAAAAGTAAACAAGGAGACTCCGTAGGATTGAAGATGTAATGACATAATGAGATAAGATGTATGCATTTTATTTGTCTTCAAGTCTACTGTAAAAAGATTTGGAGAAAACTGGGGAAATTTAAATACAGATGAGGTGTTAGGTTATGTTATGTAATTATCATCAGTTTTGTTAGGTGTAAGGTTTTATGGTTCTATAAGAAAGTGTGCTCATTTTTTTGAGATAAATTAAGTATTTTGGGGTGCAACATCATGAAGTCTGTAAAAGTACTCAAGCTTCCCCCAGATAAATGAAACAAACAAACAAAAAAGTTTCAGTGCACGAAAAGGATCTTTCTGTTTGTTTGTTTTTGAGGAGTGAAGATAAAGAGAAGAGATAAGGAAGACTCAGATTTCTGGTTTGGGTGAAGAGTGGCGACATGTCCATCTTTTACTGACCGTGCGTTCTTGGGCTCTCAGTGTGATAGAAATTGACAAGAGGTCCAAAGAGTTTTCCCAGACAAGGCTTTATTGGAGCTTATGCCCAGGCATAAGAGAAGCAGCACAAGAGAAAGAGAATTCTCTTCCTGGCTCCCCGAAGACAGTCAGGAGAGGAATTTTAAAGGGGCTAAAGTAGGCAGGGAGTGATATTTAAGCATGTAGAAGCGGGGAACTTCTGGCACCTGCACAGTGTAACAGCATAGAGAGCTTCTTCCTGTGTTGCATATCTCATTAGCGTGTTAAATCCCCACCCCTAGGCATGATGTTTAGTATTATAATGCAGCCAAGGTGGAGGACTGGTCATTCTTCAGATCTCCTGCACATGCGGGCAATAGGGTTAACTCCCTTGAGTAAGATTTAAGATGGGGCCCGCTTATTTTTGTTTCCTCGAGGTCTGCAATCAGTGGGAATGGCCCTTTGAACAAGATTTATAGTGCAAGGTCTGGATGGGGTCCCCACTTGTTATGGGTCCCCCCAGCCAGCTTGTAGTAGAAGTCCTCAGTGGGGTGTGACGGGGGATGAGTCCTTTCTCTACTTTCTCTCACCTTCATCCCTAATACTCTACCCCACAAGGTTTAGAGATACCACCCCCCTAATAATAGGGCCACCCATAATTGAGAAGTGTCTTTAGTTACTTTTTATTTTGAAATAATTTTAGACTCTTGTGGACCTGGCAAAAATAGTACAGTTTCTGTGAACCATTCATTTAGCTGCTCCAGTGATAACATCTTTCATAACCATAGTTATCAAAACCTGGACATGGTCGCTGGTGCAGTGCTATTAATGAAACTGCAGATCTTAATTGGTTTTCACCATTTTTTACATACACTCCGTTTTCTTGTTATTTTGCATTTGTTTTGGTGTGTAGTTCTACGAAATCTTGTCACGTGTAGGTGGGTATGTCTACCACCGTACATGCACAGGATGTAGATGACGTGCTGTTTTTTTACTCTTTTCACATGGCCTTTTTGTTGTTGTTGTTGTTGTTGTTGAGGCGAAGTCTCACTCTGTCACCCAGGCTGGAGTGCAGTGGCGTGGTCTCGGCTCCCTGCAACCTCCGCCTCCCGAGTTCAGGCGATTCTTCTGCCTCATCCTCCCAAGTAGCTGGTACAACTGGCCTGTGCCACCAAGCCCAGCTACTTTTTGTATTCTTACTAGAGATGGGGTTTCACCTTGTTGGCCAGGCTGGTCTCGAATTCCTGACCTCAAGTGATCTGCCCGCCTTGGCCTCCCAAAGTGCTGGGATTACAGGCGTGGGCCACCAGTGCCCGGCTTGTTTTCACATGGCTTTTGCCCACTGAGCTGTTTCTAATTGAGCTAGACCCACGGTAAGAACTCAGAAAGCTTTGAGTGCATCCCATCCCCTCTCCTCTAACTTAATTGTCTGCTCTCCTCCTCTAGCTCCCATTGTTGCCTGTGAATGGCCACGAACCTCTCCTGTGTTTCACTATGACTCTAAGATGCCTTTGCTCACCTCTGGACTTCGTTCTGTCCTCTTCCTTAATTCCAGGCCACAGCCACCTCTTCTTGCTGCAAAGCTGAGATCTCCTTTCTCACTCTCATCTCCAGGAGTGCTGGAGTTCAAAGGTACACCAGGGTTTGATAACACTTTCTTCCATGGTAGACAAGGTGGTCCCTGCCACTCCCAGGCTCATGTTTTACCAGCTTGGGAGCAGCCGTGGAGGGGAGGTTTTACCAGTAGTCCTGGCCAAATAAGTCCCAGGAGGATGCTGATGGTGCAGCTGGGCCATGTGTCTGTCCCCGAACCAGTCACTGAGCCAGGGCACTTGGGTCATTCCCTGGCCCCTGCTGTCGCCTTCAGCTTGTGGTTGAAGGTGGTGGGGGTGAATCAGCTCTATCTAAAGCACATGGAATGGGTGCATCCCATGAAAAGATGATTGTTGTTGTAGTTTTTCAGAAGAAAGGGAAAGAAGGGACTGGTTGAGCTTGTTGAGCTTGTGTCTCTGTGCCAGTCCAGAGTTCACTGGTCATCTTGTAGGGGGAAGGAGGAGTCACCTTTGAGTCAGTCAGGTTGCTATCCTTGCCTGGTAGGTTTTGACCAGGAGTAGATGGAGTCACATGGCAGCAGAAGTTGCAGAACGGAAGGATTTCTTACTTGTTTCTGTTATCTATTGCTATACAACAAACTATCCCAGTGTTTAGTGGCTTAAGACAACAATCATTTTATTTATTGCACATATTTCTACAATCTGGGCATGGGTGGGGACTGGGAGAGCTTGTCTGTGTTCCACATGTTGTCAGCTGGGGCAGCTCACTGGGGCCAGAGGATCCACTTCTAAGATGGTCCAGTGCTCTGTGGCTGTTGGCTGGGGGCTCAGCTGGGCTGTTGGCTGAGGGCATTGATTCTTCTTCCATGGCCTCTCCATAGGGCTAACTTGGGCTTCTTACAGCATGGTGGTCTCCAGGTAGTCTGACTTCTTACACAGAGGCTGGCTTCCCCCAGAGCACAAAATGGAAGGTACCAGGCCTTCTTAAGTATTAGGCCCCAGGCTGGGCCCGCTGGCTCACGCCTGTAATCCTAGCACTTTGGGAGGCTGAGGTGGGCAGATCACTTGAGGTCAGGAATTCAAGACCAGCCTGGCCAACATGATGAAACCCCATCTCTACTAAAAATACAAAAACTAGCCGGGCATGGTGGCACATGCCTGTAATCCCAGCTACTCCTGAGGCTCAGGCAGGATAATTGTTTGAACCTGGGAGGCAGACGTTGCAGTGAGCTGAGATCATGCCACTGCACTCCAGACTGGGTGACAGAGTGAGATTCTGTCTCAAAAAAAAAAAACAAAACAACAAAAAAAAACCATTAGACCCTGAACTGGTACAGCATCATTTATGCCAGCGTGCCAGTGCTCCTAACCTTTTTGGTACCAGTGACCAGTTTCATAGAAGACAGTTTTTCCACAGATGGTGGGGGCAGTGGGGGGATTGCTTTAGGATAAAACTGTTCTACTTCAGATCATCAGGCATTAGATTCCAATAAGGACCACACAACCTGGATCCCTCGCATGCGTAGTTCACCGTAGGGTTTGCGCCCCTATGAGAATCTGATGCCGCTGCTGATCTGACAGTTGGTGGAGCTCAGATAATAGTGCTTACTTGCCGGTACCAGTCCATGGCCTGGGGGTTGGGGAATCCCTGATTTATACTACATTTTATTGGTTAAAACAGGTCACAGAGACAACCTGGATTGAAGGGCAGCTGGCTATATAAGGCATAAATACTGGAGGCTGTGGCCCATTAGTAACAGTCCATTACTCTGGACTGTTACCAGAGTCATAGTTTACCACTCTCTTCTCACAGGCCCTGTGATATCCAGAACCCCTGTTACCATCCCCAACGCTGGGGTTGGCCTCTTATTATTATTTTTAATTTGAATCAGTTAGTGCCTTCATTTCCTCTTCCCCCTTTAATTGAGCCACAGAGCATTTGTAGCTTTTGGGACTCAAGGGAAAAGGTCATCAAGGTCAAGGTCAACCGGACAGTTGACCTTTAGGCTGCCTAGAGTGATCTCTAGTGAGCATCAATTTGGTCTCTTGTTTTTTTTTGGTAGAATAGTCTGTGCTTATTTCCTGAAATCTCAGTTGCATTACAAAAATTAATTGTCCTAGTTTAAAATGTGTCTGTCTGAGAAACAGGGTGAGCGGAAACCCCAAACTCTTCAGACTCCAGGGGTTTGTGGGGTGGCAGCAAATGCCCGGGTAGGGTCTTAGCCCTTTGTCCATTTCCAGAAGGAGGGGACACTGAGTCCAGACGCAGAGATAGCTTTGCGGGATCCTGTTGGGGAAGGAAGGAGCCAGGCTGTGCCTGGGCTGCAGTTGTGTGGCTGCATCCTCAGGTGGAGGGAACTCCAGCTTCTAATTGGCTCATGTTAATTTCATTTTAGTGGATATCATGGAAATAAAAGAAATCCGCCCAGGGAAGAACTCCAAAGATTTCGAGCGAGCAAAAGCAGTTCGCCAGAAAGAAGACTGCTGCTTCACCATCCTATATGGCACTCAGTTCGTCCTCAGCACGCTCAGCTTGGCAGGTAGGTGCATGTTTCTGTGCCTTTCTCCTTCCCTGTGCCTTAGTGTCTTCCTGAAGAAGTTCGCTAATAGCAGAATGCTCACCCCTGCCTGCTCACTGATGTGTATTTGGGGTCATGGTTTTGAATCCCAGCCCTGCCCCTTTCTAGCTGTGTGTCTTTAGGTGAGTGACTTAACCTCTCTGAGCTGCAGTTTGCTCAGCTGTGAAATGGGGAGAATAATAATGCCTATTTCATGGGGGTATTGTGAGGAGTATGTTAAGTGTCTCTCTGGCTCATGCTGAGAGCTGAATAAGTGATGATTAGATAGTTTTAACACTGAAGGCCAGGCTCTGTTGGATGAAAAATGTACGCTGGGCTCATCCCTGTAATCCCAGCACTTTGGGAGCCTGAGGCGGGCAGATCACTTGAGGTCAGGAGTTTGAGACCAGCATGGCCAACATGGTGAAACCCTGTCTCTACTAAAAATACAAAAACTAGCTGGGTGTGGTGGTGCGCACCTGTAGTCACAGCTATTTGAAAGGCTGAGGCACAAGAATTGCTTGAACCAGTGAGCCAAGATTGCATCACTCCCCTACAGTCTGGGTGACAGAGCAAGACTCTGTCTCAAAAAAAAAAAAAAAAGAGAAGAAAAAGAAAAATGTAACCTGTTTTCTTCCAGCAGATGTGGCTCAGCAAATCTGATTGATCTGAAGGAACTGTCCTGAGATCTTCTGTTGCACACACACATGCACTTTCCTCACTTTACTCAGGGGCAGAAGCTTGTATCTACTTTCAAGTTCAGTCCTAGAATTTATTGACTTAGAAGTATATGTATATTAATTAAGAAAATAAATACGATTAAAATAGACCAAAGTGGGTGAGGCAGCTGTCAAAGTTGAGCAATATAGGGACATTTACTTTTCGGTCAAATAACTTATTAATTTCTCATTCATTCTTTTACTACATGTCTTTTGAGCCTATACTCTGTGTTAGGTTGTGTACATGCCAGTGAGCTAGGAAGATGAATGGGACCTGGTGCCGCCTTTAAGAAGCTCTCAGTCGACTTGGGGAGACAGATGTGTGTACTGGGATAAGACCTAGTGCAAGCATGATACAGTGTGCTGTGAATGTTTAATTCCAGGGAAGCTTGGCAGAGAAGGTGACTTTTACATTGGGTTTTGAGGCTTCAGTAGGAGTTTGGAGGAAAGAGAGGGAGGGTGCTCCAGGGAAAGGCTGTGGTGTGTGCCAGGGCTTGGAGGAGGGAAATAGCATGTCGGATGTAGGAAATGAGGAGCGAATGTCTGACTGATGATATGGAGGGGGAGTTGGTAGAGATGGGGTAGGAGGGCAAGGCCCGTGGCGGTGAAGCTTCACACCTCTGTCTCCTTAGCCCCACCTGCAGGCTGAGCCCTGACCCCCTGTTCTTAATTTGGTAAGGAGACCAGAAGAACCCGGGTCTTGGAAGCCAGGATGTGAACTTTGATATATATCCCACTCTTGGTCCCTCTTCCGGAACCCTAAATTCAAGGTCAGCACAGTGATGGTCAAGATTTTGATTCACATTCCATCTTCTCACTTACTGGCTCTGAGACAAACTCAGCCCTTCAGAGCCTCAGTTTCCTCCGCATCTGTGTGGGAAGATGAGAGCAGCAGTCTCTGCCATGGGTGTACGGACTGATAAAGTACCTGGTGCTTAAGGAGAGGCTTCATAGTTCCATGAGGTGTTTGCACTGTTAGCTTCATTTTACAGGTGAGATGAGGCACAGAGTAGGGTTAAGTAACCTCCTGAATGTTACACAGCCCTGAAGTGGTGCAGTGGGACTTGAGCTATGATCTTCCTTTTGCCAGATGCCAAGCTCTTAACCACTCCTCAATGCCGCTTATTAACAAGGGTAATAGCAACCATGGGTATTAGCAAGCCATACTCTCCTGGGTATTAGCAAGCTCTACTTGCTGTCCCTCTGTGCCATCTTGATTAGAAGCAGGGGAGATACTGACAGCTGCTTAGGGTTGTGGTGCAGATTATTCCAGATTCTGCATTTTATTAGTTAGCATAGGGTTAAAAGCTAACACTCTTTAATAAAACAAAAAGCTAAATCCCTAAGCCAGTGGTACTCATCCATGGGAAGCTGAATACTGCCCTCCCACGATGCCCATGTCCTAATCCCGGGAACTTGTGAATATATTATCCTCTATGGAAAAGGAGACTTGGCGGGTGTGGTTAAATTGAGGATCTTGAGATGGGAAATATCCTGGACTATCTGGGTGTCTAGTGGAATCACAAGGGTTCTTAGATACCCGGGAAGGTCATTCCCAGAGAAAGAGATGTGAGGATGGAAACAAAGGTCAGCAGATGAGAGGCCATGAGCTAAGGAATGTAGGCAGCCTCCAGAAGCTGGGAAAGGTGAGTAAACAGATTCTTCCCCAGAGCTTTCAGAAGGAATTCAGAGATCTCATGCAACCAGTCTATTTTAGACTTCTGGCCTCTCTAACAGTCTGAAAATAAATCTATATTACTTTAAGTCACTAAGTTTGTGGTCATTTGTTATAGCAGCAGAGGAGACTGATGACTGAACCTTTGATATACTTTGGCACCAGGCAGGTGTTTCCACCTGTTGATGTCTCCGTCATCCCTCTCTTCTGGTTTAATTACTTTAGGGTGGGACCTAAGTATTGGGGTTTTGAAAAGCCTTCAAGTGATTCTCCTGAGCAGCTGGGGTTGAGAAACTCTGCTCTGGAGTTGGACACCTGGGTTTGAATTCCTCAGCTTTTTCATCCCTGGAGTCAGTGTGCTGCCAGGGTAAGATAATGGATTCTTGTTTAAAATCCTGTATCTTCCACTGTCTCAGTGTGCTCTGGCTACTGTAATGAAATGCTGTAGACTGGGGGTTTAAACATCAGGCATTTATTTTCTCACAATTCTGGGGGCTGGGAATGCCAAGATCAAGATGCTGGATGGTTGAGTTCTGGTGAGGGCTCTCTTCCTGACTTGCAGACAGCTGCCTTCTTGCCATGTGCTCACATGGCTTTTCCTCAGGGTGTGCTTGGATAGAGAGGGAGCTCTAGTCTCTCTTTCTCTTCTCTAAAAAGGCATTAATCCCCTCATGGAGGCCCCACTCTCATTACTTCATCTAAACCTAAATACCTCACAAAGGCCCTACCTCAGGGGTTAGAGATTCAACATATGAATTCGGAAGGAATGCAAATATTCAGTCTGTAATGGCTGCTATGAGCTGTGTGGCCTTGGACACATGACTGAACCTGTCTTAGGTTCAGTGGTTTCTCCATGTGTTAAATGGGAATATAATAGTACTTCCCTTGTGGGATCAATATAGGAAAAACACTTAGAACAATGTCTAGTATATATATGTAGTTAGTGCTCAAATGATGTTAACAATGTCATAGTGATAGTTCCCACCACTCCCTCCATTCTTAGCTGATTCCATTTGGCACAGGAAATAACCCACTTGTCATCCCTGTGGTACAAAGCTCATCATGAATGTGTGGCCCCATCTCAGACAAAAAGCAGGTCCTAGGGCCATGACGGTGTGAAAGGGGATGCTTTCTTTGCCTTCTGCAAAACTAGAAACCAGCATAGGCTTCTCCCATCTTCGTGATCTGTATGGGGCAGGGCTTTGTAAGCAGACGTCTTCCCAGGAATTAACACAGCATTTCTGTTCCCTTTCTCCACTCCAGCTGACTCTAAAGAGGATGCAGTTAACTGGCTCTCTGGCTTGAAAATCTTACACCAGGAAGCGATGAATGCGTCCACGCCCACCATTATCGAGAGGTAGTTGGCTTTTGCCTGTTGATTTGCGTAGTTGCTGATTCCTTTATTCTGCTGCCTTTAGCCAACATGGGCTACAGGGGGGAAAAAAAAAAAAAGGGACATTGGTTTTTTGAGGCTCGTTGAGTGTCTTGTATGCAATGGGTGCCTAGTAGCGGTGTGGGCTCTACAGTTTTTCAAATAAGAGCATTTCCCTGTGCTAGTTTTCAGCGTTGGCCTATTGGAGTGAGTGGTGCATTGGACTCGAGATAGAAACATTCCTGGGGTATGTGCTGGGGGAAAACAGGGCTTCCTTCTTAAAGGATTTAATAAGAGATTCAGTGGACTGATCAAAGGACAGATACAGGGTCTGGAATTTTCCACCTATCACTCCCTCCTGGGTTGATGAAGACCTCAAGACTGTCTCTTCAGTGTCATGGGAGTCTAGATGGGCATTGGGGTGTGAGTTATTTTCCTTCCACTAAATCAAAGTCCTCTACTTTTTACTATTTTTCTTTCTAGCTTTTTGGGGATTAAATGACTATCATCAGAAGGAATTGACAATGTAAAGAAACCTGGCCTTTTTGAGTTGAAATCTTGGCTTAGATAGGCCTTTTCCACACTAGGAGGAAACTGCTTCCCAAGCTGCCCTTGTTAGAAAGTTGGAAGACTCCTCCTTTTGGTTCCAGTTCCTTTTGTGCACATTCCGTAGGACTCACTTAGACTTGTGCTATTTTCTAATTTTCTCTTTCTCTCTTTCTTTTGTCTCATATTTCTTTCCAGTTGGCTGAGAAAGCAGATATATTCTGTGGATCAAACCAGAAGAAACAGGTAAGAGTCATTCAGTTTTTTTCTGATCACTTTGGATTTCGATCCTCATTCTATCTTTAAACCTTCCAAGGGGGTGGGAGCATGACTTGTCGGGAGCAAGGTCCTCACTGCGTCCATTGTGATCTGCGGATGCCATGTTGGGTCCTGGGGTTGAGGATGACAAAATCCTCCTCCTGGAGGGAGCCTCTATTCCGCAGAAAATTCAAGTACAGCCTCAGAGATGATCTCTGCCATGGGGCATTTGGACCTCATCACAAATATTTGAGCACCTTTAAAGTCCTGGTAATACAGCAGTAACCACACTCCTGATGGCACCAGCCCATGCTTTGTGACAGGAGAGAGATTGATTGACCGTGAAGAAGTAAACCAGGTGGTTCTTTTTTTTTTTTGAGACGGAGTCTCGCTCTTTCGCCCAGGCTGGAGTGCAGTGGCATGATCTCAGCTCACTGCGAGCTCCGCCTCCTGGGTTCATGCCATTCTCCTGCCTCAGCCTCCCAAGTACCTAGGACTACAGGCACCCGCCACCATGCCCGGCTAATTTTTTTTGTATTTTTAGTAGAGACAGGGTTTCACCATGTTCGGCAGGATGGTCTTGAACTCCTGACCTTGTGATCCGCCCACCTTGGCCTCCCAAAGTCCTGGGATTACAGGCATGAGCCACCGCGCCCGGCCACCAGGTGGTTCTAAGGGCTGGTAGAGATGTGTTGGGTGATGTGATAACGTATATTCAGTTTACTTGACTTTTTCACTTAAAAGTACCTCTTGGAGAAGCTCCCTATCAGTCCTGCACAAAGCTCTATGACGGACTATTATTATTATTTTTTAGAGGCAGGGTCTCTGTCTGTTGCCCAGACTGGAGGGCAGTGGCACAGTCATAGCTCGCTGCAGCCGTAAAGTCCTGGGCTCAAACGATCCTCCCGCCTCAGCCTCCTGAGTAGCTGGGAACTACAGGTGTGTTTCACCATGCCTGGCTTATTTACTATTATTATTATTATTATTATTATTATTATTTTTTTTTTTTTTTGTAAAGGTGAAGTCTTACCCAGACATTTTTTTTTAAAAAAAGCAAACGCAGTTTTGGTTTTTCTTTAGATTAATGCATTGTCATTTCGGAAATCATTTCCGTGTTGATGCACAGAGCGCTGCTCCCAATCCTTTATCATTACTGTGATTAATGCTGCTGTGGAAACCTTTGGGTCTATCTTTCTGTAAACTCATTTGAGGGAGCTGTGAGTGGGGTAAATTCTCAGAAACGAATACCAGCAGCACAGCGTTTGCTGGTCTAATAGTTTGATAGCGAGAGGTAGCAATTTGTATAATATTTCTACCAGTGGGGCAAGAGGGCACCCTTTCCTGATGATTTATTGTGCCATTAGACTTTGATCTTTGTTCATCTGCAACCGAGGCAACCAAGTGTTTTTGCTTAAACTTGCTTTCTTTATGGGTGAGGTTGAGCATTTTTAATTCATTATGTTTTTGAGGTATGATTCAGCTCTTGATAATGTAATGATAAAAACTACCATTTGGCCAGGCGCAGTGGTGTACACCTATATTCCCAGCACTTTGGGAGGCAGAGGCAGGCAGATTGCCTGAGCTCAGGAGTTCGAGACCAGCCTGGGCAACACGGTAAAACCCTGTCTCTACTAAAATACAAAAAATTAGCCAGGCATGGTAGCACGCTCCTGTAGTCCCAGCTACTCAGCCTCAGGAGGCTGAGGCAGGAGAATTGCTTGAACCCGGGAGGTGGAGGTTGCAGTGAGCCGAGATCGCGCCACTCTACTGTGGCCTGGGTGACAGAGCAAGACTCCGTCTCAAAAAAGCAAAACAAAACCAACCAAACAAAAAACAACAAAAAAACCCACCACGACAAGAAAAAACCAAAAAAACCAAAACCAAAACCAAAACCAAACCCTACCATTTATTGAACAACCGTGTATTTGGCATGCCAGGGATTGCATTGAGCTCTTCAGTCCTTGTCTCATGTTAGCCTCACGTGAGGCACCTTATTTTTTTGGTAAAATATTCCTTTCATTCATTCTTGATTTATTTATGTCATTATCCTATGTGGATATGTCATTATCCCATCTAGATGTGTCATTATCCTAGTTAATATCCAATAACTAAACTCTGTCAGCTCTCTTATTTTGTTCCTGAAAATCTTTCCATCTTGAAGGTGACTTCGTGTCTGGTCAGTGTCCTCTGTTACTTGTTAGCTTCAGGGTTTGGGTGAGCTTCCCTGGTTTCTTCACATGCCCGATGGGAGGATTTGGAACTATTAACTAGGAAGTGGTTAAAAGTCTAGTAATGTTAGGTCAGCCATTAGCTCACTCCATGTTTTTCTGTCCACCTGCCTTTCTCTCCGTCCTCTTCTTCTCATCCAAAATGCCCTGCCTGCTCCGCCACGCTGGGCCACCCTCTCGTGTTACTGAGGTGGATCAAATGAGGTGCTTGTGTTGGAAGATTTGGTACACACTGGTCTCTTTCAGCCTCGGAGGTGATGCCTCTTCTGACTTTTCTTTCTCTGTGGCTTATGATGATTCATAGCTGAGATTGGCACAGGGCTGAGAGAGGGAGCCACCCTCAGTGCCTCTCTCCACGCGGTGCTGGTATGGTATGGCCAATCTGGCTCTGAAGTCGGCTCTTCGTTTGTGAGGTCAAGAAATGGATACCACCCTCTTGCTCAGGAGGCATTCTGGCAAGTCCTGCATAGAGATCCATCTTCCCATCGGCTGGTCCAGGACCCTCTGCAGAGAGAAACTTTTCTGTTTCTGGACTGAGTTCATCCCTGTGTGCTCACCGGCTTCCTCTCCTCTACCTCCCTCCCAGTGGGCAGAGCCCTGCTCTCTGTCAACATGTGGAAAATCCCACCTTTCCTGTGGTTCTGGGAAGCCTGGAGGGAGCTTTGCAAAAGAAACTTTGACCAAGATGCCAATGAAAGAGCAACTGACTTCTGTCCTGCCAATTTCCCTCCCTTTCCTGTCACCCACGAGACGAATCGTGTTTCCTGAAGGAAAACAAAGGAGCCACAGAGGCAGAGGAAAGACTGAAGGCGAGAGGGGGCAGGCTCAGGGCTGGCCCAGCCCGGGCAATGGACAAGTCTTAGGTGTTTTGCTTGGCCCAAGCACGCTGTTTCATTTTTTGACTTTTCTAGAGGCAAATGGTAGCAGCGGGCATTTGTTTACAGCCTTCTTTGCAGCCGTGGCTGTAATAAGCACTTTACATCCTTAGGATATGCTCTTGGCTGACGGTTGAGCTAGGTGCTCTCAGACACGTTTTCTATGTGAGGACACTGAGGCCCAGAGAGGTTAAGTGACTTGACTAAAGCAGCCCAGGTTGTCAGGGGTGGCACCAGGGTTTGCAGACTTACTTTCCCCACTGGTGTTGCTTTTCCTTTTTTCTTTTTTCTTTTTTTAAATGTGCTACTGGCCGAGCATGGTGGCTGACACCTGTAATCCTAACAGTTTGGGAGGCCAAGGCGGGTGGATCGCTTGAGCTCAGGAGTTGGAGACCAGCTTGGGCAACATGGGGAAACCCTGTCTATACAGAAAGTACAAAAAAGTTAGCTGGGTGTAGTGGTGCACATTTGTAGTCCTGCTACTTGAGAGGCTGAGGTGGGAGGATCATCTGAGCCCAGGGAGGTCAAGGCTGCAGTGAACCATGATTGTGCCACTGAGCTCCAGCCTGGGCAACAGAGTGAGATCCCATCTCAAAAACAAAAACAAAACAAAACAAAACCAAAAACAACGAAAATAAAAACAATTGTGCTGTTGAGAGCTGGGGGAAATGCAGAAATCTTCCCTTCCCCACCCTGACCAATCACCTTATGATTAAAAAAAATTAAAAACAAATGTTAAAATTTGTTTTATTGTGGTAACAACAATGAAACATAGAACAACATTGATCATTTTAACCGTTCTTAGATATGTACTTCTGTGGGATGAAGTATATCATGTTGTCATGCTCCCGTCACCACCATCCATCTCCAGAACTTTTTATCATCTCAAACTGAGGCTCTGCAGCCATTAAGCAGTAACTCCCCATTGATTCTCTCTTTAGCCCCTGGAAATCACCACTCTACTGTCTGTCTCTCTGGATTGGATTGCTCCAGGTACCTCATATAAGTGGACTAGCAGAATATTTGTCCTTTTGTATCTGGCTTATTTCACTTAGTGTAATGTCTCCAAGTTTCATCTGTGTTGTAGCATGTGTTAGAATCTTCTTCCTTTTTAAGGCTGAATAATATTCCATTGTACAGATAGACCACATTTTGCTTATCTACTTCTCCATCGATGGACACTTGAGTTGCTTCCACGTTTTGGCAATTGTGAATAGTGCTGCTGCGAACATGGGTGTACAAATCTGTTTGAGTCTCTGCTTTAAATTCCTCTGTGTATATATCCAGAAGCTGAATTGCTGGATCAGTTGCTGGATTGCTGTGTATATATCCAGAAGCTGAATTGCTGGATTTATTTTGCCGGATTGCTATACTGTTTTCTGTAGCAGCTACACCTTCCCAAGGCAGTGCACAGGTTTCTGTTTTCTTCATATCCTCACCAACACTTACTTCCTTTCCCTCCTCTGCCCTTGCCCCCTTGGCGTATAACATTGGATTTGCATAAGTAGAATGTGCACTTCCCTTTGTCCTTTAGCCCTGGCAGGGACAGAGGAACTACTCTACCAGGAGGTGGCAAAGGGTGAGGGGGTTGCAGGTGGAAGGCAGGTGGGTGAGTCCATTTATCTCATTCAGCGTGAATGCAAATAGGCTTCCTATTTGAGACTCCAGAATGTTAGAGTCACCTGGGGAAGCTTTGGCAGAGCCACGGCAGTAGTGATTCGGGTTTTACTGTTCTGGGCATGGCCTCTGGCGTTGCAAATTTTTTAAATAAGATTCTTCTGTGAAGCTGGGGTTGAAAATTAGGGCTGTCTAGAGGGCAATTTTCAAATCTGAGCATGCACCGGAATCCCCTGGAGGATTTGTGAAAGTGGAGGCTGCTGGGCTCCATCTCACAGTGGCTGATTGAGTAGGTGGTGGGCAGGGCTCAAGAATTTGCATTTCAACCAATCCCCAGGTGATGTAGATGCTGCTGGTCTGGGAGCTACTTAGAGAAGCAGAACTCTGGGGCTGCGCTGTCCAGCAGGGCACCCCTCACCACAGGTGGCCATTTCAACAAAACAAAACAAAATGAAATAAAATACTTAGCTCCTCAGTGGAACTAGCTGCATTTCAGGGGCTCAGCAGCCCCGTGTGGCTAGCAGCTACTACCTCAGACAGCACAGATGTCTCCATCATTGTTGAAAGTTCTGTCAGATGGTGCTGAGGTTTAAATCTCAGATCTCACACTAACTCATTGTGTGAATTGGGGTAAATGATTTAATTTCTGTGGGCCTCAGTTTCCTCATGTGTAAAAGATAAAATAATAGTTCCCGCCTCCCAGGGCAGATGTGAGGCTTCAGGAGTTAATATGTGAAGGGTGCGTGGACCTGCCTGGCTCATGGTAAACACTTGACGAATGTTTCTTATTGCCATTGTTGCTACAAAAGAGCCGGGGGCAGTGGAGGTGCCGGCCCAGCCTCAGCATGGCTGGTAAGTGTCACGGGGCTGCCATCCTTAATGGTTTGGTGATGGCTGCCTGGGTGCGGGAGTTGAAGAACCCTGGGGGCCTCCCGGGCTGAGCAGGGAGGACACTGTGATTGTTCAGTGCTGTCTGCCATGGGAGAGGGAGGGGCTGTTGGTAACTCATTCAGGGAATAGTTGCCGTCCTTCTCCAAAGGGATTCCCTTGTTTCCTAACCCACAGCCCTAGGTTGAGCTCCCAGGAAACATGATCTGAGACGCAGGTTTGTGTGCAGGAGGCTTACTAGGGAGTGCAGGGTCATCACCCTGGGGGAAGGAAGGCAGCTGGAACAGGCAGCTGGGGAGTCACAACCATGGCCTGGGCACACCTGATGGGGAGCTCTGAGCATGGCCTGTGGAGCTGTCCTGAATTGAGACTAGAGGGCCAGGCCTTTGTTCCCTTGCGTGGACTGGGTCAGAGCTGGCTGCCTTGGAAGGGGCTTTGACCTGGGCGAGGCACTCTCTGTAGGGGATGGCAGGTTGCAGAGAGGGGTGAAGCTGAGCCGTTGGCTTCCTCCCCTGCAGCGATGGGGGCTCAGCCTGCCTGTGCTGGTTTTGGTCGGGCTGTGCAGCACGACACACACACATCCAGAGGTGGGAGTGAGGGAGGGGCTCGCCTAGGGAGAAAGCGGGTGAGGCTGTCCCAGAGCTAGGAGCCCAAAGAAGCTCTCAGCCTCCAGTGTTTACATTGTAAGGGGAGGCCTTTGGACCAGGTGGGCTCCCATGTCCCAGGTGCTTGGATGCTCAAGCCCCTGGTTCCTGGGTTTTCTCCACTTGTTCTTGAGCAGCTGCTCTGGCACCCCAGGCCCCTCAGTCTCTCTGTTCCTGGACATGGGATGGTTCCTTTGCCCTGCTGCTGTCTGGGCTCCTGGGGGGCCCTGGCCTCTTCCTTGCTCCCAGGATGGGCTCCACTGGGGCACCAGCATGAGAGGACGCTGGCCTCTCCCTTGCTCCCAGGATGAGCTCCACTGGGGCAGCAGCGTGAGAGGACGCTGGCCTCTCCCTTGCTCCCAGGATGGGCTCCACTGGGCACCAGCATGAGAGGACGCTGGCCTCTCCCTTGCTCCCAGGGTGAGCTCCAACTGGGGCACCAGCATGAGAGGACGCTGGCCTCTCCCTTGCTCCCAGGATGAGCTCCACTGGGGCACCAGCATGAGAGGACGCTGGCCTCTCCCTTTCTCCCAGGATGGGCTCCACTGGGGCACCAGCGTGAGAGGACGCTGGCCTCTCCCTTTCTCCCAGGATGGGCTCCACTGGGGCACCAGCATGAGAGGACGCTGGCCTCTCCCTTGCTCCCAGGATGGGCTCCACTGGGCACCAGCATGAGAGGATGCTGGTCTCTCCCTTGCTCCCAGGGTGAGCTCCAACTGGGGCACCAGCATGAGAGGACGCTGGCCTCTCCCTTGCTCCCAGGATGAGCTCCACTGGGGCACCAGCATGAGAGGACGCTGGCCTCTCCCTTGCTCCCAGGATGAGCTCCACTGGGGCACCAGCATGAGAGGATGCTAGCCTCTCCCTTTCTCCCAGGATGGGCTCCACTGGGGCACCAGCATGAGAGGACGCTGGCCTCTCCCTTGCTCCCAGGTTGAGCTCCACTGGGGCACCAGCATGAGAGGACGCTGGCCTCTCCCTTGCTCCCAGGATGAGCTCCACTGGGGCACCAGCATGAGAGGACGCTAGCCTCTCCCTTTCTCCCAGGATGGTCTCCACTGGGGCACCAGCATGAGAGGACGCTGGCCTCTCCCTTGCTCCCAGGATGAGCTCCACTGGGGCACCAGCATGAGAGGACGTGGCCTCTCCCTTGCTCCCAAGATGAGCTCCACTGGGGCACTAGCATGAGAGGATGCTGGCCTCTCCCTTGCTCCCAGGATGAGCTCCACTGGGGCACCAGCGTGAGAGGACGCTGGCCTCTCCCTTGCTCCCAGGATGGGCTCCACTGGGCACCAGCATGAGAGGACACTGGCCTCTCCCTTGCTCCCAGGATGGGCTCCACTGGGGCACCAGCATGATCTGGCTCCTCTCCCCACGACCCCTCTCGCTGCCGCTCTGGTAGCGCCTGTTCCCACTGCTCCTCCACCTTCATCCTGCCCTGGCCCAGCTGTTCCTTGGACCACTCCCAGGGCTGAGGCAGAAAGGTTCTTGCAAGCCCCTGGGGCAACTTCCCTAGCCTGCTGGCCGCTGTGCCCAGCCAGCCCCAGCTGGCCCAACAGGGACTTTTTCTGCCCTCAAGGTCTGTCTGTGAAAGCCGTGGGTGCTGTCCCTGTGGTACCAGTAAGTGGGTGGGGAGCATCTTGTCATTTGAAGTCTGTGCTGTTACAGAGGCCCTTAGAACCAGAGGAAAGGCTGGAGGTGGGGACACAGGATGGCCAGAGTCACACTGGACCGTCTCCAGGGCAGCGGCTGGGCAGTGACGCGCTACTTCCTTCCGCATGCCACAGCAGAAGCTGGGAGGATGGTACAGGGAAACTAGGTGGTTTTCTCCTGCAAGGTGGGGCGAGCTTCCTCTCTTGACCACTCTGTCTCAGCTCTGCTGGACACTTGGCTCCAGCCAGAAGGGTCTGGATCTCATATTCTTGACCCACCCACCCCACTAATTTCACTTCTCCTTCTTGTGTGAGCTACTCGCTTGGAGGCAGTCAGGTGTGGTCATTATGGGCACACTGGGTTGGAGTTTGAGGCTAGCACAGATAAGGTACCAAACTGATCGGTGCCTCAGTTTCCTCACCTGGAAGATGGAGATGATCATGGTACCTGCCTTGTAAAATTGTTCAAACATCAAACAGGTGAATGTGCATATAAGGCACCACCTAGAACAACACCTGTCACCTGATAAGCACTATTGAAGTTTCAGCTTTTGTTACTATTGTTACTGCTGCTGCTGCTCCTTTTGCCTGGGACGTGTTCTCCCTTGCTTCCCTCCCTTTTCTTTTTTATTTTTGGAGATGGAGTCTTGCTCTGTCACCCAGGCTGGAGTGCAGTGGCGTGATCTCGGCTCACTGCAAGCTCCGCCTCCCGAATTCACGCCATTCTTCTGCCTCAGCCTCCTGAGTAGCTGGGACTACAGGCGCCTGCTACCATGCCTGGCTAATTTTTTTTGTATTTTTAGTAGAGACGGGGTTTCACCGTGTTAGCCAGGATGGTCTCGATCCTCTGACCTCGTGATCCGCCCGCCTCAGCCTCCCAAAGTGCTGGGATTACAGGCGTGAGCCACCACCGTGCCTGGCCCTCGCTTCCCGCTTCAGCTGAACCTCACTATGTGGCTTCGAAGAAACACTCATGCAGATTCCTGTGACCGAGCACTGGAATTTGATTCAAATCCAGGCTCTGCTGCCTGCCATCCAGCTCTAAGCCCTGAGTTGTGTACCCATGTGACACCCCACCCTTGGCTGTTCTGAGCCCTGGGGGTCAACCATGTGTACTTTGCAGAAGGTAGAATCTGGTGAACAATTAGGCAACTTTAATGCCTGGATGACCCCAGGGCAGCCTGGCACACAGTAGGTGCTCATGTAGGCCTTGTTCCTTCCCACTTCCCCTCCCTGGCCCTTAGTGACCTTGCCTTGCTCTGAACCCCAGTGGCATTAAAAGAAACCTTTATTTTTTTACTTATTTTTGGGGGTGCAGGGGGTCCCCACTTACTCTGCATCCCTCTTGTCTCTTCACAGTGTCAGACTAGAGTCAAATTCAGCTGGGTCTTTCCTGGCTGATTCTGCCAAGCCCGTCCTGTGGTTTTGGTTCCTCTGGGTGGCAGGTAGAGTCAGTAGGAGTCTTGTTCATCCATTCATGTGTGTCGCTAATTAGGTGACAAAGCATTTGGCTACATGAAGAGTGTCATAGTTACTCCTGATGTTTACCCAGGCTTCATTGAATTTCTTCACTTTGACATTCAGAGTCCTGGGCAGAAATCACATCATGTCAACACCTATATTGGGCCTTTGGCATTTCTGTGGCATTTTGTATTGAGATTATCTGGTCATTTGACATCATTTTCTGCCCACACTGAATCTCCTGCAAGACCTTCCTCCATGACCATTCCTGAAGGGTGGAGACCAGCCCTTCTCACTGGGACATCACCCTATACTGGGGATCTCCAGTGTAGGTGCCTCCTCATTGGGGCATCACTGTACGCTATAAATCTCTTATGTGACCTATGTCCCTGGACATACCTGAAGGGTGGAGACCAGCCCTCCTTATTGGGGCATCACCCTACCCTGTGAGTCTGCTATGTGACCCATGTCCATGGACATTGCTTGAGCCTTGCTCATTGAAGTGTCACCCTTACCTTGACTCAATGTCTTGTTCCCAGTTAGTGGTCCATAAATAACTGTTGACCAGGCTCTCTCATAGAGGGCTGCCTGAGGTGGGAACTGATGGGAGCAGCTAAATCCTGTGCTGTTGAAAACCCTCAAGGTGACAGAACTGGGTCTCCCTCTTTTGCAGCATCAGTCTCCGAGAGTTGAAGACCATCTTGCCCCTGATCAACTTTAAAGTGAGCAGTGCCAAGTTCCTTAAAGATAAGTTTGTGGTAAGTTTCATGGCTCAGCCTGGGAATTTTATGAATGCGGAGTGACTTAGCCTCTCTCATGAAGCCGTGGCTTGCCTTTGAGTTCCGTGGAATAGTGCACAAGAAAATCCTTTGCCTCCAGAGTACATCTTAGTTCAGACAGAGGGATCATGGACATATCTGAGGACCATCGTCTCAATCCTAGCAGAGAATGTAATCAATAAAGACCATGTTTACTGAGCTCTTGGACTTGGAACATCTACCCTCAGACCTGTTTTCCATTAGTCCAGCTTTCCCTATTTCCCTGACCATACTGCAGCCCATTTTTTCCCTAGTGAAATGAATGCATGTATGTCTTTTGGAAAATATTATGAAAGATTCCTTGTGTAGGGTACCAGGACCGTGGCATTTTGTATGCAAGTCCTGGTAGTGTAGCTGTCAGAGTTGGCTCTTTTTTCTTCTGTTTCTCCAACCATCCATCCTTCCATACATCATTAAATTTATTTTGTTGTGTAATCAAGTTATTGGTGGGTCTGGGCAGTAAAGCCACTCCATGAGTGATGGGATATAGTAGAGCAGGTGAGGCAAGGATGGAGACAATGGGCACCGATTTTTGCTTACAGGGAAATACTCATTCTTCTTAGGAAATGAGCAACCCTGCATCCAAACAGCCCCAGTTGGAGGACTCCAATGCCCATTTTCAATATCAGCTCCATTACAAGGTTCCTCAGTGCAAAAAGCTCATTTCATTTTTGTATTAATGAGCTCCTGGAAAAATTATCCCATTTTATTGCTTATCAAGCATCCTTTGACCTGCCCCCAATATTCCACATTAATCCAATAATAGAAAAAGAGAAAAGGGTAGGTCAGAAGAGGAGAGAGATGGGAGAAGCATTTACCATTGATTGCTACACAGTTGCCATTTAATTCTTTATCAAGTATTTACTGAACCAGGTGTTTTGCAGGTATGTTGTTCACTTTCAGGGAAGCCCTAGGAGCATAGTAGTGGTTCTCCCATTTTACAGGTAAAGAAAACTGAGGGTTTGAAAGGGTCAAGGAAATTGCCCAAAGCCATAAAGCAATTAATTGGAGCTGAGTTCTGTCTGACTCCCAATGCTTTACAAAATGACCTATATGTACGTACTCTACAAATATGTCTGAAGTTGGAAGTCCAAAGAGAGTGTTTTCTGCCCAAAAAAGGAGGAGTTACGCATCATGTCTCTTGGAAACCTGGCTGAGACTCTTCCCTTTTGGGGCTCAAAGGAGGGTCTTACTTGGTAGGTGTCTCTGTGAGTATGTTTTCCCAGACAGGGGGATTAGGGAACGTGTGGAGGGTTTTGATTCAGAGGAATATGAATTTGATTTTAGCCAATGTTGTAGAAAAGCCATGTTAAATAGCATGACTTTTTCCTTTCAAAAGCCATGACACTGAAACAATGTGGTCATAGCTGTCTCTTCAGCATGCCAATAAAATAGCATGCCATTTCTGAAACAAAAATTATTCTATAAATAGCATGGAGCCATTCTTACGGTGGACATCAAAAATCATGTGGTCACTTTTTTCATATTTACAGGAAATAGGAGCACACAAAGATGAGCTCAGCTTTGAACAGTTCCATCTCTTCTATAAAAAACTTATGTTTGAACAGCAAAAATCGGTAAGATGATTCTTGAGCAAGTGATCAAGTGATGTTTCTGTTTTCCATGTATTTCCAAGTCTGGCATGTTCCTAAGAAACCCACAAGAAGTGTTGAATCTCCATTTTAGTCAAGGAAACATAAATGAGAATGATGAAAGCATACCATTTTCATCCATTAGATTGGCAAAATTCTTTAACCATGACAGAGCTGTGGGCAAAATGTAGAGAAATGGTGTTCATATGCCTTCCTGGTGGAAATGCGAATGGCCATAAGTTTGATTGGAATTTGATCTGAGTCTGTTAAAAAAGTGCAACTCACTCTACTGCATTATTTCATTCTGAAAGGAAATTTAGCAAATGGCTGTTATTATTAATAGCCATCTCCAGATTGAGGAATTATATATATGTTTCTTCTTTTTACACGTTTGTTTGTTTGTTTTGAGATAGAGTCTCACTCTGTTGCCCAGGCTGGAGTGCAGTGGTGTGATCTTGGTTCACTGCAACCTTTGCCTCCCGGGTTCAAGCGATTCTTGTGCCTTAGCCTCCCCAGTAGCTGGGATTGCAGACGTGCGCCACCACGCCCAGCTAATTTTGTATTTTTAGTAGAGATGGGGTTTTGCCGCATTGGGTGGGCAGGTCTCGAACTTCTAACCTCAACTGATCGGCCCGCCTCCACTTCCTAAAGTGCTGGGATTACAGGTGTGAGCCACTGTGCCCAGCCCTTTATATACTTTTATTCATATTTTTTATGAGGGCATATTTTTTGATTAAAATAATAGACTATTTAAAAATTAAGAGGGTGTATGTTTTGATCTGACAGTGGCATCCTGGGGACTCTGTTTTATGAAAGGGAAAACATCGGGGCCTGAGAATATATTATCGGATTGTTTATTGCAGCATTACTTATGCTGGCAAAGTACCTGGGCACCATCTGAATGTCTCAATGGAGGAATTGCTGGGTAAATTATGGTCTATCCATATTATGTGACATTATGCAGCTGATTAAGAAGCATGTGTCAGTTCTCTTTCCATTAATCTGAGATGATATTTGTGACATTTTGTGATGAAAGCCAGCAGCAGATTTACATCAGGAGTCAGGTCTGCTATTTTGTTAAAAATCATAGAATACAGGCCAGGTGCAGTGGTTGACGCCTGTAACCCCAGCACTTTGGGAGCCCAGGCGGGTGGATCATTTGAGGTCAGGAGTTTGAGATGAGCCTGGTCAACATGGCAAAACCCCATCTCTACTAAAAATACAAAAATTAGCCAGGCATGGTGGTGTGCACCCGTAATCCCAGCTACTTGGGAGGGTAAGGCAGGAGAATCACTTGAACCTGGGAGGCGGAGGTTGCAGTGAGCCGAGATTGCACTACTGCACTCCAGCCTGGGCAACAGAGTGAGACTCCATCTCAAAACAAACACAAAAACAGAGAATGCAATAATCCTCCTTTTGCTCCTTTTTATGAGCAAGGGGAGAGTATGGAAGAAAGCACCTCACATTTAATGTTGATTTTGTGTGTGTGTGCTGGAAGGGGTTGGGAAGATAGGCAGGAAGGATAGTTACCTTTTCTTTGCACAGCTCATTTTCTGTGATATGTTCCAAGTAACATGTTACCTTTGCAATAAAAAGTTCCATAGAGCATAAAGTTTTAAAATTGAGACTATTCTGTGCGATGCACCTAGCACAGTACCTGGTAGGTGGCACACATTCAATAAGTAGGGGCTGCTGTTGTTGCTGTCAGGAAAGGGCTTTGCAGACTGCAAAAGAGTTCCCAGAGAAAGGTGTGAGGGCTTGGGGAGTACCTGGAACTTGGAGTCAGGTGGCTGTGGTTTCTGCAGTTAGCTGCATGATCTTGGATGAACCACTGACTGCTCCTAGCCTCAGTCTTCTCCTCTGTGCAATGGGAGGTTGGGAGTTGTGAAGACAGGCATTTTTAAGTGATGAGCATGAATGTTCCTAGAAGACAGTCATTAATTGCTTTCTGCATGCAGAGCTGTGGGCTGGCCACACAGTGAGGCCACCTGATGGGTGACCACTGGCCGTGGGACTTTGGATGTATCTGAGTTAGAGAAATGGGAGGGCCATTTCCTATCTGCCCAGATTTGGGGAAAACATATTTCTTAGAGTGGATCATTGAATTGCAATGTGTTCATTTTTTCTCATATATAATAATTAGTTATTTGTTTGCCAAATGAAATAGAAAGATTGCAGGCTTGGGAGTTGGGAGAACTGGATTCTAGACCCACTTGACCTCTAACTGACCAAGTAATGTTGGGGGAAGCCATCTCTGTCCTCTCACTTAGCCTTTTCTATAAAATGAAGGTATTAAATGAGATCAATGGTTATAAAACTTTTAATACTCTTTAATCCCCTCTCCTTTAGACAGGAAACTGTAACAACCACAACAAAAACCATGATTCATAAAAGCTTATCAGAATACTTTTTAAGGTTAAAACCTGTAACTTTAAAAATAGTCCTTGAGAACAATGACGTGTGTCATTGAACATAGAACATGTCATAGAATAATGATGACAGTGTGCGTATGAAATTTGGAATGGTGACGATTGTCATCTTATGCAATTGACCAGGATTGAGAAAAGCTCGATTTACTCAAGATAAGTAGTTGCAAATAACAGTTTTTTTTTTTTTAATAATAGTTTACCTTGAAATTTCAAGATGCTGTGTTGTCAGACAGATGTCAGGCAAAGTTTGAAAATAAGATTTGCACATGGCTGGGAGCAGTAGCTCACGCCTGTAATCCCACCACTTTGGGAGGCCAAGGCAGGAGGATCCTTTGAGCTCAGGAGTTTGAGACTAGCCTGGGCAACATAGTGAGACCTAGTCTGTATTATTAAATAATATTAAAAATTAAAAAAAGAAGATTTGCACAAAAGCTGTTTCACCTGCTACCAGATTAACCCATTCATTGATGGTTTCCACTGTGGTAACATTCCACATGAGAGGTATTTCAACCTGTACTTTAATTATGGCTCTTATTAAGGCTAGTCTGTGTGTTTGTGTCTATGAGGGAGAAACATAAATTGGAATCAGAGTTTTACAAAATGTCAGAACCCTCTGGGGTGCCCTAGATTGCCCCGTGTGGAACTTTGTATGGCAAAGATTCTGCCGATACCAAAGGTTGACCCCTGGTGGCCAGAATGCCACATTGAGCCTGCCCCTGGTTGTACTTGATCTAATGGTTTAAATATGTTAAAAATTAATTGCCTACATTTAAAACTTGAGAGATTATATTATATATTAAAATCTAGATATTTGGCTTCCCTTAGGAAAAAAATCGAGATCTGGCTATAAATAGGGTCACATCTCGCCATGGAACGGTCCACTTTCTCTGTATTGACCCAGCCCCATACAGCTCTGTCTGCTCATTTATGTTGCTTACCTGACCCCAAAGAAGTTTTGCTTTGGCAACCCTCATCTCCACTGTTTGAGGGTATAACTCTCCAGTTTGGTCACTGCATTTTAAAAATTTAATTTAGTGACAGATTTGAATAACAAAGTCCCAAGCTATGTAGATGGCTTCTGGCCAGCTCTAAGAACCTCACTGCTGTTGTGTAGGTAAATGCCCATCCCCTAACCTGTTAGCAAATTGTTTACTTCCTGTTCCTGGCTGGAAGCACAGGGCAGAGAAAAGTACCTGTTTTGTGATTTGGGGGGAATGAGGGCCTAGCTGGATTTCTCAGGCTCCTGCAGGAGACAGAGCTATTTATGGTGACTTATAATCCCCAGAACTAAATCCAGGGAGTGGGTTCATGCTTATCAGCAGCCAAATGGTTTCCATCGTGAGCTTGCTAGTTCCTCTTTGTGTCTAACCACCTGCCTACGTTCCACCTCTCGAGCTTCAGAGTTTCCAAAAGTTTGGCAGCAGCAGGAGGATAAGAAATGTAATCTCACGTTTGTGTCTCCCTGGTGAGGGGATATACCTCTAACTAGGCTGTAATAACAGTATCATTAACAAAGATGATAGCCAACATTTTCTCAGGTGGACTATTTGCTAGGCACTATCCTATGTGTTTTTTTTTTTTTTTTTTTTTTTTTTTTTATTTGAGACAGAGTCTTTCTCTGTTGCCCAGGCTGGAGTGCAATGGCACGATCTTGATTCACTGCAACCTCTTCCTTCCGGGTTCAAGCGATTCTCCTGCCTCAGCCTTCTGAGTAGCTGGGATTACAGGCATGCACCATCACGCCTGGCTAATTTTTGTATTTTTAATTGAAACGGGGTTTCACCGTGTTGGCCAGGCTAGTCTCGAACTCCTGACCTCAGGTGATCCTCCCGCCTTGGCCTCCCAAGGTGCTGGGATTACAGGTGTGAGCCATCATGCCCAACCTGCTCTATGTGTTTTGTATACATTTAATTCCCCCCTAGAGGCCTGTGCAAGAGCTACTGTTGTTATTGCCATTTTAGGGATTAAGAAACTGAGGTCCAGAGAGGTTACTTTGCTGAAGGCCTGTTTACTGCAGGGTAGTAAGCTGCAGAGCTAGGATTTGATTTTCTGCCCAACTTTGACGCATAGCCATGGAATACTTCTTAATTTTTGAATCCTTTGTATTAAAGAAAATGTAAAGCATATAGAAGTAGAGAGAATAGCGTAACAGACCCCCATGTATCATCAGCTGACTTCAGCCATTATCACCTTGTCACTGCCCTCACCCAAGTCCCTTTTCTCACACTTTGCAGCAGACATCAAGCAGCGTATCAGGTCATCTGCCAATACTGTAATTTAATACCTGGCTACGTGACTGCTACCCTGCTACCTCCTGATCAAACCTGTGAAGTCCCCTGTGGTTACAGCATTCTTACATAAAAATAGAAAGCACTTGCAAAAAATCAAAAAGAAAATTGAGAAGGCTGCTAACGTATCTCTGGTTGTTCCTATGATCCAGTAAGGCATTGAAGGATTATTCTGCCGGATTTTACATGGGTGTGAGCATGGGGGAAGTGAGTGATGAGCGTTCTGTGACGATGTTTGTGGAGGAGCTCAGAGATCTTGCAGTTTATTCTTATTGTCAGTGGCTGGCAAGAGGAGAGTCCACAGTGGAGAAGTTAGATAGAATCTCTGGTTAGCTTTTCTTTTTCTTTCTTTTTTTTTTTTTTTTTTTTTGTTTTTGAGACAGGGTCTCACTTTGTCACCGAGGCTGGGGTGCAGTGGTACAATCATGGCTCACTGCAGCCTCGAACTCCCTGGCTCAGATGATTCTCCCACCTCAGCCTCCGGAGTACCTGGGACCACAGGCGTGTGCCACCATGCAGGCTAATTTTTGTATTTTTTGTAGAGACAGTTTCACCATGTTACCCAGGCTAGGCTTGAACTCCTGGGCTCAAGTGATCCACCCGCCTTGGCCTCCCATAGTGCTGGGATTATAGACATGAGCCACTGTGCCTGGCCTAGCTTTTCTATTGATGAGATTTTACCCTTGGCCTTCCAGAACCAAATGGTTTCTACAGCCTAAGTACCACTGAGTGCGTAAGACCAGCTTCGGTTGTGAAAGGGCGTGTGCCTTCAGCCACGTGGGAAAACTCCATTCCTTTCCCTCCCTTTCTTAGTGCCCTGGCCCCTGCTTCTGTGACCCCCGCCTCTGGCATGGCCCCTTCTCTTGTCCAGCTGGTAACTTCTCCTGGGGCCCGACTCAGAGATGACATTTCCCTGTAGCCTTTTAGCTACCAGAAGAAATTAGTTTATCTATTATTTTAGTCACTCATCCAGTAAATGTGTGCGTGACCCAAGAGGCACAGTGGTTAACAATACAGCTGTTTCTCCTGACCTCACTGGCCCTTTGCTGGGGTGGGAAGGTCCTGGGATGTTGCCCAGAGTGACATAAGGCCCAGTGCCACCCCTGTCCCTTGGTTAGGTAGAATCTGACCACATAACCCTCCATGGTAATGCCGAACATAAATTAACTGCTGCCTCCACGGTGCACCCGTAGCATCTAGAATATTCTGTGATTGCTGGAATCTCATTTATTGTGTGTACATATGTACGTGTAGTGTGGGATGCTAGAGATTTACCAAGGTGGGCCTGGGTTGAAATTCTGGCCCTTGGACTTGTTAGGAGAAAAGTCCTTGCCTCCCTGGGCCTGTTTCTTGTTTCTGAAATGGGGCTTATTTTACTACCTGATGGGATCAGCAGGAGGAGTGACTGAGACTGTCACCGTCTTGCCCCAGCTCATGGAGCCCATGTTCATTTCCTGGGGCCGCTGTGGCAAGTACTGCAACTCGTGGCTTAAAAATAACAGAAGTGTCGGGCACGGTGGCTCACGCCTGTAATCCCAGCACTTTGGGAGGCCAAGGCGGGCGGATCGCGAGGTCAGGAGATCGAGACCATCCTGGCTGACACGGTGAAACCCTGTCTCTACTAAAAATACAAAAAAAATTAGCTGGGCATAGTGGCGGGTGCCTGTAGTCCCAGCTACTTGGGAGGCTGAGGCAGGAGAATGGCGTGAACCTGGAGGCGGAACTTACAGTGAGCCGAGATTGCGCCACTGCACTCCAGCCTGGGCGACACAGCGAGACTCCGTCTCAAACAAACAAAACAACAAAACACAGAAGTTTATTCCCTCACTGTACTGGAGGTTAAAAGTCCAAAATCCAGGTGTTGGCAGGGCCACACCCCTCGGAAGGCTCCAGGGAAGGATGTGTTCCAGACATCTTTCATGGCTTCTAGTGGCTGCCAGCAATGCTTCAAGCATTCCTCGGAGTGTGGACACCGCCTGGCTGCTGGTGGCTGCCAGCAGTCCTACAAGTGTTCCTCGGTGTGTAGATGGCATTGCTCTTTGGTGTGCAGACACCATCACTCCTCGGCATGTAGGCGTCATCGCTTCTTGGCGTGTAGATGTCATTGCATCGCTCCTTGGCTTGTAGATGTCATTGCATCGCTCCTTGGCTTGTAGATGTCATTGCATCGCTCCTTGGCTTGTAGATGTCATTGCATCGCTCCTTGGCTTGTAGATGTCATTGTGCCAGTCTCTGCCTCCATCATCACATGGACCCCTTTTCTCTGTGTGCTTCTCTGTCTCCAAATCTCCCTCTTTTTTTTTTAATTTTTTTTTTTTTTTTTTTTTTTTTTGAGAGGGAGTCTCGCTCTGTCACCCAGGCTGGAGTGTAGTGGCGCCATCTCGGCTCACTGCAAGCTCTGCCTCCCGGGTTCACGCCATTCTTCTGCCTCAGCCTCCCGAGTAGCTGGGGACTACAGGCGCCCACCACCACGCCTGGCTAATTTTTTGTATTTTTTTAGTAGAGATGGGGTTTCACTGTGTTAGCCAGGATGGTCTCCATCTCCTGACCTAGTGATCCGCCTGCCTCGGCCTCACAAAGTGCTGGGATTACAGGTGTGAGCCACCGTGCCCGGCCCAAATCTCCCTCTTTTAAGAAGCCAGGCACTGGATTCGGGTCCACCCTAACCCAGCAAGGCCTCATCTTAACTTGATTGCACCTTGCAAAGACCCTAATTCCAAAGAAGGTCATGCCCATGGGTACTGGGTATTAGGACTTGGACATATATTCCCGGGGACACCATCCTATACATAATACTAGCTATAACTTTTTCTATCTTTAGAACGTCTTCCTTGATCACCTGTGCCCCATACTGTCAACTACAGCCCCATTTATCTGCCCCCTTTAAAGTAACCTACTCCAAGAGCTGTCTACGCTTCCCTTCTTCCTACTGTCTCTTGAGTCTATTCCCGTCTTGTTTCCATCCCTGCCTCCTAGAGCACTTCATCTTGGCACGTCAGCCATCACCTCCATGTGTTGCGAATCCAGAAGTCTGCCCCGTGGTCTTTATCTTGTCCACTCAGCAGCACGTGTCAAAGCTGGTCACTCTCTCCTTGATGTTGTAACTTGCCTTTGGGATGCCCGACTGTCTTCCTTATCTTGCCTCTCACTGTTGGTTCTCTTGCAGCGTTTGTGGCTCTTGGCTTTCATTTGTTCTTTTTCATTCTCTGTCCTGCTCTGCGTCCCAGGGGCCAATTCCTGCAAACACGTTCCCAGGTGCCTGTGCCAATGAGCTTCCGGTTGCTTCAACAAGCAGAGTGTCCGGGCAGGGAGTTGCAAGACCTGGCAGAGGAGGGGAAGCCAGGTCTTTCCTGGTTCTGGGAGCATCTGTACCATGGTGGTACCTCTGCCATTGTCCGAGCTCCCTGAGTGGGGGAATGCGGTGCGGGCTTTTTCTGTGCTTTGTTGAAAGGAATGTAAAGGAAGGAGAGGGCTGAAGAATTGCATGTGGTGGTCAGTGAGGGGGGCCACACACTGGGCTCCCTCCAGATGTAAATAAGCTGGGTGTGGGGCTTTGGGCTTGGAAGTGTTCTAGCCCCTGATGCCTTCAGCAGCAGGCTGACTTGGTGACCTAAGCAGTAAATGAGTCCAAATAGCAACATGCCCTGTCTAAAATCTGCAACACCACCCCTTTTTAAAAAGAAATACCTATGCTGTAAATTACACATCAACGAAAGGAAGTACTTCTCAGTTTGCCTAAAAAGGCTAAGTTTGCGGCTCTTAACCTTTTGGTGGGACCTACTCCTTTGAGATGCTGATTATGTCTCCAGAAGAAACACACACCCACACAAACTGATGTGGACTCTCTGATGCTTCTCAGAGGCCTGCGATTCCCTTTCTAGAACCCTGATAGTCCCCATGACGTCCTGGGCTGCAAGGAGTTCAGCAAGAGGACCCTGGGTCATCTGGGGTAGGAGATGTTTTATGTCGTTAGCATTGATCATGTGATAGTGGATACATTTCCCTAAGTGCTTATCCAATCGCAGTGTCATTGAAGACTGTTGAAGCAAGGCTACCTGGGCAGAAATGGACAAGATGTGGGTGTGCAGGGTGCCTGTGTACAATGCACAGAAAATGGGCTGGTGCAAGTAGAAGCTGGAGGGAGGGGTGCTCCATGGCGCCCCCCTTGGTGGAAGAGCCTCTTCATCATGCAACAGTTGGCACGGCAGTGGGCTGTGAAGAGAGGAGCTGAAGCAGTCCGATATTTCTTTCGTCTTCTTGCCTTCGAAGATTAGAAATGCATCTTTGAAATACTAAAGATTTGAAATGTTGCCTGTAATCCCAGCTACTGAGGGGGCTCAGGAGGGAGCATCTCTTGAGGCCAGGAGTTCAAGACCATCCTGGGCAACATAGTAAGACCTGCATCTCTACAAAAAGAAAAAATATTAGCCGGGCATGGTGGCGCATGCCTGTAGTCCTAGTTACGCAGGAAGCTAATACAGGAAGATCATGTGAGCTCAGGAGAGTGAGGCTGTGGTGAACTATGGTCGTGCCACTGCACTCCAGCCTGGGTAACAGTGAGACCCCATCTCTAAAGAAACCTGGCAGTGAGGATATAGAAAAAGGTATGTGTACCCCAGTGGAGGTGCCTATCTCAACTGTTTTGAGAGCACCTTGGCAGAATTTATCAAAGCCAATGTGCCTACAATGTGCTGTGTCTACGCGCTTTTCCTTCTAGGACTCTACTCTGTAGAAAAACTGGCACAAGTGGGCAAAGATAGAGAAATAGGCACACAGGGACACTTAAAAATAATACTAGATGTTACAAAAATCAAGTGACATGCTTATTGTGGAATACAATGGTTTTTCAAAGAAAGGAAACAGGGTTATTTGAGGTTGCAGAATAATATGTAAAGCTTGAAACACAGCAAAAAATTGTGAGATGTACGTAAATGTTATAATATGATATGATACCATTAAATGAATATCCCTAAAACAAATTCTAGAAGGAAACCTATGAAATGCTTAAGGGTGACTGCTTCTTGGGAATACGACTGTGGAGGGAATGAGGAGGGCTTCTACCTTTTGCTTCTTAAGTTTCTGTTATATTTGAATATTTACAACTAACATCAACTAAAATGATATTTTTAATGATCTTGTTGCATCTGACAAAATGATGCTTTTTTAACAACAAAAATCTTTCCGTTTTTGCATTAAGTGACTTGTCTAAGGTTCTTTTTTTTGTGTGTGCTTTCCATTTCAGATTCTCGATGAATTCAAAAAGGATTCGTCCGTGTTCATCCTGGGGTGAGGCAGCTCTTGTGTGTCGTTCGGGGCGGCTGTGCCGGACCTCGGTGCCTGGTGCCCAGCCGGCCTCCAGGAGGGGATGCCTGTGTGTGCAGGCGCTGACCTCCAAAGGGGCAGGGGGCCCCTGCTGGGGAATTGGCCATCCCATGCCTGTGGCGTGGATAGAGATGAGCAGTAGCAACAGGAAGGTGTGGAGCACTGGGAGGATGGTCCAGAAAGTTCTGTAGAAAAGCCTGTGTGCCTCAGGGCCTCCTTTCCCCGAATGTGCCTCATGAGATGTGACAGGTTAATAGTTTTTTTTTTTAATTACAAAAACTAATGTTAATGATCAAATAAGTGAAAAATTCCTTGTTAAACAGGTTTAACTGAATTAAAATGAGTTCAGGTGTATAAACTGCTTCACATGATGCTTGGCACCCATGAGGGGCTGATAGATAGTAATATTATTACTAAAAAGTCAGAGTTGCAGGACTTATCAGGACATTCACTGTGCCTCATGATTTCCCAAGTGGGGAATTTCTGAGATGTTATGTGTTTCCCCAGCCTATCTGACTGGGAGAAATGTTGGCCCTGGAGTTAATGGTCTGGGGTACGTTGATCCAGTCTTTATCGGTGAGCAACTTTTCCCTCTGTCACTTTTGAAATCAGAAACTCCAAGACTCCAAAGTATAAATAAAATGAATCTAATTTTTATATAGTATGTATATTCGAGACGGAGCCTCCCTTTGTCGCCTAGGCTGGAGTGCACTGGCGCAATCTTGGCTCACTGCAACCTCCACCTTCCAGGTTCAAGCGATTCTCCTGCCTCATCCTCCGAATAGCTGGGACTACAGGCATCCATCATGTCCAGCTATTGTTTTTTTTTTTTTTGTATTTTTGGTAGAGATGGGGTTTCACCATGTTGGCCAGTCTGGTGTTGAACTCATGACCTCAGGTGATCCACCTGCCTTGGCCTCCCGAAGTGCTGGGATTACAGGCATGTGCCACTGTGCCCAGCCATAATTTCTATGTAGTATTTTAATGAAAACTTAGTGTTAGACTGTGAGGCTGGTGGGGAAAGGTTAGAATTGTACTCATAATCAAAGACAACAGACTCCTGGACCCTGAGTGTTTAGTAAAGGGAGAAAGCTCAGGGCATGTTTCATCTCTTACACTATTTGAAATAGACCTCTTTTCCCCAGGCTCCTGCAAGTGCTCAGGGAAACATACCCATTACCCTGGGAAGCCCCGTGTAGCAGAATGTACTCCCCATCCAACCCGGGGGTGGCTCGTGCTGGCCCAGTGAGGCCCTGTTTTTCTGGTGGCCTGCTGGCCAAGGCGGGAGTCCTGCCTTTATTCGGAGTGTAGTGTTCCCTAGTGTTCCCTACCTGATACCTAACCTCTGCTTGGTCCAGGGAAGTGTCTTTCACACTGCAGTTAATTTTGCCCTGATGGCCTGGAGTCTGGTGGGGCCTCATGTGGCTCCCACTCCAGAGCACTCAATGACCCAGGGAACTCTGGATCGTGGCTTCTGAGGAGGCCCTTGGGTCTGGCTCCTGTCCTTTCTCCAACACCAGCTCTCCCTCTACGGGCGGGTGGTGTGTCGAGCCCTGTCTGGGTATTGGATAGGCACACTCACATCCCTGTGTTCCCCACACCTTTTGCTCTGCAATCCCTCCCTCTGGCCTGCGTTCCCTCGCTCCTACTCCTCTTTCTTTCCTCCCCTCCCTTCTCTTTTTTCCTCGAGGCCGCTGCTTCTCTGGTTTCCTTGCCAGGTACTCTCTGCACCTCCTTCTTGCTCACCCCACCTCATTCTTGCTCACCCCACCTCATTCTGGCTCACCCCACCTCGTTCTGGCTCATCCCACCTCACTCTCTGGAGCTCAAGTAGGTGCCTTTTCCTCAGGAAAGCCCCTCTGGTCCTCCAGGTCTGGGTTTGGGGCCTTCTCAGCCATTCCCACTCTTCCCCTCCCTTCCCACCCTCATCTCTTGCTACACTGTATCCCATATGCCTGGTTCACCTGTCTTCCCCATGGCCACACTCCTGGAGGGGCTCCTCAGACTCTGGGGTGCACCAGAGCTATTTTGGAGCAGCTAAATGTAGACACCAGGGCCTGCCCCTTGAGATTCCGATGTCAGGGTCCCTCTGAATCCTTGTAGGTGAGGGACATTGTGTCACTCACCTGTGTCTTCCTGTTGGCCAACCTGGTACCTAACACAGTGCCAGACTAAGTGGGGCGTTCTGGGTGGCAGGCTGCCCCATTGGCTGGCATCTCCTCTCGACTCCTCTGTTGAATGTGTCTGTCTCTAACTGCACCCCCTTTCCCCGAGGATAGGAACACTGACAGGCCGGATGCCTCTGCTGTTTACCTGCATGACTTCCAGAGGTTTCTCATACATGAACAGCAGGTGAGAGCACAAGGTGTGTGGGTGCCTGAGGGAGCTGGCGGGATGCTGCTGGGGACTAGTCTCACCCTTCTGCCGCCTGTGCTCACCTGGTCACCTGTGCTCACCTGGCCACCTGTGCTCACCTGGCCACCTGTCTTCATGGAACGATTGCAGTCTGCCAGATGCCAGAGACTTCAGATTGCTGTCTGATGCCACTGAAACTCTGGATGAGAAGAGCCTCATGTCGGGCCTCTTTTGAAGGCACACATTGAGGATGAGAAGACTGAGAAGATGGCAGGGCAGGAGGGGTGAGGGCCTGAGGATGGGGCTGCCCTCACCTGGCTGGGTGCACCTTTTCTGGCCATCATCTCAGGTGTCACTGCCTGGGAAGCCTTCCTTGACTGATGGGAGGATGGGATCAGATTCATCAAGCCTGCCAGGTCCCCTGGGAGATAAACTAGCACAGCTTTCCTTAAACAGGTGATGCCTGGGACAGTCTCCCTGGACAGGGTTTGCCTGTGGGCTCTGAGCCCAGCTATAGACTCAAGGGGGGGTTGTGTTGCGCCTTGGTTTTCCACTGCTGTGACGATGCCCCCAGAGGACACTGGGCAGTGTCCAGAGACGACATGGGTGCGTGTCACAGCGGGAGGCTGCTGCCGGCATCTAGCAGGTCAACACCAGGGATGTTCCTAAATATCCTACATTGCACAGGGCAGCCCCCCCTACCCCCCAGCGAAGAAGTATTCAGGGCCGGGTAGGGTGGCTCACGCCTATAATCCCAGCACTTTGGGAGGCCGAGGCGGGCGGATCACTTGAAGCCAGGAGTTCGAGACCTACCTGGCCAACATGGTGAAACCCCATCTCTACTAAAAATACAAAAATTAGGCAGGCATTGTGGTGGGTGCCTGTAATCCCAGCTACCTGGGAGGCTGAGGCAGGAGAATGGCTTGAACCTGGGAGGTAGAGGTTGCAGTGAGCCGAGATTGCGCCACTGGACTGCAGCCTGGGCAACAGAGCAAGACTCCGTCTCAGAAAACAAAAAACAAAAACACCCCCACCCCACCAAAAAAAAAAAAGTCAAAGAAGTATTCAGCACCAAGTACCTACAGTGCTGAGGACAAGAAACTCTGTGAGAGTGAGATCAACTTGAAATCATCTTACCAGCTGCACAGCCACCGACAGGTGGTTTACCCTTTTTGTGCCCCAGTTTCCCCCTCTTTAAGTGGGATTGAGAGCATCTACCTCTGAGAATTGTGGGGATCAGAGTCAATTGTATGGATCTGTGTGTGTGTGTGTGTGTACATGTATGCATGTCTTTTCACATATAAATCTCAAATTTTTGTTTATATCATTGGAGTTCCATTTACTTTTTTCTTTTACTTCATTTGTTTTTTTTTAAATAGAGTTTATATTTTAGAGTAGTTTTAGGGTTGCAGCAAAAATAAGTTCATTTACTTAAAAAACCTCTTGTCTTGCAGAACATTTCAAACATACACAAAAGCAGACAGACGGTTTAATGAACCACCACGTATCATCACTCAGATTAAAAATTACGAGCATTTTGCAATTTTTTTTTTGTTTGAGATAAGGTCTCACTCACCCCCTTGCCCAGGCTGGAGAGCAGTGGCATGGTAACAGCTCACTGCAGCCTCGACCTCCTGGGCTCAACCGATCCTCCTGCCTCAGCCTCCCGAATAGCTGGGACTACAGGTATGTGCCACCATGCCTGACAATTTTTTTTTTTTTTTTGAGATAGAGTCTTGCTCTGTCACCAGGCTGGAGTACAATGGCTCTGTCCCATGTTCAAGTGATTCTCCTGCCTCAGCCTCCCAAGTAGCTGGGATTGCAGGCGTCTGCCACAACACCTGTATTTTTGTATTTTTAATAGAGTCGGGGTTTCACAATGTTGGTCAGCCTGGTCTTGAACTCCTGGCCTCAGGTGATCCACCCGCCTTGGCCTCCCAAAGTGCTGGGATTACAGGTGTGAGCCACCACGCCCAGCCCCGACTAATTTTGTATCTTTAGTAGAAACAGGATTTCCCCATGTTGCTCAGGCTGATCTCCAACTCCTGGGCTCAAGTGACTCACCTGTCTCAGCTCCCCAAATTGCTGGGATTACAGATGTGAGGCACTGTGCCCGGCCCACTTTGCCAGTTTTATTTCATCCACTTCTAACTTTACACTCCTGTATCTCCCTACCCTTCCCCTTTCTTCATTTCTTTGCTGAAGAATTCTAAAGCAAACCCCAGACTTTGCGTCATTTTGTTTGTAAATACTTCTGTATGTTTCTCTCACAGATAGAACTTTTTTTTTTAAAATATAGCCATAACACTCCTCTTACAGCTTGTGCAATTAACAGTAATTTTTAAATGCCATCCGATACCCAGCCTGCATTTGGATTTCATTGATGGAAGAGAAACTTATGAGTAGAGAAGACATGTTTTGCACAAGGCCATCCACACTGAGGGCTCAGGAAAGGGTCGTAGCTACCCTAGTAGGCTGATAAATGGTGAATGAGGATGTTGATGCGTGTTGTAATCATCATGCCTTCCTAGTGCCGGGGTTGAATGATGATGATCAAAAGAAGGCTTATTTGCCCAACCTGAGACTAAGTTTGAGGGAGGAAGTAAAATGAAGGTAATAAGTTAATTTTATTGGGCACAGTCACGTTAGGTCTGAGCTGGTGCTAGAGTGAGGTAGAGAGAAATTCATGCACTTTTTTCCCTTCATTATTTTCCTTCCACTAAATTATTCAGTTTAGTAGGGAACGATTAAAGTTAAATTGGTTAAATTCTTGGGGACAAGTAGCCTCGCATCCTAGAATTCACCACCTGGTAGGGAGACTGGGGCGTGTAGATTTACCCCACCTAGTGGTGGTTGACTTTATTACGTGCTTTCCCCAAACGGGGCCCTTTGCTGGGCTGCCCTTAGAGATCAGGGATCTGGGGCCAGGAGAAAGTGTAGGAAATCTCTCTCTCTGCATCTGGGGAGTTAGGACCCGAGCAGCCATGAGCATCCATGCGATGTTTGTTGGTCACACAGATGCTCATATGGAATAATCACTGCAGCACTTTGTGTGCAAATTAGTATGCCTTTTCTAGAAAACACTTTGGCTGTATGCAATGAAAAGAAAGCTTTACAACTCGATTCTATATCTGGAGTAAATAGTTGCCCTCCCAGACACTTATCCTAAGGAAATAATGGCAGCATTTTTAATAGGAATGAAAACTTGGAAGTAATCTAAATTTCTTTAGAGGATTGGTTAAGTACGCCATAGTACAGCTCTGGGATGGATGGGTGATGGGATAGGAAGGGGGTTAAAAGTATGTTTCTAGAATCAGTGTTTCTGGGTTTAGTCTGAGGCTCATGACTGGGACCACTTACTTAATGACTAGAAGCCTCTCCTCTGTTTCCCCATTTATATAACATGGAGAATAACCTGTACCTCCTGGGGTGGTGGTAAGTTCAAGATGAGACACCGTGTGGGGCCGAGTATAGAGTCAGTGCTCAGTGTTGATGGCCATCGCCATTTATTTTTATTTTCATCCTTATTCTTTGCCATTTTCACTATTACAGGTATCTAGTGCAATACCCTACACCAAGTGGATGCATTTTATAACCCCTAGAATATTGACATTTCAGTCTTCTTTAGGTAGAAGATTTCTTTCTTTGCAGCCAGTCCAGGGCCAGGTTATATTAGCTAAGTACCCATGCCTTTTGATAAATGCAAAAACTTTGTAGGGGGAAGGAAGGAGAATGCCTCCAGCCTCTTTGGGACATCTTGGCCAGGCAAAGTTGTTTTTTTTTTTTTTCTTTTGAGATGGAGTCTCGCTCTGTCACACAGGCTGGAGTACAGTGGCGCGATCTCTGCTCACCGCAAACTCTGTCTCCTGGGTTCACGCCATTCTCCTGCCTCAGCCTCCCGAGTACCTGGGACTACAGGCACCCGCCACCACGCCCAGCTAATTTTTTGTGTTTTTAGTAGAGACGGGGTTTCACCGTGTTAGCCAGGATGGTCTCGATCTCCTGACCTCATGATCCGCCCACCTCGGCCTCCCAAAGTGCTAGGATTACAGGCATGAGCCACCACGCCCGGCCTAGTATTTTAATAAAATATCCCACAATTTGGGTTTCATGTTCTAGTATTCAAAGATTCTGACACCTCTGTATTCAAATGAGCTTGTAGTTTCCCACCTTCCTAGCTGTTTTGGGCCCCTGATCCAGGCATATTTGCAAGAGTCAACAGCAGTTCATTTTTGTCTTGCACCCATGCATGTCACCAGCCTGCTGGTCACCACCTGATTTGTGTCTGTTCTTCTATTTTTCATTGTTTCGGACATTGCATCCAGCCCTTCCCATCTAAGCACACACACATCTGGTCGCATATTTGCTTCTATTAGTCATAAAGATAAAGTTGTTAGAATATTTGAAGTGAAGAAAGCATTGATCAAAGTTGAATTTACATGTCATATTTCATCCCCTTTTCCTATGAATATTTGGGATTTCAGGGCATGGAGAGGAAAGCAACAGTTACTTAATATTATGCATTCTTTTTTTAAAGGGTTTCTAGAATGTCTAGGACTGTGCAGCAGCTGCTTTGGAACTGGTCATGTATATTTCAGACGTTATCAGTGTTTCAGCAGCCCTGTTTGCCTATTCTTTTGAAAAGAGGGCATATGATTACATTCCATATCAGTTTCGTTATTTGGAGCTGAGACTCTGCAGTTTACAAGCTGTGTGAGCTTAGGATCATGAGGTATTGTTCCTGGGCCTCTGTTTCCTTTTCTGTAAAATGACAATGGCAATAAATGACTTGCGGAGTTGTGTGGACTAAGTGAGATGACCATAGGAGGAAGAAAGATGCTTGTTTGCACAAGCTGCCACGGTCAGAGTACTTTCTTTTTTTTTGAGACAGAGTTTCACTCTGTTGTCCAGGCTGGAGTGCAATGGTACAACCTCGGTTCATTGCAACCTCCGCCTCTTGGGTTCAAGCAATTCTCTTGCCTCAGCCTCCTGAGTAGCTGGGATTACAGGCACCTGCCACCACGCCAAGCTGATTTAAAGAAAAAAAAAATGTTTGTATTTTAGTAGAGATGGGGTTTCACCATGTTGGCCAGGCTGGTCTCAAACTCCTGAGCTCAGGCAGTCCACCCGCCTCGGCCTACCAAAGTGGGTCTGAGCACTTTCTGTGCACCAGGTGCTGCATTAGGCACATAACCTAATAAGATTTTATACAATGCTTCATACAGTGTACATTTCATACAATGCTTCACAGAAACTGTGTGGTAGATACTCTTATTCCCACTTCATGGATGGGGAGGCACAGAGACGGTATGTAACTTGCCCAAGGTCAACTAGGTGGAATGAGATGCCAACCCAGGTAAGTGACCTGGAAGGCTGATGTAACTACTATGCCCCCAGGCTGCTTCATACTAACAAACGTAAAGAGCTATCATAGGGCAGGAGCTGGCAAACCATGACCTATGGACCAAATATAGCTGACCACTTGTTTTTATAAACAAAATATTGTTGGAATACAACCATGCCCATTTGCCTACGGATCATCTGTGGCTGCTTTTGCAACACAACAGCGGAGTTGAGTGGTTGCGACAGACACCGTATGGCTCAGAGAGCCCAAAATATTTACCTCTGGCTCTCTGCAGAGAACATTTGCTGACCCCTGGCAGAGGGCCATGTGCAGAATGAGGCCTCAACATGTGGTGGTCGATTGCAAGTGAATTCGGAATTGGTTGATGTTTCAGTCTTCGATTGCGACTGGATGGACCCTGGGAAATGAAGAATTTTATCAGTTCTCACTTTGCTGATCTCTCGTTCTCTTTGTCATTTTAAGGAGCATTGGGCTCAGGATCTGAACAAAGTCCGTGAGCGGATGACAAAGTTCATTGATGACACCATGCGTGAAACTGCTGAGCCTTTCTTGTTTGTGGATGAGGTGAGTAGGCTGGGCTTGTTGTCGCTTGGGGGTGACTTTTTGATTGATGTCTGTGCTTTCTGAGGTTTATTTTCTGTTTGTCTTTCCTTGGAGAACTTTGCTGTATGATGTTGCCTCGACTGACTGGTTAGCTGGGATTGTTTCTTTTCTTTTCTTTTCTTTTTTCTCCCAGGTTCTAGATTACTGTAACTGTAACTGCCCAGTGGGTTCATTTTGCCTGCTGCCTAGACAGAACCGATTGATCAAGGCAGGGGAATTGCAATAGGGAAAGAGCTTAACTCACTTAGAGCCAGCTGAATGGGAGACTGGAGTTTTATTATTACTCAAATCATCCTCCCTTTCAGAGGCTGGAGTTTCGTTTTTTTATGTTTTTGTTTGTTTGCTTGTGTGTTTGTTTTTGAGATGGAGTCTCAGTCTGTCACCCAGCCTGGAGTGCAGTGGTGGGATCTCACCTCACTGCAACCTCCGCCTCCCAGGTTCAAGTGATTCTCGTGCCTCAGCCTCCCGAGTAGCTGGGATTATAGGCGCTGTCCACCATGTCTGGCTAATTTTTTTTGTATTTTTAGTAGACAGGGTTTCACTATGTTGGCCAGGCTGGTGTCGACTTCCTGACCCTTGTGATCAGCCCGCCTCAGCTTCCCAAAGTACTGGGATTATAGGTGTGAGCCACCGCACCTGGCGGAGGCTAGGGTTTTTTTTTAAAGATTGTTTGGCGGGCCAGGGAAAGGGTGCTGCTGATTGGTTGGAGATGCAATCATATGGTTGTGGAAAATAGTGTGCTTCTGGGTGGGGCCACAGGACCAGTGGGCGGTCCAGGTAGAGCCATGCGAACGCCCGAAAAGACGTCTCAAAAGGCCAATCTTAGGTTAAACCACAGTGATGTTATCTGTAGGAGTAACTGAGGAAGTTGCTAATCTTGTAACCTCCAGAAAAATGGCTGGTAACCAGTTAGTCTCCACCTTAGCAGAATCCAGGCTCCTCTCATCCTCCTAACCTGGTCTTACCTTAGCTTTACAAAGGCAGTTTATTTTGGGGGAAGGGCTGGTATTTAAACTATAAACTAAATGTTTTCCAAAGTTAGCTTGGCCCAAGCCCAGGAATAATTAAGGGCAGTTTGGAGGTTAAAGGCAAGATAGAGGTTGGTTAGATCAGATCTGTTTCACTGTCATAATTTTCTTGTTGTTCTGATTTTGGAAAGGCAGTTTCATAGCCCTTTCTTACTCTTCTCTACTGACCGTGTTGCCTGGGTGGGATTATTGATTTTGCCACTAGAGGGCATCTGCCACCAGGGAGAGTTGAACCATTGCAAGCACAGAAACAGAATGCGAAGGTGTCTGGGTGCTTGCTGGTCAGAATGGTTGCCTTTGACCTTGCATAGGGAAGGAGGGGAGGTGGAACTGGGGAGCGACTGACCCATATGAGGTCGTTCTCACGCAGCAGAAATTAGGCCCAGATCGCTAAAGCATTTTTTTTTAAGGGGCCAGGAATTGTAACTTGAAATTTCCTGCCCTTTCAACATTCTGATATGGATAACACTCTGTTTCTTAAGTTGGGTCGTGGGTTCACAAATATTCATGCTACTATTATGCTTTAAATTGTATATATGAGGCCGGGTGCAGTGGCTCACGCCTGTAATCCCAGCACTTTGGGAGGCTGAGGCGGGTGGATCGCTTGAGGTTAGGAGTTTGAGACCAGCCTGGCCGACATGGTAAAATTCTGTCTCTACTAAAAATACAAAAATTAGCCTGGTGTGGTGGTGCACGCCTGTTATCCTAGCTGCTTGGGAGGTTGAGGCAGGAGAATCGCTTCAACCCAGGAGGTGGAGGTTGCAGTGAGCTGAAATTGTGCCACTGCACTCCAGCCTGGGCAACAGAGCATGACTCAGTGTGAAAAAACAAAGAAAGAAAAACCAACAACAATGTATATATGGTAAGCATAAACCCTTGCAGTAGCAAATATTTTAGGATAAACATTACAAAGGAAAATATTGTCTAGGTCCATGGAACAAATATGTCGCTGCAGCCCATTGCAGCCTGAGCCTTCGGTATTGAAAACGTGGGTAACTGAGGTCTGGAGACCGCCTGTTGATTTCCCGCATCAGAGCTGTTCTTCCCCCCTGGTGGGCGCAGACCAGAAACAAGCAGACACCATCCTGCCCGTCAACGTGATGATTCGGTCTTCGTGTTTGACTCTTTTAGTTCCTCACGTACCTGTTTTCACGAGAAAACAGCATCTGGGATGAGAAGTATGACGCGGTGGACATGCAGGACATGAACAACCCCCTGTCTCATTACTGGATCTCCTCGTCACATAACACGTGAGTTTCAGATGAGCCTGTGATGGGTTGGGCAGCACAGAGCACGTGAGGGTTGAGGCAGGGGTCCGATACGCCGCTCCGGTGAGCCCTGTTGTGAAGCAGGTGGAGGGTGTAGCACCGCATTCCTTGGACTAAAATACACAGAAGCTTCTGGAAGGGGCTGGGAACACACTTCCCTTTGTCAGCTGGCATTGTAATAATAATCTCTTTTCTGTGGCCCTAAAAAGCTAGTAAAAACAAAAGTAACTTAGTTTATGTAACTTAGTAACTAAAGTAACATAGTAAACTTAGTTTTTCACGATTTGGGCATCTCACAGTAGCCACAGCAAAGCAATTCAGTGACTCATTGAATTGACTTATAGGGAGTGTGTACCCTGTGCCTGCTGGGAGCTGGGGATGTGGCTGTGAACCGGCAGCAGCCATGTCCTCATGTGCTGGGAGGAAGACCTCCATTGAAAGTTAACCACAGAATAGGACTTGCTGATGTGGGGAGCAGGTGGTAAGGCAAGGAGAAGTGTTTCAGACAGAGGAGCAGCATGTGCCAAGGCCCTGGGGCAGGAACAACTGAGAGGAGTCTGCTAAGGCTGGAGTGCAGAATCCAGGAGAGCGGTGTCAGGAGGGGAGGAAGGCAGGTCCTGCTGGAGCAGGATCTTGTAGGTCACCGTGAGAGCTGTCGGGGAGACCCTGACGACTTTTAACCAGAAGATGAGATGCTCACAGGGGGCTCTTGGGATGGTTACTCTGATTGCAACAGAAGGAGGATACAGGATGTTGCGCTGATGTTCCAGTATTTAGTCTGTCTTATTGGGTGAGGGGTGAAGTCCTTGGGTGATGGCCCCCACAGCTGTGGGTGGGGACTTTCCTAAGTGACATTCCAGGGGGTCATCTGGGAAAAGGCTTTTTATGGTGTTATGCTCCAGGCATTTGGGAAGGTAAAATGTCTTTCAGGGGGAAATTGATTTCACAGTTCTCTCTTCCCCACCATGCCCATCATTTTAAGAGTTTGTGTTTCAGCATGGTGAATTCTAGAAAACCTAGAAGACAGTTAAGAAATACAAACTTAAAAAAAAAACTTTTATTTTCAGTTCAGAGGTACATGTGCAGGTTTGTTAAACGGGTCAACTTGTGTCATGGAGGTTTGCTGTGCAGATTATTTTGTCACCCAGGCATTAAGCCTACTTACTACCCATTAGTTATTTTTCCTGATCCTGTCCCTCCTACCACCCTCTGACAGAACCTAGTGTGAGGAACATAAACTTTTTTTTTTTTTTTTTTGAGACAGAGTCTCACTCTGTTGCCCAGGCTGGAGTGCATTGGTGCGATCTCAGCTCACAACCTCCGCTTTCCCGGTTCAACAGATTCTCCTGCCTCAGCCTCCCGAGTAGCTGGGACTCCGGGCACGAGCCACCATGCCCTGTTTTGTTTTGTTTTGTTTTGTTTTTGTATTTTTAGTAGAGACAGAATTTCACTATGTTGGCCAGGCTGGTCTTGAACACCTGACCTCGTGATCTGCCCGCCTCAGCCTGCCAAAGTGCTGGGATTACAGGCATGAGCCATCGTGCTTGGCCTCGGAACACAAATTTTAAAAAAGTTGGGGTGAATCATGACAAGGAGGAAAGTGCATTAAAGAGTCATTCTTACGGCAGTTTTGGTGGATATGGCTCCTAGCATAGCCGATTGCACCAACAGTTGTTGAATATCTGTTCTGTGCCTGGCCTCAAGCCTTGATATCAAAAGAAGTGCCCATCTTTGTTTAGACCGAGGACCCAGAGAGCGGCCATGGGGCCTTGTTAATTCATCTTCTGCAGCTTTTTTTGCTTCTGACGTGCTTTGACCAACTTCTCCTCAAAAGAACACGTCCTCTCCACGCTTGCATTGCCCAGGTGGTCAGCAGTCACTTCCTGCGATTGTGGCCTGACTTCAGAGCTCATGCCCAGTGTGACCGTGGGATTGTGTATTTCTGTCCTAGGCCTTAGCTTTGAGTCTTTCTACATGGAAGAACTCAGAGCTTTGGCGGCTCGGGCGGAGAAGTTCCCCCACAACACCCTGAGGTGCAGGCTTGCCCCCCAACCCCTGTGGCTGCCACTCTCACACGGCCACCTGCCTTCTCTCCTGCAGGTACCTTACAGGTGACCAGCTGCGGAGCGAGTCGTCCCCAGAAGCTTACATCCGCTGCCTGCGCATGGGCTGTCGCTGCATTGAACGTGAGTAGCTCCTTCTTGGTGGAGGTCAGGCTCGCAGCAAATTGAGGATAACCATGTGGTTGCTCCATGTTTTCTTTCGAATTGTAAAAAGGTTTTAATGGACACATAATAACTGTGCATATTTATGGAGTTAGAGTGTGATGTTTCTTTGTTTTCTTTTTTCTTTCTTTTTTTTTTTTTTTTTGAGACGGAGTCCCTGTCATCTGTATCTCCTCAGCTTCCTCCTGGGCTGGTATTAGAGGAAGGCAAACAGACACCCGCTGTGTTTTGGCAGCTGGGTCCTAGGTGTGCACAGGTACCGCGTATCACCTGGATTGGGGGGTCTCTGAGCAAATGTGAAAAGAATGGTCAGGGCTGGATATGGTGGCTCATGCCTGTAATCCCAGCACTTCAGGAGGCTGAAGTGGGAGGATTGTATGAGGCCAAGAGTTTGAGACCAGCCTGGGCGACATGGTGAGATCGTATCATTACGAAAAGTAAAAAAATTAGCTGTGTGTAGTGGCATGCGCCTGTGGTCCCAACAACTTGGGAGGCTGAGGTGGGAGGATCGCTTGAGCCCAGGAGGTTGAGGCTGTGGTGAGCTGTGATTGTGCCACTGCACTCTAGCCTGGGCAACAGAGCGAGACTCTGTGTCTAAACTGAAAAGAAAAGAAGGGTCAGGTGGCATCTCTGCCTGGGCAGATGGCAGACGCCTTATTTCCCTCCTTCCTTCTCATAGCCTCTCTGGCTATTTTCCTTCCGGCCTCTCTCTCACCAAAGGCTCATGGGTGCATTTGGCTGAGAAAAGGCAACAACCAGCTTGTCGTGGTGTCTCATGCCTGTAATCCCAGCACTGTGAGAGGTCGAGGTGGGCGGATCACTTGAGATCAGGAGCTTGAGATCAGTCTGGCCAACATGGCGAAACCCTTTCTCTACTAAAAATACAGAAATTAGCCAGGCGTGGTGGTGCACATCTGTAATCCCAGCTGCTTGGGAGGCCGAGGCACAGGAATCACTTGAGCCTGGGAGGCAGAGGTTGCAGTAAGCTGAGATCGCGCCGCTGCACGCCAGCCTGGGCAACAGAGGGAGACTTTGTCTCAAAAAAATAAAAATAAAAAATAAATAAATAAAATAAAAAAGGCATCAACTACTGACTTAGGCTCCAGTGTTACCAAAACGACTCATCATGGAAGCAACGTTTTGTAGCAGTTACTCTATAGACTTTCTTCCCGTTTATGATTTTTCTCCTCCCTCAGGAAAAAACAAATGTTTAAAAGTAAAGCTTGAAGCAGTCAGCTCCTGTGCCCTCCAGGGGTCCAAAAGATTGGGGATGTTCATCTTCCACATGACCCATTTCTGTTTGAAAATATTACTGTGAACCTTTACAAATAAATTTCTCATTGCTCTGTATCATTTCCACGGGCAGAAAAGGCAGTCAAGGTTTTCAACAGGTAAAGTCAGAAAATAAAACACGTGGTAAAATCTTCTTTAAAAAGAAGCATTGAGGTTGGGCGTGGTGGCTCACGCCTGTAATCTCAGCACTTTGGGAAGCTGAGGTGGATGGATCATGAGGTCAGGAGATTGAGACCACCCTGGCCAACATGGTGCAACCCTGTCTCTACTAAAATACAAAAAAATTAGCCGAGCGTGATGGTACGCGCCTGTAGTCCCAGTTACTCAGGAGGCTGAGGCAGGGGAATTGCTTCAACCCGGGAGGCGGAGATTGCAATGGGCCGAGATTGTGCCACTGCACTCCAGCCTGGGCAACAGAGCGAGACTCTGTCTTAAAAAAAAAAAAAATGAAAAAAAAAGCAGCATTGAAACTAGCTTGTCTTGGACAGCTGCACTTGCATTATGTAAGCGCACAGGGAACCCTGCGGATACAGGGAAAGCCATGTCCTCGTGTTGGCAGCCGAATGGAGGGAGTGTGGGTGTCCTTGTCTAGTAACTGAACTGGTGTGTGGGCCGGGGGCTGACCTCGGGGCTGTCAGTGAACACACGTGGTATTGAGGCTGCCGCGTTTCTCCCTGTAGTGGACTGCTGGGACGGGCCCGATGGGAAGCCGGTCATCTACCATGGCTGGACGCGGACTACCAAGATCAAGTTTGACGACGTCGTGCAGGCCATCAAAGACCACGCCTTTGTTACCTCGAGGTCAGTTGGCTGATTTCTGGGTGGTGTGACTTAAAGGGGAAGGCAGCTAGGGTTGGATAGACAGATGGACAGACAGGCAAACACACACAGACACCTCCCTCCAAATGCGGGAAGGCCTGGGCCCCATCTTGGCCAAAGCCACTGCCATCAAGTTCTCACCCGAGTGTTGGCACCCCCTGCAGGCCGAGAGTGCAAGTTGCTCCCGGGCTCTAGAGCCCCGAGGAGGCTCTGGCTGGGGAACCCTGTGGCTGCTCAGTGCCCACCCCACCTCCTCATTCTGTCTGGCCCCCACTTTCAGAACCCCCGAAAGAGAGGGAAAGGCTGGGCGCAGTGGCTCACGCCTGTAATCCCGGCACTTTGGGAGGCTGAGGTGTGATCACTGAGGTCAGGAGTTCGAGAAGAGCCTGGGCAACATGGTGAAACCCCTTCTCTACCAAAACACACACACACACACACACACACACACACACACACACACACACACACACACACACACACAAATCATCTGGGTGTAGTGGCATGTGCCTGTAGTCCCAGTTACTTGGGAAGCTGAGGTGGGAGGATTGCTTGAACCTGGCAGGCAGAGGTTACAGTGAGGTCACATTGCGCCACTGCACTGCAGCCTGGGCAACAGAGCGAGACCCTGTCTCAAAGGAAAAAAACCCAAAAAAACAAAAACCAAAAAAAAAGTGAGGCAAGGAAAGTAAAATTCCCCTTCTGTCCTAATTCCCTCTTTTGTGCCCAGTTCTCACCCCCACCAAACCTGTTTCTACAGGCGGAATCCAAGCAGCCAGTAATGGTGGTGGTGTGTTTTTTGAATACCCACCTGGGGCCAGGCTCTGTGCTAGGTTCTTTGTACAGGTGATCATATTGATTCTTTGCCACAAAGTGAGTATGGTCATCCCCATTTAACAGATGAGTAAATTGAGACAAGGAGGGGTTAAATGGGTGAGAACATTTAGGTTCATTTCAAGGGTTTCTGACCTCAGGTGTAATCCTTTTCTGTCCCACCAGAAGATCTTGGTCTGGGCTGGAGGTCAACGAAATTGTTCTATAAAGAGCCAGATACAAATGTTTCAGGCTTTATGGGCCCTGTGGTCTCTGTTGCAACTATTCAGCCCTGTTGCTGAAGTGCAAAGCAGCCATGGGCAAGAGGTAAACACATGAGTCTGGCTGTGTTCCAGTTAAAACTTGAATTACACATTACAAAAATAGATGGCAGGCCAGATTTGGGGCAGAGGCCATCATATGCCGACTCCTGGTTTGGGTTCCTTGTTATTTCTGAGAGCTGGCAAGAGGCCTTCTATAGGCTCATTGGAATGATAGTTGTCTTTTTATACTTTCTGGGGTAGAATAGCAGTTACGAGTATGGGTTCTGAGTCCTTCTCGCTGAGTTTGAATCCAGCTGTTGAGTACTAGTTTGGGCAAAGCACTTACCATCCTATGCTTCAATTTCCATGTTAAAAAATAGAGGTGATAACTGTGTGCACCTCACAGGGCGGTTGTGATGATTAAATGAGATGCCATTACAGCAAGTGCTTAACCCTGCACCTGGCATAGAGTAACTGTTGAGTCAATAAGATCGATTATTTTTTCTCTTTTTTTCTTTTCTTTTCTTTTCTTTTTTTTTTTTTTTGAGATGGAGTCTCCCTCTGTCGCCCAGGCTAGAGTGCAATGGCAGGATCTCGGCTCACTGCAACCTCCACCTCCTGAGTTCGAGCAATTCCCCTGTCTCAGCCTCCCGAGTAGCTGGGATTATAGGCATCCACCATCATGCCCGGCTAATTTGTGTATTTTGGTAGAGATAGGGTTTCACTATGTTGGCCAGGTTGGTCTTGAACTCATGACCTCAGGTGATCCTCCCGCCTCAACCTCCCAAAGTGTGGGGATTATGGGCATGAGCCACCGTGCCCAACCCGATTGGTTATTTTTATTGCATTTACTGCAGATGTCCCTTGAGCTGGGTGGAGGTGTTGCTGTGAGACAATGAAATTATGGACGTCTTTTCGCACTTGGTGAAAACCTTTCAATGAAGGCATATGATTTCTCCATCGCAGCATTCTCCCCTGTGGGGTCCTAGCCCTTCTAAGTGCCAACCTCCATCAGGCAGATGGAAGGAGCTGGTATTAACAGACACTGTGCAGTGGCAGCTTACACTCTGCTTTGAGAGTTTGCTTTCATTTGCAGGACATAGGTGCTTATGGTTGTGAGCTGACAGTCATTCATCGAACATTATCTCATTCATGACTAGAGGAAGTTTTTTCTGGTTAAAATAGGGCTGGAATCATCTAACACCTATAGGGCTAGAACTCTGTAATCAAACATTAATGCATTAATGTTTTGGCAGCAAAAGCCATCCTTATTGGTATTAAGAGGGATTTAAGAAAATGATTGCAAGCAGCGTTCATTCGAATGGTTCAGATTTTGCTGTCAGTTACATTTTGATACCAACTTACTAGGTAGCCTTTGTTGTAAAAGCTTTTTAGCTGTTATGTTCTAGTAAGGGTGTGTGGATCAGGATCGGGGAGTGAGCTGGGTCCACGCTTCCCAGGAGTGATGAGGCTATGATTTACTTGAGCTGGAACATGGTTAAGGATTTTATTTTTATCATCGTCACTTTATTTTCACATTTGCCTTCATTTCTATTGAGTGACGTGATTTCCTATTTATGGAAGTGACATAGCTGCCTTTAGAATAATTTTGTTTCATAGTAAATGCCATGCACAAGCCTCAGATGGATTCTTGGTGGGAAAAACTCCATCTATACAGTATATTTCTTGGATAACTGGGGAAATTTGAGTATGTCTAATGATCAGTATGTCTAATGATCATTATTTAAAGATAGTTTCCTGAGGTGATATGGTGTGGTGATGTCAGGGGATGTTCTTAAGAGATACCTGTGGGGGATGTCTGCGCCTTATTTCAGATGGTTCAGGAGGAAACGTAAATATGTGTATAAATGAAATACAAATATAGGCTGGGCACAGTGGCTCACGCCTGTAATCCCAGCACTTTCGGAGGCTGAGGCGGGTGGATCAACTGAATTCAGGAGTTTGAGACCAGCAGCCTGGCCAACATGGTGAAACCCTATCTTTAGTAAAAATACAAAAAATTAACTGGGCATGCTGGCAGATACCTGTAATCTCAGCTACTCAGGAGGCTGAGGCAGGAGAATTGCTTGAACTTGGGAGGCGGAGGTTGCAATGAGCTGAGGTCACGCCATTGCACTCCATCCCGGGCAATGAGTGAAACTCCATTTCCAAAAGAAAAATAAATAAATAAAATAAAATAAATAAATACATAAATAAATGACTTTTCTCCTGCCTCAGGAGGAGTATGTGTGTATATATATATATATATATACACACACACACACATAAATATATATGTGTGTATATATACGTATATATGTATATACATGTACTAATGATATGTGAATTTATACATACACGTTCACATGATATAGAAGGATACAGGTGATCCTTATTGGTGGATTCTACTTGCTAAAATTGACTTGTAACCCCAAATCAAATCTCAAAGCACTCTGAGGTCATTCTGAGACACGCACAAAGTGTGGGAAATGAGACTCATGCGATGCACACGTGTTCAGCTGAGGGTGAGCAAAGCAGCGCTCCCCTTCCTGGTCTACAGCGTGAAAGCTTCAACAAGTGTCCTCACCATCTGTTGACTGCCATGTTTTTCCTGTTTTTGAGCTTTTTCTTGGTGATCTTGCTGTTCAAATGGCCCGAAGCACAGTGGTGAGGGCTGCCTGGTGTTCCTGAGCAGGAGAAGGCTGTGATGTGCCCGATGGAGAAAACACCTGTGTCAGATACGCTTGGTTCAGGCACGAATTACAGTGATGCTGGCTGTGAGCCCAGTGTCAGTCAATAATATATACCAAATCAGGTGTCTTTAAACAGAAACACACATAAAACAACGTCAGATATTGATTCATTGAGGAAAATGTTGTGACCACACGCTCAAAAGGCCCTGATCCTGTATTTCCCCTTAGGAGCAATGGCTCAGGTATTTGCCAATCAGTGTTGGTGGTGACTTTATGAACCATAACCCCAATAGATAAGAAAAATCAACTACAGATACACACAAATGATCTATAAATACACAGACACCTTATAGAAATATACATATATACACATACAAATAATAAATGTATGCATGCACACATGCAAATTACATATGTGTGCATATGAATGAGAATATATAAAACCAATATACTTTATAAATAGAGGAAGTAATAAACATACTAAAGTAGGTGGATGCACACGTGGAACAGCGTCCCTGTTGGTGACCCTGGGTGAAGCACACATGGGTGCTTATTGTGCTGTCTGTTCATCTTTTCTGTAGGTTTGAACTTGAAAAAAAGATTAGAGACTTTTTTCTGTAAGTTTAAAGATATGAATAGATGGAAAAAAATACAGAGAAAAGGTGCATTCTGGGGTATGGGGAAGCTCCTGAATCAGATCGCAGCTGTTCTGAGTCCCAAGACTTGTGCCTTCACACCCAGGATGAGGTCCTCTCCTTCTGGGAGGGCAGATGTGGGGGTTGTGCCCCCCGAGCAGCGCCCGGTTTCTGTCGTCCCAGGGAGCTGCCCTGGCCCCTCTGTGGGGCAGATGCAGAGGTGTGTGCTCCCCCTGCCGAGCTGCCCACCCTCTTCTGCCTGCAGCTTCCCAGTGATCCTGTCCATCGAGGAGCACTGCAGCGTGGAGCAACAGCGTCACATGGCCAAGGCCTTCAAGGAAGTATTTGGCGACCTGCTGTTGACGAAGCCCACGGAGGCCAGTGCTGACCAGCTGCCCTCGCCCAGCCAGCTGCGGGAGAAGATCATCATCAAGGTAGGCACCCCGGGTGCTGCTGTTGGCTGTCCAGGGAGCCCAGTGGCTCGGTTCCCCGGCTCTGGGTCCCGTTCACCAAGTTCTATGTCCTACTGGGCCTGCTCCAGGTCCCACTGCACAGGCTCAAATCTGCTCTCCTTACTAACACTGTGACCTTAGGCAAAGTCATTAACCTTTGGGAGCCTCTGTTGTCACCAGTCTCTGGGGGAGATAATACTGGAACTCATCTGGCTAGCTTGCTGGGAGCATGATGTGAGGGAAGGCGTGCAGAATGCGTGCAACTGCGCCTGTCATGTGGTTGGTGCTACGTTAAGTGCTAACCTGTTATAGTTCATTTGTTCATTGGTGAACCTTCCCCATCCTCTCTCGGAGACAGCCCCATGCGAGGTGCTGGAGGTGTCCAGCGACCTGGGTGCTGTTCCTGTGATTGCAGCTTCCAGTTGTGTGGGAGGCGGGCAGTTGCTAGAAAAGGCTGAGTGCAGCAATAGAGCTGATGTTCCCAGCACTGCAGGGGAGATGGGTGATTATATCTGTGCCTAGGGATGCCATGGTAACATTTGGATTTTTGAATTATTAGGATAAAGAGACCATATATGCCGTGGCTTAAAGCACAGAAGAGTTTATTTCTTCCCCATGCGAGGGAGAATGTTCTGTGAGTTTTGAGCTCTAGCCCACAAGGTGACTCAGGGACCCGGGGCCCCCGCATTCTGCTCTAGCATCTCTCAGGGCAGCAGTTTTCAACTGGGGTTTCACAGACCCCCGAAGAATCCACGGTTAGAATCAGAGGGGCACGTGAACTTCAACAGAAAAAAAATTACATCTTTATTTGTTTAACCTGTACATAAAACTTAATACTTCCTTCCATTGTGAACATTGGCAGCAAGCCACTTGCGGGCTCTGTCACCAGCAGAAGTCATGAGTGTTTTCATATCCCGTTTACAGTTATTGCAAATATTTCAAAATAATGTTGTGCTCGTCATCACTTTGGAATTATGGAGGTTATTAGGTCTGCCTCTAGATCTTATTTAAGATGTTAATGAAGAAACCCATCTTTTAGTGTATTGCAAATATTTATTTAATATCTTAATCATGTTTCAATATAATTGAGTTTCCTTTGTAATTTTATGCATTATTATTCTGAGAAAAGGGTCTGTAGCTTTCCCCAGATTTTGAAGGAGCTCATTACACAAAAACGGTGAAGGGACTTTGCTTTGTCCTTGTTTATGTGGTGGACGCTTGGTCTCAGGCACATCCGAGTTCCAGCTCAGAGCACGGGAAGTCCAAGGGTGTCCAGGGCAAATGGTTTCTGGTAAGCAAGTCAGCTGTCCCGTCCTTTTCTCTACTGTTCTGTGCATGAGAGCTTAGTCACGTTACCTGCAAGGACTGTGGAATCTGAAGTCCCTAGCGGGGCAGCCTTTCATGGAAGGAGCGAGTGTGAATTTTGTTGACATTCCACGAGCTCATGGGGAAGGACAAACAGCTGTTTCCTAGGTATTTCAGTCTGTTCCTGCAGCTATCACAAAATACCCTAAGCTGGGTGGGTTATAAACAACAGGAACTGATTTCTCACGGTTCTGGAGGCTGGAAGTTCAAGGTCAGGGTGCTGGTATGAGAGTCCTCTTCCAAGTTGTAGGCTGCCGACTTCTAGTTGTGTCCTCACATGGTGGAAAGGGTGAGGCAGCTCTCTGGGACCTCTTTTATTTTTAAATATTTATTTATTTATAAATAACCATCTGGGACATGGAGATATCTTTGGCCTCTTTTATAAGGGCACCATTCCCATTGTTGAGAGCTCTACCCTCATTCCCATTCACTGGAGCTCTACTCTCATTCCCACTTATGAGAGCTCTACCCTCATTCCCATTCATAAAAGCTCTACCCTCATTCCCGTTCATGAGGACTCTACCCTCATGACCTAATCACCTTCTGTGTTACCCATTCTCACACTGCTCATAAAGACATACCCAAGACTGGGTAATTTATAAAGGAAAGAGGTTTAATGGACTCACAGTTCCATATGGCTGGGGAGGCCTCACAATCATGTCAGAAGGCAAAGGAGGAGCAAAGTCACATCTTACATGGTGGCAGGCAAGAGAGCTTGTTCAGGGAAACTCCCATTTATAAAACCAGATCTCATGAGATGTGTTCACTATCACAAGAACAGCACGTGAAAGGCCCGCCCCCATGATTCAATTACCTCCCACTGGGTTCCTCCTATGACACGTGGGAATTATAGGAGCTGCAATTCAAGGTGAGATTTGGGTGGGGACACAGCCAAACCATATTACCTTCCAAAGCTACCATCTCCAAATACCATTACATTGGGGATTAGGTTTCAACATATAAATTTTGGGAGGACACAGACATTCAGACCATAGCAGTAGGCAGAGAAGGGGGATGTCCTTCCAGGTTGGGACAATAGGACACACAAGGGTGTGGTGGTGTCAACACGTGGCATGTACCCTATATTATCACTGGGCCACCAAGATACATTGGACACAATCCTTATGTTCCAGGAAGTCGTGGTTTGGTAGGGAGACAAACCCGTCAACAGAGAAACACCAAACAGTGCAAGGAGCTTTGGCCAAGCACAACCAGAGGAGGGGATGTTGGTGCCCCCATGGGTAAGAGCATCAGTGCACGGGGAGTGTTTGGCCAAGACTGTGACCCTTAAGGTACAGATGTTTGCCTAAGCGGGAGATCAGCTGTCATTGTCTTAGTCTTGCAGATGAGAAGTGTGAGGCCTGGAGAAGTGCAGCCACCTGGCTGGGGTCACAAGTTAACAAAATAGCTGCAGCACTGTTTGCACCCAGGCAGTTGTTTCGGAGATGCCAAGGGATGCTTCCAGCACGGTGAAGGCAGGATAAGGGGTGGAGGGAGCTCGGCCATGGAGGGTCCATGGCTTCTCAGGCACCTAGTTGGTGAGTCTTCGGGGCAGCCTGGTTGCATGTGCTCTTCCCTGTTCCCAGCTCATTCCTTCTGTTTCCATTAGGATGGCTTGCTGCCTGTTCCCAGGGAGTTTTCAGCTCTTGTTCTAAGATGCAAAGTACTGAAGGCCCCTTTTAGAGCACCCTCTGCCCCACACCTGATACGCTGTGGCCCACTTCTTTCTATTTCAAGAAATGAGGTGGAAATAGCGTTGGCCACACGGTCACTTTGTACCATGCACTTGGCTAGGCGTGGTCATATGTATCTTCTTATTCAGTCTTGTCAAGACACTGCAGGACGAATAACCTCAGCCCTTGCCCACTTTACAGATGTGGACATTGAGATTCAGAGGTTAAATAGCTCAGCCAGGGTCACACATTTAGTATTTGCTGAGGAAATTATTCAAGGCCAAGGTGGTCTGCCCTCAGAGCCTGTTTTCCCATGCCTGTATCATGCTGCCATTCACAAGGGACACTGAGGTCCTGCTTCACTGTTGACACTTATCTTTCACGTTCTTTGACTTACGGGATCCCACAGGGGCTGCCACGTCCCGATTTTACGAGACAGATTACTGAGACTCTGATGATGACTCAGCCAAGGTCACATGGCCAGTAAGGTAATAGGCCCTGAATTCAAATCTGGATCTGACCCCCTATCCTGAGCTCCTTCACCAGGTTACATGACCCTCAACTTACAGACGCTTGCCTGCGTGGGAGTCCAGGTGTCATCACTGTCTTAATCTTGCAGATGAGAAGCCTGAGGCTCAGAGAAGTGCAGCCACTTGCCCGGGGTCACACAGCTGGTAGAATAGCTGCAGTGCTGTTTGCACCCCGGTCGCCTTAGTCTAATCCCCATTGGGTCCCCCGCCACCCTGCCCAGCCTGTTCCCTCTGGACTGCGGCCTGCCTTTCCCTCTGTGTGCTAGAGAAGGCTGGGCACAGGTGGTGTTGTTGTTTATTCACCGAGTATCAACAGAGCACTTACTGTCTGCTAAGTGCTCTTCTAGCACAGGAGACTCAACAGGAAGCAAAACAACATCCCTGCCCTCATGGGGTTTATATTCTAGCAGTGAGGACAGAAGACAAACACATGGTGTGTGTAGGGCTAGACAAGTGAGAGGAATAAAGCAGGCTTGGGGCTAGAGAGTGGCAGGATAGGAAGGGGAGTGTGGGCTATTTTTACTTATTTATTTTTTACTGGGACAGAGTCTCACTCTGTTGCCCAGGCTGGAGTGCAGTGGTGCAGTCTCAGCTCACTGCAACCTCCACTTCCCAGGTTCAAGCAATCTTACTGTCTCAGCCTCCTGAGTAGCTGGGATTACAGGCGCGTGCCACCATGCCCGGCTAATTTTTTTATTTTTGTAGATACAGGGTTTTGCCATGTTGGCCAGGCTGGTCTAGAACTCCTGAGCTCAAGTGATCTGTCTGCTTCAGCCTCCCAAAGTGCTGGGCTTATAGGTGTGAGCCACTGCGCCTGACCAGTATGGGCAATTTTTAGATGAAGCTGTAAGGAAAGCTCCTCCTCCTCGTTCAGGGTAACCTGGAGGGCAGAGCTGAACAGACTAAGAGGGAAGCCAGGCAGCAAGAACAGGCAGTGCAAAGGCCCTGCCTGGGAAGAGGCAGATGAAGGCTGCTGGCTCAAAGGCCTAAACTTGGGTCTCCATGGAGACAGCCTATGTATATGTTTTCCCCTCAGCATAAGAAGCTGGGCCCCCGAGGCGATGTGGATGTCAACATGGAGGACAAGAAGGACGAACACAAGCAACAGGGGGAGCTGTACATGTGGGATTCCATTGACCAGGTGGGCCTTGGTCCCTTCCCGTAGCCACTGCGGCCACGCCCCTTGCAGCTGCTTCTTGGAGCCCTGCTGGGAGCTCTGAGAATACGCCTGTCTTGTTCCCATTTTTAGTCAAGTGAGTTTTTGCCATGTGAATTTACCTTCCTTCTTAAACTTTATTTATTTATGTTGTGGGACAGGGTCTCACTCTGTCGCCCAGGCTGGAGTGTAGTGGTGTGATTGCGGCTCACTGCAGCCTTGACCTCCCAGGCTCAAGTGATCCTCCCACCTCAACCTCCCTGAGTCTCTGGGACCACACGTGCGCACCACCATGCCTGGCTAATTTTTTGTATTTTTGCAGAGATGGGATTTAGTCGTGTTGCCCAGGGTGATTTCAAACTCCTGGGCTCAAACAGTCCTCCCACCTTGGCCTCTCAAAGTGCTGAGATTATAGGCGTAAGCTTCTAAGCCTGGCCAACTTTATTTTCCTTTTGCATTTTTAATGTTTTATTTTGAAATAATTTTAGATTAAATATATTTACACACACAAATAGTATGGGATATTCCCATCTACCCTTACCAAGCTTCTCCAAATATTATTAATAACATCCTACATAACCATAGTATAATTAGCGCAATCAGGAAATTAACATTGGTACAATACTAATAACTAGTTTATAGATGGTATTTCATTGTTGCCACTGTGTTCACTCAGGCTATTTTCCTGTTTCAGGATCCAGTACCCGGTGCTGCCGTGCATTTAGGTTGTCCTGACTCCTTCGTGTCCTCCAACTGGGGGTCGTTCCACCAGAAACCTTATTTTTCAGACTTTAATGCTGCCTCTATCCCTTTACCTAATGTGTATATCCATTTTGAGTATATTTTTACATGTCCGTTCTTATATCCTAGATATAACATACATATCAAAGGCAATATTTATTTATTACTTATTTATTTATTTTAGATAGTCTTGCTCCATTGCCCTGGCTGGAGTGTGGTGGTACGATCTTAGCTCACCACAGACTCCACCTCCCGGTTGAAGTGATTCTTGTGCCTCATCTTCCCAAGTAACTGGGACCACAGATGTGCACCACCATGCCCTGCTAATTTTTGTAGCCTTAGTAGAGATAGTGTTTCGCCATGTTGGCCAGGCTGGTCTTGAACTCCTGATCTCAAGTGGTCTGCCCGCCTTGGCCTCCCGAAGTGCTAGGATTACTGGCGTGGGCCACTGTACCCAGCCAAAAATGGCAATATTTAAGTAAAGAATTAAGTTGGGCCAGGCGCGATGGCTCATGCCTATAATCCTAGCACCTTGGGAGGCCGAGGAAGGCAGATTACGAGGTCAGGAGATCGAGACCATCCTGGCTAACATGGCGAATCCCCGTCTCTATTAAAACTACAAAAATAAGTTGGGCATGGTGGCACGTGCCTGTAGTCCCAGCTACTCAGGAGGCTGAGGCAGGAGAATTACTTGAACCCGGGAGGCGGAGGTTTCAGTGAGCTGAGATTGAGCCACTGCACTCCAGCCTGGTGAGAGAGACAGACTCTGTCTCAAAAAAAAAAAAAAAAAAACAGTGCAGCACACCAACATGGCACATGTATACATATGTAAGAAACCTGCACAGTGTACACATGTACCCTAGAACTTAAAGTATAATAAAAAAATACAAATAAAAACGTTATTAAAAAAAAGAGTTTCTGCATACCCTGCACCCAGCCTCCTCTCACATTAACGTCATGCATGACAATAAAACAGTGACCAAAGCTAAGAACTTAACCCTGGTACTTTACAATAAAACCAGAGACTAAATTTCATCGGGGGAAAAAAAAAAGAAGTCATTAAGCCACAAATAAATATTGAACGTAAGGTCTCCAGACAAACTGGCTGGGAAATCCTGAAAGTTTTAAAAGGTAGATGGAATAGAAAAGAAAATGATGAGGAGTTGTACCTACCTTAGACTCATGGATCTAAAAAGTCCAAAAAGAAGCTCAAATACCAAAAGAAGCTCAAAATGCATCGATATTTTAAAAAAGAAATGCCTTGTAAGGAATTGAATTCAGAGAATTCGCCATAAATGTCTATGAAACTGGGAAAAGCACATCCATAGTAGATGCTGGGGTGACGCCCTGCAGGGCTCCTGGGCTCCACAGTTGATGAGGTAGAGGACTTGGGGGGCACTAATACCAGTTTCACTTTCTAGAAATGGACTCGGCACTACTGCGCCATTGCCGATGCCAAGCTGTCCTTCAGTGATGACATTGAACAGACTATGGAGGAGGAAGTGCCCCAGGTAGGGGGACACCCTAGCCACATAGGGAGGAGGTCCCCAGGAACCCCGAGGACCAGCCAGTCCCCGGGACCTCCTTCCCATGTGGCTTCTCTGGCCGGCTGGCAAGGGGATGCTCCGCTGAAGAAGCTGTTGATACTCTGGGTACCATGTCCTGGCTGGCTTGTCTCTGATTGGCTGGCTGCCCCAGGTGCTTTAACCAGTGAGGTTCAAGATGCTTTCCTGCTCTCTAAAGTGCCTGATTGGCCTTAGATGGAGGCCGGTGCTCTGGCTTGGTCCCATGCTTTCCTGTTGCCCTCTCCTCCAGCTGTGGTCATCTTTCCCGCTGTTTATTTCTGCAGCCCCCAGGGCCTCATGGCTCTCAGACTTCCCATAGAACAGAATGGAGGGCTTTGCTGGGAACCGTTCACTGCATGTCTCAGGATGCCAGGAGGCCACCATAAATGAGGGCTCTCAGGAGTGGGAGGCAGGCAGAGGAGGGTAGCAGGTGCTGTTTTCCCATACCCCTTCGGGTGGGGACCAGCTGAGGCTGGCCTCTCTATGTTATCTGGTACCCTGGGTCAGGGTGAGACAGAAGGACCTGTCTAGTGATGCTGGGGTTTGGTCCAAGGCTTTCAGAAACCCCTCCTCTCTTTGCGGCCCAGGATATACCCCCTACAGAACTACATTTTGGGGAGAAATGGTTCCACAAGAAGGTGGAGAAGAGGACGAGTGCCGAGAAGTTGCTGCAGGAATACTGCATGGAGACGGGGGGCAAGGATGGCACCTTCCTGGTTCGGGAGAGCGAGACCTTCCCCAATGACTACACCCTGTCCTTCTGGTAATGCCCCCGACCCAGGGAACGCCTACCTTCTTCTCCATGCCAACCGATGAGGCAGGGTGGCGAGTGGTTCTAGCTCAGGCAGGAATTGGGCAGGCTGGGACCTGAATCCCAGGCTTCATTTGTCTAGCTCTTCTAGGCCGGGACAAGGGTGAGGTGGGTATGACTCACTTCGGCACTGTAACCCAGATTAATGAGATTTCAGGGCAATCTTTTAAAAAATCAAAAGTAATGCAAAAAAGTCTGTGATGAACAAAATATGAACATTTTAAACAAAGACAAGATCTGACCCTACTCTTAGATGATGTGGTCTCACTCACTTTCCCCGATCCCAGCCCTGGAGTGGGTCATGTGGCTCTGGATGATTCAGCCAACCTTCTAGCATCTCTGTCTCCTCCATAAAACGAGGACTCTAGGGCTGTCCTTTTGAAGCCGTCATAGGCTGTGATGAGCTTGTGCATTCATTCATCCACCCACTTATCCATGTCTCAGTGCATTAAAAGATACTTCTTGAGGGCGTGCCCTGTGCTAGACACAGTACTTATGCCAGACAGACAATGTCTTTGTCCTCCTGGACACTAGCGTCTTTTGAAGGAGATGGGCAATGAAAAAGCAGTCACTCAAATGATTTGCAAGTATAGTTGTGATGAGTGCAATGAAACAAGGCAACATAAAGGGACATCCCTCCCTTTATTGGGGGGGTTTAATGTGAGTTGGGGGGATTTGTGAAAGTCTGTGAGGAAGGCTCTGATGCCCTGACGTGGGGAATGGTTAGGAAAACCTTCCTGAAAGAAGATGAGACCTGAAAGAGGGAAATTATAATTCTGTCACTTAAAAAAAAATTGTGATAGGGTCTTGCTCTGTTGCCTAGGCTGTAGTACAATGGAGCAGTCTCAGTCACTGCAGCCTCAAACTCCTGGGCTCAAGCAACCCTCCTATCTCAGCCATTTAAGTAGCTGGGACTACAGGCACATGCCACGACACCTGAATAACTTTTAAATTTTTTGTAGAGCTGGAGTCTCACTACGTTGCCCAGGCTGGTTTTGAACTCAGCTCAAGCAATCCTCTGGCTTCGGCCTCCTGAAGTGCTAGGATTACAGCTGTAAGCCATTGCACCTGGCTGAAAATTAGAATACTAATAACACGCAAATAATCCTGGACACCTAAATGATGCTTACCATGTGCTGGGCAGTATTCGAGACACCTTGTGTGTGTGGTCTCGTTTACTCTTCAGGATGCCTCTTTGAGGTGGATACTGTTATCATTCCTGTCAGACCGCTGGGGTAGTAATACAGTGTGGCTCAGACAGCACGGGTGACCTGCTCCAGGACACTTGGTTCATATGTGGCAGAGCTGGGATTTGAATCCAGGCATCCTGGCTCTAGAGAAGCAGTTATATATATAAAAGGGGGATGGGGTGGGGTGGGGTGGGGGAAGTAGGTAGAATGTTCTGGAATCCAGGCTGAGGGTCTAGCCTATACTAAGGCCCTGCATCTGGTTTTGTTGTTGTTGTTGTTGAGATGGAGTCTCGCTCTGTCGCCCAGGCTGGAGTGCAGTGGCGTGATCTCGGCTCACTGCAACCTTCGTCTCCCAGGTACAAGTGATTCTCTTGCCTCAGCCTCCCAAGTAGCTGGGATTACAGGCATGCACCACCATGCCCAGCTAATTTTTGTATTTTTAGTAGAGACGAGATTTCACTGTATTGGCCAGGCTGGTCTGGAACTCCTAATCTCAGGTGATCCACCCGTCTCGGCCTCCCAAAGTGCTGGGATTACAGGCATGAGCCACTGCGCCCAGCCTCCTGTGTCTGTTCTAGGAGCAGAGGGAAGGTTGTGTGGCCACATGTAATGTCCCCGCCTCTGAGGCCCTGGCTGCCGCAATGGCCTGGCCTGCGTTCTCCCAGCACTGATGGCGTCCTCTCCCCGCAGGCGGTCAGGCCGGGTCCAGCACTGCCGGATCCGCTCCACCATGGAGGGCGGGACCCTGAAATACTACTTGACTGACAACCTCACCTTCAGCAGCATCTATGCCCTCATCCAGCACTACCGCGAGACGCACCTGCGCTGCGCCGAGTTCGAGCTGCGGCTCACGGACCCTGTGCCCAACCCCAACCCCCACGAGTCCAAGCCGTACGTGTCTGAGGGTGGAGCAGGAGGCAGGCGGTGGTCGGGTTAGCTCCACCAGGCAGAGAAGCTGGCCTGGTGGTTCAGCCGGGCCAGTCCCCCAGGACACCCTCTCCCCAGCCCACCGGCATCTCAAAATTGCCGAGGTGGCCAGTTTCCAAATTCCTGGCACCATGACCTGTGTCCTTTTCTCTTTTCTTTCTTTCCTCCCCTTTTCTCTTTTCCCTTTCTTCTACTTTGTCTTCATAGCCCCGAGACTTTGGGCTTTGATTTTCAGAGGGTCATTTTGGCCTGGGGATATTCTCTTACCTTTCAGAGCTCCTTCCTGTTTGTTCTGAAAATGAACAAGGAAACAATGATTATAAGAGTCTCCCGCTGATTTTTTTTATCTAGTGAAATGAGTATCAAGGTAGGTCTTGCGAAGGGTCAACAAATTCTGGGAATAAAGAAAAAACAATTTTTAGGCAGAAAGCTGCAAAAATGTCCATTTCCGAGGAGGCCGTATTACTTATAGCAACTTTTTTTTTCACTTTTTCTGTCACATTTTCCTATGGATTGCCTCTTAAAACTTGCTATTTCTTATCTTAAGAAATAACCCGAAAACAACCCAAAACCTTGTGAAACTCCTGCTGTGATCTCCGTCTTCGATTTTCTGAGACACGTGGCAATAACTGTGCCTCCCTGGGAGCCTGGCTTTTCAGGTTTGGGCTGCTTGGGTGGATGAAGATGAATCAATTTTTTGAGACAAGGTGTTGCTCTGTTGCCCAGGCTGGAGTGCAGTGGAACAATCACGTCTCGCAGCAGCCTCGAGCTCCTGGGCTCAAGTGATCCTCCCACCTCAGCCTCCTATCTGGGACTGCAGGTGTGTGCCACTGTGCCCAGCTAATTAATTAATTAATTAATTAATTAATTTTGAGACCGGGTCTCGCTCTGTCTCCCAGGCTGGAGTGCAATGGCACGATCTCAGCTCACTGCAACCTCTGCCTCCCAGGTTCAAGAGATTCTTGTGCCTCAGCCTCCTGAGTAGCTGGTATTATAGGCGCACGCCACTGGGCCTGGCTAATTTTTGTATTTCCTTTTTTTTTTTTTTTTTTTTTTTTTGGGACAGAGTCACATTCTGTTGCCTAGGCTAGAGTGCAGTGGCATGATCTCGGCTCACTGCAACCTTTGCCTCCTGGGTTCAAGTGATTCTCCTGCCTCAGCCTCCTGAGTAGCTGGGACTACAGGCGCCTGCCACCATGCCTGGCTAATTTTTTGTATTTTTAGTAGAGACAGGGTTTCACCGTGTTAGCCAGGATGATCTCGATCTCCTGACCTCATGATCCACCCGCCTCAACCTCCCAAAGTGCTGGGATTACAGGCGTGAGCCACCACGCCTGGCCCAATTTTTGTATTTTTAGTAGAGACAGAGTTTCGCCATGTTGGTCAGGCTGGTCTTGAACTCCTGGCTTCTCGCGATCCACCTGCCTTGGCCTCCCAAAGTGCTGGGATTACAGGCGTGAGCCACTGTGCCCAGGCTATTTTATTTTTTATAGAGATGGGGGTCTCATTGTGTTGGCCAGGCTGGTCTCAAACTCCTGACCCCAAGTGATCCTCCTGCCTCAGCCTCCCAAAGTGCTGGGATTTCAGGTGTGAACCACTGTGCTCGGCCCAATGTATTATTTTGGGCTTGAAACAGACCCCTGGGGTCTTCCACTATTCTTTTCACAAATTCTCTTTGCTGAGGTGCCTTTGTCTGGGGAAGCCCACTGTGTGATTTCCATGGTCGTTTCCAGGGCCAGGTTCCAGGTGTCACTGGTGCCATTATCTTGTCCTCTGCGGGTGGCCCACTGACAGCCTGGAGACCGCTCACCTGGTCGTTTTCCCTGGCCCTGTGCCGCAGGTGGTACTATGACAGCCTGAGCCGCGGAGAGGCAGAGGACATGCTGATGAGGATTCCCCGGGACGGGGCCTTCCTGATCCGGAAGCGAGAGGGGAGCGACTCCTATGCCATCACCTTCAGGTGGGTGCGAGGGTGGGAGGCACATGCTCTACAGAGGGGCTTGGCAAGGACAGATGCGGAGAGACAAGGGGGAACTTCAGGTGGAGGCTCACCTGCAGTGCCCTGCCCCCCCAGCATCAGCGACAACAACAACCACCACAGCAAAAGCCGCTGCGAGAATGTGCGCTCCTGCGTGCCAGGCACAGTCTGCGTTCTCCAGGGCAGGATGTTCTGTAGTAACTCACTTTGGCTTCCAGTAACTCTGTGGGGTTGACATGACCATGATCCGTGTTTCTCAGAGGAGGAAACTGAGGCACAGCAAGATTAAGTAACTTGCTGAAGCATGCAGCCACTAAGTGGTGGGGCTGGGATTCGAGCCCAGACAGCCCAGGCAGCCCAGGCCTGTGATGATATAGATCTGGTTTCCTCCCAACTGCAGCTGCTGCCCAACCACCTCTAGGCCTGTGGTTCTCTAATGTTACCCCAAAACGCCAGATTCTCCCACTTCCACTAATGACAAGGAGCCGAGGAGTGACTCAGACTCCGTGTAGCCTACTGTCCCTCCATCTCCCCAGCCCCAGGGTTTCCCTGCATGTTCTTACGGTGGTAACAGTCTGCTATATGTTGAGTTCCTAACCGTGTTCTAGACACTGGACTGCCTTCAAGGCCTCATCTGATTGAATCCTTTGCTACAGCCTGTGAGAGGTAGGTCTAGTTATTGCAAGGGAGGAAACAGGACCAGAGAGGTTAAGTGACCTGCCTGGAGTCACACAGCCTCATAGTCAACTGAGTTTGAGGTTCAGATGCAGGCCTGTCCGTCTCCAAAGCCTAAGCTCTTCACTCCAGAGTCTCTAGCCAGAGGCCTGGGGGCCAAATCTCCAGCCAGAGGCCTGTGGGCGTCTTTTGTACACTGATGTGAAAAACTGAGAAATTTCACTGAAAAACTCAGATTGCTTCTTGTGAAAAATGGGAGGCAGTGGATGCTCTGGGCCTGTGTTTCCACATGGGCGCGGTGGTGCTGGCTGCATGGCAGCTACTGTGGGGTGTGTGGTTTGCCCCTGTCCACTCCTCTCCCCATTCCCTCTGCCCTGATCCCATCCCCTGGTGACCCTGCCAGGCTGCCCCCTGGGCGTTTGGATTTCCCTTCCTCCTTGCCTGCACCACTATGCCTGAGCCACCTCCCTGGGGACCGTGGTGACGGTCATTATCACTATAGTTTACTGAGGACCTACTGTGTACTGGCTCCAGCCAGAGAGCAGCCTCCCACCAGCATGGCTTTTCTGTACTCTCTGTTCCCAAGAGGGTGACCTGGGCTTCTCAGCATTGGTGCCTCTGCCCTTTGCTCTTTCCCCTAAGCCTCTTAGTGGTACCTCCTCAGCCTGGATGGGGAGGAGGTGTGTTCAGTCCGCTGCACACGGATTGAAAACCTGCTGTGTGCCAGGCCCCAGGTGGGGTGTTGGCACTCCCACTGTGCTGTCATCCTGTGCAAATGATGGCAACTAAACCCAACTGGCTGAAACTGAGGTGCCCAAGCGGTGAGACAGCTCTGACACAACCGGATCGGGGCCTCACCTGATGATGGTCAGGATGCCACCTGTATGTGCATGCTGGCGTTACTCTCCATCAGCTTCTGTCTCAGGTGGCTGTACCTTGGGCTGCCAGGACAGTGTCCGGCAGAAAGGATGGCCCCCTCCCTGAGCCAGGTGGCATGATTCTGACAGGCCATCTGGGGATGGGGTTGGGGTCACTTCAATGGGACCGCGTGAATGAAGAGGTTGGGTGGGTCCTCAGGTTGATTGCCTGACTTACATACACGCCCCATTCAGTTTGTGAGCTTGTCTTCCCCATGAGATTGGAGGTGTCTTGAGAATGGAAGTTTTTATTTTTTAGAAGTTAATAGATGTTTGGTGAGCACCTACTGTGTGCCGGGCCCTGTGCTGGGCTCCAGAGATGCAGGAGTGATAAAAACAGCCCAGTCCTTGCTCTCTCAGGCTAATGGTCTGGCAGGGATGAGAGACATCGCCTTACTCCAAGTGTTTCTTGCTTTTGACCTGTTCCTGCTTATGTAACATTGGCTGGGATGTAGTTGGTGGTTGGTGAATGCTGGCTCAGTGAATCAATCAGCAAGGATGGCCGCTCCCCACCTCACCCCATGGCCCACTGTCAGGGAAGCTCAGTCCACACAGTGTTTCTCAAAGAGTTGGGGTGTGAGGACTGATCCTGTTGTATTTGGATGTTGAACTTCCCTGGTCTCTACCCACTGCATGTCTGTCTGGGACCCTAAGTCATTGTAACAATCAAAAATAACATCCCTGCCCCAGGACACACACTTTTTCAAACCCTCTCTGGTCAGGGTATGGGGTGAAGCGTCACTGTCCTTCACTGAGAAGCACTGAGGAGGTTTGAGCACATAAGGAAATCAGTGTAGTATTTTGTGATGAGTGCTACAAAGGGATTGGTCAGGCAGGGTGGTGGAGGGTGAGTAGCTCTCCAGGGAAACGGATGGGGAATTTGGACCAGGCAGTAGGGGAACACAGGTCTGCAGCAACTTCTCCTTGCCCTCTACATATTTGTAAAGTGCCTCTCCTGTGCCAGGCACTGTTCTGGGCTCTGGGGATGTGTAATGAACTTCTGGATAGATTTCCCCAGTAGAGGAGAAACACCTGCTTTCAAATCCACAAAGGAAGTGTTGAGTTGTTGCCCGGCTGTGATTGGTGGAAGGCATCTCTTGGGCAGTGAAGCTGAGACCTCAGGCTGTGGCCGTGGCATCCACGCTCCAGGAGGATGGAAGATGCAACTCGTATTCCAGACCTGTTCCCATCTCCCCTTCTGATTCTCTTTTCTCCCAGGGAAGTTAGTTGTGGGTTGATTTCATTTATGTTTTCCAAACCATTCACTTACTGAGTCCTGCCTGAGTGCCAGACACTGTGCCGACAGCTTACCCTGAATAAGCTAATAGACGATGATCCTAATGCTCCCCATGCGACGGGTTGTGGATCCCCGATGCTGTGGATCGGGAAGCTGAGGCTTAGGGGTCCCCTGTGGAAGGAGCCGGAACCTGACCTTGGCTCTGTACCTCGGCACCCCAGAGCCCCCCTGCCTGCCCTGAGGAGCTCTTATAAAAAGTTTTAAAATTAATTTTTAATTACATGAATATTGCAGGAGGATATTCTCTCTATAAAAAATTAAGACATTACAGTGAAGGCTAAAGCCCCCTGTGGTCCTTCTAATCTCAGTAGAGAGGTCCTGGTAGAAAGCACAGTTTTCTAGCTGGTGTGTCCATCCAGACATTTAAAAAATATGTACATATTTATACATGTCTGTATCTATGGAAAATATATGGTGCCATTTTGTGTCTGGGTATTTTCATTCTATTTTTAGAAAATACAAATGGGAACATTCTGCAGCTTTTCTACTCAGCAGTGTTTCTTTTCTTTCCTCTGTTTTTTTAGAAGGAATAAATATTTAATAAAATATCACTGGAAATAAACCACTGAAGCAGAAGTCTTCTAGCATTTTGTTTTTACAGGACTTTTTGACGAAATCGCTTAAAGCAATATATTTTTTTTTTCAAAAGACTGGAAATCCTTTTTTAAAAAAAGAAAAAAAACAACGTTTTTTAAAAAAAGAAAAAAATAAATATTTTAAAACAAAAAGTCTCTCTATAGTGCAAAAAATGCCTTTTCTTGATTTTTTTCCCTGCCATGCAAAATTGTTAAATGAGCAGTATGCCCATAGAAACGATGCCTCTAGATGCTTTTCCTAATTTATTTAATTGACAAATAAAAGTTGTTTATATGTATCATGTACAACATGGTGTTTTGAAATATGTATACATGGTGAAATGGCTAAATTGAGATAATAACATATACACACACTTAACCATTTTTTTTTTGTGTGTGGTGAGACTTAAAGTCTACCCTCAGCAATTTTCAAGAATACAGGACATATTTTTTTTTTGAAATGGAGTCTTGCTCTGTTGCCCAGTCTGGAGTGCAGGGGCGTGATCTTGGCTCACTGCAACCTGCACCTCCTGGGTTCAAGGGAGTCTCCTGCCTCAGGCTCCTGAGTAGCTGGGATTACAGGCATGCACCACCATGCCTGGCTAAGTTTTGTATTTTTGGTAAAGGTGGGGTTTCACCATGTTGGCCAGGCTGGTATCGAACTGCTGACCTCTGGTGATCCACCCTCCTTGGCCTCCCAAAGTGCTGGGATTACAGGTGTGAGCCACCACGCCCGGCCAGGACTTTGTTATTGACTATAGTCCCTATGCTGTACCATAGATCTCTTGCACTTACTCCTCTTGTCTAACTGAAATTTTGTATCCTTTGACCAACATATCCCCAACACTCCCTACCTCCCCCTGCCCCGGACCCTGGTAACCACCATTCTACTCTCCACTTCCGTGAGTTTAAACCTTTTTAGGTTTCACGTATGAGATCCTGTGGTATTTGTTTTTCTGTGCCTGGTTTATTTCACACAGCACAATGTCCTCCAGGTTCATCCATGCTGTTGCAAATGACAGGCTTTCCTTTTTTTTTTTTTTTTTTAAAGCAAATGGTATTCCATTATGTAAATGTACCACATTTTCTTTATCCATTTATCTGTTGATGGGCAGGCTGATTCTACACCTTGGCTATGGTGAATGGTGCTATGAACATGGGAGTGCAGCTTTCTCTTTGACATATTGATTTCCTTTCCTTCAGATATATACCGAGAAGTGGGATTGCTAGATCCCATGGTGTTCTATTTTTAATTTTTTGAGGAACCTCTGTACTGTTTTCCATAGTGGCTATGCTAATTTACAGTCCCACCCACCAGGTGCAGGGGTCCCCTTTTCTCCACATCCCCACCAGCACTTCTCCTTTAGCTAATAGCCATTCTAACAGGTGTGAGGTGACATCTCATAGTGGTTTTAATTTGCATTTATCTGATGATTAGTGATGCTGAACATTTTTTACGTAACTGTTGGCCATTTATGTATCTTCCTTTGAGAAATGTCTATTCAGATCCTTTGTCCATTTTTTAAAATTTTTTATTTTTTGAGATGGAGTCTTGCTCTGTTGCCCAGGCTGGAGTGCAGTGGTGTGATCTCAGCTCACTGCAAGCTCCGCCTCCTGGGTTCACGCCATTCTCTTGCCTCAGCCTCCCGAGTAGCTGGGACTACAGGTGCCCGCCACTGCGCCCAGCTAATTTTTTGTATTTTTAGTAGAGACGGGGTTTCACCATGTTGGCCAGGCTGGTATCGAACTCCTGACCTCAAGTGATCTGCCTGCCTTGGCCTCCCAAAGTGCTGGAATTACAGGTGTGAGCCACCACGCCCGGCCTTTGTCCATTTTTAAATTGGGTCATTTATTTTCTTACTATTGAGCTGTTTGACTTCCTTATATATTTTGGATATTGACCCCTTACCAGATGTTCAGTTTGCAGATGTTTTTCCCATTCTGTAGGTTGTTTATTTACTCTGTTGATTCTTTCCTTGGCTATGTAGAAGCCTCTTAGTTTGATAAAATCCCATTTATCCACTTTCACTTTTGTTGCCTGTGCTTTTGGGGTCATATCTGAAAAATAATTGCCCAGACCAATGCTACGGAGGTTTTCCTCTCTGTTTTCTTCTAGTAGTTTTACAGTTTCAGGTCTTATGTTTAAGTCTTTAATCCATTTTGAGCTGCTTTTTTTGTTTATGGTGTGAGATAATGGTCTAGTTTTCTTCTTTCGAAATTGCTATTATTTCTATATAGGAATTTATTTCAAAATTCTTTTAATTTTTTTAAATCTAGGTTTCCCAACCCTACTTATTTAACAGACTGTCCTTTCCCCCTGGTGTGTTCTAGACATCTTTATTGAAGATCAGTTGACTGTAAATGCATGGATTTATTTCTTGGCTATCTATTCTGTTCCACTGGTCTGTGTGTCTGTTTTTATGCCACTGTTGTGCTATTTTTATTACTATAGCTTTGTAGTATATTTTGAAGTAAGATAGTGTGCTATCTGCAGCTTTGTTATTTTTGCTCAAAATTGCTTTGGCTATTTGGGGTAGACATTTTTAAAAAGACCCTCTTGGCTGTAAACTTAGGGTCAAAAATATTTTTCCAGATGTTTCTGTCTTGCTGATAAAAGCTAATAAAACCAAGGAGGCTCTTCTGTTTTGGATTTTTTCTGCTTCATGTTTCAAACAGATGAAGGAATGAAAGACTTGTTTCTTTTTTTTTTTAAAAAAAGTCACTGTTTTGCTAGTTGAGTCACCGAAGACAAGATTTAATAATTTTGAGGTGGGGGGGATTGGCAAACATTTTCTGTGAAGGACCACAGAGTGAATATTTTAGGTTTTGCAGGCCATATGGTCTCTGTTGCAGCTACACAACTCTGCTGTTACAGTGTGAAAACAGTCCCAGACAATGTATAAACAAATGAACTGTAGCTGTGTTTCAATAAAGCTTTATTTATAAAAGCAGGTGGTGGGACACATTTGGCCTACTCTTGACCTAGTTCCCTAGGAAGCTCCTAAAGTCAAGTCCTGTAGTTGGGGAGGAGAGGAAGGGTAAGAGGAGCTGTTGAGTCACTCGGCCATATTTCTTCTGAGACACAGATTCTTCTAGATCTGTTTTGAAAATACCCACATCATTGTTTTCTTATTGTCTTGTATTCCATAGGAGGACTATACCCTGTTTATTTACCCACTTCTCTAAGGCTGGATAACTAGGTTGTATCTAATCAGTAGGGTTTGTGTAAAAATTGTTTGGCCACCAGGATCTTGGCATGTCAACCCTGTGTTCTTCCTGCTCCAGGGCTAGGGGCAAGGTAAAGCATTGTCGCATCAACCGGGACGGCCGGCACTTTGTGCTGGGGACCTCCGCCTATTTTGAGAGTCTGGTGGAGCTCGTCAGTTACTACGAGAAGCATTCACTCTACCGAAAGATGAGACTGCGCTACCCCGTGACCCCCGAGCTCCTGGAGCGCTACAATATGGTAGGTGGTGGACTCCCTTGTGATTTGGTGGGATTTCTTGTCTGAGGTTGTAACTCATCTGTTCATGAATTCAGCAAACCTCTGAGTATTCACCATGTATCTGATACTGCTGTAGGTCCTGGGGATACAAATTGAGCACAACAAAGACCCTGCCGTTGTGCTGCTTATAGTGTAGTGTTGGGGAGATGCAACAAATGACATTTAAAATATCCATAGCATGTGCCAGATGGTGATGAGTGCTATGGAGAAAAACACTGGGCAGGTGGATAAGAGGATACAGAGTGATGGGGAAGGGGTTGAAGTTTTCAGAGGGTGGTCTAGGAAGATCTCACTGAAAAGGAATGAGCCATGTGGGTATGTTCTGGAGGAAGAGAGGATAGCATGCGCAAAGGTCCTGAGGTAGAAGCCTGCCTGGAGGCACCAAGAGGAAGTCAGCATGGCCGGAATCAAGCCAGCCCAGGTGGGGGTAGAGCTAAATAAGGATGAGGGTTCACAGGTGACTTATCATGCAGGGGCTCATAGGCCATTGTAAGGCCCTGGCTTTTTCTCTGAGTCATTGGAGAGTTCTGGGTGCAGGAGAGACCTGATGTGGTTACTTTGTCTCCATTCCTACCACATAGATCATTAATTTATTGAAGAGAGATTTATGGCATCCCGATCATGTGCCAAGGACTGTTCTAGATACTAGGAGTACTGTGGAACAAAATCTGCTTTGGGAAATTTAGGTTCTGGAGAGGAGAGACAGATAATATACACAATTAAGATGTTTTCAGGTAGCATGAAATATAATAAAGCAAAGAAAACAGGATAGTGTGAAAAGGGGTGGACACTACCTTAGGCTGTGGGAGTGGAGATCAGAGAAGGCCACCTTAAAAGGGGAGAAATGTGAGCCGAAACATGGAAGATAGCAGTGAATGGGATCTGGGGAGAAGTGAATGAAGGGGTGACTCTAGGTACAGGAGTGGCCACATCACAAGCCCTAAGGTGACATGAGGAACAGAAAGAAGAGTTAGAGAGGAACAGAGAGGTGGTGGGGGTGGATCTTGTCAGTGGTGTGCTAGTAAATGTTCAAACAGCTCTCAGCGGGGTAGGGGGAAGGCACTGGTTTGTAGCATTTGCCAGTTTCCATGGTGTAAATACTTCCATGGAGGTCAGTTTCAAGTTGTTGATGTGCTGTCGTTGAACCTGGAACGTGGAGTCAGGAAGTGATGTACACAGTGGGCTTTTGTGAGCCGGGAGGTCACTCCAGCACACCATCGCATCTTAGGATTTGTGCTTTTACAAAGGAACGCAGTGCCTGGCACGCAGCAGGCCAGGACAGGGCCTCTCTGATTTTGGGTTAGTTTCCAAGTCTGGGGACCTTCTTTATAGCTTCTTCCTGTGTCTACTCATGGGCCAAAAGAAAATTCTATGAGGTTTCAACTCCTCTATCAAAGGATAGGTAACCATAAGGAAGCCTAGAACCCTTGTTATATGTAAGGGCTATTCCAGGAGCATGGATTATTCCATTTCTTTCTTTCTTTTTTTTTCCAGGAAAGAGATATAAACTCCCTCTACGACGTCAGCAGAATGTATGTGGATCCCAGTGAAATCAATCCGTCCATGGTACGGTGCCGAACCTCCAATTCACATGATTTTGGAGTCACGAGGCTGATGTGGATTCCATCTTGTTCCCATGGCAGTTATAACAGGGCAAGGGAAGACTTTGGAAAACCTGGCCAAAATAATTTTTTTTTTTTTTTGAGAAGAAAGGATGATTGATAATATCAAGCCTAGTTTCAGGGAAAATGTTAATAGAATTCCATCCAAATGCAACAGTGTTTTGCTAAAATTCTGAGGTTTGACGAACCACCTTTGGGCCAAATGGCTTCTAATGAAAAGTCTTTCAAATGTTTTTGGCTCGCTGACAGAGCCTGTGGTGTTTATAAATTCCATTTGGTTCACTGACCTCCTTGCAGTGCAAATGCTATCTCATATTCCCACCCTGACTCTGTTGTGTAATTTCATGCAGGTAGGGATGGATTTTACTTTCAGCCCTCGGCTCCTCCTTGCCATGCTTTCATCTCAAATTTAGTTTGAGCCGGCAGAGGAAGAACCACAGCGAATTTTCTGTTTGGGGGCCATGTGGCACACAATTAGTGTACAACGCTCACTTAGGAAGGGGCCCTGCTTGTGGGCTCTGTTGAAATCCAGAGATGACTTTCTTTTTCAAAAATTTATAATCCATGGCCAATGCAGATCTGTTTCAGAAAGAAATGAAATCTTGAAAAGTTGTGGGCAAATTGAGCTGTGTGTGAAATGCATTAAGAGACCTTAGTAGCAAAAACTTTTGTTAGTAGTGAAGGATGTTTTGGCGATGAGAACAGTCACCTCTCTAACTGATGACTTTTCCTTCCTGTGGCCTTGGAGACTGGCTGGTCCTTATATCCACCCTTGAAGCAGGATACGCAAGTAGAGGCTGCTCTGTTTGCAGGTGGGGGAGAGAAAGGCAAGGGTACTGCTTAGCCTCTGGCCTCCAGCTGCAGATCCCTGTGGCAGAGCTCCTAGAACCCACATTGCTTCTTATGAAACATCATGCACTATGGCACTAACTCACATTGATGGATCCAGTTCTGGGCTGAGCCACTTAAAACAGCTGGTCGATGTGGGGCAAATTACTTTCTCTCTCTGCATCTCAGTTTTCTCATCTGCAAAATGGGCATACTCATATAACTACTTACCTGTTATGGTTGCTTAAGGATTAAAGGAGATACCTTAAGGCTTGGAATAATGCTTTAGCGATACTATAGTTAGCACTTAAGAAGTGCAAGCTGTTGTCAGTTTTATCATTATACACATGATCTCATTTAGTAGTCTTAACAACCCTGTGAAATATATAAAAATTTAATTCCCATTTCACAGACGGGGGAACTGAGGATCAGAGAGACTCAAACTTATATCATTATTCAAGGGCAGAGCAATGATTTGAACCTACATATCTGACTCTGTAGCCTGTGTTCTGAGGAAAAATTTTACTAGGTTCCCTGTGAAATTCCTGTTCCCATTTCCTTTGGGTGGGAGGAGAAGGAAGCTGCTCATTTAAACAGGTTTGACAACGTCAGAGCTTTTCCCACTAACATTTGCTTGCCGTGTGGGTGTTCATTTATGCCCGCCAGGCAGAAAGCATGAAAGCAAATTCATTGAAGAAAATTTCTAACCAAGGAAGTTCTATCTTATTTAGTTCTGTGAACAGAGACCACCTTTTGATGAATTTCATGGAGGAGAAGCTCAGTTACTCTTGCAAAATGTCAGGGTCCTGCAGGAGTGTAGATAGGGGACTGCTGACCTACAAAAACAGAGCAATGAGGCCCTCAGGACAGGCAGGAAGAATGGGGTTGCCCTTGAGCTTCTGGGAGGCTTGCTGAGCACCGGCACTGTGATGACAGTCTTGGCTTAATCTAAAAGGCATGTCCTTTCTTTGTTGAGGAAATTGAGCAATATTGTGTCACTACAATATAGGGTCACTCCCACCCTAACCCTAAGCCTAACCCTAACCCCAGCGCTAAACCCTAGCCCCAAACCCTAACTCCTAACCCCTAACCCTTAACCCCAACCCAGGTACCCTTGGCTCTGACTAGGCCAGTTCTCCTTCACTCCCTGGTGGCTTTTTGGGGCCTTCGATCCTTTGCAATGCCAGTCCCTCTCCAGCAGATGACTTTGTAACCTTGGCCTGAAGCCTCCTGCTCCCCAATGAGAAGAACCAAATGGTACCTGGGAACGCAGCCGCCTCCCTCCCCTCCTGTCCCTGGCCTGACCTTTTCCTTCTTGTTTTCCCTGAAAGCCTCAGAGAACCGTGAAAGCTCTGTATGACTACAAAGCCAAGCGAAGCGATGAGCTGAGCTTCTGCCGTGGTGCCCTCATCCACAATGTCTCCAAGGAGCCCGGGGGCTGGTAAGGCTGAGTGGAGGCTGGGCTGCTCGGCAGGTGGGCTTGACTTGTCCCTTCTTGGTGATAAGACTCAGGTGCTGGCCAAGTCTGACCCCCTTTGTCATCCTGGGCTGGCTTTGACCTCTTGTGTTAAGTCCCTTCTTAGGAAGGTGGCTTGGTGCATGCTCTATTTGAGAAAATGGATAAACAACAATATTAACAGGTATCGACATATCATATCATATATTGTATATTATTATAATTACAACAGCAGCTACCATTTATTGAAGTCTTTCTAAGTGGCAAGCAGTCTGCTAATTGCTTTCCATGCATTGTCTAACCAAATCTTCAACCAAATCTTCATTACTCCCTGTGACAAAAGATGCGGCAAATGAGACTTTCCAAGTCACACAAATAAATACTAAATACTAAATAGTGCAGGCGCTTTCCAATACACAAGACTGTGTGTTATTTCCAATTCAAATTCGTATGCTGTTCCATAGTCCCGTGCTGTGTGCAATGGCCACATCCTGAATTGAAGACAATACGTTTTTCGTGCAAAGGTACCTGGGTATGCTAGGGTTTAGTTACCACTTCGCTTTTTAACCTTAGAAGAAAAATTCACTGCCCACTGATAGGTTTCTGGGGAAGTGGTTTTGTGGGGTGACTTCTGTCTGAGAGCAATAAGAACTTGCTCATAATAGTGAGCACTGGTTTAAGCACCTCATAGACTGGCATTTCTGCCTCCCACAAGATAACTGGACCTGGCTTAGGAATCTGAATAGCAGCATGCATGGAGTGCTTCTATGTGTCAAGCACTGTTTTAAGCACGTTTGAAATAACTCACTTCATTTGAAATAACTGAGTCTACATGATGACTGTAAAAGGTTGGTTCTGTTGTTACCTGCATTTTACCGATGAGGAAACTGAAGCCTTCAGAAGTGCAGTCACTTGTCCAGGGCCACATAGCAGGCTGAGATTTGAACCGCCAGGCCTTTTGACTCCAGAGCTTACACTCTTAACTCCATTCATCTGCTAAGTCCTTCCCTGTCCTCTTGCAAGATGCCTTAATCCAGGGATTATCAAACTTTTTCTTAAAATCAGGAGAACCTCATTGCAAACCAATTCATACCTAGATTCCACAGAATCAAAGATGCAGCCGAGTTACCCATTGAGCTGGAGTGGGGGCGTAGAATTGCCCTGTTTGGCCTCCTTGCTGACATTGCTGTTCCTACTGCAGCCTCTGATGCTTCCCCTTGGAGGCTCCCAGACCCAGTTGGGCAACCACAGTGTTGTCCGTCTGCTTCTCCCAGTTCAGAGGCTCGGCTTTGCCGAAGTCCCTCCACTCGAAGTGGCACAGAGTTGAGGTCTCTTCCAGGCACACTGGCGTTCCCTCACTGGGCTCCTGTCCCTGCCTTGGTCAACATCCTGGTGCGCACTGGGTGGGTGACTAACAACATTTTTGGAGTTGTGGCTGGAGCCCAGGTGACTACTCCAAATCACGGTTTTCCATTCTGTGTGAGATGGCCTCATGCCTTTCTATGCCTCTGACAGGCAGTTCTCTGAATTTCGAAGGCTCTTGTCTTAAGAGACTGTCAGAAGTCCCTTTGGCAAGGGACTGTGGGCAAACCGCCCAGCGGCTGTGGTCAATTCCTCTCTCTGATGGCAGTAGTGCTACCTAGGGGGCCGCCTGGGTGAAACCGGCTTTTTTGCATACTTCCAAACTGGTTCCCTGTAGCTAGGGGACCAAACAATTATTGTCTGAACCAAGATGCTCCTGAGAGTGAAGAGAATGTAAAGTGCTCAGTCCTGGACAGATGGTATATATGATCGCCGTAAATACAGCCAGCCCTTGCCAGAAGTGGGTCTGGAGAAATGGTGCGGGGGGGCGTGAAAAGGGCTTACAACCCGCAGTCCTGTGTCTCTGCTAGGTGAATTGGTAGCATCAGTCCTCACTCTGCTTATTCAGACCAAAAAATTGTTAAGTTCTTCCCACCACCACGGAGCACAGACTTGATTAAGATCCAGAAAGGTCAGCCGGGTGCAGTGACTTGCGCCTGTAATCCCAGCACTTTGGGAGGCCGAGGCGGGTGGCTCACTTGAGGTCAGGAGTTTGAGACCAGCCTGGCCAACCTGGTAAAACCCTGTCTCTACTAAAAATACAAAAATTAGCCAGGCATGGTGGCCCATGCCATAATCCCAGCTACTGGCGGGGCTGAGGCAGGAGAATTGCTTGAACCTGGGAGGCGAAGGTTGCAGTGAGCTGAGATCGTGCCATGCACTCCAGCCTGGGGGACAGAGTGAGACTCTGTCTCAAAAAAAAAAAAAAAAAAATCCAGAAGGATATCATATAGAGGGGAAGACAGATGTATAATTATACGTTAAGTATAAGATGTGGCTGCTTGGATGACTGTGGGGACAGGATGCCAGGGGACCACAGAGGAAGAGTGCTCAGCCTAGGGGGCAGTCAGGGAAGACTCCGTGGGAGAGGAAATGCCCAAGCTGAGTCTTAAATTAGTGGGGGGAAGTTGGGTACCAAGGGCATGGGCCAAGGCATGGAAGCTAGGCAGCATGGCAGGGGCATGATAGGGACGACGGGCCAGCTGGAGTCAACATCATGGAGAGTTAGGAGGTGATGTCTGGGAGTCCTGGGGTCAGACTGTGCTGGGCCGTGGCTGCCATGTTGAAGAGTCTGGGCTGGATTCTGGAGGCCCTGGGGAGCCATCATGTGGTGTGGTCAGAGGTGCATTTTGGAGAGTCCCTGGCTGCGGAAAATAGCTCAAGAGATGGGCAGGTTGAAGGAGGGCGTTTGCATGTCTGGGCACGGCCTTGCCGGGAGGAATCTTAGAGGTGCTCACCGTCTGGTGGGGTCCAGGAACATTCATAGATGGATTATGTCCCGTGTTGTTAGTGTTGTTATAAAGATAGGGAACAATGTTTTAGCTGAATAATAATAAGAGCTAACACTATTGAGTATTTACTGTGTACTAGGTAGGCGCTGTCCCAAGCACTCAGCTTATGTTAATTTAGAGTCCTAATAAAACCCTCTGAGGGAAGCACTCACGTTTATGCATTTTTCAGATGGAGAGTTGGAGGCACAGAAAGCCTCCACCGTCAGTGGTAGAGCTGGAGTTTAATTCCAGCCTGTCTGCCTCCAGAACCACCTTCTCTCTAAATTCACAACCTCCCCGAAATAGGGGTGAACTTTTGTCTTGTATGGTCTCTGACTTCCACGTAAAGCATGGAAACTTTTGACTTGTGATCTTTGATTAAACATTAAGATCATGTGATGGGGGTAAAATCAGCCCCCAGTAACTCATTAGTAATTAAAAAATAAAAAGACAGCAGTTGCCTTTGAGATGCTCCATTGTCACAGATAGTGACACTGGTCACTTGGCCACTTGCTGTCTGTCCCCATCAGAATTGAGCCAGCAGCCGGGTGCAGATGAGCAGTAGTGGGTAATTCATGCCACCTGGTGACAGCGCCCCCATGTCCTCTCTTCTTATCCAGGTGGAAAGGAGACTATGGAACCAGGATCCAGCAGTACTTCCCATCCAACTACGTCGAGGACATCTCAACTGCAGACTTCGAGGAGCTAGAAAAGCAGGTGAGTCCCCCTCTTCGATCCTCTTACAGGAAGAAGGGATCTGCAGGTCCAGTTTTTCAGGGAGCTGTGCCATCTCAGTGGGTGAATTTTTCCATGTGCTGCTTGTGGTCTCTGTGGAGCTCTGGATCAGGGAAGACACAGTGATGATAGGGAAATTGAGATTGAGTTGTTGTGGGTGAGTTGCTGTGACAAGCCGGCCGTGTTTTAATCAGGTTGTGTTGGGCTTGGAAGGATTTCATTATGCAGGAGAATTCCCGCTGGAGTGAAAGTGACCAAATGGGGAATTTGTCCTTTGCTTAAGCAACTTGCAGATGAAACACATTTATATTGGACAGCCAGACATTGAGAACGTGCTTGGGGCGAGTAAGCAAGTGGGCCTAACCAGAGGTGAGATGAGGCCTTCCTGGTGACTTTGCAAACCTGGTGGTTGTTCCCTCGCCGCCTCTTGTTTAGAGAGCAGCCACTTTCAGCGTGCTAGCACTCCACCAAGGATGATATCTTTGTAATGAGGATTTTAAGATCCCGTTAGACCCCCAGGTGTTTATTTTCTAAGGGATGTAGGGCAATCTGGGAAGGCTTCCTGGAGGAAGGAGTATTTGACCCTTAAAAGTCAAGTTAGAGTTCAACAGCAAGAGACTGGCAGAAGAGAGGTGCAAGTGGGAGGTACAGTCTAAGCAAAGGTGTGGCAGTGGGAATGTGGTTGTGTTCCGTGTGCTTGGGCTGAGGCAGAGACTGGAAGCCCTTGCTTCCTCTGTACTGAGTTGCCCTTACCTGTACATCAGCATTTACCTGGTGCAGGGGGTGGGGTTTGGGGTGGTGCAGGCAAGGAGTGGATGCCTGGTTCTGCCACCTCTCCTAAGCCCAGGATATTCTTCATCTCAGCCAGACCCTGGGATGGTTCAAGGGTGCAATGGGAGGCAGAGCTGGAAAGGGTGATGGGGGCTCTGAAAGTCTTAAAAGCCAGGTCATAGAGCATGGGTGTTGCTTCCACAGGACATGGGGAGCCACAGAAGGTTCTTGAGCCGGGCTTTAGTAGGCAAAATAGTCTCATTTTCTAATAAGGTCAGATAAATAGTCTAGGATGTGTTTGGAAACCAGATCTGAGGAAGCATTATGAAACCTGTTCTAGAATTCACAAGGCACGTTTTTACGGATTGGAAAATGAAACTCCGAACCTCCTGGCACCCTCTCCCCGCCAGGTCCCTATCAGCTCCATGCTTCATTATTTAGCTCTCTCCCCATGGACGTATCTGGTAATGAAAATGCATTTTAAACAGTTCCACAGGCAGTATCTCTGCTAAACGGTGTGCTTTGGAAACGGGTTTTCTTTTTATTATTCCCGTTACAACTAACGTGAGTTATGTCTTGTTTCTTCACAGATTATTGAAGACAATCCCTTAGGGTCTCTTTGCAGAGGAATATTGGACCTCAATACCTATAACGTCGGTACGTGCACACATCATCTTAGCCTGGATTTCCACCCCTATCCCCCATGGGCTGACCTCAGCCCCGCCCTACACAGGGAGGTGGCTGACACAGGGTCCTGTCTTGAATGCCAGCTCCTTCCCTGGCTGAAGCTGAGTATTTAGGTCAGGCTGGTCAGTGAGTATGATGCTATGTCTGCTATTAATCTCTACTAAAACTGTAAGTGCTAAAACAAGGTCTCGTACATAAGTGCTAGATGGTGGTTAGCGGATATTATTACCAGCGTCACTCTTATTATTTCAGGATCCATCTGTGTTTCCCATGCGTTGCGAAGGAAAGCTGAGCTGTCAGCCTGGCTGAAATGCAGCGTGGAGTTGGGAGTCTTGGGTTCTAAACCCAGCTCTGCCTCTCTGTCGCTGTGAGACTACAGGCCTGTCACTTCTCCTCTTTGAACCTCTGCTTCCTGGTTGCTCGGCTGGGGCCCAGGAAACCCAGCCCGCCCACGTTGACCATGCTGCAACGGGATGTGAAGGCGTGGCCCCAAGGCTAGGCTTGTCCAGTGGTGGCCAGGGTCTGATGTGTGCTGGGTTTCCTGGGTCTTGAGCCTGCCTGCTTTGAAGTGGGTGTGGTGCAGCTCCCATGTGAAGGGACTCTGTAGCGGGCCTCCTTGTTCTGGGCAGCCCATGACCCTCCCTGGGCAGGCACGGGCATGCTCCCCTAGGACTCAGGTGACAGCAGCCCCAGGAACTTCCTGCTTCTATTGCCAATGCTCTGCTTTACACATTCATTCATTTATTATTATTTCTTTTCGCGATAGAGTCTCGCTGTGTCACCCAGGCTGGAGTGCAGTGGCGTGATCTTGGCTCACTGCAACCTCTGCCTCCTGGATTCAAGTGATTCTCCTGCCTCAGCCTCCTGAGTAGCCGGGACTACAGGCATGGGCCACCGTGCCTGGCTAATTTTTGTATTTTTAGTAGAGCTAGGGTTTCGCCATGTGGGCCAGGCTGGTCTCAAACTGCTGACCTCAAGTGATCTGCCTGCCTTAGCCTCCCAAAGTGCTGGGATTACAGGCATGTGCCACCATGCCCAGCCTGCTTTCCACATTTATAACCTGCTTCTTTACCTTTACAATGATCCAGCAGGATAGGTAGGAGAGGGATTCTTTGCTCCGATTACCAGATGGGAAAATCAAGGTCCTAAGTGACCGACCACCACATGTGCTGAGGTCCTTTGGGCAGGGGGGTGCAGGATCCCTGCATCCACTTCTGGTGCTCTTTGTATCATCTTCCCCCATCCCTGTATCTGCAGAGCAGAGGCACATGGCTCATTGGTTCTGAGTAGAAATCTTGGAGTCAGGTTTGAACTGAGCCTCAGTTTTACTACTACTAGCTGTATGACTTTCCACATGTGACTTTCTCTTAATGAGCCTCAGTTTTGCCTCCTGCAAAATGGGCCTAGCAAAAGCAGGGTGCCTTTAGTCTCAGCTACTCAGGAGGCTGAGGTGGGTGGATCCCTTGAGCCCCAAGAGTTTGAGACCAGCCTGGATAATGTAGCAAGAGCTCAAAATTAAAAAAATAAAATAAAATAAAGATGCAATACATGTAATCTGCTTAGAATATTGCCTGGTATATAAGAGCTCAGAAATCTTAGCTACTAATATTATTTGGCAGATAAGTTTCCCTGTCATAATCTTTTCTTCTCTGTAAGATCCTTTCTCTGTGTCTGGAGAACCCACGCCACATTTCTCTCCTAGTTTCTGGTGACTCTTTGGTGTTTTTGGCTCATGGCTGCATTCTTCAGTCTCCACATTTGCCTGCACATGGCTTTCTCCCTTGTGTCTGCATCTGTTTTTAAAGCCATTTAGCTGGGTGTGGTGGCTCATTCCTGTAATCCCAGCACTTTGGGAGGCCAAGGTGAGTGGATCGCTTGAGCTCAGGAGTTCGAGACCAGCCCTGGGCAACATGGCGAAACCCCTCTCTACAAAAAATACAAAAATTAGCCAGGCTTTGTGGTGTGCACCTGTGGTCTCAGCTACTAGGGAGGCTGAGGTGGGAGGATCGCATGAACTTGGAAGGTGGAGGCTGCAGGGAGCCAAGATCGCACCACTGCACTTCAGCCTGGGTGACAGAGTGCCACCCTGTCTCAAAAAAAAAAAAAAAAGCCATTTAAATTATTTATTCTTTATATGTAAAAGATTATATGTAACAACATAGAAAATTATGCACAATATGCTAAGTGAAACAGTTCACAAAATTTTATGTATTGTATGTAAACATTTTGTAAAAATGCCAAGTTGCTTAGCTATATTTTAAATATTTTTAAAATGAACATGTATTGTTTTAGTAATTTGTAAAAAATATTTATGATGAGTGTAAAAAGCATTTTCTAATTGGTCAACCAAAAAGATATTCAGTGTTTCTTTTGATCAAGACGAACACATGTCTATAACTAAAGTGGACAAGAGGGTATTTTTTTCAGGTTCTCTCATGCATTTTAATGTTTGTTTTTTTTTCCTGCATCTTAAGTGTCCCTCTCCTTTCTCTTATAAGGATACTCATACTTGTTGGATGTTGGAATTGCCCTAAATCCAGGATAATCTCATATTGAGATCCTTAACCTAAGTACATCTGCAACGACCCTATAAGGTCCCATTCACAGGTACTGGTGACCTGACACATCTTTTCGGAGGACCCTACTGAATCTACTGCATCCCTTGAGTAGTCATCTGTGATGTGTACTTACCCCGATGGAAAGTAGACGTCCCCATCAGTGCTAACCGTGGTCATAGCAGTGGTGGTTGGTCCATGAGAGAAACAGCTCAGGCAGGGTGCAGTCTGGTCTTTGTGGCCCTCTAATAGGCTGATTGGGACATTTCTTATTCTCTTACCCCAAGTGAAAGCCCCTCAGGGAAAAAACCAGAAGTCCTTTGTCTTCATCCTGGAGCCCAAGCAGCAGGGCGATCCTCCGGTGGAGTTTGCCACAGACAGGGTGGAGGAGCTCTTTGAGTGGTTTCAGAGCATCCGAGAGATCACCTGGAAGATTGACACCAAGGTAGGCACCTGCTCACCCGGGTGCAGGTGGGCCTGGCATTCTGAGGGCTTTGGTGCTCAGTTGGGACTGTGGGTGGGTCCAGGCAGCAGGATGAGCAGGCCCAGGTCCTACTCAGAATTCAGGAAGGAGACCAGGTGGATTCAGACAATTGGAGCACCTCTTGTTAGAGAGAGGCAGGGATAGTGGAGGTGCCCTGGGAAGGTGGGTCTGGTTGTCTGGTTCGAACCTTCAGAAGGCTGAGTGCCTGCAGCAATGCTCATTGATGATGTCTTTGCGGCCCTACATATCTTACCAAGGAAGTTACTGCCTTCCTCATTTTGAATATTTTCTTTCTAAGTATCATATAAAGCAGTCTGGATCCTCCTGACAGAAAACGTTCACTGAGCTCACCTGCCTGGAGCTGGAATGGGCTCTGGGAACATAGCAAATCAGCGAGACCCGGTTCTTTCCGGTGGAGGAACTTCCCCTCTAGATGGGAGTGACCTTTTCAGGGCTGTCCTACCTGAAGTACTAGTCTCTGGCTGGAAGTGTTTTGGGAAGGTGTGAGCTTCTGGATAAGAATAGGAGGTCTGGAATTGGGCAGACTGGAGTTTGCATCCTGGCAGGGCTGGACCCTGGGCAAGTAACCACACTTCTCTGGGCCTCAGTTTCCTTGTCTGCAAAATGAGGAGCCAAATTCCTAACTCACAAGTACTTAATCACTGCCTTATCATTATATCAGAGCGACATGGGAAAGTGCCACCCTGTCTTCGATGATGGAGTAAGGGCTGTCTGTTCTTGTGGCTGCCGAACTGGAAAGAAATTGTAGGGTTTCCCATGCACCCATTTGTTTCTAAGGTAGAACTTGACCCAAAGGGCTGATTAAAGCCTTCCTGGGGCCTCTTGTGCCCTCTGACTTCTGGCTAGAGTCAGTGAGTCTCTCCTCCAAGATAGTCACCCACCAGTGGCCAGGTCATTTTTTTCCCCTTGGGAGGGCCTCACATCTTGGCCAGTCCCTGGTCACGAGAGGATCCTTGACTCACTCAACTCTTCTGCAGGGAAGTGTCCTCTTTAGGAGACTTTGCAGAGGGGACTGGTCCATGGGTGCCCTCGCTGGTGGGGCATCGTCTTTCTCTGACCCAGGAACTCCTGGGGGCCTTCCCTAGGGCTCCTAATTCTTCCCATGGCTTTTCACACCACCAGCCATGGGGGAGGAACCATGAGCTTGTAGCCAGCTGCGCTGTCCTTCTGGCTTTCCCAGTGAAACCATCTCTTCTGCCCTCCAGTGTCTCTGATGCCACAGTACAGCTCTGAGGCACAGGGAGGTGCCACGACCCTGAGGTTTATTTAAAAAATCTCCAAATAGTGCACTCCAGCTCTCTCTACTTTGCTTAATGTGGAAAAGTGTTATTTCCCTAGAAGGCTCTGTCTCTCCCCTGCCTCACACCTCCTCTCCTGCCGCGTGAAGGTTCCTGAAATGAAGCTGAGCTGTTCAAGGTTGCTGTTGGCGGCCTTTGGTCTGCATTCCTCTCTAACTGGTTTTTATATTTACTGAGATTTCATGAGAATGATTTTTAAAGTCCTGTTATTACATCTGAGGGGTAAAAAAACTGGGACAGTAGAGTTGACGGAGTTCCCACACTGGGCACAGCTACCCCTTTTGCGGAGCTGGTGTTGGGGAGCAAAGGAAGAAGGCCCCATCCCACTCTTGGGAAACCAGCGGCGGATAAACTCTTTGTCACTGCCAGGACCTCTGCCTGTCCCTAAGTGCCCGCATTGTTACACGGTCTGTAGCCACCTCATTGATGGCAGAGGGCAGTCACAAAATCCTTCTAGTTAGTGGGTTTCCAGAGCCTCACCAACTGTATTGTGACTTCCCATTCTGAGATGGCTTGAGGGGTGACAGCTGCAGGCCTGGAGAGTAATTGTCATGCTGTTTTTTGTTTTTTTTTTTTGAGACAGAGTCTCACTCTGTTGCCCAGGCTACTCAACTTCTTTGTTAAATGGAGATAATTCTCCCTGTCAGGGTGTGGATTGACTTAGGTAATATCCCTCAAGTGCTTAGCCTGTGACGGCTAGAGCTAAGCACCCCCCAAACAGTCACCATTATTATCTAAATATTCTCTCAAGGTCCCCCCTTGGCCAATAAAAGTCTGATAGAATTTGGGGAGGCCCAACAGGGTTGCCTGCTTTGGGGTGAAGTGAGAAGCTCATCCTTACATGCAAGGAGTTAGATTTGATGGTGGGTCTTCTGAAGGGAGGTACCTCCTGAGTCCATGGCACATGGCCTGGGCACTGGGTAGTGGTCCCCTTGGACAGAGCCCTGATGGGCAGTCAGAGCTGGGGAGCAGGTGTGCAGGTTTTGAGGGTGCAGGGGATAGAGAGTTATGACGAGGATGCTGGGGTCCACAGAGCCCCCGAGGATTTGAAGAACTAGAATTTGAGACACTCTAACAGTGTGGCTTTAGGGGAGGGGACAGGAGGCAGAGTTAAAGACAGAGGGGTGGTGACAGAGAAGAGCCCCCTTCCATCCTGACCTCACCTATATTTGAGGGCTGTGGCCAGGACTGAGCTGCACACCAAAACCTCGTGGAAACAGCTTTGTCGAGAATTTTCACAGTGAGAGGAAGAAACGAGAGGGGCAGGGTTGTCTTCAGGAAAGGAAAACATTCAACCATATTAAAGATCCGAGTGTGCAAGAAAGCAAAGTGGGGATGGAGGAGGAAAAATGCAGGGCGAGCTGGGAAGATGGGATTTCTCGGGGGCGGGCACTAAAGACAGTGAACTCCAAACAGGAGAACAACATGAAGTACTGGGAGAAGAACCAGTCCATCGCCATCGAGCTCTCTGACCTGGTTGTCTACTGCAAACCAACCAGCAAAACCAAGGACAACTTAGGTAACATCTTTCCCAAGAACATGCCCTATAACTCCAATGAAAACTTAACTTCCTTTAGAGTCTGATATTTTCAGAGGGGGCAGAGAGTGCATTCTCTCATTCTTAACTACTCCCAGTAGATGGCCCCACCTTGGGTTTGTCCTCCGAGTGAGGGAGCTGGTGGCAGAAGCTTTTTTGGTGTATTAGTCCATTTTCATGCTGCTGATAAAGACATACCCAAGACTGAGTAATTTATAAGGAAAAAGAGGTTTAATGGACTCACAGTTCCACGTGGAGGAGGCCTCACAATTATGGCAGCAGAGGAGAGAGAATGAGAAGCAAGTGAAAGGGGAAACCCTTATAAAACCATCAGATCTCGCGAGACTTATTCAGTACCACAACAACGGTACAGGGGAAACCACCCCCATGATTCAATTATCTCCTATCGGGTCCCTCCCATAACACGTGGGAATTATGGGAGCTACAATTCAAGGTGAGATTTGGGTGGGGACACAGCCAAACCATATCACCCACTTAGTGGGTGGATTTAGTTCTTACTGCCATTACCACAAACTTGGTGGCTGAAAACAACATTTATTCTTGCACAGTCCTGGAGGCCAGAGTCTGAAATCAGTATCATGAGGTCAACATCAGGGTGCCAGCAGGGCTGTGCTCCCTCCGGAGGGGAAAGCCATTCCCTTCTTCCAGTTTCTGGGGGCTGCTGGCATTCCTTGGCCTTCTCCTCTTCTGCTTCCCTATTATAAGGACCCTTGTGATGCATTAGGTCCACCTGGATATTCCAGAATAAGCCTCCCATTTCAAGCTCCTTAATCACACCTGCAAAGTCTGTTCTGCCATATAAAGTGACATGCACAGGCTCCAGATATTAGGGCCTGGACATCTTTGGGGGCCATTTAAAAAAAAAAAGACCTTCTACCACATTCTCCAGGTAGCAAGCTTTTTGATGATGCTGTACGTATTTTTTTCTTTGGGTGTTTTGAGCTGCTTCCATATCTTTCATCTTAGAACAGAAGACCAGCCAGACAATACTAGACCCCTCAGTTAACTTACCGGGAGGCCAGTCCCTAGGAACTTCTACCTTCAGGGACTCAGCAGGCTCAGCATGTTGACTGCCGGGCTATCCCACCACAGCTGGATGGGAGAGAAGATGAGGCCTGTCCCCTTCCCTCTCCTCCTGTTCTCCCTTCCCTGCACAGGCACCCACATTGCAACCCTACCTGTGGGCTTTGGCAGGTGATTCTCAGTTTGTTCATCTTGTGTCTGTGGTCTCTCTGGATCTTCCCCTCCCAAGATCTTCTCCTACCCAAAACCATTCCCATTCTCCCTCTTCTATAACTGTACCACTTTTGTGTTTTCTTGTTCAAGGATGGTGATAGTTTAAAAAAAAAAGTAAATTACAGTAATTCTAGCCTAAAAGGTGGTGGGAAAACTAGGCCCCTTTTTAATACTTGGAACCCCCAGAGGGCAAGAGTCCACAGTGATACCAATTGGGACAATATCATCAGAACCCCTTGAATGTCAAAGAGGGAGATTCCTGGTTTCCTTTTATAATCTGAGCATCCAGCCATTGCAGCAAACATTAAGAAAATGCACAGATGAGACACAGAAGTACTGATGACCTTTTTCTCTGTGTGCAGAAAATCCTGACTTCCGAGAAATCCGCTCCTTTGTGGAGACGAAGGCTGACAGCATCATCAGACAGAAGCCCGTCGACCTCCTGAAGTACAATCAAAAGGGCCTGACCCGCGTCTACCCAAAGGGACAAAGAGTTGACTCTTCAAACTACGACCCCTTCCGCCTCTGGCTGTGCGGTTCTCAGATGGTGGCACTCAATTTCCAGACGGCAGGTAAAGGCCGACTGAAGGTAGTCCCGTCCCTGCAAGGTGGCGGTTGCAGTCACTCCAGGCCGAGTCACCTTGGGTCAGCGATACCATGTGGTGTCCAAGAATGAGTGATTTGTCCGAGGGACTGCACGGTTCAGCAGAGTAATGGTTAGTATGAGGTCCAGCAGCTGAATGGAGGGATGAGAGGACCGAAGGCTGCTTGGCTTACGCAGGCTTCGTGATTGTAAGTAAGTGACAGAGGCTGAGTTAGTCTGGCTTAGAAAAAGAAAATGCATTAGTTCATGTAATTAAAGCATCTTTGGAGTTCTCTTCTCCAGGCCTGTTGCTGTGTGAGGGCTTTCTGCTCAGACTTTCTTCCAGAGACATTTACATGCTGGCATAACTAACATACACAAACTTCTGGACACAAAGTGATCGCATAAATCACGGGGCTTTGTGCTTTTGTTGTTGTTATTTAAGACCTCTTTCGAGGGATCTATTCATCAGTAGCCTCCTTTACATTCTTTTTATAGCCACATCGGATTCCACAGAATGGAACAATCATTTATTTAATAAGTCCCCGTGGAGGCACATGTAGGTATTCCCCATTATTTGCTGTCATAGACAGCACTGCCTTCTGTACCCTGACGTGAGCGCCATTCCACAGATGTAGGAATATGTCTATGGGACAGAATTCTCAGAAAGGCAGGGTGGGTCAAACAGCGCTTGCATTTTGATCAACTTTGCCCTGAGGAAAACCACTGAAGACGTGCCTGAGCTAAGCCACACTGCCAAACTGCCCTCCATAGAGATCGTGGGCGGGGATGCAAATAGGTGGAGGTTGGAGTACGCTCTTTTGGTATGACTTCGCTGAGTTTTGTTGAACTTTTTGCCGTTTGCACAACTGAGAGGTGAAAACTGATACATCGTCGTCCATTAGAGCTTCTTCTTGTAAGGGACATTAACCAGTTTTTCCCTCATTTAGGGAGCAGTGGCATTTTCTTTTCTGGGAACTATTTGTGCTTCTTACCTGATGTATCTACTGCAGTAGGTATTTATAGCATAGATGTATCAGAACTAAGAGGTTAAAAATTTATATTCACATATTTGTCATTTGAATTAAAATTGCCTATGCAATTTATTGCTACATAGACACTTTTAGCAAGTTTGAATCTTTTCTTTTATGATTCGGGATTTGGTGACATACTTGGAAAGGTGTTCCCCAGTCTGGGAGTTTGCTGTCTAGAAACCCTATATTTTCTTTGAGTGAGATACCTATTTGAACAGCTGCCTCACATTAATTTGGGGAAAAGGTGAAATTCATTCCCCACCTAGAAACTCCTGGCCTAGGGGGCCAGCGTGCTCATGCCTGACTTACAGCAGGCGTTCACTTTCCTTCCCAGATAAGTACATGCAGATGAATCACGCATTGTTTTCTCTCAATGGGCGCACGGGCTACGTTCTGCAGCCTGAGAGCATGAGGACAGAGAAATATGACCCGATGCCACCCGAGTCCCAGAGGAAGATCCTGATGACGCTGACAGTCAAGGTAAAGCCAGCCCTCCCTTCCTGCCAGGGGAGCCAGCCGCCCTCCCTGGGGGCTGGGCCGATGCTGTCTTGAGAGCAGGGAACCCATGTCTAGGGAGGCTGGTTGTCTTGTTTAAACGATCCCCATTCAGGCAGTGTTTGAGGATCTTTCTTTCTTACAGTACACTCCGGGGTCGTTCTGGGAGAAGAGGGAAGAGAGGGGAAACCTCCTCAAACCCACTTCCCCTTGTCCTCTGTGGGGGTGAGGTATGACCCTATCTTTCTGGGGTCCTGGTGAGGTCAGCCTCTGGCCGGAAAGAGAAAGAAAACATGGGAAACAGCCATTTGGTCTTAATGGAGAAGTTTTTTCCCTTACTTTGTCCAATTCCAGGGCTTTTTAAAATTCATCTGACTTTCAGAGAAAGTGTTGTTGCTTTGTAAGAATTTTTGAAAAGTAGAGAAATGAATTGCATTTCTCCTAAGGTTAAGGGCGGGCGGGTGGTAGGGGGAAGAAGCATACGTAAACACAGGCCTTTAAATAAACAGCAGTTATAAAAAGAATGCCACACTGTTCCTCAGCCTTTCCTAGGGGTGTGGAAATCCAGTGATTAAGCTCTGCCTTGATCAGAGGCACCTGCTTGGGCATGGATGTGTGCATTCATGAGCTCAGGTGAGTTTTACCTGTTGAGTCAGGTGGCATATGGGGCCGAGACCCAGGCTGATGCTGAGGAACTGTGGGATCTACCACAGTCCACCTTCATCCACTGCAGAAGGTTGCTCCGGCTTTTCCAGTGAATCTAGGAAAATTAGGGCTGGCATTGAACTCATCCAGTGTCACTCTAGAACCCAGCTGCAATCCACGCTAGGCTGCCTGTTCAGGACCCCAGGGGGGTTCCAATGCTTCCCTTTGGTGTCCCAGGTTCTCGGTGCTCGCCATCTCCCCAAACTTGGACGAAGTATTGCCTGTCCCTTTGTAGAAGTGGAGATCTGTGGAGCCGAGTATGACAACAACAAGTTCAAGACGACGGTTGTGAGTAAGTCAGTCACCTTGGCCCCTCTGCTTTTAAACGTCCGGCCAGTGAATCCTTTGTGGGAGTGCTCTTCGTGGGGGATTTTGCAATGCTCTTTAGTTGTCCCAGGGTTTTCTTTCCTCCCTCTTGCCCACATGGTTCAGCTTGAGGAGGGGATACATACAAAGGGCCACTTTCTGAAATCCTTAGACTTTCCCCAGTGCTGTTTGCCTGCCTGTAACTCAAGTCCGGAATCGTAGGTGAGGCCCTGACACTAGGTTGGTCCTCTCTGTGCAACAGCCCAATCTGATTAATCTCCTGAGTCAAAGGCCAAGAGGCAGAGACACAGAGAGAGGGGGTGAACCTACGTGGCTGACCTGACCCAGAGGATCAGCCTAACCTGGGAGATCTTAGCCCCTAGAGGGCAGGAGGGACAAGAGGAATGCTTGCTCTTCCAGGAAAAGCCAGGAGGGAACCGTGATTGGTGGGCCTTCTAAAGCACAGGATCCTTGCCCCTGGTAAAAAGTAGCCCAATGAACAACTCAGATGCTGACCAAATAAACTGGCATTTATGGAGAGTGGCAGGATTGCTGCTTGCCTGCTCTGTGAGGCTGGGCTCTCCCCTGCCAGCTGTAGAACCCCCTGCTGGTGGATGTGGCTCCCAGGCTCTCCTCCCCTTTTGTCTTTTCCAAAATCCACCTTCCTGCTCTGCAAACAAACACCTCCCCCGTTCCCTTGTCCCTGATCCTGGGGCGGGGAGATGGGAGGTGGTCTCCTTCCTCTGCTCACCAAGGGACCAGCCTGCAACAGCAGCTTCCAGGATTGCTCAAGGTGGGGTGGGGGAGTGAAGATAATTATTCAGATTTTCTTAGATCTTGGCATAGATGCATATTTATTTACATGGTTGCTAAGGGGATTCACAGCTGAAGGATGCGGAGATTGTCTTACCAGAAGGGGGCAGCTCCAATGTGGCCTCTCATGAGCTTTGATCTCCTTCCAGATGATAATGGCCTCAGCCCTATCTGGGCTCCAACACAGGAGAAGGTGACATTTGAAATTTATGACCCAAACCTGGCATTTCTGCGCTTTGTGGTTTATGAAGAAGATATGTTCAGCGATCCCAACTTTCTTGCTCATGCCACTTACCCCATTAAAGCAGTCAAATCAGGTAAGAGGCATTTTAATTAAGATGTTCGATTTGGGCTGGCGTTGTACTTTGGTTTGGCTGCTGGCTTCAAAAAGAATGAAAAATGATTTTTCCTGGTTTGGATGGAATCACTGTAAAACCGATTGGGTGGCTTGGAGAGCAGGTGTACAGCCTGTCGTGTAGCACACAGGTGGGAGGAAGTGGGTGACAGGGGAGGCTATGCCCCTCAAAGTGGGATGTTTACAAGCAAAACTGGATTGTTAGTGGATCCTCAACCTGGCACTGCAGTTTGATTTCATTTTGAAATATTACATGCGGTTTGCTTCTCCCTAGCTAGGGCTAAGTCTGGTTTGATCTCCCCCTCCTGCTCTCTGGCTGGCAGTGTGAGAGGGTGGCAAGGGAGAGACCTTTGGCATCTTGGGGGGGGAGTAACAATCTCGAGGGTCCAACTCCCCAAACCCTTCAGAATTCACCTTCTTCTTCTATAAAATTGGGTGGGTTAATTTACTTCTTTGAGTTGTTACAGTTTTCTTCCCTGCTGAAGAAAACACAAGATCCCTTCATGGTATAAGAAGGGTCATTTTGTATTTTTCTGCAACCAAGCCAAGCTGGGTCATACGACCAGCTCTTAAGAACCCTGCTGAATCCCAGATGACTGAGCCCTTCCTACACAGCTGAGATAGACACTTCCAGGTGAGGGGATTTGGGACCCTGCTGCTTCTAGAGCCAGTCATTTACAAAAACAAAAAAAACTGGCTCTCCTTAGCTTCTATATAGTTTCTCTAGTTTACTTTCCCACTGGATCTTTCCCACTGGATTTTAGGTATAATATTTGACAAATAGGCCCTTGCTGGATGTTGAATTTTCCTTCTTCCTCTTCCTTTAGTATTTCTGATGCATGGTGCATGAGATATGAGATCATAGATTCTTCTGGATTCCTCAAGAGGTCACTGTTCCCTTGTTTTCTGAGGATCATTTTTCAAGAGAAAGATGACTGTCATTTTAGTTACTTACATAAAAAAATACAGTCTTTTGATATTGTTTGGAAACGTGGGGCTCAATGAAGAGCTGAATTGGATCTTTTTTGTTTTCAGACATTCCCTCAACTTCCACCTTTTTTTGTATAATATCATAAACCTGACCATTTCTGCTACTGGGCAGGAGCCCAGTTTCTGAGCAGCAGGCATGCTAGAAAATCCAGGTGCTGGCCGGGCACGGTGGCTCACTCCTGTAATCATAATCCCAGCTACTTGGAAGGCTGAGGTTGCACCACTGCACTCCAGCCTGGGTGACAGAGCAAGACTCAGAAGAAAGTGCAGGTTCCTGGACCCACCACAGGGTGATGAGTCAGCCCAGGGTGGGGCCAAGGAATCTGCATCTTTAGGCAGCTCCCCAGATGGTGCTTGGATGGCACTTTGACAGAACCAAACTATGTCAAGGCTGCCTATCTTACCATTGAGGAAATGAATTCCTTAGCAAGTTACTAGATGAAACAAGACTTTGGGAAAATGTTTAAAGTTTCTGATTTTTTTTTTTTTTTGTACTCTAGAAATGTTCATTTTCATGAACATTGCTACTCTAGCAATAATAATGAGTATTCATTTGTAAGAGGCCTGATATTTGGCAACCCTTCTGGGTTAACTCACCCACACTGTAAACTCCCCCTTTTTTTTTTTTGAGATGGAGTCTTGCTCTGTCGCTCAGGCTGGAGTGCAGTGGGTGATCTCGGCTCACTGTAACCTCTGCCTCAGCCTCCTCAGTAGCTGGGACTACAGGTGTACACTACCACATCTGGCTAATTTTTGTATTTTTAGTAGAGACGGGGTTTTGCCATGTTGGTCTGAAAAAAAGTGATGGGATTAAAGGAGTGAACCACTGTGCCTGGCCTATAAACTACTTTAAACCCGGCACTGATCAGGGCTGTGATTCCTTAATTTGCTTCTTTTAGATTAGTCTAATAAGGCTTAGGAATGACACCAATTCTTCTGGTGCAGGAAGTGTAGCTTTTGGTACACCTTTACGTTCCTAGCCTTGACGCTGTAACAGATTTCTTTTTATGGTAACTGCCTGCCAGTTCCTCTACTGAACTCATCCAGCAGAGAGGGGCAGCTGTGCTGAAACCCCTTGGTTACCCCGACGTCCTCTTGAAGGATGAGGGCCTTGAGCCTCATAACCCCTCCCAGTGCCTTGCAGAGATGTCAGAGTTGATGATAAAACCTCGTTACCTTAATGGGCATCAAAGTGTGTCAATTCATCTGCAGAATGCAATGACTTAGCTTGGAGATTTGGAAAAAACAAAGGTCAAAACCTCAAGGGAGATTAAAAATGTGACCTTCTCCTCCCCCGACTGTGAGATACTCTCAGCAGGGACCTTTCCTCACTTCTTTCTAGCTCCTAGCAGTGCCTGGCACATCCATATTCATGGGAGGAATGAAATAGAATGAACAGGAGGCATTGAGGGTCTTCCATACTGAAAAAATAAACTTCACCCATTGTCATTAGAGATGCACTGAAGCTTTTAAACCAGTTGGAGCGCAGGAAGGAAAGCAGCAGCCTTTATTGTGTTAGGTACCTTAAACTCTTTCTCTTTTAATCCTCACAGTAATCCTGTGAAAGGGGTTTTATCTTTGGTTTTAAAATTCTGAGCACTTTGAGGCCGAGAGACTATGACTTAACTTGCTCAAGGTCACACACCTGTAGGACCAGAGCTGAGATTCAAACCCAGGAATGTCTAATTAATTTCGAACCCCGTGTTCCTCCTCTGCAGGCTGCCCTCTCACTGGGTGCTCAAAGCCAGATGCATTGATCTTACTTTAAAAGGTGTCTGTATTTCCCTTTCCCCAGTGAAATGACTAGAAACAAGAAGAAGAAAAACAATTATTTTTTTTTTTTTTATACAAGGAGGGCTGCCCAGTGCATAAAAATGGGACTTGGGCAGCGAGAGAAGGTACATAGAGCTGGAGACAGCTGGTCATGAGGGCAGAGCTCATGTCTCCGATTTAAGAGGCACACGCCTAGTGTCAGATAGTACTGTCCAGCCTGGAACCATGCTATTGGAGTGTAGGGGCTACCTGATAGCCTCCCGGAATGCCATGGAGCAAACAGTCATTCCAGTTCATTCTAACAGTCAATCAGCAGCTAGACTGTATTAGTCCGTTCTCACACTGCTATAAAGACATACCTGAGACTGGGTAATTTATAAAGAAAAGAGGTTTGATTGGCTCACAGTTCTGCAGGCTGTACAGGCTTTTGTTTCTGGGGAGGCCTCAGGAAATTTACAATCCTGGTAGAAGGGGAACAAGCACATATTTACATGGCCAGCAGGAGGAAAAGAGAGCTAGTGAAGGGGGAGGTACTACACACTTTTATTAAACAACCCCATCTCGTGAGAACTCACTATCATGAGAACAGCAAGTGGGAAGTCCACCCCCATTATCCAGTCACCTCCCACCCGGCCCCAGCTCCAACAGTGGAGATCACAATTCAACATGAGATTTGGGTGGGGACACAGAGCCAAACCATAACATAGATTTCTTCACCAATGTCCACAGATTAGCTCATTAGAGATGCAGAATCTCAGGCCTCACCCCAGACTTCCCAAGTCAGAATCTGCATTTTAACAAGATTCACAGGTGATTCACATTTGCATTAATGTTGGCATATCACTGGGCTAGTCTGCAAGAATTCTGAGTCTCTATCAAGGCAAAAAACAAACTAGCAACAAAAATCACATTGTAGCGATAGGGAAAAATAGGTCAGAAAACTTCTTTACAGCAGTATATTCAATGAGAGCAATGTCCCCATAAACCCTACCAGGAAATGAGTGGGTATAAAACATTCAGGTTTTATACCCCCTCAAACTGTCACTCAAGTATAAAATCAAAGGATGGATGCTCTCAAACATGCACAGCTCAGGAATTCTGTGTCCCATGGGCTCATTTTGAAGAGAACAAAAGAGGACAAATTTAGCCAATGAAGGCATCCACGGAATTCAGTAAGATGATGAGCATCCAGCCATTAAAAAATATAAATTTGTACATTTCCTTATGTATAAAATTGTGTATCAGAAGAGGAACACTGTAAAGTAATACTGAGCTCTGGGTGGTGAGATGCATGCTGGGGAAAGTATATTGATGTCTTTGTCATACTTTGAATTGTATACATAAATAAGATGGATTGATGGGTAGATAAATCCATGACAAAACAAGTACAGTCAGCCCTCTGGATCTGTGGACTCAACCAACCAAGCTTGGGTTGAAAATATTTTTGAAAACATTATGTATCGAACATATGCAGACTTTTTTCTTATTCCTTAATACAGTATAACGATTATTTACACAGTATTTATATTGTCTTGGGTATTAAAGTAATCTAATTTAAAGGATATGGGAGGATGTGCATAGGTTATATGCAAATACTACGCCACTGAATTAATTATTTAGAGACAAGGTCTTCCCTCTGTCACTGAGGCTGAAATTCAGTGTTGTGTGATCATAGCTCATGGCAGCCTCAGACTCCTGGGCTCAAGCAATCCTCCTGCCTCAGTCTTCCTAGTAGCTGGGACTACAGGTGTGCATCACTGTGCCCAGCTAAATTTTTTATTTTATTTTATTTCTTGTAGAGATGGGGGTCTTGCTATGTTGCCTAGGCTAGTCTTGAATTCCTGGCTTCAAGTGATCCTCCTGCCTTGCCCTCCCCAAGTGCTAGGATTACAGGCATGAGCCACCGTACTTGGCCAACTATGTCATTTTATATCAGGGACTTGAGCCTCCAAGGATTTTGGTATCTGGGGAGGTCCTGAACGAGTCCCCCATAGATATCAAGGGCCAACTGTAGAGTAAAAGTTTCGTACAATCTAGGTGGTGGGTATACAAGTAATCCTTGTAATTTTTTTTAGTGTTGCTGTATGTTTAAGAATTTTATATTAAAATGCCAGAAAAACATAAGCCTCCCTTTGTGGGAGAATTATGGTTACAAAATGGAATGCAAATATTATATACCATGTCCATACAGAAATGACAATACACCTTAGGGGTGTAAAAGGAGAAATTGGGGAGAGAAAAGGAACAGGTTTGTGTAAGAATGTGACCTTCCTCTTCATAAGCAGCGGAAAGTGAGAGATTCAGTGGATATTGTTTGAAGGTGATAAAGCAACTGAGAGTATAAAATGTTCCAAGAGAAATAAGCCCAAAATCTGAATGGTGGAAGGCACAGAGGAAACAGTGGGAGTGTCCTATTTTGGGCATTACTTGGAGAATCAGTAGATATGATATAAATGCTTTCAAGACAAACTAGGACCACAGAAACCATCTCTGAGATACAATGCTAACTGGGTAAGGCACTATCATTTGTGATTAAAAGCAACTCAAACATATGCATAGGCAATCTTGGGAAAGATACTGTTAACCATGGTTCCTTTTAGGACAGAGAGGAGGATTGGGTGGGAGTGACCGTTCTGTTTCAGCCCTGTGTTCTTTTATACTAAAACAAGCCAGCAAACCAACCTTTGAGATGTGTTGCCTTAAACATTACTGAATGGGGGTGGGGGAGATTCGGCTCCAACTTGCCCCCCTCAGCCCCAAATAAAAAGAAACATTTAAATGACTGTGAAAGACAGGTCCTAATTGTAAAGAGGGAATGGCTTTAGGAGGAGGAAGATCAATACTGCTATGAACTACTAAGGGACAGAAAGATTTCCTCCCATTGGAAATCTTTAAAGATAAAACACACTCCCTGGTCCTGTGCTTTGTAAGGCTGTAAGTGGAGGAAATGGATGAGGATTCACTACTCTTTTGGTCTCAGGAGTATTTAAGGAATTGAACCACAGCTGCAATCACTACACTCAATGTGGAATGTTCTGTGGGTTTTAATTTCTTCTGAGTGAATCATTTTTATTTCTAGATGGTAGATATTTTTAACCTTGCTTCCCTGTATGGACCAGTCAGTCATGGCTGCCGGCCTCTGTCCCTAACCATCAGGATAGGACCTCTGGCTTCCACAAAGTCAGCCCCCAGCATGGGGCACTGACTTCTCTACCCTTTGAACTAGGCCTATGATCCCGAGGTAGCCTCCAAAAAAAATCTAAGGTCTGACATTAATTACCTGCCTTTGCATTTTCCTCCTTGTTCTGCTTCAGGATTCAGGTCCGTTCCTCTGAAGAATGGGTACAGCGAGGACATAGAGCTGGCTTCCCTCCTGGTTTTCTGTGAGATGCGGCCAGTCCTGGTGAGTGGAGAAACACCAGTTAAGGGTTCCCTGAGCTATGCCTGCTGGTGAGGGTAGAAACGGCCCGTGAATACAATTGGCAGATGGACTTAAGCCCATTCAGAATTGTCTAGCCCAAGCATGAGACATCATACAAGAATTCCTTTTTGCTAATTCCCCAGAGTGTCCTGGGTTTTCCCTCCCAGCATCCTCCTTTCCTGGAGAATGCTGTGTGATTCTGTGTAGGCAGTGTAGGAAAGGGTGCCGGTACTTGTAAGTTCCCCATAGTTTCACTTCAGCAAGAGCCAGGCCAGATGATGCCTTCCTAGATAGACTCATCCTTTCTGGATGCTTTTTGGTGCCAGTGCATCTTTAGGAATCCTATCAAAAAGTCTGATAGCCTCCAATCAAGTAGAATGACCATAAATTAATCACCCCCCAAGCTGAGCATTTAGATGGAATCCATTTACAAATAAGGCGATCATGCACAGCTTTAGGTGAGTACCTTTTTCCTCCTTTACGCCAGAATTCTTTCCTTAGGATCAATACTCAGATATAGAATTAGTGGGATCAATTAATTTAGCTGAATGGTAAAACTGTAAAACCTGGGCTTTAGCAGAAGCCTTAAACCAGTGAGCATGAAGACCCTTTGCTTAGTGAAGCAGACCCTTTGCTTAGTGAAGCTTATCCCTCCCCAGCTCACTGAAGATCTGGGATTTGTGCATCTATTGCCCGGGGAAAGGGAACCAGTGCTGCTTCTCTCTATACATAAAACCCCTCCGCAGACACTTCACAGAAAAGTCAAGTGATAAAAATGGTTTTAGATTGTGGTAGGGCAGCATTTGCCTAGGCCCGCTGCTCTGCAAGGCTGTTGTAAACAACCGGAAACATTATAAATAATTTAAGTGATTAGGTATCACCAGCAGCAGAGAAAATTAGTATATTTAAAAGAAAATTGTGTTGATGCAGATTTGACTTCCTTGATGAGGGAAGCTTAATGCCGGGGCTGCCACTGTAGGGAGCCAGGGGCGTTGTGTGGGGTTCTAAATGGAAAGTCGACGCTCACAAATCTGCTTTCTGAAAGTTTTCTTTAGTTCAGCTGCTAGGTCTTGAGATTTCATTTAATTCCACATCTGTCACCTGGTTCTGTGCCACTCACAGGTGCAGCTCGGCATTTCTGTCCACACTGGGATGAAGAGTCGCTCTTGGAAGCCGAGCTGAATTGCATTCGGTAGACCTGGGCTTTCTCCTTAATGCCCACGGTCATACCTTTTATTTATCACCATATCCTCTGGAAGCCAGGGAGAAACTCTGGTAAACAGCCTCAATGCAGACTTTTCTGAGCAAATGATTGATCCAGTAAGGGCTAAGATGGAGTTTACTCATAAAACCTTTGCTGAGATAGAGTTTACAGCCCCAGAAAACTGTCAATAAGCACTTTACACACCTTCTGAAGAAGCCATTTACATGTCACAATTACTTTATCAAGTCGCAGTCCTTTACTTTGCTAGCAGTATGTTTGTTTAGTTTATAAAGAGTATTTTTAGCACCATTTTATTACCTACTGTATTTTATTTAAGATGTAAGAAAGGTGGGGGAGTTGAAAAGAGTCCCCCAGATAGCCTGTATCTAACGACCGTTACCATCTTGGTAGATTTCCATTGCCTTATGATTTTTTGTATATGATATTTCCATAGTCAGATTCATACAGGTGCCCTTTTCTACTTCACAGACGACTTTAAATGATTTTCAAAGCCATTGATGCCTGTTTCATCAGGTATGGGTCCCTAATTCACTTATGCTCCTACTAACGGAGAGTCAAGTCGTTGGCAGTTCTTTACTTTATAAATAATATAGGTCTTCATGTAATATTTTCTGATTAAAAATTATTTCCCAAGGCTAGATATTTAGCAATGGAATAATAAATCAAAGAAAAAAGGACCATGTATTTTTATCTGCATGTCAAATTGTTCTCTGCAAGTAAATAGTTTCTCCTAAGTTGTCGTATTATATCCCATCTTGCCATTAACTGGAATAGGCCTCCACTGGAATGATTTAACATGGTGAGATCCCGAAGAATGGGACTGGGGAAAATAGGAAAGCTTAAATAGTCATCATCTTCCATGGGCAAACTGGCCATTTCTGGAGGGCACATTTGAGAAAACTGGCTGCCCCACGACCTGTTTAGTACTGATCCTGGGTGGACTGGGTTCTGTTTTGTGCTGGGTAGGAGCTAACCTGCAAGGGGTGGAGAGGCCCTTCTTTAGAGTGGAAGAAAACCCAGGATGTTGTGCACTAGATTAAGGCTTATCCTAGAGCAGATGCTTGAATCCCTTTGTAGAAGATTGCACACTTTAGAATCCTGGAGGTCCAGGACTGGGAGCTGCACTCTGGCACTGAGCTGGTCCTGGTTTTTGAGGTTGGGAAAGATTTCCTTACACCTGGGGAGACCTGGAGGGACACAAAGGCCCTCCTTATGCCTCATCAGCTAAAGTTGGTCAGTTTGCCTAATGCTGGCTCCAAAGAGCAAAAACTGCTGTGTTTAACATCCATGACCCAAGAGTGTGACATGACTACTGAACACACAAAACCATGAGCATGCAGTGGAAAAAGAGGAAGACAGACTAAGGTACACACCTGGAATAGATGGCTGGCAGTTGAAACTGAGCCAGTGGAAACCTCAGATGATGAGAACTGTAACACATAACTCATAGGATCTTTCAAAGACATCCAAGGAGAGCACTGGAGAAAGCTTTCTGGAATTCAGAGAATAGACCTGATTTGTTGCATTAAAAAATTCAGTATATAAAGAGATCTGCATTAGTGACACCAAAGATAATGTGAAGGAAAAGTCTCACAATCTAGGGCAACCCCACCATGAGATGGAAAGAAAGGAAAAGGTGGGCTGGGAGGACAGATGCCAAGGACCTAATATGAAAGCATGTCCCAAAGGACAAAGTTAAACAGACGGTGGAGAGCTATTAATGAAATAGCGAATAAAGGAAGTGTTTCTCTAATCTGCTGCTTCTGAGGGCCCACTTGGTTGCAGGTGAGATGAATAGAAAACACATCCATACCCTCAGTAATATTTCAGTAAAAATGTTAAGTTCCAAGGATAAATTTAAAAACCTGGACTTCCAGCACACTAGTTGTGTATAAAGGAAACTGAATAAGTCTAATATCAGACTTGTCCTCTTTGGTGCTGAAAACTAAAAGACTCCCAAAGTGGGTAGAATGTGGACTAGGAAGACGGAATAATTCAGTGTCCAGCCCCCGACATGTCAAGGAATTTCAAGGTATGCAATATTTTAGATATATCATGTATCCTACTCAAGGGAAATCTTGAGGCAGCCCCTGAATCGATGATTATTTTAGTCAGAAAAGAAAACTTTTAGATAGGGAGGTGAAGAGAGGGAAACCAGTGAATAATTAATTTTGCAGTACAGTTACATCTTACAGGATGATGACAGTGTGATAAAAATTTTGTCATGGTAAATATCAAATAAGGATTTTTGAATTGGAAGAAATATACCATGATAAAAAATGACAATCAAAAGCTAAAAAATAATCAAGTATCAACAAAGCAAAGGCATGGAAAGGTAAAATAAAGGTATGCTAAAGGTTATTTCAACTTTGACGACTAGGGAATCAGTCAGTAAATAAACTATACTGCAGAGGGAGATTTAATGCTACATCTGATGTTAAAGGAAACTGTGATTTTAGTTAGCATTGTTAGACTGAGGGTAACCACTGTCAGAATTGAAAAACAGACAAGAAATAAGGAGGAAAAAAGGAGATCAACATAAACTTGACCAAGAGAGTAAAAATAATGTAAAGAATCAGAATAAGTTAAAGCAAGGTAAAATGTGTAGTAATTGAAGTGAAATGGATAAGAACTTACATTTAATTTGGTGAATAGGCTGAATCCTCCTATTAGAAAAGAAATCTACCTGCAGTGTTTACAACAAGAGGCCTAAAGGCAAGGTAAATAAAACAAATAGGAATGGATGGAAGAGTTACTGGGAAAATTGGGAAGGAAAAGTTAACATCAATCTAGAATTTACGATCAGAAGTACTACAGTGTATTAAGACGAACAATATGTGATGATAAAATGCTTGTTTTCTAAAGGGATATAAAAGTCATTAGCAAATAGCATAGTACCTAAGTATATAAGACAAAAATTCCTACATATACAAAGACAACTGTATAAAGAAAAAATCTTTCAGAATTTGGAAAGTCTTGTATATAAGAAATCAGCAAAGACATAATATCAAAATAATTTGCCTTAAGAAATATACAACTTTGTGTCCTACAAATGGATAACATACACTATTTTCTTCTGTCTCAAACTTCATAAATTTGATTGCATTCGTTAGAAAACTTTAATACATTTTTTAAAAATAATGATTTCCTAAGTCATTGGCTGTAACTGGACTAGATTCAAAAGACACAAAAAGATGGCAAAATTGCTCACAATTTGAAGATAATAATTTTCTAAATATACTAAAACAAGTAAATTACTTAGAAAGTAAAACATTTATGCCATAGTTACATTTAGAAGAGGAAAGTGCTTGCCTTAAAACTTCACAAAGAATGAAGACGTATGTACTACTAAGTATTCATCTTCAGAACTTTTAAAACACCAATAAAATAGAACAAAGGAATAAAAGAGATAGAAACCAACTGAATAAAACACAAATAAAAATAAAAGGATAAAAAGAATAAAACATTCTGGTTTATCAAAAAGGCCAAATTTTGTTTTGAGACAGTGTTTTTTTCTGTCACCCAGCCTGGAATACAGTGGTGTGATCATGGCTCACTGCAGCCTTGACCTCCTGGGCTCAAGTGATCTTCCTGAGTAGCTGGGACTACAGGCATATGCCACCATGCCTGGCTAATTTAAAATTTGTGTGTGTGTGTGGAGACAGGGCCCTGCTTTGCTGCCTAGGCTGCTCTCAGATCCTCCTGCCTTAGCCTCCCCAAGTGCTGGAATTACACGTGTCAGCCACTGTGTCCAGCCCTCAAAAGACCAGTTAAACTCTTTGCCTACTTAATAAAAGAATAAAGAGGAAAAACATGTAAGAGTAAATACTGGAAAGGAGACTGAACCCCAAATAATAAACTACAGCAAATGGATGATTACCTTAAAGAATGTAAATAGGCTAAAATTGTTCTGAAAAGCAGTAGAAAAGTTAAAACACCTATTAGATAAAACAGGTTTAGGATCTAGATGGTTTTATAGCTTAGTTTTGTCTTCATTTAAATAACGTAATTCCAATTTCACTCCACCAAAGTAAGAAGAACAATGGAAATCCTTCTTCTGTCTTGAAGCTATACAACTTTCATATCAAAACTGGAGAAAGATAGTACTCCTAGCTTTCCCCTAACCTCATTCAGCCGTAGACCAATGTCATGTGTGAATATAGATGTTAAACTTCAAAAAATAGCAAATATCCAGCTGTTTACTAGAAGAGCAATATATTACAACTAAGCATTTATTCTGGAATGCAAGGATGGTTTAACACCAGCACAGTTAGCAACAAATTAAATATGAAAAAAGCATAAACTAGTAGATGCCATAAATGTAAACAGCCAAATGAAATAATCAGTATAATTTTAGAAAAAAGGTCGAGTGATCTCTATTGTATACAAATTTAAACTGTACAAATTCTGATTGTATAGTTTACAAAACAGGAAGACTTCAATTTTAAAGAGACTGATGTTTATTTTTCTTGTATTTATTGAACGTAACCACTTCTGTCTGTTCTAGAAGTAACAAACAGAAATGTGGTGTGGGAGGAAGGGACAAATGGGACATCCCATTTGTGATACTGACAAAAACCATAACACATTTAGGAGTAATTTAAATAAAGGTACAGAACTTATATAAGAAAAAAACATAAAATCTTATTAAAAAACAAAACACCATGTGAACAAGTAGAAATTTATACCAACCCTTCCAAAATTAATGTTGGATTGGAATTGGAGGTATCAATATAAACTCAAGTTACATATATATTTATATATATATATTCACACGTAGATGAATAAATGTGTGTGTTTACATGTTACTACAAATACATACATATCCTAGCTCACTCTGCTGAGTGCCTAGAACTTATGACACCCCAGTCATTGGATTCTCAATTCCAGATATTGCTAAATATCATATGCCAATAAAAAGAAATCAGGGCTCCTTAGACAAGTGGTTGATTTCCAGACATGGGATAAATAAAATATAAAAAGGACCTGGAGCATCTTAACATTTCAGTAAATAAAGAAGTGCTGAAAAAATGGTGGAAGCACATCAAAGGGGCCTAGGAACCAACCAGGGAGCGCTCCCAATGGCCACAGCTGGAACCATTTGCATAGCAAAATAATGATAATATCAGATTCTAGCACACAGAATGAAATAGCCACATGTCTGTGAATGAATGAATACATGACAGAGAAGAGATAGCTCTTCCTTACAAATGAATTCTGATTAATAAATGTAGAAGGAATGAGGGAACTAGAAAATCACTATTGAAACAGCATAGTACTAACTGCTGCAGTAAGACCTACTGATGAATGCAAAATGAAAGTTGGAGGAGAAATATATTTCCATTGTCCCAAAAGTGTCTTCCGCCAAGAAATTTATCAATTAGAAAGACAAAAATAGCAGCTTTACAGCGGATAGACCCTGCAGCTACCATCTTAATCAGATGATCAACGTTACCAACCACCTGGAATAAGGCAGGTTGAAATCACGTACTTCCTGAGGTGAGACGCTGAGAAGGGTACATTGCTTCTGTGACATTCTTGCCAAAACTGCATCGCCTCAAACAAATTATAAGAAGACACCAGACAAAAGTTGCTGGACATTCATACAAAATAACTGACTAGTATTCTTCCAAAGTGTCCTGAGGGAGGAATGAGGAAACCATACAGATTGTAGGAGACTAAGGCAGCACAATGACTAAAGGTTCTGTGGGATCCCGGATTGGATGTGGGAACAGGAAAAGGAGACTGGTGGAAAACCCAGTGAAATATGAATAAGATCTGTAGTTTTAGTATTGCACCGATATTAATTTCTTAGTTTTGATACTTGTACTGTGGTTGTGCGAGATGTTAACACTGTGGAGTCTAGGTGGTTGGGGTATGTGAGAACATTGTACTATTACTGTACCTTTTTTGTAAGCTTAAGCTTCCAACATAAAACAATTTAAAAGGTATTGGTGGGGGAAAAACTTTATTTTTTTGTGTATTTTTCCCCCCAACAAACAGGAGAAAAACTAAAGGCAGAGAGTGCCATAAAGATTTTGTCTCAGGCCAGGTAAAACTTATTACCAAAAGCTTCATTTTCTAATAAAACAAACTAAATTTTTAAGTGAAAACTCAGACTCAAAAGAAATCCAGGAAATAAGTATCACAAAATGCTTTCTCTTGACTAGAGTGGTGGTTCCTCAAGTCAAGAGGGCTGGTTCATTTGCTGTAGAGTTATTCACTAAACTGTTTCTATCTTTTACGTTCTTTTCTGAATGTGCATTATATCTCATATATATACAGTGTACCCAGGACTACAGTATGTAATATAGCTGCAAATATTTTGGCACTCAGGAAAGGTGATAAAGGGTTGCAGTTATAGAAGCATTCATAGAAAAGGTGAATTTTGAACTTGCGCCCGAATAACAAATACCCATTATATAGAATAAAACAACAGAAGCCATTTTCTTCTAGGTGCAGAAAAGGGAAAGAGAGACCTTTCATGGTATAGTATTAAGACTTAAATGGGGTTTTCATTTTGCTTTATTTTTTGAGACAGGGTCTCATTGTCTTGCCCAGGCTGGAGTACAGTGGCATGATCGTGGCTCACTGCAGCCTTAACCTCCTGGGCTCATGTGATCTTACCCTCTCAGCCTCCTGAATAGCTGGGAGTACAGGGTATGCCACCATGCCTGGCTAATTTCTTTCATTTTTTATAGTAACAGGGTCCCGCTATGTTGCCCAGGCTGGTCTTGAACTCCTGGTCAAGCAATCCTCCCACCTCAGCCTCCCAAAGTGCTGGGGATTACATGCCTGAGGCACTGCGCCCGGCGACTTGATTCTTTTCTTTTCTTTTTCCTTTTCTCTGAACTTTATTCTGTAAAATTTTACTTTAAGTTCCAGGATACAAGTGCAGGACGTGTAGGTTTGTTACATAGGTATACGTGTGCCATGGTGGTTTGCTGTACTCGTCAACCTGTCATCTAGGTTTTAAGTCCCACATGCATTCCCCATCCGCCAACTAGCCATGGTGTGTGTTGTTGCCCTCCCTGTGTCCTCATTGTTCAACTCCCACTTATGAGTGAGAACATATGGTATTTGGTTTTCCATTCCTGTGTTAGTTTGCTGGCTGAGGATGATGGCTTCCAGCTTCATCCATGTCCCTGCAAAGGACATTACTTCATTCATTTTTGTGGCTGCATAGTATTCCATGGTGTATATGTACCACATTTTCTTTATCTAGTCTATCACTGATGGGCATTTGGGTTGGTTCCATGTCTTTGCTGTTGTACATGGTGCTGCAGTAAACTTACATGTGCGTGGGTCTTTATAGTAGAATGATTTATATTCCTTTGGGTACATACCCAGTAATGGGATTGCTGGGTCAAATGGTATTGCTGGTTCTAGATCCTTGAGGAACCACCATACTGTCTTCCACAATGGTTGAACTAATTTTCATTCCCACCGACAGTGTAAAAGTGTTCCTATTTCTCCACAGCCTCGCCAGCATCTATTGTTTCCTGACTTTTTAATATGCTTTATTCTTAATAGGGAGGAAAGTCATTACTAAGTGAAGTCATTACTGACTCTTCCCAATGCCTCACTTGATACATTCACTTAATCACCAAGGACAGCCCATTTTACCTCTGCTTACTCTTCAACCTTTGCAAACAGCTGGAATAATCATCTTCTGTCCCCCTTCTCCAAAGTCACAGTTCCAGCTGTTACCCTGGGGACTGTTTTGTTAGGTCATTAAAGGAGGAAAAAACCTTGCAGAGTATGGTCTGAGTCCGTGTTTTTCTAAAAGTAAATGACAAAGGATCTTGTTTGTGCACCTCAACAGATGTTTTTGTAGCACAGGAGTCTTTCACTTGAACTCCATCGGGAAAGGCCAATTGACTTGACCCTCCTGCAAAGCCAAGCTTCACAGAGTAGTCAGGGATCCTCTGAAACAGATGAGGCAAAACATCCTCATCCTCCCCCTGCATTGAAACCCAAACTCCCTACCCTGAGTGGCTTTTGTCTTTTTTTCTCCCCTAGCGTAATGGACTATTTTGGTTCCTGCAACTGAAAAGTTTAGGGGTAGGTCTTGTTTCAGTCATGGCTGAATCTCTGTGCTCACTCAGTGGCTGTTTTCCTCTTTTTCTGGCACATTCCAAACTTCTTGACTCAATAGCAACGTGGCCATGACAGGACCACACTTACTCTTTCAGCTGATCCCAAGAAAAGAAACTCTACCAAGAGCACCAACGAAAGTCCCACGGATGCGTCTAGTTGGCCTTGCTTGGGTCATGTGCCTGGAGGTTGTACTGGTGGGGGAAGTAGAAATCATTACTGGCTACAGGTGAGGCACATGCCCATCTCTGCAAGATGTAATTTATGATACCTTGGCTTTTTTGGGTAACAGCTTTGAGAGATAATTCATATAACCACATATCATATAATCACTCATTTAAAGTGTACAATTCAATGGTTTATAGCCTATTACGTGTTGTACAGTCATGGCCACAATCAATTTTAGAACATTTCCAACACCCAAAAAGAAACCTCACGCTCATTAGCTGCTGCCACTCACTCCATCCCCCAGACCCCGGTGACCTTTAACCTACTTTGTCTCTGTGATTTTGCTAGTTCTGGACACTTCATATAAATGGCATCGTGTGATTTGTGATCTTTTAGAGTTGGGCTCATTCACTTAGCATAATGTTTTCAAGGTTCATCCACCTTGCAGCTTGTTACCTTGCCTTTTAAGGCCCTTAAAAGATTTTAAATTATCTGCCTCCTGCCTGCCTTTTAGTTCTCATGTCATGCTGTTTTTTTCTCCTCTGCTGGGTTCCACTTTAAGCGTGCAGCTGCTTAGACACTTTTGCAGTCAGGTAAAGGCCAGAAGGTGACATGTAGACCAAAGGAAAACCGGGTTAGATTAAGAAATAGGATCTACAGGAAATGCAGTCATTATTTCAATGTTTTGCAATAAATCAACAGTGTAAAGACCAAGCACTTTTTAAACTGCTTGCTTCCCACACAATAAATAATTGTGTTTTATCTTTCTTTGGTTAAAATAGGCCCTGGCTCTTCTGGGCTAATCCAAGTTGCAAAACTTCTGCCCCATGCTCCCTTTGGGCATGCTTGTGAGATGCCAGGTTCACATTTTGGTTTGGAAGGTGTAGTCACCACATGGTTGTTCTCTCCCCTGCATCCTCCAGGAGAGCGAAGAGGAACTTTACTCCTCCTGTCGCCAGCTGAGGAGGCGGCAAGAAGAACTGAACAACCAGCTCTTTCTGTATGACACACACCAGAACTTGCGCAATGCCAACCGGGATGCCCTGGTTAAAGAGTTCAGTGTTAATGAGAACCAGCTCCAGCTGTACCAGGAGAAATGCAACAAGAGGTAGGTCAGCCCCTCCACCTGCAAAAACTTTTGGGGGGTCTCTAGGCACGGTGATGATGGGCACCACGGGCCAGGCTTCTGGAAAGCCCTCTGAGTTGCTTTCTTCAGAAATCCTTGGCCGGGCATGGTGGCTCACAGGCCAGGCATGGTGGCTCATGCCTGTAATCCCAGCACTTTGGGAGGCTGAGGAGGTTGGATCACCTGAGGTCAGGAGTTCAAGACCAGCGTGCCCAACATGGAGAAACCCTGTCTCTACTAAAAATACAAAAATTAGCTGGGCATGGTCGTGGGCGCCTGTAATCCCAGCTACTTGGGAGGCTGAGGCAGGAGAATCATTTCAACCTGGGAGGCAGAGGTTGCAGTGAGCCGAGATCACACCATTGCACTCCAGCCTGGGCACCAGAGGGAGACTCTGTCAAACAAACAAACAAACAAACAAACAAAAAATCCTTTGGCACCCTTGACTCTAGTTCTCTTTGTTCTAGAAATTAACCTACAGTAATACCTTAGGCGCTTGCCACTTCCCCTAAGTAGAACTGTTTCCTCTAGAAGGACACTTCAATTTAATAGCGAAAATAAATGATGACCACTGACTTTTAAGGAGTACTTATTGTGTTTCCAAGAATGGGCTAGTCCAGCGGCTCTAGACTGGGTCAAGATCCCCCAACAGGGATGCTTGTGGTTGTGCTACAGGCATGTAATGGGGTGCGGGGCGGCCGGGGTTGCCAAGTGTTTCATAATATGTCTAAATCTTCTAAGAAAGAATCATCCAGACAAAAATCCTAATAGTAGCCACCAACGAGAAACTGTGCTGCCTCCCTTACTCACATTATTCTCATTGAATCTTCATGTCAGCCTGCAGAGTAGCTCTTACTCTGTTTTACCATTGAGGAGATTTAACCTCTCTGAGTCTCAACGTCTTACCAGGAACTTGGAGTCTGCCTCTCTGACACTCAGCCCTATACCATCCAGCTATGAATGACTGGCAAATGTACAGAAAGAGAAATGTTACAGAGTTCAGCACGCAGCCCATTTCTCATGGCCCACTGCTGATGGTGAAATCTGTTTTATTTCAGGTTAAGAGAGAAGAGAGTCAGCAACAGCAAGTTTTACTCATAGAAGCTGGGGTATGTGTGTAAGGGTATTGTGTGTGTGCGCATGTGTGTTTGCATGTAGGAGAACGTGCCCTATTCACACTCTGGGAAGACGCTAATCTGTGACATCTTTTCTTCAAGCCTGCCATCAAGGACATTTCTTAAGACCCAACTGGCATGAGTTGGGGTAATTTCCTATTATTTTCATCTTGGACAACTTTCTTAACTTATATTCTTTATAGAGGATTCCCCAAAATGTGCTCCTCATTTTTGGCCTCTCATGTTCCAAACCTCATTGAATAAAAGCAATGAAAACCTTGATCAATTAAGCCTTCTGTTGCACGACCTGTGCAGTGAACAGGATTTCTTTTCTGGCCAAGAAGATTCTACCTCTAATGATCCAGGTAACTGATGTCCATGGAGGATGAGCTGGAAATGTAAGAAACTATTCATGAGATTCTGAAAAGGATTTTAACTCAAAGGCAAATGATTCCATAAGGGCCCAAAGAGAAGCCCTACCCACAGGCAGCCTGCTCAGTTCAATGTACTTTAACTACCACCGGCTGCCTGCTGCAGTCCACAAGAAAATGGCTGAGTGATGGGATCTGTTCATTAAGACAATTTCTAATTAATGGTGACAGCTTGTTTTGTGACTAGAGTTACTGGGATGGAGGGTAGGAATCTTGGGGCCTCTTTGTTTTAAAAAGCCCATCAGAGAGACCAGAGCCGTGCTGCAGGGGCAGGTTCTCACTTGCCCCTGGCTCTGCCAGCTGCTGGGAGGCTCTGGCCCCACTAGTCCCTCATGGCCCTACTGAACTGGCTGGGAGGCTGCTGGAATGGCCCTTGGTCCACAGCTCTCCACAGGCAAGAGGTCAACTGCTGCTTGAAAGAGGTAGACAAAAGTTAGGTTGATGGCGAAATGTCTCTGGGTTACCCAGTCTTCTGGAGCAGCAAGCTGAGCTTTAATGGGCTAAGCATTAGGGTGTTACAGAAAATTTCAAATGCAGCCATCTCCCTTGGGGCAGATCTACCTAGTTCATGACAGTATGTGCGGCTGGCCAGGGCTTTACACCTCTGCATCTTAAGTTGTTAATACATACCAATAATGTAATATGGCTTTTTAAAGGAGAGGAGAGTGCTGGGTTGGGAAGGGAGGTGGTTGGTAGAGTCACAACTTCTCAATGAGTGAATTTACAGCTGATGGGAAAAGGAGTGTAACTGTGAAAAACGATGGCTGTGGTGGGGAAGAACAAACCAGCAGTAAGCCTGATGTTTGATGTGGATGGAACTGGCCCCTAGAAACCCATCTGACCCTCCTCTTGTTACCCGAAATGCTGGGCTTAGTATGCATGTACTGCTGAAAAGCAGGGCAGAACAAATCAGGCTCTGACCAGAAGATCCTTCTGGTCCCTTCACTCTACAAAAACTTACTGATCACCTCCACATGCCAAATACAGTGCCAAGATTTGGGGGTGTGGATGTTTAAACAAAAAGCTGTGGGTCTCATCAATCATCTCCATCCACAAGCTCCTAAAAGAAAGCCATTTACCTCGCTTGAAGCCAGGAACACAGGGAACAGCAGTCTGGCCAAGGAAGGGCTGTTATCTGGTGCTATCACTCCAGTTACTCCTCCAACTGGGAGCTGCTATTTTATTTGGCAGTCAGCAACTGAAGAAAGAACATTCCTCTTAGTGGCAGATGTTCAAAGCAACTTTCAAGAAAGGCTAGGTGAGAAAGGCACTGGGATGAGTGCTGCAGGCACTCTGTAGCCAGGGCCCCATTAGCCTTTGGCCAGGTAGCCACCAGAACCTATTTATTGCACCTGGCATCTCCCCCAACCCCTCTCAGCTCTGTTAGGACTTCCACACAGCAGAGCTCAGGTGTTGCTGTCATTACCTCCTTTCAGCTCCTCACTTCATTCTACTTTAAAGCCACAGTGCTAAGGCCTGCATCCCCTTTCTGCCCAAATGGGTTTTTTGCTACCATATCAAAGAACCTGACATATGGCGGCATAGGAAGCAGAAGCTAAGCCTCTCTCCAGCTGCTGCTGTGTAAAATCCATGCGTGGCCAAAGAGAAGTCAGGGGATTATGACATAAATGGTGCTGGGAAGAACCCTCTGCCTAAAACTGTCTCCTTCTCCTGGTGCTACAACCGGAATCCACCATGAGAGAGTACTTTCTTCGGTTCTTTCCTCCTGTCCTTGACAGAGTAACACGTTAATCTGGTTCTTGGTGGTGTTAGGGACTGATTCTCTCAGGAAAGGCACACATGGTATGATGGCTCTTCCCAGAGTCTATGTGATGCTACATAACTTCAGTATCTAGCTGAGACATGCTTCCTACATGACTGTTAAAGCACAGCCAATCCAGGCCAAGAAGACTAGTAACAGGCACATTCTGAAAGATGGAAGCAGCACTGATAGATCAAAACCACCACTGCATATGTATTACACTGTTTTTGTTCACCATTTTCCTAAGTGTGTTATTTAGAATATTGGTTATTACAAGGAAAAATAAAGTGGGGAGGCTGGTTAGGCCTTGTGAGTTTGGGAAACTTAGGTTATAAAAACTAAATAAAGTTTTTCTACTGTGAGACTAGATGTGCAGGAGTGAAAGGTGTAGAGGGTCTTGTTTTCCAAATTCGATCTCAGAATCTTTTTGCCAGAAGTGTCTCATGGGACTTATCTATAGTGGAACACATTTGAAGACCTACTGCTCTATTAAGAAGGCAGCCGGACAACATGTTCTAATACTTCGTATGCTTTGTGACCTAGTTAAAATCTAAACTTAAGTCGCCATGGCCAGTGGCCTTTAGATTAAGCTAGCCTTACCCCTGGGAGTATACCAGAGCTTTCCAAGGAATACACAGACTCCAGTACTCTCAGGGGAGCAGTGTTCAGAGCCTCATCTTCCTGTTATATTCTTCTCTAAGATTCATCTGCCTGAGAAAATGCCCTTTTCTCACCTTACAAAAGAAAATATGGCTGTCTCCACCTCTAGTCTTACTGTAGAGCATGTCCCAAGGTGTAAAAATTCAAAATGTGGATATTTGGAAAGTGAAAGACTTATCAACAGGGCACAAATCTTTTTGCAAATGGATTTTCCAAGTTTTTCTGGTGGTTCCAAATTTTTTGCTTTCAACAAAGTGGGAGGAACAGCCTGTAGATTTCTGAGTCTCTTAGCATGTAACTACAAAGGGGTTGGAAGAATTCAGTGATTCTGCTATCATAAAGCTTCCGTTCCCATTGATGTATCTGTGTGAACAAGGATCAACATCTCCATAAATGAAATTGAAAACGGAAAATAGAATTGATGATGAACTTTGGCTCAATCTTAAGATGTTATCAATCTACATAGATGAAATAATTGTGGAGAAAAGCCCTCTTTATCTCATTAAGTGATACATTTCCAAAGAAGTTTTACTATGTTTAATAATTTAGTGAAATTTGGGCTATGTGTTTATTGATTCAGCTCAATCCAGAGGAAAATTTTAAAGGCTTACAGCCTTAGGATTATAGGATACTATATAATACTTTTGGTACAGAGATAGAATTAAATAACATAAAAATCAAAAATTTATTAGGCTAAAATTTTGAGGGAGAAGTGGTATGAAAATACAAATTCAAGGAGTAAAAGGAAAAGTGGGGCATTCCTTGCTACTAAAAATTGCCTTGTTCCAGGTAAGACTGATCATAAAAAAATGGCCCTGTTCATAAAATTTTTAAAAAGATCATAGTATCTATCAAATAACTTATATTAAGAACCTCCTGGGCTAAATTTAAAAAGTAATACAACAGTTTTATTTAAACATGTAGTGTCTACGGTATGCCAGCACTTTGCAGCTATTTATAATGAGAAATTTTAGATGTCAATATAGCAATGTGCAAGAAGATAGAGATTTTCAAAATTCACTTAAGAGTATCTGAGCATAAAATGTTAAGATTGCTGATCGGATGTGAGGGCGATCTGGCTGCGACATCTGTCACCCCATTGATCGCCAGGGTTGATTCGGCTGATCTGGCTGGCTAGGTGGGTGTCCCCTTCCTACCTCACCGCTCCATGTGCGTCCCTCCCGAAGCTGCGCGCTCCGTCGAAGAGGACGACCAACCCCGATAGAGGAGGACCGGTCTTCGGTCAAGGGTATACGAGTAGCTGCGCTCCCCTGCTGGAACCTCCAAACAAGCTCTCAAGATTGCTGATCTAGGGCCACTAAGTGATGAATTGTATTTGGAAGCAAAAAGGATGGCTAAAAAGGACCTCAACCCTTTTGACTTTAAAAGGAAAATAGCTTAACCTTCAACCTGTGTGACATTTAACTTTTTGAACCCAACCGTAAAAGCTATCTTCTAACCAACAAAAAGTTAATAATTAGATTTGGAATTATACAGAATTAGAAAATTGGCATTTAAAAATACTCAATAATTTGTCCCTGGTTTTTAATTTTCAAAATATTTTCTTTTTGAAGAGCCAGATTCCAGTGATCCTGCCTCTCAGAAATTTCCACATTTCTTATTTTTCATTAGGCCTTAAGAAGCTGCATTTGTAAACTTGTGTTTCATTATTAAAGCTTAATTTATTTTTTATATAAATAGTATGTGCTTTGTGTACATAGAGAATTAAGTGAATGAGTCACACAGATGTTGGCTGTTGTTAATGTGAAAATTAAACAGCTGTATCACATTTTGAAAAATAAAAGTTTCATCTGAATGAATATAGCAATCTGCCCAGAACTTTTTTTAAAAACTGCTATTCACCTTTTATATTCCCAAATAAAACACACACACACATACAATAATTTAGTCATGAGATAGGTAGAGTTACAGTTATTTTTTGAAATGTGTTTTACTATCCTATTTATCCCACGTTTCTTTGGGTTACAGGTTTATCTTCAGCAAAAACTCACTCTGTGTTGAAACTCAAGTTTGTACGATTAATACTTGAGTGCTCTTCAATTTATCAGTTTTGAAAGAATGTTTAGTGTTGGAAGGAGCGAGGACCTTATAGTAAGTCCCTGTATTTCTCAGCTGAGTGATAGGCTCCCTAGAACTGTCAATCACTGCGTTTCTTGCCAACAATCCCTGGTCCACAGGAAGCCATGTTGTATCTCATACCTCTGACCCCCAACCCCCAGCCCCCAGTGGTTGGATTAGTTACCCTGGTCCAAAGATTTAATAATAGCCTATGACAAACCTCTGCATTAGAAGATGAGCAAGGAATAGTAAAAAGCAAAGATGAAATTAGAACTGCCAAATGACCACTTTTTAAATGGATACAACCATAACTCTCATAAAGATATATAATGAACATATGTCAGAAATCTTATTAATTAACAAAGGAACCAGTGAGATGTTCCAGCTTGTTTAAAGGAGAATGCAGAGAACAATATATATACATACAGTATAGGTTATCCGCTATCCAGATTATCTGATTTTATACGGTTTCTCCACGTTTTATTGTCCGAATAATGCAAATTATTCCTGTCCGTAGAAATGCAAACTGTGTCCTGTGGAGATTCCATTGATCATTCCCTTGTGGATACTGATCACTGGTTTTACCAGTTTTATATCTATTAAATTTATTTCAGCATCGCTGATGGATGTGAAATCTGACTCCTATCTTACTCCACACACAAAAATCAAGTCAGTTAGATTATAGATCAAAATATGAAAGATAAAACAATATTTCTAGAAGGTCTTCACAACATCGGCGTAGGGAAAGGTTACTTAAACAAAACTACAAAAGCAGCATCCCTGAAGGAAGACTGCTAAATTTGACTCCCCTAAAATTCAAAACTGGTTTTTATCAAAAGATACAATAAGAAGACAGAGAGAAAAGACAAGCCACAGAGTAGAGGGAGATATTTGCAATAATGTATCTGACAAAAGACCTCAGCCAAAAAATAACTCCATCATTCCAAGTCAATAAGAGTAAGACAATCCATTTGAGAAAAAGGGGCATATTCCGGCGTGGTGGCGGGCACCTGTAGTCCCAGCTACTCGGGAGGCTGAGGCAGGAGAATGGCGTGAACCCAGGAGGCGGAGCTTGCAGTGAGTCAAGATTGCGCCACTGCACTCCAGCTTGGGTGACAGAGCCAGACTCCGTCTCAAAAAAAAAAAAAAAAAAAAAAAAAAAAAAGGGGCATATTTCATGAATAAGCACCTCACAAGAGTATATCCAAAGGCCTGATAATGTGTAGGAAAAAGTTCACTCATGATTCCTATGGGAAAAATGAAAATTAGAACCATGAGATACCACTACACACTTACTAGAGTGGCAAAAATTAAAAGCCTAATGTGTTAGCAAGAATGTAGAGCACCTGGCACACTTGTGTAAATTAGTACAAAACTACATTGTAAAAAATGTATGACATTCTCTGCTGAAATTAAACATATACACACCCTGCAACCCATCAATTCCACTCCTGAATATATACCTAATACTGAAGCATATATATGCACACCAAAAGACATATACAGAGTGTTCGTAGTACTGTTATTCACAATAGGCAAAAACTGAAAAGAGCCTTAAATGTCCGTCTACGGAAGAGTTGATATACACATACAAATGCGCATTTCTACAATAGAGCACCATACAGCAATGACAAATGACTGAGCTGCAACTACAGTAACTGCGTGGATGGATCACACCCATACAAGTTGAGTGAAAGCAGCCACACACACACACACACACACACAGCAAAGAGAAGAGTGAAATGGTATGAATTAGTAGAGAGACATATAGATAAAATGCGGGATATGTGTAAGACGGAATAGTATAAGGAGGTAAAGTGGAGTGGAACAGAGCCCATATATGTAACATGGATACGTTTACACAATATCGTGTGAGAAAAGGGAAAATACAGAACAGTGCTACCCAGTGACGCCATTTACACATATTTAAAAACTGCACATAAAACTGCTTCCAACATACACACAGCTAAGTAGATAATACAGGTATAAAAATGGACTGAAAGGAACATCTTAATGTCAAGACAAGGATTGAGTCACATAGCGGGGAAGGCAAAGGCCATGTGACCGAGGCAGGGAGAGGTAGTTTCAGCTTGAGTATGGGTTTTCTTTCTTTTTTAGAGAGCGGGAAGTGTTGCTCTGCTTGACACAAATGTAAATGCAGCCTGCTCTACCAAAAAAAGGGATACAGGCATACTCAAGCTTTCTTGTCCACAGATGAATAGCTAGACAGAGGGGGCCTGTAGTCCCAGCTACTCGGGAGGCTGAGGCAGGAGAATGGCGTGAACCTGGGAGGCGGAGCTTGCAGTGAGCCGAGATCGCGCCACTGCACTCCAGCCTGGGCGACAGAGCGAGACTCTGTCTCAAAAATAAATAAATAAATAAAAATAAATAAAAAATAATAATAATGAAAATGAGGCTGGGTGCGGTGGCTCATGCCTGTAATTCCAGCACTTTGGGAGGCTGAGGTGGGTCACTCACTTGAGATCAGGAGTTCAAAACCAGCCTGGCCCACATGGTGAAACCCCATCTCTACTGAAAATACAAAAATGAGCCAGGCACGTGGTGGCGCGCACCTGTAATCCCAGCTACTCCGGACGCTGAGGCAGGAGAATCGCTTGAACCAAGGAGGCGGAGGATGCAGTGAGCCGAGATTGTACCACTGCACAAGAAAAAAAAAAAAAAAAAAAAAAAGAAGAAAGAAAACGAGAGAGAGGGGAGGAGGGAAATGAGAGGGGAAAGGCGGGGCGGAGGTGAGAGGGGTGGCGGAGTGGGGAAGAAGGCGGTGGGGAAGATGGCAGGGGCGAGGGAGTGGGAAGAAAGACTAAAACGGCACAAAATGTTAGCCAATTATTCTGGAGAGTGAAAAGTGGCTGTTATATTATTCTTTCCTTTTTTCATTTTTATTTTCAAAAAAAGCAACAAAAAACAAAGTTATATAAAAAACGTATCAGGCAGATTCTAATACAAATAAAGCTGCTGCAGCATTGCTAATATCAGACAAGTTACAAAATCAAGGTTGATATCGCTAAGAAGGGCAATGTTTTACAATTCTAACAGTAATACTGCACCAGCCAATTGTGAAGGACCCAAGCTTTTGCGTGTCTCACAACATAGCTTCGAGAAGCACAGAGCAGAGTGGGAGAACAAAAATCAACAAGTTAACAATTATAGATGGAGATCAGAGTGTTTTCTCACAACAGCACAGATAAAGAAGGCACAAAACAAGGATAAGGAGAATCTGAAAAACACAAGTCACCAGCCTGATCAAAGGTACATTAGGCTTCTGCAAACACAGAGTAAATTTTGGATCCAGAAAATACAAATTTTCTTCAAACACAGGACATTTACAAATATTGACTGTACAACAAGCCACAGAGCGGGAAACAATTTTAATTGCTCTAATACAAGATTAAACTTGGCGCCACATGAAAATCACAAACAAAAAGATGCTCCCCAAAAGTCCTATGATCACAAAGTTTAAAAGCTATTTCTAAAATATTTTTAGGGAATATGTTAGGGAAGGGACAAAAGTATTTCAGGAAAGGGACAGAACTGCCCAGAAAAAAAATACTAGAATTTTAAATGCATTTATTGTAAAATGAGAAAAAGTGACAATAAATGATCTACGCTTTAACTTAGAAGCTAGGGAAAACACTCTAAAGAGGGTAAAAAACAAGAAAATCCAAAAAAACAAAACTAAAATTGATAAAATGGTTCTTTTAAAAGTCAAGGGGAAAAAAAGCAGCACAAATCAACACTACCAGGAGTAAAAATAATTTTATAGTAAGACTTTTGGAAGCCTAGACAAAATAGGTAATATTATATTAAAATAAAAACGACCAAATGTCTAAGAATCACTAAAAATATGACTATTCCAATTATCATCCAAGAAATAGAAAAAACAAATAAGACTAATCCAATTATCATCCAAGAAATAGAAAAAACAAAGACATGCACCTCCCACCCCATGGCATCAATTTCAGATGATTTCATGGGCAACTTCTACCAAACATTCCAGAGAAAGTTTTTTTTTTTTTTTTTTTTTTTTTTTTTTTGTTACTGTGGCCAAAAGAAAAACCCAAAACAACATGACATGAGATTTACCCTGTTTTTTAAAGAGTACAGTACAGTGTTAACTACAGGCACAAAGTGGTACAGGTCTCTAGAACTTTTTCACCTTGCATGAGTGAAGCATTATATACACTGAACAGCAATTTCCCATTTCCCCCAGCTCCTGGTAACCACCATTCTACTTTATGCTTAGATGAGTTTCAATGCTTCAGATGCTTTACATAAGTAGAACTACGCAGTATTTGTCTTTCTATGATTGGCGTATTTTACTTAGTATAATGTCCTTCAAGATGCAAGTTGTAGCATCTGACAGGATTTCCTTCTGTTTTCTGACTGAATAATATTCCATCGTATGCCTATACCCCATGTTCTTTGTCCATTCATCTGTCCATGTACACTTTAAGTTGTTTCTACCTCTTGACTATCGTGAATGATGCTACGATGAACTGGAGAGTGCAAATCTCTCCTTCAGTTCCTGATTTTGATTATTTTAGCTAAATATGCAGAAGTGGGATTGCTAGAACGTATAGTACCTCTGTTTTAATTTTTGAGGAACCTCCACACTGCTTTGCATAATGCCTGCATCATTTTACACTTCTACCACCAACAGTGCAGAAGGTTTCCTATTTCTCCACATCTTCGTCAACACTTGTTATATACATATTTTTCTAATAATGTCCATCCTAAAAGGGTGTGAGGTGATATTTCACTGTGGCTTTTACATTTTCTTTTTTTTTTAAATTAAATTAAATTTTATTTTATTGAGACAGAGTCTCACTCTGTCGCTCAGGCTGAAGTGCAGGGCTGAGATCTTGGCTCACTGCAACCTCTGCCTCCTAGGTTCAAGAGATTCTCCTGACTCAGCCTCCCAAGCAGCTGGGATTACAGGTGCACACCACCATACCCGGCTCATTTTTTTGTATTTTTAGTAGACATGGAGTTTCACCATGTCTGTCAGGCTGGTCTCAAACTACTGACCTCAAGTGATCTGCCTGCCTTGGCTTCCCAAAGTGCTGGGATTACAGGCGTAAGCCACCACGCCTGGGCAATTTGCATTTTCTTGAAGATTAGTGATGTTGAACATCTTTTCATATACCTGTTGACCATTTGTATGTCTTCTTTGGAAAAATGTCTATTTAAGTCATTTGCCCATTTAAAAAATTGTGGGTTTTTGCTATTGAGTTATAGGAATTCCTTGTTTTTGATATTAACTCCTTATCAGATGTACAGTTTTCAAATATTTTCTCTCAATCCAGAGGTTGCCTTTTTACTCTCCTGAATATTTCCTTTGCTGTGTGCAGAAGCTTTTTAGTTTGATACAGTTCTACTTACCTTTGTTTTGTTGCCCAAGCTTTTGAGGTCATATCCAAGAAATCACTGCTAAGACCCATGTCATGAAGCTTTTCTTCTGTTTTCTTCTAGCAGTTTTATGGCTTTAAGTCTTATATTTAAGTCTTTAATCAATTCTAAATTGATTTTCACATATAAGTTAAGAGACCAATTTCATTCTTTTGCATGCGGATTTTCAGTTTTCCCAACACCATTTTTTGAAGAGACTATTCTTTCCCCACTGTGTATTCTTGGAAGCTTTGTCAAAGATCGGTTGATCTTAGGTGCATAGGGTTATTTCTGGGCTCTCTATTCTGTTCCATTGATCTATATGTCTGTCTTTTGCCAGTACCATAATATTTTATTACTGTAGTTTTGAAGTGTGTTTTGAAATTAGGAAGTATGAGACCTCAACCTTTGTTCTCTTTCAAGATTGTTTTGGCTATTTGGGATCATTTGTGGTTCTATATGAATTTTAGGATTGTGTTTTCTATTTCTGTAAAAAATGCCATTAGGATTTTGGTAGGAATGACATTGAATCTGTAGATCACTTTGGGTAATATGGACATTTTAACAATATTAAGTTTTCCAGTTCATGAACATAGGATGTCTTTCCATTATTTGTGTTTTAAATTTCTTTCAGCAATATTTTATAGTTTTCAGTGTACAAGTCTTTCATTTCCTTGGTTAAGTTTATTGCTAAGTGTTTTCTTTTTGACGCTGTTATAAATGCGATTGCTGTAATTTCCTTTCCAGATTGCTTGTAGTTGGTGTACAGAAACATAACTAATTTTAGTATGCTGACTTTGAATCCTGTAACTTTACTGAATTTATTAGTTCTAACAGTTTTTTTCCCCTTTGGTGGAATCTATAGGATTTTCTACACCTAAAATCATGTTATCTGTGAACAAAGATAATTTTTCTTCCTCCTTTCCAGTTTGCGTGCCTTTTATTTCTTTTTCTTGTCTACTTGCTCTGGCTAGAACCTTCACTAGTATGCTGAATAGAAGTGGTGAGAGTGAGCATCCTCACCTCTTTCCTGATCTTAGACGAAAAGTTTGTTTTTTACCTTTGAATATGTTAACTGTCGTGTTTTCATATATGGGCCTTTATTATGTTGAGGTAATTTCCTTGTTATTCCTAGTGATATGATTTGGATAGTCATCCCTTCCAGATCTCATATTGAAATGTGATTCCCAGTGTTGGAGGTAGGGACTAGTGGGAGATGTTTGGGTCATGGGGGCAGATCCCTCATGAATGGCTTGGTGCCCTCCCTACAGTAATGAGTGAGTTCTCACTCTTAGTTCATTTAAGAGCTGGTTGTTGAGAAGAGCCTGGCATTTCTCTTGTTACCTCCCTTGCCATATGACACACTGGCTGCCCTTCTCTTCCACCATGACTAAAAGCTTCATGAGGCCTTACCAGAAGCATATGCTGGCACCATGCTTCACAGTCCACAGAACTGAAAGCCAAAATAAATTATCCAATCTCAAGTATTTCTTTATAGCAACACAAAATGGACTAATACACCTAGTTTCCTAAGTTTTTTTAATCACAAAAGGGTGTTGAATTTTGCCAAACGCAATTTGTTTCTATTGATATGATCATGTAATTTTTATCCTCTGTTCTGTTCCTGTGGTGTATCACATTTTTGATTTGCATATTTGTAATCATTCTTATGTCCTAGGGATACTCTCCAGTCTCTTATAAGTGACTAAATCCCACTTAGTCATCATGGTGTATGTCCTTTTAATGTGCTATTGAATGTGGTTTGCTTGTATTTTGTTAAGAATTTTGCATCTATATCTGGGATATTGGTCTGCATTATTTTTTTCTTGTAATGTCTGTTTTTGGCTTTGGCACTGGGGTAATGCTGGCCTCATAAAATGACTTCGGAAGTATTCGTTCCTCTTCTACTTTTTAAAAGTTCAGAAGCATTCGTCTTAATTGTTCTTTAAATGTTTAATAGAATTCATCAGCAAAATCTTCTGGTCCTGGGCCTTTTTTGAGATGTTTTTGATTACTGATTGAATCTCCTTACTAGCTAAAAGTCTGTTCAGATGTTCTATTTCTTTATGATTCAGTCTTAATTTTCTATTCTCTACTTTGATAACTTCTACCTTAATCTTTATTATTTCATTTCTTCTGCCATCTTTGGGCTTAGTCTGTTTGTTTCTCATTCCTTGAGGTATAGAAGTTAGGTTATTTGAGCTCTTCTTTTGGGAGGTAGGAATTTATCACCACAAATTTTCCTCTTCCTACTGCTTTTTTCTCCATGAGTTATGTTTTTGTTTTGTCTAAAGATATTTTATAATTTACCTTTTTATATCTTCTTTGACCCATTGGTTGTTCCAGAGTAGGTGTTATTTAATTTCCATATATTTATGAGTTTTCTGATTTTCCTTCTCCTACTGATTTTTAGTTTCATTTCACTGTAGTTGGAAATAAATTTGAGAATTCAATCTTCTTAAGTTTGTTAAGACTTGCTTTGTGATCTGTCCTGGAGAATATTTCTGTGTGCACTTGAGAAAATGTGTATTCTGCTACTGTTGGGTGGAATGTTCTGTATATGACTATTAGGTGCATTTGATTTATAGTATTTTTCAAGCCCTCTGTTTCCTTATTGATCCTGTGTCTAGATGTTCTATTCATTACTGAAATCTCCTACTATTATTGCGATGCTGTTTTTCCCTTCAGTTCTGCCGATGTTTGTTTCATATATTTAAGTGCTCTGATGTTTGGTACATACATATTTACAATTATTATATCTTCTTGGTGAACTGACCCATTAATCATTATCTGTCCTTCTTTGTCTCTTGTAGCAGCTTTTGACTTAAAGTCTATTTTGTTTAAGTATGGTCACCCCTCTTTTAGTAGCTTAGCGTATCTTTCTCCATCCTATCACTTTAAGTATATGTGTGTCATTAAACTTAAAGTCAGTCTCTTATATACAGCATCTAGTTGAATCTTGTTATCCTTCAGCTACTTTGTGTCTTTTGACTGGGCAGTTTAATACATTTACATTTAATTATTGATAGGAAAGGACTAACTATTGCCATTTTGTTAATAATTTTCTGTCTGTCTTGCAGCTCTTTTGTCCCTTTTCTTCTTTCACTGTCTTCCTTTGTTGATTTTTTGTAATTTTTGTAGCTAACATAGGGCTTACATGAAACATTTTATAGTTGTAACAATCTGTTTTAAGCTGATAACAACTGTAATCACATTGAAAAACTCTACAGTTTTACTCTTTCCTCCAAACTTTGTCAATTATGTCATAAATTTTATCTTTTTATATTGTGTATCCCTTACATATTTTCATAGTTTTTAAATACTTTTGGCTTTTAACATCTGTACCAGAATTAAAAGTGATGTATACACTAACAATATAGTATTCTGTGTTTAGCTATATACTTACCTTTACCAGCAAACTTTATACTTTCATATGCTTTTGTATGGCTGCTTAGAGTCTGTTTAAACTTCAAGAACTTTAGTATTTGTTGTTATTCAGGCCTAGCGGTGATGAACTTCTTCAAATTTTATCTGAAAAAGTCTTTATTTCTCCTTTGCTTTTAAAGGACAGTTTGCCAGATACAGTATTCTTGAACAACCTTTTCTCCCCCTCCTTTCAGCACTCCCAATATACTGTCCCATTCTTTTCTGGCCTGCAAGGTTTCTGCTGAGAAATTCACTGATTCTTATGGGAGTTCCCTTGTATGTAATTAGTCCCTTTTGTTGCTCTCAAAATTCTGACTTTTGACAACTGATGTCTCAATATGGACTTCTTTGAGTTTATTCCCTTTGGGTCCATTTTCTTTCAGAGATTTGACAAGTTTTTGGACATTATTTATTTAAAGAAGCTTTCTGTCTCTTTATCTCTTCTACTTTTGGAACTAACATAATGAGTATTTTGGTCTGCTTATGGTGTCCTATAAGTCTGTGAGGCTTTTTTCTCTTCCTCTTCCTTCCTTCTGTTCTTCCTTCCTTCTCCTTCCCTCATCTTCCTCTTCCTCTCCTTCCCCCTCCTCTTACCTCTCCCTTCTTCCCCCTCCCCCCACTTCTCTTCTTCTTCCTGTTTTTGCTCCTCTGGCTGGATAATTTCAATGATCTGTGTCTGGGCTTTCTGTTCCCAAAAGAGAAGGAACACACGAACACACACACACACACACACACACACACACACACACACACACACGTGAAAGCTTTCTGAGTCAGGGTCTTGCTCATGTCACCCTGGCTGGGGTGCAATGTTAGGGTCACAACTCACTGTAACTTTGAACGCCTAGGCTCAGATGATCCTCCCACCTCAGCCACCTAAATACCTGGGACTAAAGGCATGCAGCCACATGCCTGGATAATTTATTTTTTATTTTCTGTAGAGATGGGGTCTTGCTATGTTGCCCAGGCTGTTTTCAAACTTGGCCTCAAGCTATCTCCTGCCTTGGCCTCCCAAAGTGCTGGGATTACAGGCATGAACCACTATTCCTGACTACAGAATATATTTTTATTGAATAAAAATTATAAGGTGACAGACCAAAAAAAAGAGACCTCCTAAGCTCATTTTAGGAGGGTAGAGGACAATCAAGGAAGAGAGGGAAAATCAAGAAAAGTGAAAGGAACAGAGAGAAAGGGAGGGAGGATGATGCCAATCTCACTGTTAAATAGAGTAGAAATCCTGAAAAATATTTGCAAACCAATGTTCACTTGTTCATAACGTAGAGTTAATCTCAGGAATCCAGTAATGGTTTAATATTGGAAAACCTATCAATGCAGTTCTCTACATTAATAGATTATGCTTTTCCATAAGGAAATTGATAATATGAAACACATATGCCACATAAAAGCTTTTAGTGAATTAGTGTTTTTTTTTTTTCCAAGGTGGTGGATTAGAGGTTTTTAACATGCCTCAGCCACTTGGAAATAGCAAAGTAGTGCCTAAACTCTCTGAGCTTTAATTGGAGAAGGAAAATTGGAATCCACTAGAATTGTAAAGAAAACCTCAGATCCTGGGTAGAAGAACACAGGCAAACAGCCCCTGTGATGATGTCTAGTTCATAAAAAGATTGTAGTGCCCCAGGGCCTTCTCTGGTTGACACCCAGGCAGATCTCCACTGACCTGGATCAGCAGCCGGAGTTGCCCCACTCTTCCTCTGCAGAAATTGTGGTGAAACAGGGCCCTCTCCGCTCCATGCCCAGGCAGATGTCCAGGCATTCAGAGCACCTCCTTGCCTGAATGAGTAGTCTGAGCCAGCCCACCCTTCCTGTGTAGAGACGATGGTAAAGCGAGGACCTCTCTGTCCCATGCCCAGGCATATCTCTAGGCAGCTGAAGCACCCACTCTCCTGAATTAGGAATTTAGGCTGACCCCTGATCTGTACAGATAACTTGGGGCTGAGGAGGTTTTCCAGCTCCATGCCTAGGCCCACCTCTGGGTATCTGGTGGCTGCCCACTGGATTCTCCCTCAGCACTGGTGCTTGTGCCTGCCACTGGGGGACCTGTAGGTAGGCCTACCTGGTCTGGTCCTGCCCATCATGCCCCCCTCTTCCTGGGGCTAAGCAGGAAGCTCAGAGGACTGTGCATTCCATGCATCAGCCCATTTCCTGAGGCAACGGCGAGCTTCTAGTAGTAAACAAAGGGCAAGTATATACCCAGCATGTTGGCTGCAGCTGCCTCTTACCCTTAAGTACCCTCTACTGGTTTGTAAGTCAAACCACAAAGCCTAATACAAAACCTGCCAAAAGTAGTGCATAGGGTTATAGAAGCAAAGCCAAAAGACCCTACCCACATTCTCTACAGTCACAACTCCTGGGGGCAGTAGCGGGGGTGGTGTGGGGAAGGGAAAGGGAAAGAAGAAAAAACCGGTAATATTATAGAGAAAGAAAAAGAAAAGAAATCCTACCCACATGAAAATAATTACAAGAATTAGAAGAGTCAGCATCTCCAGATGAGAAGGAACTAGCACAAGAATTCTGGCACCATGAAAAATCTGAATTTAGTGGTATCACACTAGCTCTCCAGCAATGGTCCCTAACCAAAATGGAAATGCAGAAATGACAGAGAAAGAATTCAATACATGAATTACAAGGAAGCTCAACAAGATCCATGGCAAGACTGAAAATCAACACAAAGAAACTTCTAAATCAATCCAGTAAATTAAGGAAGAGATAAACATCTTAAAAAGAAATCAGGCCGGGTGCGGTGGCTCACACCTATAATCCCAGCTTTGGGAGGCTGAGGCGGGCAGATCATGAGGTCAGGAGATTGAGACAATCCTGGCTAATATAGTGAAACCACGTCTCTACTAAAAATGCCAAAAAATTAGCTGGGCGTGGTGGCAGGCACCTGTAGTCCCAGCTACTCTGGAGGCTGAGGCAGAATGGTGTGAACCTGCAGGACAGAGCTTGCAGTGAGCCAAGATCATAACACTGTACTCCAGCCAGGGAAACAGGGTGAGACACTGTCACAAAAAAAAAAAAAAAAAAAAAAAAATCAATCAATCAGAACTTCTGGAATTGAAAAACTCACTTAAGGAATTTCAAAATACAATTGCAAACTTTGTCAATAAATTGGCCCATATGGAAGAAAGAATTTCAGAGCTTGAAGACTGGTCTTTCAAACTAATCTAGTAAGACAAAAATAAAAAACAATTTTAACGAATGAACAAAAAACCTTTGAGAAATATAAGATTATGTAAAGTGACCAAACCTATGAATTACTGGTATTCCCGAGAGAAAAGGAGAAAAAATAAGCAAGCTGGAAAATATATTTAAGGGAGTAATTCAAGTAAATTTCCCTAACCTTGCTAAAGAAGTAGACATCCAGATTTTAAAAATCCAGAGAATACCTGTGAGATACTATACAAGACAAACATCAGCAAGCCATATAGTCACCAGATTGTTCAATGTCAATGCTAGAGAAAAAAAATCTTAAAGGCAGCTAGAAAAAAATGTCACATCATGTACAAAGGAAACCCCATCAGGCTAACAGCAGACTTGCAGCAGAAACCTTACAAGCCAGGAGAGATTGGGGGCCCATTTTCAGTATTCTTAAAGAAATTCCCACCAAGATTTTCATATTGCACCCATCTAAGCTTTATGAGTAAAGGAGAAAATAAAATCTTTTACAGACAAGCAAGCAGTAAGGGAATTTGTTACCATTAGATCAGCCTTACAAGAGAATCTTAAGGGAGTTTTAAACATAGAAACAAAAGAAATATACCTCCTACCCAAGAAACACACTTAAGGACATAGCCCACAGACCCTATAAAGCAAGCACACAAGTAAAAACTACAAAGCAACCAGCTAAAAACCTCATGACAGGATCAAAACCTTACACTTCAATATTAATCTTGAATGTAAATGTCTAAATGCCCCACTTTAAAGGCACACACTTGTAAATTGCATTAAAAAACAAGACCCATACATCTGTTGTCTTTAAGACACCCACCTCACACGTAAGCACACCCAGTGGCTCAAAGTAAAGAGATGGAGAAAGATCTGTCATGTAAATGGAAAACAACAAACAGTAGGGGGTCACTATTCTTAGATAAAACAGACATTAAACCAGCAACAACAAAAGGACAAAAAGGCATTACATGATAAAGGGTTCAATGTAACAAGAAGACTTATCTGTCCTAAATGCATATGCACCCAACACTGGAGCACCCAGATTTATTAAAAAACAAACAAACAAAAATAAAACCTACTACTAGACCTTTGAAAAGACTTAGCCACATGATAATACTGGGAGGCTTCAATACTCCACTAACAGTGTTAGACATATCATCAAGGCAGAAAATAAATTCTAGACTTAAATTTGACACTGGACCAACTCGATCTCAGACATTTACAGAACACTCCACCTGTTAACCACAGAACATACATATTTTTCAACTGCACATGGAGCATATTCCAAGATCAACCACATGCTCAGCCATAAAATGAGTCTCAATAAATTCAAAAAAATTGAAATCATACCAGCCATACTTTCAGAACAGAGTGGAATAAAATTATTAATCAATACCAAGAGGATATCCCCAAACCACACAACCACATGGAAATTAAACAATTTGCTCCCAGATTACTTTTGAATAAACAACAAAATTAAGGCAGAAATCCAAAAATTATTTGAAATAAACAAAAACAGAGACACAACATAAAATTTCTGAGATGTAGCAAAAGCAGTGTCAAGACCAAAGTCTGTAGCTCTAAATGCCTACCTCAAAAAGTAAGAAAGATCTCACAGAGATTTTTAATTTAACATCACGTCTTGAGGAACTAGAAAAACCAGAACAAACTAACTCCAAAGATAGCAGAAGAAAACTAAAATCAGAGCAGAACTGAATGAGACCCAAAAATTCACATAAAGAATCAATGAAACCAAAAGCGTGTGTTTTTATTTTTGTTTTTTTTTTTTTTTTTTGAGACAGAGTCTCACTCTGTCATCCAGGCTGGATGACGATGGCATGGTCTTGGCTCACTGCAACCTCTGCCTCCTGGGTTCCAGCAATTATCCCGCCTCAGCCTCTTGAGTAGCTGGGACTACAGGCGTGTGCCACCACACACGGCTAATTTTTGTATTTTTAGTAGAGATGGGGTTTCACTATGTTGGTCAGGCTGGTCTCGAACTCCTGACCTCATGACCCACCCGCCTCGGCCTCCCAAAGTGTTGCAATTACAGGTGTGAGCCACTGCACCCGGCCTGAAAACTGGGTTCTTTGAAAGGATAAACATGACTGACAGACTGCTAGCTGGATTAACAAAAAATGAGAGAAGATCAAACTAAGCACAAGCAGAAATGACAAAGGTGACATTACAACCAATCCCACAGAAGTACAAAAGATACTCAGAGACTATTATGAACACCTTTATGCATACAAACCAGAAAATCCAGAGGAAATGGATAAATTTCTGGAAATACATAAACTCCCAAGATAAAATCAGAAAGACATTGAAACTCTGAACAGACCAATATTTTTTTCTGAAATTGAATCAGTAATAAAAATCCTATCAGGGGGAGGAGCCAAGATGGCCGAATAGGAACAGCTCTGGTCTACAGCTCCCAGCGTGAGCAACGCAGAAGACAGCTGATTTCTGCATTTCCATCTGAGGTACCGGGTTCATCTCACTAGGGAGTGCCAGACAGTGGGCGCAGGTCAGTGGGTGCGTGCACCATGCGCGAGCCGAAGCAGGGCGAGGCATTGCCTCACTCTGGAAGCGCAAGGGGTCAGGGAGTTCCCTTTCCTAGTCAAAGAAAGGGGTGACGGATGGCACCTGGAAAATCAGGCCACTCCCACCCGAATACTGCGCTTTTCCGACGGGCTTAAAAAACGGCGCACCACGAGATTATATCCCGCACCTGGCTCAGAGGGTCCTACGACCACGGAGTCTCGCTGATTGCTAGCACAGCAGTCTGAGATCAATCTGCAAGGCAGCAGCGAGGCTGGGGGAGGGGCGCCTGCCATTGCCCAGGCTGGCTTAGGTAAACAAAGCAGCCGGGAAGCTCCAACTGGGTGGAGCCCACCACAGCTCAAGGAGGCCTGCCTGCCTCTGTAGGCTCCACCTCTGGGGGCAGGGCACAGACAAACAAAAAGACAGCAGTAACCTCTGCAGACTTAAATGTCCCTGTCTGACAGCTTTGAAGAGAGCAGTGGTTCTCCCAGTACGCAGCTGGAGATCTGAGAAGGGGCAGACTGCCTCCTCAAGTGGGTGCCTGACCCCTGACCTCTGAGCAGCCTAACTGGGAGGCAACCTCCAACGGGGGCACACTGACACCTCACACGGCAGGGTACTCCAGCAGACCTGCAGCTGAGGGTCCTGTTTGTTAGAAGGAAAACTAAGAAACAGAAAGGACATCCACACCAAAAACCCATCTGTACATTACCATCATCAAAGACCAAAAGTAGATAAAACCACAAAGATGGGGAAAAACAGAACAGAAAAACTGGAAACTCTAAAAAGCAGAGCGCCTCTCCTCCTCCAAAGGAACGCAGTTCCTCACCAGCAATGGAACAAAGCTGGACGGAGAATGACTTTGACGAGCTGAGAGAAGAAGGCTTCAGACGATCAAATTACTCTGAGCTACGGGAGGACATTCAAACCAAAGGCAAAGAGGTTGAAAACTTTGGGCCGGGCGCGGTGGCTCACGCCTGTAATCCCAGCACTTTGGGAGGCCGAGGCGGGTGGATCGTGAGGTCAGGAGATCGAGACCATCCTGGCTAACAAGGTGAAACCCCGTCTCTACTAAAAATACAAAAAATTAGCCGGGCGCGGTGGCGGGCGCCTGTAGTCCCAGCTACTCGGGAGGCTGAGGCAGGAGAATGGCGTGAACCCGGGAAGCGGAGCTTGCAGTGAGCCGAGATTGCGCCACTGCAGTCCGCAGTCTGGCCTGGGCGACAGAGCGAGACTCCGTCTAAAAAAAAAAAAAAAAAAAAAAAAAAAGAAAACTTTGAAAAAAATTTAGAAGAATGTATAACTAGAATAACCAATACAGAGAAGTGCTTAAAGGAGCTGATGGAGCTGAAAACCAAGGCTCGAGAACTACGTGAAGAATGCAGAAGCCTCAGGAGCTGATGCGATCAACTGGAAGAAAGGGTATCAGTGATGGAAGATGAAATGAATGAAATGAAGTGAGAAGGGAAGTTTAGAGAAAAAAGAATAAAAAGAAATGAGCAAAGCCTCCAAGAAATATGGGACTATGTGAAAAGACCAAATCTACGTCTGATTGGTGTACCTGAAAGTGATGGGGAGAATGGAACCAAGTTGGAAAACACTCTGCAGGATATTATCCAGGAGAACTTCCCCAATCTAGCAAGGCAGGCCAACGTTCAGATTCAGGAAATACAGAGAACGCCACAAAGATACTCCTCGAGAAGAGCAACTGCAAGACGCATAATTGTCAGATTCACCAAAGTTGAAATGAAGGAAAAAAATGTCAAGGGCAGCCAGAGAGAAAGGTCGGGTTACCCTCAAAGGGAAGCCCATCAGACTAACAGCGGATCTCTCGGCAGAAACCCTACAAGCCAGAAGAGAGTGGGGGCCAATATTCAACATTCTTAAAGAAAAGAATTTTCAACCCAGAATTTCATATCCAGCCAAACTAAGCTTCATAAGTGAGGGAGAAATAAAATCCTTTACAGACAAGCAAATGCTGAGAGATTGTGTCACCACCAGGCCTGCCCTAAAAGAGCTCCTGAAGGAAGCGCTAAACATGGAAAGGAACAACTGGTACCAGCCACTGCAAAATCATGCCAAAATGTAAAGACCATCGAGACTAGGAAAAAACTGCATCAACTAACGAGCAAAATAACCAGCTAGCATCCTAATGACAGGATCAAATTCACACATAACAATATTAACTTTAAATGTAAATGGACTAAATGCTCCAATTAAAAGATACAGACTGGCAAATTGGATAAAGAGTCAAGACCCATCAGTGTGCTGTAATCAGTAAACCCATCTCACGTGCAGAGACGCACATAGGCTCAAAATAAAAGGAGGGAGGAAAATCTACCAAGCAAGTTTCCTTCTGAAACTATTCCAATCAATAGAAAAAGAGGGAATCCTCCCTAACTCATTTTATGAGGCCAGCATCATCCTGATACCAAAGCCTGGCAGAGACACAACAAAAAAAGAGAATTTTAGACCAATATCCCTGATGAACATTGATTCAAAAATCCTCAATAAAATACTGGCAAAACCGAACCCAGCAGCACATCAAAAAGCTTATCCACCATGATCAAGTGGGCTTCATCCCTGGGATGCAAGGCTGGTTCAATATACGCAAATCAATAAATGTAATCCAGCATATAAACAGAGCCAAAGACAAAAACCACATGATTATCTCAATAGATGCAGAAAAGGCCTTTGACAAAATTCAACAACCCTTCATGCTAAAAACTCTCAATAAATTAGGTATTGATGGGACGTATTTCAAAATCATAAGAGCTATCTATGACAAACCCACAGCCAATATCATACTGAATGGGCAAAAACTGGAAGCATTCCCTTTGAAAACGGGCACAAGACAGGGATGCCCTCTCTCACCACTCCTATTCAACATAGTGTTGGAAGTTCTGGCCAGGGCAATTAGGCAGGAGAAGGAAATAAAGGGTATTCAATTAGGAAAAGAGGAAGTCAAATTGTCCCTGTTTGCAGATGACATGATTGTATATCTAGAAAACCCCATCATCTCAGCCCAAAATCTCCTTAAGCTGATAAGCAACTTCAGCAAAGTCCCAGGATACAAAATCAATGTACAAAAATCACAAGCATTCTTATACACCAACAACAGACAGAGAGCCAAATCATGAGTGAACTCCCATTCACAATTGCTTCAAAGAGAATAAAATACCTAGGAATCCAACTGACAAGGGATGTGAAGGACCTCTTCAAGGAGAACTACAAACCACTGCTCAAGGAAATAAAAGAGGATACAAACAAATGGAAGAACATTCCATGCTCATGGGTAGGAAGAATCAATATCGTGAAAATGGCCATACTGCCCAAGGTAATTTACAGATTCAATGCCATCCCCATCAAGCTACCAATGACTTTCTTCACAGAATTGGAAAAAACTACTTTAAAGTTCATATGGAAGCAAAAAAGAGCCCGCATCGCCAAGTAAATCCTAAGCCAAAAGAACAAAGCTGGAGGCATCACGCTACCTGACTTCAAACTATACTACAAGGCTACAGTAACCAAAACAGCATGGTACTGGTACCAAAACAGAGATATAGATCAATGGAACAGAACAGAGCCCTCAGAAATAATGCCGCATATCTACAACTATCTGATCTTTGACAAACCTGACAAAAAACAAGCAATGGGGAAAGGATTCCCTATTTAATAAATGGTGCTGGGAAAACTGGCTAGCCATATGTAGAAAGCTGAAACTGGATCCCTTCCTTACACCTTATACGAAAATCGATTCAAGATGGATTAAAGACTTAAATGTTAGACCTAAAACCATAAAAACCCTAGAAGAAAACCTAGGCATTACCATTCAGGACATAGGCATGGGCAAGGACTTCATGTCTAAAACACCAAAAACAATGGCAACAAAAGCCAAAATTGACAAATGGGATCTAATTAAACGAAAGAGCTTCTGCGCAGCAAAAGAAACTACCATTAGAGTGAACAGGCAACCTACAAAATGGGAGAAAATTTTCGCAACCTACTCATCTGACAAAGGGCTAATATCCAGAATCTACAATGAACTCAAACAAATTTACAAGAAAAAAACAACCCCATCAAAAAGTGGGCGAAGGACATCAACAGACACTACTCAAAAGAAGACATTTATGCAGCCAAAAAACACATGAAAAAATGCTCATCATCAGTGGCCATCAGAGAAATGCAAATCAAAACCACAATGAGATACCGTCTCACACCAGTTAGAATGGCAATCATTAAAAAGTCAGGAAACAACAGGTGCTGGAGAGGATGTGGAGAAATAGGAACACTTTTACACTGTTGGTGGGACTGTAAACTAGTTCAACCATTGTGGAAGTCAGTGTGGCGATTCCTCAGGGATCTAGAACTAGAAATACCATTTGACCCAGCCATCCCATTACTGGGTATATACCCAAAGGACTATAAATCATGCTGCTATAAAGACACATGCACATGTATGTTTATTGCAGCATTATTCACAATAGCAAAGACTTGGAACCAACCCAAATGTCCAACAATGATAGACTGGATTAAGAAAATGTGGCACATATACACCATGGAATACTATGCAGCCATAAAAAATGATGAGTTCATGTCCTTTGTAGGGACGTGGATGAAATTGGAAATCATCATTCTCAGTAAACTATCGCAAGAACAAAAAACCAAACACCGCATATTCTCACTCATAGATGGGAATTGAACAATGAGATCACATGGACACAGGAAGGGGAACATCACACTCTGGGGACTGTTGTGGGGTGGGGGCAGGGGGGAGGGATAGCATTGGGAGATATACCTAATGCTAGATGACAAGTTAGTGGGTGCAGCGCACCAGCATGGCACATGTATACATATGTAACTAACCTGCACAATGTGCACATGTACCCTAAAACTTAAAGTATAATAATAAAAGAAAAAAAAAATCCTATCAGCCAAAAAGAGCACTGGAGCAAATGGATTCACAGCTGAATTCTACCAGACATATAAAGAGGAACTGGTACTTATTTTACTGAGATTATCCCAAAAAACTGAGGAGGAGGGACTCCTAACTCATTCTATGAAGCCAGTTAGCACCCTGATACCAAAACCTGGCAAAGACACAATGAAAAAAACCTACAGGCCAACATCCCTAATGAACACAGTATTTCATTGAGGATTTTTGCATCTAACAAACTGAATCCAGCAGCACATCAAAAGTTAATCCACCATAAGCAAGTAGGCTTTACTCCTGGGCTGCAAGGTTAGTTTGACATATGCAAATCAATAAATGTGATTCACCACATAAACAGAACTAAAAACAAAAATCATACCATCCCAATAGACGTAGAAAGAGCCTTTGGGAAAATCCAACATCCCTTCATGTTAAAACTCTCAAGAAACTAGGCATAGAAGGAACACACCTGAAAAGAATAAGAGCCATTGATGGCAAACCCACAGCTTTAACATCATATTGAATGGGCGAAAGCTGGAAGCATTTACCATGAGAACTAGAACAACATAGGATGCCAACTTTCACCATTCCTATTAAACACAGTACTGGAAGTCTGTCAGTGCAATCAGGCCCAATAAAAAAATATAAAAAGCATACCAATAGGAAAAGAATAAGTCAGTCTCTCTTTCTGAATGATATGATTCTATACCTAGAAAACCCTAAAGACTCCATCAAAAGGCTCCTGGAATGGATAAACAACTTCAGCAAAGTTTCAGGATACAAAATCAATGTACAACAATCAGAAGCATTTCTATACACCAATAATGTTCAAGCTGAGAGCCAAATCAAGAATGCAATCCCATTTAGAATAGCCACACACACAAAATGAAATACCTAGGAATACATATAACCAATAAGTTGAAACATCTCTACAAAGAGTGCTACAAAACACTGCTGAAAGAAATCACAGATGAAACAAACAAATGGACAAACATTCCATGCTCAAAGGTTGGAAGAATCAGTATCATTACAACTGCCACACGTCCCAAAGCAGTCTGCAGATTCGTTGGTATTCCTATCAAACTATCAACATCACTTTTCACAGAAGTAGAAAAAACTATTCTAAAATTCGTATGGAACCCAAAGAGAGCCTGAATAGCCAAAGCAATCTTAAGCAAAAAGAACAAAGCTAGAGGCACCATGTTACTCAACTTCAAACTTTAAGACTACAGTAACCAAAAGAGCATGGTACTGGTACAAAAAAAGGCACACAGACCAAGTGAACATAATAGAGAACCCAGAAATAAAGCTGTGCACCTACAGCCATCTGATCTTCAACAATGTTGACAAAAGCAATGAGGAAAGATGCAATAAATGGTGCTAGGATACCTGGATAGCCATATGCAGAAGGATGGAACTGGACCCCCCCTATCTTTCACCATATAAAAAAATTAATTCAAGATGGATTAAAGACTTACTAAAATGTAAGACATCAAACTACCAGAATCTTGGAAGAAAACCTAGGAAACAGGATTTTAGACATCAGCATGGGAAAGATTTACGTCTAAGTCCTCAGAAGCAATTAAAGACCAATCTACAGAGTGGGAGAAAATATTCACCAACTATGCATCCAACAAAGGTCTAATATCTATAAGAAACTTAAACAGTTCAACGAGCAAAACACAACCCCATTAAAATGAGTGGGCAAAGGACATGCACAAACATTTCTCAAAAGAAAACATATGAGTGGCATACAAACATGAAAAAATGCTGAACATCACTAATTAGAGAAATGCGAACCAAAACCATAATGAGATACCATCTCACACCAGTCAAAATACCTATTATTAAAAAGTCCCAAAACAACAGATGCTGGTGAGGCTATGGAGAAAAGGGAATGCTTATATATTTTTGGTGGGAATGTAAATTAGTTCAGCCACTGTGTAAAGCAGTTTGGAGATTTCTCAAAGAACTTAAAACAGTACTACAACTTGACTGCAATTCCATCGCTGCGCAAGTACCCAAAGGAATGTAAGTCATTCTGCCATAAAGACACATGCACTCGTATGTTCACTGCAGCACTAGTCACAATAGCAAAGACACGGAATCAACCTAGATGCCAATCGACCATGAACTGGATAAAAAAAAGTGGTACATATACAACGTGGAGTACCACACAGCTATAAGAAGAACAAAGTCACATCCCTTGAAGAAACACGGATGCAGCTTAGGCCAAAATCCTGAGCAAATTAATGCAGCAACAGAAAACCAAATACCACACATTCTCACTTATAGGTGGGAGTTATAAGTGAATACCCATGGACATAAAGATGGCAACAATAGACACTGAGGACTAATAGAGGTGGGGAGGGTAAGAGGAGGGCAAGGGTTGGAAAATTAACTGTTGAGTACTGTGCTATCTGTTTTTGTTTTGTTTTGTTTTTTGAGACAGAGTCTCACTCCGTCACCCAGGCTGGAGGGCAGTGGCACGATCTTGGCTCACTGCAACCAACCTCTGCCTCCTGGGCTCAAGCGATTCTCATGCCTCAGCCTCCCGAGTAGCTGGGATTACAGATGTGTGCCACCACACTCGGCTAATTTTTGTATTTTTAGTAGAGAAGGGGTTTTGCCATGTTGGCCAGGCTGGTCTTGAACTCTTGGCCTGATGTGATCCCCTGCCTCAGCCTCCCAAAGCGCTGGGATTACAGGCATGAACCAACGCACCTGGCCTGTGCTATCTCGATGATGGGATCATTCATATTCCAAACCTAAGCATCATTCAATATACTCATGTAACAAATCTGTACATGCACCCCCGAATCTAAAATAAAAGTTGAAATTATTAAAGAAAAAAACCCAGAAACAAATTTTTTTTTTAGCAAACTAAGTAAAGAATACTGCCTCAACTTGATGAAGGGTAACTACCAGAAACCTACCTACACAGAACTTCATGCTTGATAAATATGGAAACAATACCATCACTTAGAATAAACAAAGGTTGTCCACTATACTGCTATTATTTAATATTATACAGGATATCCTGGCCAAAGCAATAAGCAAGAAAAGAACTAAGATAAAAATTGGAAAGGAGATGAAATTGTCATTATTTATGAATGGCTATAACCATCTACCTAGAAACCTCAAGAAAAATGAGCTAACTTGCAGAACCAGTAACAATATATTAAGGCAAGTTAGATATAAAAATCAATGTATAAAATTCAAATATACTTCCATTTATCATCAGTAACTCATTAGAATAATTCTAATAAAAAGATATTCACAATAGTAGAAATAATAACCTTAAATTACCTAGAATAAACTTAACAAAAGATATCCAAGACCTTAACATAGAAAACGCAGAATCTTGGCTAGGCATGGTTGCTCACACCTGTAATCCCAGCACTTTGGGAGGCCGAGGTGGGCAGATCACTGGAGGTCAGGAGTATGAGACCAGCCTGGCCAAAATGGCTAAATGCTGTCTCTACTAAAAATACAAAAATTAGCTGGTCATGGTGGTGTATGCCTGTAGTCCCAGCTACTCGGGAGGCTGAGGCCGGAGAATCGCTTGAACCCAGGAGGTGGAGGTTGCAGTGAGCCGACATTGCCCCACCACACTCCAGCCTGGGCGACAGAGTGATACTCCGATACTCTGTCTCAGAAAAAAAAATCATTTGCAGAAGATTCATAAATGGAGATTCATAAATGGACACAAAACTAAATGGAGACGTATACCATGTTTATGAAGGCAACGCCTCAAAACTGTACATGTCAATTCTCTCCAAATTTAACTGTAATATTAAAGCAAACCCAGTTGAAAAAATACCCTCAAGATTTTCATAGAACTATAAAACCTGATTCTAAAAGGGATATGGAAAATGTATATATAAACAGCCTGCAATTATGAAATGAAATTGAGTGGGGATATGTCTTAGCAAATATAAAAGACCTAATAAATCCTTAATAGCTGAAGTTGTGTTATCTTCACAGTAAAAGATAAACTTGAGGAGAAGGAGAGGGAATAGGGAGAATTTGAATTCAGTAGAAAGATAATTATTAATAAATTATGTTGAGACAATTGACTGTTCACTTAGAAAATACCAGGTTAGATCTTCACCTCATGCACAAAACTAAATACCAGATAAAGGTAAACAGGTAAAAAATAAAACTTTAAAGCTATTAAAAGAAAACATACAATATCTATTTCTTCAGAATGGGAAAGACCTTCATAAACAAATATAACCCCCCATGATTAATTTAGCAACAAAATTAAAACTACTATAATTAAAAAGACAATTGAAACTAAGTTAAAAGGCAACTGTTGGGGAGAGAGAAACTATCCATGATTTACATGATAGAAGATGTTACGTCTTTTACATCCTACAAATCCATGCAAAGATGATGAGCAACCCAATAGAGAAGTAGGGGAAAATATGACTATGAAATTCACATAAGAGGAAACTCAAGGTCTAACAGATACCTGGCAAGATGCTCTCGAGTAGTAATTACAAAGGGTAGGTTTTAAAAAATGAGATATTAAAAAACTCATGAGATTGGCAAATATGGAAATGTAAGGTAGTTCTGGAAATGGTATGGAGGCACTAGGAACTCTGGTGGGAGGGTAAATTTGTACAGCCACTTTGGAAGCGGATGAACAGTATGGCTGACTCAAGCCCCACCTATAATCCCATCTTCCTCCCTCATTTCCAGTAGAAGAAATTGGAGTCGGCTTTCAGGAAGGCTTTTTAAAAGAAATAGACCCAGCTGGCATTTCCCTTTGGCCTTGTTTATCTTCCCTTTTCTTCTTGCCTGTAATAATGCCTGAGGGTGCAGCCACCTTCTCAGAATCACGCGGTGAGAATCATTAGAATGAGGATCCAACAGAGCCGAAAGATGGGGCCAGTCCCTGATGTTACCACTGAGCTGCGTCATCCCACGTATGCCTACTTCCGGACCCCTTGTTACATGAAAACAACAAACTACTGTTCAAGGCACTGTTAATAATTTTTAAATGCGCAGCTGAATGCATGTCTGATACAGTAGTCCCTATTAAAATTCTAATTCCACTTCTGGATGTCTATCCTAGCAGCTCATTTCAACGTGGATGTAAGGAGATATATATATATAAGAGCATCCATGCCTGTGCTGTCTGATAAGGTGGCAAGCTAGAAACAAACGGAATAAACACCAATAAGGAAATGCCTTAATCTACCATGGTACATTTACACTATGGAATGCTGTTCAGCTGTTAAGAACTAGGTATATCTACCTTATCTGATGGCCATAAATAAGACATATTCTATGCCATCGTTGTTTGAGAAAGTAGCAATCATCTAGTGTTCTTACAAAGGCAAGCTCTAGGCCAGGCGCCACCCAGCTCACATACTGAGCCTCCTTCCTTGGCGCCAGTTGTGCCCTGAATGTGTGTCCAGGGTGGGGAATGGAAAGGCAGTCCAGGCGTTAGATCTACCAACTCAGATTTCACCTTTGCTGGTAGATGAGTCATGCCTATGCCTGGGAGACTGGCAGGGAAGTTGGGGAGGTACATGAAGCATAATCAGAGGTAGGTGGACAGCAGAAGTTAGGAAAGTTCTGATGTGGCACACAGGACTCTATCAACAGCTGGGGAACGACAGGTTTCTTGGGCAGCCTGGGGTAGGGGTGGGAGCTGGCAGTGCCACCTGTTCCTAACCTCTGTTCTTAATAGGGCTGGCCGAGGCAAAGCCATGTTATTTGTTTACTAGGTTTGAGGCAGTAAAATTACTGAAGTAATAACCACAACATTGTGAAGGACAATTGAAGGAGGTTGTTTGAGGCTGTTATCGACTCTATCACTAACACAATGACGGCTAAGTATAAGGAGAATTACCTATACTCAGGCATTTTAGATGGCTTTTTAGGTTTGGAGAAAATGAAAAGCAAAACATATATGATGCATTTCACAAATGCTTTTGGACTGATGTTGCTATACTTACTGGAAAATCAAGTTCCATTTGAATTCACCGAAATGTTTTCCTTTTTGCTTCTTGAATACTGTAGTGTTCTGTGATATAGTTAAATTTGCTGCCTTCGCAAGGTTGATACTGGAATTCTTTCTAGTGTATTATGCTGCATAATTTGTACCAATATTGACTAAATATTTATTCTTTTACATGTTCAATGGCTACTTGCAGAGGAATTTATTCAAATTTATTATAGTTTGCTACTGATATTAGCTTTATTTTGCATGTGCTGTAGAGGAATTCGTTCAGATATATTTTATTTTGTGTCTTTCCTAGTTACCAGTGTTCGGTGAACCACCGAACCAGTGTTTGCTTTCATACGACCGCGTGTCAGATCATCTACTCTTCCACCAGTAAATCTATTTTGCTGAGGGATACACAAAAGAAGCACTGAAAAACTATACATAAGATTTTCTTTAGGTAATTTTTTATTAATATTTCAATGTTGGTAGAATACTGCTACATACCCAGAATTCAGGATTTTCTACTATATTCTATTCTAGTACAAAATGAGATTTTTTCCCCTCAAAATCAGTTCACAATAACTTCTAATACATCTGTTATGAAAAATGCTTAATTCTTCATATAACTATGTGTCTTATATATAGGGTGATCGTACAATTTATTATACAAAATGGGACATACCTGAGAGTGAAAGGAAGCACTATTAAAAATTAAGGTGGGACTACAGGCATGAAACCAGAACTGTCTTAGGCCAACTAGGACATATGCTTATCATCTTTATATACCCGGTGACCTCCTATGTCAGCAAATAAAGAATATATACTAATATCAATAGATCACCATGCTGTACTATTGAGTGAGAAACCGTAGTAGCAGAAGGAACTGTGAGGTGGGAGACAGTAGTATGGGGAAAGACATGAACACCACAGCCCTGTTTTCTATACAAATATATACATATATGAAATTTGGGGACATTAGTAAAAGGGGTCTTTGGCCTTATCCGTAATATTTTAACATTATATAAGAAAAATACATCTATGCATTATTTGTATAGTTACTTTTAAATCTAAGTTACACAGAAGCACTCTGAATGTGTAGAAATAAAAGCTTGATGATTTTGGGTTGGCTTTCTAGCCCCACAATTTAAAACCAACACACACCGCTATGGGTGTTTATAGACATCAAAATTTAGAGCAGAGAGGCATAGATGCCTACTTGTTCTCTAGCATGGTGTAATTGACTCTGCAATCTCAAGAAAAGAAAAACTCATTTTCAGTTTAGAGCTCAAAACGTGACTGAATTGAGTAATTGAAAACCATGGTATCAAGCCTGTAATCCCAGCACTTTGGGAGGCCGAGGTGGGTGGATCACCTGAGCTCAGGAGTTCGATACCATCACGGCTGACATGGTGAAACCCCATCTCTACTAAAAATACAAAAATTAGCTGAGCGTGGTGGCGGGCACCTGTAATCCCACCTACTTGGGAGGCTGAGGCAGGAGAATTACTCGAACCTGGGAGGCGGAGGTTGCAGTGAGCCAAGATTGTGCCACTGCACTCCAGCCTGGGCCACAAGACCAAAACTCCGTCTGAAACAGACAAACAAACAAAAAAAACATGGTAGGCTGGGCACGGTGGCTCATTCCTGTAATCTCACCACTTTGGGAGACTGAGGAAGGAGGATCACCTAAGGCCAGGAGTTTGAGACCAGCCTGGGCAAAACGGTGAGACCCTGTCTCTACAAAAGACGACAGAAAAATTAGCTAGGTGTGCTGGTGCACCTGTGGTTCTAGCTACTTAGGAGGATCACCTGAGCCCAGGAGGGCACTGCAGCAGTGAGCTGTGTCCACAGTGCTACACTTCAGCCTGGTCGACAGAGTGACACCATGTCTCAAAAGAAAAAAAGAAAAGCCACGGTAAATAAACTAATACCTGTTATATGGCAGGAAATCAATGAAACATTTTCACTGAACCATCTCTACCCGCATATGCAGTTGTTTTTTTCAAACTACAGTCTTATGTTGCTAATTAGTTACTGAACATTCCATTTGAACGTCTCAAACTCCACTAGCATGTCTTGCATCTCTTCCTGTAGACACCAGCTTCCCCTCCAAACCCTTCCATCTTTCCCAGCAGAAACACTATTAATTAAGGATCCATGTGCATAGTTCTTGTACAGGTTACAAAAGGCCTCTGTGCCATTAAATCCATACAAGTTCCCCCAAGAGATAAGCAGGGAATGTTTTATCTCCACTTTACAGATGAGAGGCATTTGCTCAAAGTCACATTGCAAATAAGAGATGGCTCCAGGACAGGCATAAGGAAGTGCAAGCAAATGCATGAGTCCCTTGAGCACTGAAGGGCTATAATCACCCACTACCAAATATTTCTTTTCCACTTGGGCCCAAACTTAAGGTATTTGCTGTGCTCAGAGACACTTCCACTGTGAAGTGCTTTGTAAAAAGTTCACCCTTCTTTGGGAGAATTTAAACATCTAAGGGCACCTCTACAGGCTGGACTTTGCATTTTCATTACTTCGAAAGATTTTTATTAGGTCTGTGCTCCACGCCCAGAATAGTGTAAGACTGCAGGGGAGGCAAAGAGCCATCAGCAGCGAATAATACTTGGGCTCTGCTCTCAAGATACTGATTTAGAGGAGAGACTAGGACATGTGCAATGTGACCAATATCAGTATTTGATTAGGTACACAAACAAGTCTTCCTGGAGGATGTCCTCTGGGCTATTAAGTATGGCTCTAACATCCATGCTCCTCACAAAATACATGGAATTCCAGTAGATTAACAGCACCCCCCGCCCACACACCTCAGCTCTACGTAATACATACTCACATGACAAAATAATGGTTTGCTTCTGTAACTTAGTTTGTGTAGCAGAAGTCACTATTTACAGTTACTCATTTTTTGTAACAAATAGTTTACTTTAATTGCAAATGAAGTTCGAGTAACACTTAGCCTTGAATAATGTCATGCTAACGTGATAAAACCACCTCCAACAAGGTAAGAGTTTGGGCCAGGCTCGGTGGCTCATACCTGTAATCCCAGCACTTTGGGAGGCCGAGGCAAGAGGATTGCTTGGGGCAAGGAATTCAAGACCAGCCCAGGTAACATAGTGAAACACCGTCTCTACAGAAAATAAAAGCTGGATGTGGTGGCATGCACCTGTAGTCCCAGTTACTTGGGAGGCTGAGGTAGGACAATCATTTGAGCCCAGGAGTTCGAGCCAACAGTGAGCCATGACTGTGCCACTGTACTCTAGCCTGGGTGACAGACGAGACTCTATCAAAAAAAAAAAAAAAAAAATTTGGTCTTGGATTCAAGTAAACCTGGCTCAAATTTAAGTTTTGCCACTTCCTAGCTGGTGACGCTGGGTACCCTTGGGCAAGGTACTGCATCTCCCTAAGCCTCAGTTTCCTCCCATGTAAACTGGAGATAATAAATTGATCTGTTTCTTAAAGACATTAAGAAAGCTAAATAAGCCTAAGAAATAAAGAAAGCCTCAGGTGGATCACCTGAAGTCAGGAGTTTGAGACCAGCCTGGCCAACATGGCGAAACCCCAAATCACCGCTAATTAAACAAAAATTAGCCGGTTGTGGTGGTGGGCGCCTGTAATCCTATTGACTCAGGAGGCTGAGGCAGAAGAATCGCTTGAACCCAGGAGGTGGAGGTTGCAGTGAGCTGAGATCACGCCATTGCACTCCAGCCTGGGCAACAAGAGCAAAACTCCATCTCAAAAAAAAGAAAAAAAAATTAGAAAGCCTTATCCTGAGTAAACTCTCAACAAATAGTAGCAATTAACTATTAACAATGTTCATCTTTGAGTAATTTAGTTAACTAGGGTGACAGGTTAATATTGATCATTAGCTTCATGTTGAACATTCCCAGAAGCTAAATCCCCTATGAAAGGCACAGGACTATAAATCAGTGGAGTGGGGGTGTTGTAATTGCCCAGCAATGTGCAAATAATTCCCCTTAAAACCTGGGCAACATTTCAGACTTATTATTATCTATTCAGGACACTAACTCCTAGTGACTGTTAAGAGCAAAAGACGACTCATTCTTATAACATATATACATATGTTAAAATATATATATGGGTAAGACAGTATTTTACTCTTGGATCTGAAATATGGCTCCACTGGGAGGCTAGAGCAAAAGATATGTAGAATACTTGCCAAGATTAAAATCTTGCATATTAGTAATGAAGAATTTTTTAATTACTTGCATGCTTTAACCAGCTGTTAAAAATAAACATTGCGAATTACTGCTGATAAATCCCCTGTTGGTTGAAAGACACTTGCCTGGATCACTTTGCTACATGCAATTTCTTTGTAGTGAACTAGATTTGGCCTCGGTCATAATTACTTGAGTTCAATGAACTCAAGTAATTATGAACGCAACTTGAGTTCAATGAGTTCCTGGTGTGCCCAGGTTCTAAAATACAGAAGGGTAACATGGTATGAATTTGCACAACTTAGAGATACCAGGGACTGGTTGACTCTATTTCTGGTTTGATTTTCAATAGCAAAAGGCTGTTTTACACTAAAAGATCAGGTAACCAGGCACAACAAGATGTGTTGCCAAAGAATCCCTTTGGCTCAAGAAAAAGAGGCTCTAGGTTGGCTGGAAAAGTCAGCACTGGGACGTAGCAGTGCTTGTCTGTGTCAACAAAGAACTGGGCCCTGCATAAAGGAGCAGGTGGGGGGTCACTCGAATCCAAGGCCCTTTGGCGAGTCCCATCTCCCCCTTCATTCATTCAGCAAAGTTGTACTGAGCACCTGCTGTAGCAAAGCACTGCAAAGGGAAGAGCCAAGCAGAAGTCAGGAGCCTCTCAGCATCTTGCAAGGGAGCCAGTGTTTAGTATCTGGCACCAGTGCTCACCTCCTTGTTGAAAGATAAGAAACACCTAGAGTGCAGATTACCAACCAACACAGACTTTCTCAATCAGAAGCATCAGGGAAGAGTCTGGAGTCTGTATATCGAGGTAAAATAGATGTAAGGAGTTCCTGAAATCATTGGTTCTGATCATTCCCCTGCCCCCGTGCTTTTCTGGTTGTTACAGTGAAAGGACCGATTCCAGAGCTTCCTACTCTGCCGTTTTACATGATGTCACCCTTCTGGAGTCTGCATTTTTAATTTAGGCCTTGAATGTTCTTATTGCCTCAGGCTGGGAGTCTCAGGTGTAAAAGAAGCAATAACTGGGGAATCAGCTGTAATTTCAGATAAGGGACCACCTGGCTGATAAGTGCATTCACCCCGTCAACAAGCATTTATTGGGCATATGAAGGGTACAGAAGTAGAAAAAACAGACATGGTTCCTGCTCTCATGGGGCGTTTATGTTCTGGGGAGCAAATCACTTCATCAAACAATTTCCATATAAAACAAGAGTTTGAACTACTCTGCTTAAAGGTATGTTGGTGCCAAATATACATGATTTGAATAAACGTAATTCAAATAAACATGATTCTAGAAAAGGAAATCAATCTCATTTTTTAAGAAAAACTCCAGCAAATGTTAAATTACCCAGGGACCAAAAGACGACCCCCGTTTGAAAGAAAGAGGGCACAGAGGTGAGTGGAGAGGCTGCCTTTGGAAACCACGGGGTAGGATCACCTGTACCCAGGAGTGGACTGTGGACATGGCACACCAGGACATGCTGCGATTCCTGGAGAAAAATCGAACTTAAAGGACCTTAAGCAGAAAAGAAAGTGAACTGAAGACTCACGTGAGAGGACGATCTGGAATGATGAGCGTCCCGCAGGCAGCGTTACGGAACCCCAGTGTAGTCACCAGGACCTCCTCCCTCTCCATTTTTTGGCTCTTCTTAACACATAGCTGGACCCAGCAGCCCAAACATCATCAGCACTCGGTCCTCTCCTTCAGGTAGGAGGACCCTGAAGAGGAGCTGCACCAAGCGCCTGTCCTCCCCAGAGAAGCAATCCTAGCTGAAAGGGTTTCTCTAAACCTGCTCTGGGAGAAAGGCTGAAAGGATGACGCTGACTGGCCCATCGTGGCCCAATGACTGCGGCCGAAGGATGGAAGTCCTGTGAGCGGTCAGGCCTGCATGTGGAGGTCAGCCCCACGAAAGGGCTGGGAGGGACTTTTTGTCACCAAAAAGGAGCATGGGGTATCATTCTCTAAAGTGAGATATGCTGGTGAACAGCACACAACCTGGTGTGCCATCTCTAAGCAAGAGATGCTGGTGAAGATTTTAATAACATTGCTGGTGCTGGCTTCCAAGGCCAGCCAGCAGGGGCACCAGTGGCCCTATAATGATGTCTAATTGGGTCAGAGCTGGGGCGTGGCATTCTGCAGGCAACTTCTACCCTTTGTAAGGCTGGGCGAACCGGAGATTTGGAAAGCAATACAAGGTAGAAGCAGCCCCAACAATCTACGACAAAGCAACACTTGCCTCTTTTATACACCATGTTAGATGGTTGAGGAAAATAAAACATTTTCTTGAAAAGAATCCCTAGGCCTATTCCCTAGGTTTGAGAAACACCACAGCATAGGTAATTTGGTGCCAGAATGAGTTATTTGACCCTCCACTAACTGTTACTGCTTGTAATGTGGCACTGTCTGCCCCTGTCACCAGAAACGGCACTGAGGACATCCAAGAAGTATTTCCAACAGGCTTTCCAGACCGCTCTTCCCTTTTTGCAGGTGGGAGCAGTTTGGGCATTACCTTTAGGTTCCAATACAGGGCTCCTTGTTGCTCACACATCCTTCCTTCATTGCGACCCTCCATCAATCATATGGATAACCTCCCACACACTCCTCAGAAGCCATGGGTGAGGTAGCAGTGCTGGGTGGCTTCTGCCCAGACCTCTGAGAGCATCCCCAAGTGCACAAGTGTGAGCATAATTTTATTGTTAGGCAGGGTTGAGTGATTCAATCTAAGGTTGAGGCAAGGTGAGGGCAGCTGGGAACCCTAGAACTAATAGAATTTCTTAACTGCAGCGTCTCCTGACCATAGAAAGGAAGGGGAGCTCCCTTTCAGGAAATAGACTAAGTCTTTTAAAGTGGTGAGTTTTCAGCTGAGATGTGGAGGGAGCACAAATCACTTGGCCCACATTCCTTCCCCATTCCCTGACCTCCTTATAGCATTAATACTCCACCAGATCATATAGACAATGACTTCCCTTACTCACTAGACCTCATCTAATCTTGACTTAGTTACGACAGTTCTAGTGTAGGTTGGCTATTTTCCCCAGTCTCCAAAAGATTAGAAACAGTGAGTTATCTGTGTGCTAGAAAAGAGTGTTCATCCATAGCAGATGGGAAAACAGCATTCATTGGACAAATACTTATTGAACTCCTGCACTGTGCCGGGCATTAGGAGTACAGCTGTAAGCAAGACAAAGTTCCCACCCTCATAGAGCTAACAGGCATTAAACAAATAACCGTACAAATGTTTACAGTTATGAGCAATGCTATAAAAGAAAGGCAGGAAGCTATGACAGGCCTGTAGCATCATTTGTAGCAGGAGCACCAATCTTAAATTGCTGGGATCAGTGAAGGCCTCTAGAAAGAGACTTAACAAGAGACACGAAATAAACATTATTCAGGCCAAAAGGAGGAGCAGGGAGCCTGAGAAGCTTGGAGCCCAGGAACCTAAAAAAGGTCAGTGTAATTGGGGCAGAGAAGGCAGAATAATGTGAGATGAAGTTAGAGAGACAGGCAAGGGGCCAGTTCAGACAAAGCCTCTTGATCACGTTAAAGATTCTCAACCTAAGGAAAGTTTTCAGCAGAGAAGTGACAAAAGATTTGCACCTTTATAGAGTCTCTTGGCTAGGCATGTGGAGAATGGACTGAAGGAAGGAGGGTGTGGATATGGGTGGAAGAGCAAATGGGCTACTAGTGGAATCTATGGGAGAGAAGGTACACCTATACCTTGGGCAGTTTTAAGGCATGATTACAAGTAAAAATCAACTGGCTTAAACATGGGTTAGGTGTGTCAAGTCTGGGAGAGGGCAGGGGTCAGGGATTATCCCAGATCTCTGGGATGGGAAATTCAGCAGGTAGTGGAGATATTTACTAAGGAAGGGAGCCCTGTAAGAATTTGGGGTGGGAGAGGATTATGAATTCCACTTTGGCTACACTGGCTGACAGGTGCATGTGGGACATCCATGTGGAGTTGCAGAAGTACTTAGATATGAGTCTGGAGCCCAGGAGTGGTCTGGAACTGTACATCTAGTAGTACATATTTGGGCTGGGAGATGAAAATGGAGGCCATGGGCTTAGGTGAGCTCACCTAGGGAGAAAGTATGGTATTAGAACAGGGCCAAGGAATGAGCACTGAGAAAATCTACCATTTCAAGCTGGAGTGGGAGACAGTAACAGAATTGGGGAGATATGGAAGCAGGAATGTGGTAGCCAGGTTCCACGTTGGCCTCCAATGACACCACCTCCTGGTATTCATATCCTTGTGTAGTCTCCTCCCACACTGAATACGGCTAACCTGTGTAAACACCCGAGACTGTGGAAACGACAGTGCATGGCTGTGGCTGTGAGTATAAAATCTTTTTAAGATCTCAGAAAGGCCTGATGTGGCACCCCAGAGAGCTGTTCAGACAGTAAGGCTTCTAAGAAGCACAGCGTATTGTCCCTTGGCAGTCTGAGCAGAAGCTCACAGTGGAGAACTTACCTCAGAGATTTGTGGGTGTGGCTTTTGTGAGTGAACTGCAATAAGACTCAGGTGACGCATTCAAAATAATGTTCCCAGTACCACTGCCAGCTTGAATGGAAAGGGATATAGTGCAAAATGTTAACACAGCCGTTGGGCCCCTAAAATCCTTCTGGCAAGAAGCAGGCAGAAAAAGCTTTGTAGCTGGAAATGTGGGCAACGTTTCATGGAAAAGGAAGGATGACTCACATCGGGCCAAGAGCTCAGCCTCCAAGATCGCCTTTGACCATCTCCCTCTTCTGGTATAATACGGAAATACCTTTGTGTATTTCCTTCCCCTACTGAATAGGATTGACCTGCATAACCAATATACTGTGGAATGACACTGTGACATTTGAGGCCAAGTCATAAAGGACAATGCAGCTTCCACCCTGCTGTCTTGGATGACCTGCTCTGGGGATGAGGATATTCAAGCAGTTCTAGAACAATACATGGCAGGTGCTCATATGCGTTAACCCCAGGCTAATGCAAAAGCTTCTTTATGACAGAAAAGACTCCAAACACGTTTTCCTAAAAACAATCACTACCATCACCTCATACTGATGTTGCAATTTATATTAGAAGTACTTTCACCACATCTTGCTTTATGCTCCCAGTGAACCCTATGGGGTGGGTGGGTTTATACAAAGGGCAAATGCAGTCAGTCCCAGCTCCCAAGTGAGGAAGCTAAGTTCTAAAGGGCTTCTGTTCCTTGGTTAAGGCCACACACGATATTCACGGTGTTGGTATTATGACATCAAGTTCAGAGCTTTTCTGAAAATATCCAGGCAGCATTCCACAGGGATTGCTCATCTATTTGTATTTTACAGATACTCTCAAGACTAACTCTAGCAGAACTTTCCACAGTAATGTATCCCCCTTGTAATGTTCCCATACTATCCTTTCTGTAGCTGGAGCCATGGACAGACATGGACTCTGTCTTCTTTCCACTTGGGTTCCTATGCAACAGTGTAACTGGATCATCTGTAACAGTTTGTGGGTGGCCAGACAGTGCTGCCATTGTTCAATACATTCCTCATTGGAAGCTGTCTTCAGAGAGCCAATCTTCTTCCCAGTAAGAAAACCCATCTATGAGTTTAGAGCTCTGCTTCATTTTTAAACTAAAAATGGCATCAGCTTGATTGACTCCCTTAATCATCAGATTTTTAGTTGCTTCATTGTGGCCTTCTTAGAGGCCTAAACTTTACAAATAGAGTATATCCAAATACACTTGTTGCAGGCTCTGAGGGCACACCCAAAGACATTGCAGAAAGTCCAGTAGCAATAGCCCTCTAAAGAGAACACTGAGGAAGAAAGCCCTCATAAGGAATGTACCATGACAATTCTGATAAAAAGAATGGCTATGTGTGTTGAGGAGCGCTTTGTATGCTTGAATTTAATCCTCAAAAGAATCCTATGAGGTAGAATAAAGGCCTAAACATCAAACATTACCATGTGTTCACATAGGCATAATGCCCTGATATCATAAAGGGCAAAAGTTAACACCTAAAACGTACCCTGTGAATAGCTAATGCCTCTCCAGCAATAGCCACCATCCCCTCGAGGATTGCTCTGTTAGGGATCTGGGCCAATTTGGTGTTTTTCACACGCATTCAAGCCTGATAGTGTTTCGCCATTCCCACATCAGTCAGAGGTTTTAGGTAGATGCAGACTGCATAAAATGGAAATAAGTATATCTTGCCCTCTCAGAAATTCAAGATGGGCATCTCCAACTCAACTAAGCCTACTTCTATGGCTCCAAACTGACTTCTATTGTACCCACCTAAAACAGAAGCACATAACAAATCAAATTTCAAACTAATCTCTGCTTCTGCTTTTTCATTCCCATCTGGATTAGTGCAAGGAAATAAGACATAAAGATTCAATCCAAGAACCTATTCTTAAGTAGCAATTTGAAGAGCCAATGTTTGGCACCAGATATCACTGTACACATTTTAAAACCCATGTTTCTTGAGAACCATCTCAGCCAACTGTGATCACCTTATTTCTGGCCCCTCCTTCACAGTGACAGAATCACAGAAGAAGGCAGCCACATGAGAACTGCTATAATCAGGAGGAAGACCAATAGCCCATCCCAAACAAAACACTCCGAGTCACGACTTCCAGAACTTCTGCCATGACCATGGGCTTTAAACCATTCCACTGCTTCCTGGAGGTCAAATGGCTGAGCCTTATAACCTAGCTCTTTCTTGGCTTTCTCTAAGCTAAAATAATGTGTGACACCAGTTTTGTAAACTTCAGTGCGAGTGAGGAAGGGCTGGAAGTTGTAGAGTCGACCCAAAATGAAGTGAACCATCTCTGTTAGAAAAGCAAAGCAGTAGACCAAGGTCAATGGCAGGCGGGTAGACGGGAATGTGTAGCCCAGGCCCTCAACCAGAGGCCGGAAGAACTCAAAGTTGTTCACGGGTCTGCCATCTGAGATGAAGTAGGGCTGCCCAGAGGCAATATGGCCCTTGTCAGCTCTCAGGGCTTCTGAGGCCAGAATGTGAGCCTGCACCAAGTTATCCACGTGGACAAACTCAACCAGGCTCCTGGGGTCCCCGTAGACAAACTTGAACAGACCCTTCTCGATGTAGCTGACTATCCTGGGAAGGTGTCTTTGTTCTCCAGGCCCATAGATGCCAGCTGGCCTCAGAGCGCAGGTTCTTAAGACACCGTCGCCTCTGTCCAGGGGTGTAGCATTCGCCTCCAGCACCTTCTGCTCTGCAATTGACTTTGTCCGAGAGTAGTGATCAGGGTGGAGGTGAAGAGGCAGGTAGGGCAGAGATTCATCCCCATTTCTGATAACTTGACCTCCAAAGATGACATTGAAAGTGCTGGTGTAAACTAACCTGGGCACCCTTCTCCTTTGGCAAACCTGGAGGATGTTGTCTGTGCCCCTGACGTTGACTTCTTTGATCAGGTTTCGATTGAGTTGCTCCCGCCCTGACATACCATAAGAGGCAATATGGAACACACAAGTGACGTCTGCATCCTGGAAGGCTTTCTCTACGTCAGACAGGTGGCGGATGTCTCCTTGTATAAACTTGATTCCTTCTGGAATGGTTTGAGCAGGGCTGCTGATGTCAAACAGAATCACATGGACTCCATTTTGGTTCAGGGCACAGCCCAGGCTGAAATAAGAAACAGTAAACGTTGAATCAAGTCACTCTTAAGCTGTGCCTAGGGGAAGTGTATAAAGTAATTTACCAATCAAGGTGGGGCTGATCCAAGTCTTCTTGGCTCATCCTGAGCCCCTCACTATGCATGTTCCTTGGTGCAAGCCTCGCTTCTTCAAATTTTCAAAAGTGAGAATCCTCTCATCTACTTAAATTACAAAGAGAGAGGCCTTATCTTCAAAGAATGGTGGCATTTTTCCCCCTTGGTTCTAGGGCCCACTATCTATTCTTTGGAATATTTGTGAATAATAAGATAACTGTGAAAGAACAGCTATGATTTAAAATTGTTTTTGGTGATGTGAATAGTCACCCCTCCCAATTTAATGGCTTTATAAATAATTTTTCTTTAAGTGAAATATACCTGTAGTTCTCAGCTGCAATGTCTGAGCAGTGGGCAACACAGATCATTTCTGGTTTGACATTACACAAACAAGTAAAAGTCTGCTCTGCTGTCAGAGTTGAATGCTTCTGGCAACTACCAGTAAAATAATTCCATGTGTATATTTTATAGATACACTTACCGAAAACCAAAATAGCCACTTCCTCCTGTAATGAGGACACTTTCCTTTTGAGATCTTTTGGGGTCCATATGTGGCAGTCAAAAGATAACTGGACCTGAAGAAAGAAGTATGCATCACTGTTACTGATCCAAATGCAAACGTCATTCTCCCTAATTTTGACCTAACAAAAACAAAAAGTCAATACGCTGTAGTAGAATGAAAAGGTGAGGTCTGGGTCTGGTCACAGCTGTGTCATTTAGCTACTTTCCCTTCAGTTCCTGGGCTTCAAATTTCACCCGATGTAACATGGGGACAGTAATACCTGCTCTGCCCACCTGAAAAGGTTAATGTGGAGGTTAAATAAGAGAATGTACTTGGCAGTGCTTTGAGAGCCACAAAAAACGTTTCGAACATAAGGCATTATTGTAAATTCTTGAAAATGATTAGAGCCTTTTTGAAAATAATTGATTCAAATTTGGTAGGAAGAGGCATTTCCCCCCCATGCATCAGAAAATTAGAGAGCACTCTAAAGGAAGCTCCCAACATCTTTTCTTTAAAATTTCGCACTGCAGCATGGTTTAATACTGCTTTATTAACCCTATACTTAAAAAATATGTATATGGGGAAAAACTCCTTTATGTAGCAAACCATGCCCCACCTCCCCCACCGCAAATCTTGCAAGTACTTAAAGTACAAGTGCTCAGTGCCTTTGGGGATCCCACTTCTCTCTCCCTCTTCTTCTGTGGCCCTCCCCGCATTTCTTTCAAGGCTCCAAGGCCCCCTTCTCCCAAAAACAAAACTAAATAAGCAAAAATGAAGACACCCAACTCCTTCCATGTGGGAGGGAGAGAGGCCAGGCACGGTGGCTCACACTTGTAATCCCAGCACTTTGGGAGGCCGAGGCAGGCGGATCATGAGGTCAGGAGATCGAGACCATCCTGACTAACACGGTGAAACCCCGTCTCTACTAAAAATACAAAAAATTAGCCGGGCGTGGTGGCGGGCACCTGTAGTCCCAGCTACTCGGGAGGCTGAGGCAGGAGAATGGCGTGAACCCAGGAGGCGTAGCTGGCAATGAGCGAAGATCGCGCCACTGCACTCTAGCCTGGGCGACAGAGCAAGACTCCATCTCAAAAAAAAAAAAAAAAAACCACAGGAAGCACACAGGTCCTCAAAGGCACTGGGTGCGTATACACACACACACACACACACACACACACACATATACCTGTGCTCAAGTCAACAGAGACACTCAGAGGTGTGGTTAGGCATGAAGACTGCAAGCAATCAAGAGCCCTACCATTTCTCTTTCCCAGCCAGGCACCCACGACTGCAGCCACTGCACCACAAAAGTAGACTTCAACATGGAAGAGTGTGGAGACAGGAGGGAAGCGGGAGCAGCAGAGGTTAGGGCTATGCAGGATGAAGAGCTTGTATGGCAGAGAGGCTATGAGTGTGAAGTCAGTGTACATGCACAAAGAAAGAAAAAATATGGGGGACAGGAATACACAGTGAAGACGTCTCGCCTCCGCCCTTAAATGGTTATGTGATCTTGGCCAAGACATTTCTCTAGATTTCACTTTTCTCTTCTGTCTGGTTGTGTGTTGTGCTATGTTACAGGAATGCTAAAGTTTCTAAAAAGGCAGCATGGTACAGTGGAAATAATAACAACAAACACATACCTAGTGCTTACTACTAGGGCCAGGCAGCATGCTAAGTGCTTTATGTGTATGTTAGCCATTTAATCCTTTTAATAATCTTACTAGGAAAGTACTATTAGATCCTGTTTTTCAGCTGAGAATTACCACAGAGACAGTAAATAAACTTGCCCAAGCTTACCTGGATTCACACCCGATGGCAGTTTGGCCCCAGGAGCCCGCACTCTTAACCACTAAAACACAGTCTTAAATGAAAAGAGAATGGACTTTGGGGTCCACTTACCAGTTGTGTGATTTTGGACTGTGTGTTTACCACATGTGTTAAACACTCTGAACCTGCTGCTTCATCTAAAAGTGGAGCTGATAATAAGCCTGCCTGAAGACTGCATGGGATAATGTGCAAAAAATGTCCAACAAAACACCTGACACCGTATGGGCACTCCACAGATGTCATTCCTTGAGCTGCCCTTTTTTCACACTCCAGAGTTTAGAGATCCAACTATTTTATTACATTTCCACATGACATGACTACATCTCTCAAAAGCACAGGGTTACAAAGAGTTTTGTAAGTTCTTCTGAATACCTGTGTGAGTGTATTAAGACTGCCAATGAAGCGAATCAGATCACTTATGCAGAGTCAGTCAGTGTGACAAGTGAAGACAAGGTTCAGCAAGTGACTGTCTCAGTGGTTTGAGGGTATGGAGAAGAGTGAGAAATACTAGGGAAACTGAGCAAAATGGGGCAGAGGATGGCTGATGAGTTCCCAAGGTTCCATTAAGCAACTGCCACGGTTGTGCTTTCAAGAAAATTCATGAAGAATGAATGTGCCAGCACTCCCTCAATGCACCTAACAGTGACCTTGTGATTCTATTGTTTTCTGAGTGCAGAACACTCCCATTTGGATTTAGAGTAGCCATAAAACCAAATGCAGTCAATTCTGTTCTTTAGTGTACTCACAACCCTTCATGATGAATGCTATTTCCCAACACAGTAGACATCAGTTACTGATATATCAATACAGACTTCCCACGTTCACCTCCATGACCTGGTCACAATTTCCCACTCTTCTGCTACTGGCACTCCGTGCTCCAACCGTACAGACTTTCCTTATCTTGAAGATGCTGAGCCCATTAGTGCCTCCTGTTCTCACTTCAGTGTGACACATCGTATACTAGGTCCTTTTCTGGAAGCTTCTTTCTCAATATTTAGGTCTGCTGACAAGTCTTCAGAGAGACTTCTCTGATCACCCTAGCTAACACAGATGCCTGTACCCTAAATGTTGCTTTGTTTTCTCTATGGAACATTTTGCTATCTATCTAAAACTATTTACTTTTTATTATTGATCTCCTTCCCACAGAATGTTAAGTTCTATGAGAACTGAGGTCTTCTGCCTTCTGGGGTGTCCCTACTAGAATCCAGAACATAGTAGATGCTCAATAAATATTTGTTGAATCTATGGATTATTCTGAACACCCTAAAATATATCCAATTCAGTAAAATTGTGATGGGCACAAATTACCCAGGGCTCTGCAGTGTCTAAGAGCTGCTGTTCTGCAAGACATTAATACTGCCATTTTAACAATAACATGTCTCCTAAAAAGTGCCGGGTTATGAAATGAAAGATACAAACCCAAACGAGACAGAGGTCCTGCTTTCCAGAGCTTACAAATAAGAAAGAGGCTTCTACAGATACCAAAAGGAAAAGGCAAAAAAGATGAAAATAACGCTACTGTTATAATGTTGGTATAAACAAAGTGTGGTGGGAAACCAAGGTGAGGGGTGGGGAGACTGATTCTGACAGGGCACATCAGGAAGAGATCATGGGAGAGTGAGCTTTAGCACTACAGGGCCCATGGGAGGATCTAGGTAGGCTGAAAGGAGGGTTATCACAGGTGGGGGTGCACCACGAATAAATGGATCACATGCAGGGAAGGCTGTGCTGGGCAGCTAACATGGTGAGTCCGCCATGGCTGGTGTGCAAACTGAAGCATGGAGCTGATGCTTGAGGGTGAAAAGACAGCCTGGGGTGAGCCTGGAGACAGGCTTCTGTCCCCTTCCATAAAGTTTGAATCCCATTCTTTTTTTCTCTTTGAGACAAGGTCTCACTCTGTTGCCCAGGCTATAGTGCAGAGGTGTGACCACGGCTCACTGCAACCTTGATTTCCTGGCCTCAAGCGATCCTCCTACCTCAGCATCCTGAGTAGCTGGGACTACAGGCGTGTGCCATGATGCCTGGCTAATTGAATTCCACTCTGCAGACAACACAAGCCTTTGTAGGTTTACAGCAATGAACCGTTGGGGCCACCTTGGTACTTGTGAAAGAGAAGGCTTCCCCTGGAGGAGGAAATGGGCCAGGGTCCAGGTAAGGGAGATGTGGCTCTAGACTAGCGGGTTACCAGTGAGGACAAAAGGCCAGTGTGCTCAGGTGAAATCAGGGTGAGGGCTGGTGAACAACTGCAGGAGGTGGCAGCGTGCTGCACCCAGGTGATGTTTTGAGGAAGATGATGTCATTAATTGAAACAGTAAGTTTTGGAAATGTTCTTGTCTGGTTGAAAGTTTTGACAAACAGGATGTCAGATAACAATTTAAGATCTTCTTAATATCTCTGTAAGAATTCCACCATAAGGAATTCTGAAAATGGACAAGGCCTTCAAAAGCCCAATTAAAACATTCCAACGGAAATACCTATCTTTAATTAGTCTTTGGTTTTAAAATTACACATTCCAGTCCAGTCACAAGACCATAGGTCAATCATGGTTCATGTGCACATTAATCAAGTAAGGAACATACAACTTCGGATTATTAATGCTTCAGAAACCTGCCAGGCCTAGTGATGCTACTCCATTACCTTCCAACTAGTTTCAGAATGATCTGAGGCAAAAACTTGTATAACTGACCTGATCGGGGGGGTCAGAAGAGAAAGATAAGAAAAATTAATAACTTAACAAGATAAACAGCAAGGAAAAAGCTTATCCACCAGGCCAGTAAAGCCTTCACAGGATGGTAGCCATCTGCTGCACTGCTGGGAGCCGCCTCCTCCCTTCCTGATCCCCAACATTGATAAGCACAGAAAAATCTCAGCAAACGCATTTTGCAGACCTGCCCCCACCCAAAATTCACATGAATCCTAAGCCAGAAGGGAGAAAAGAGAATATACAGTTGTTCTTCAACCAGCTGCCTGATTTTCATCTACTCTGTGGCTTCTGTTTTATTAATTAGTTTCTATCTGATTCCTTCTAGGGCTGGGCACTCAGA